>NC_000019.10:36615874-37240874 GCF_000001405.40 Homo sapiens | reverse complement strand
AGATCGCACCACTGCACTCCACCTGGGTGACAGAGTGAGACTCCATCTCAAAACAACAAAAAAAAAGGAATTGGTAACAGCGGGTTATTCACATGAGGGAAGAGACAGATGTAAGTCTAATGTATTGAACTAATTTGATGTAGGTGTGTAAGTGGCAGATAGGAAAACTCAGAATTATTTTATGTGCTGGGGATTCAATGGAAATATTGTTTGCCTTGGAATTTTGAGATGCTGATCTTAGGGGAGAGGAGACTTGCTTATGTACCACCACAGTGAATGAGAGAGAAGGAGCTAAAGTTTAAGGAAGATGGAAAGAAACTAAGACACAGTACAACATACTGCCATAGAAAGATAACAGGAACCAGAAGCAGATTGATGAGAGCTGACTGCCAATTCTGATACTTAATCGTTGTGTGCTCACAAGCAATTATTTAATCTCTAAGCTACCATTTCTTCATCTGTAAAAGGGCAATAATCCTTAACTCATGATTACTGGGGGGTTACAGGAAAATGTATATACATGTTTTGGAGTAAAGTGTTCAGGTATTATGAAACAATTTCTTACTAAAAATGGGGATATTAGGCAAATTAAATGGTTTGAAGATATCAAAATGAAGCCTATTGGAGTATCTCAAAACAGGAACAGGGAATTCATTCCAACACAATCTTTCTCCTCCTATCTCTATATGCTCTTGCAATAACTTTTTTTTTTTTTTTGAAACGCAGTGTCACTCTGTTGCCAGGCTGGAGTGCAGTGGTGTGATCTCGGCTCACTGCAACCTACACCTCCAGGGTTCAAGCGATTCCCCTGCCTCAGTCTCCCAAGTAGCTGGGACTACAGGCGTGCACCACCACGCCCGGCTAATTTTTTTGTATTTTAGGAAAGATGGGGTTTCACCATGTTGGCCAGGATGGTCTCAATCTCCTGACCTCATGATCCTCCCGCCTCGGCCTCCCAAAGTGCTGGGATTACAGGCGTGAGCCACTGCGCCCGGCAGATCTTGCAGTAACTTTCATCTAGTTAAGCTCCCAAGTAAAGTTTTGAAACTGCCCTCTTCTGTCTTCCACTGCCAATGTCATCTTCCAAACCAGAATCAACTCTTACCCAGACCAGTGAAGTAGCCTCCTCAACCAGTCTCCCCACCAAGCTCTCTCACCCTTTAATCTATTCAGGGAATAGTATCATTTGGCTTAGGTTTCCACTGCTCAAAGTCCGAACTCCTTACAATCTCCTGCAAAGGCTGAATGCTGTGGCTCCTGCCTGTCTATCCAAACCCTGACTCACACTCCACTCCCACTTGATCATGGGGCCCACCAACACTGGCATTTAGTCCTTCAAACACACCAAGCTTTTCCCCATCAGAACCTTCACAGGGGTTCTTCTCTCTGCCTGGAGTTTTCTTCTCTAGTAAAACATTAAACAAGACCTAGTGGCAAGCCTAGTACTACATTAATTCTGAAGTAGTGATGAGCATAAATATTTCAATATGCCTACAATAACAGTAAAATAATATGAACGTATCTGTGATTTCCATTAATGTCAAAGTCACAGTAACTACTACTACTACTACTGCTACTATGGTTTGTCCCATACATCACGATAGGAAGAAATGTTATATCTCAATTAGAGGTTATTAAATATAAAGATGTATTTTTGGTCTGGGCACAGTGGTTCATGCCTGTAATCCCAGCACTTTGGGAGACCAAGGCAGGTGGATCATGAGGTCACAAGTTCAAGACCAGCCTGGCAAAGATGGTGAAACCCCATCTCTACTAAAAATACAAAAATGAGCCGGGCGCAGTGGCAGGCGCCTATAATCCCAGCTACTCAGAAGGCTGAGGCAGTAGAATCGCTTGAACCTGCGGGGTGGAGGCTACAGTGAGCTGAGATCACACCACTGCACTCAAGCCTGGGTGACAGAGTGAGACTCCGTCTCAAAAAAAACCAAAAAGATGTATTTTTTTCTTCTCATCCAAGTTCATGGACTCCCTGAATTCTACCTAAAGGAATCCAAAGTTAGGAACCCCTAGAGCAAGAATGATCCTTTGCAAACATGATAATATCACTCTGCTAAATCATTCAATGGATTTACACCTCATTCGGAGTAAAATTCAAGGTCCACAAGACCCAAAATCATCTACAGGTACATCCAACTCCCATCCTGACCTGCACCCAGCATGCAAACACTCATAAGCCTGCTACTTTCCTGATCTCCTCTTCTACAATTCCCGCTTTGCTCATTCAATTTCAGCCATAATGGTGGCTGCCAAAAAGCTCTGAACTCGAGTACTTGGCTCTTCCTGTTCCCTTTGCCTGAATCTCTCCTAGCAGATATTTACATTACCTGTTCCCTCACTTCCTTCAAGTCTTCACTAAAAGAACACCTCATCAGAGAGGCCCTCTCTAGCCTCTCTTCACAGCACTTATCTATCACCCACCACCTGACATTTCATATACACATGGACATATAATAATATAGAAATATTATTAATATATGATATATATTTATACTATACCAATATATTAGTTACATGTAGATAAATGTAAGTGATATATAATTCTAAAAATATTTATATATCATATAATATTAATGTCATGCTAATATTGTTTTATACATATATACTTGACATTCATGTTTATCTTCTGCTATGGTTTGAATGTCTCTCCTTCAAAATTCAGCTGTTGCCAATGTGATAGTATTAAGAGGTGGGGGCCAGACACAGTGGCTCAAGCCTTTAATCCTAGCACTTTGGGAGGCCAAGGTGGGTGGATCGCTTGAACCCAGGAGTTAGAGACCAGCCTGGGCAACATGGCGAAACCCTGTCTCTACAAAAAATAGAAAAATTAGCTGGGCGTGGTGACGTGTGCCTGTGGGCCGAGCTACTCGGGAGGCTGAGGTGGGAGGATCACCTGAGCCCGGGAGGTTGAGGCTGTGGTGAGCCATGATTGTGCCGCTGCACTCCAGCCTGGGTGACAGAGTGAGACCCTGTCTCAAAAAAAAAAAAAAAATTCCAAAAACGAAGAGGTGAGGCCTTTAAGAGATGATCGGGCTTCAAGGACCCATCCCTCAAGGATGGGTTTCGGTGCTCTTACGAAGGGGCTTGATGGAAGGAGTTGGCTCTCTTGCCCTACTGCCTTCTGCCACACGAAGATGCAAGAAGGCCCTCATCAGATGACAGTGCCTTGATCTTAGAATTCTTAGCCTCCAGATCTATGAGAAAATAAATGTCTGTTCTTTATAAATTACTCGATGTGAGGTATTCTGCTGTAACAGCACAAAATGGACTAAGACATTTTCTCTCTTACCCTCTAGAATGTAGGCTTCAGAAGTGCAGAACTTTAGAATGCCTTCATGAATACTACAGTCCCAGCCCTTGGACCAATGCTTGGTACATAGTAGTGCTCAATAAGTACTCTTCTGGTTCTCCTACTTCATCCCAAATCTCTCCTGCTCTGCCACCTCTTCCTTTTTAATATAGGCACAGATCCTTTTTTTTTCTTGGCCCCAACAATATCTCTATACATAGTGATTGCAGTCACTTCCAAGGCTCCACCTACTACTTCAATAGGGATTAATTCCACTTCTACATAGTTAGCCTTTGACTTTCTGCTAAACTCCTTATCTCATTTCTCTTTTATACTACTCTACTTTGTGGAAGTCATATATGTATATATTTTAGCACCACTTTTGGACCTTGAATTTGTAAAGGTAACACAATTAGTAAACTGTAGCACCTGGAAGATTCCCTTACACAAACCAGGAAATTAAAAAACGTTCCATAAAGGAAACATTGAAGACAGTCTGATAAAACAGGTCACTGACAGGCAGCTATAATGAAGACCAGTACTTGGGCAAGGGGTGTGTGTGTGTGTGTCTCTGTGTGTGTGTGTGTGTGTGTGTGTGTGTGTGTGTGTGTGTTCACATGTGTGTATACAGACGCAATTATATTATTTTGGGGAGTGGTAGTAGAAAACACCTGTACAAGTCTAAAAAATGCAGAAGAGGGGCCGGACGCGGTGGCTCATGCCTGTAATCCCAGCACTTTGGGAGGCTGAGGCGGGTAGATCATGAGGTCAGGAGTTCAAGAACAGCCTGGCCAATATGGTGAAACCCCACCTCTACTAAAAATACAAAAATTAGCTGGGCATGGTGGCATGCGCCTGTAGTCCCAGCTACTCAGGAGGCTGAGGCAGAAGAATCGCCTGAACCCGGGAGGCAGAGGTTGCAGTGAACCAAGATCGCACCCTGCACTCCAGCCTGAGCGACGGAGCGAGACTCCGTCTCAAAAAAAAAAAAAAATGCAGAAGAAGAAAAAGAATTAGCCAGGCATGGTGGCACAGGCCTACGGTCCCAGCCACTTGGAAGGCTGAGGCAGGGAGACTGCCTAAGCCCAGAAGTTTG
The DNA here is from genome assembly GCF_000001405.40 of Homo sapiens. NCBI lineage: Eukaryota > Metazoa > Chordata > Mammalia > Primates > Hominidae > Homo > Homo sapiens. The sequence continues at coordinate 37,236,471 of NC_000019.10, read as the reverse complement.
AGCCTACAATAAGTTATGATCATGTCACTGCACTCTAGCCTGGGTGACAGAGCCAGACCCTTTAAAAAAAAAGAAAAAAAAAGAGAGAGAGTAAAAAAAGCTAGCAAGCAGCTGAATCTAAAATACGGGTAAAATAGGGTTTTTTTTAGAGAAGTAAAAGGTACCTTCTGCTTGAAATTAAGAGGAGGATTGGAGAGGAGTAGTAGAAATAGTGGTAAGTGAGGAAAAGGGCGAAACAGGTTATTTAACAACTATGCTAAAAGGACTTCATTTTCTCCACTGGCCTAGTTTCTTGATGGGAGCTTCAGGGATAACATCTCAAAGGTGCTGTTTCCTCCCTGACCAGCTGAGTTCTGACCTATCGTGACTTTCTCCTGTCCGGTCATTTCTCACTTACCTGAACACAGGCCTCTTGTAAGCTCTCTGCCAACCATCCAGGGCTCTTTCCCTTGTTCCAATAAGGAGATCACTTGAGGCTTAGGAGTGTAAAGTCCTGCTCACGAGAAAAGATATGGAACATGGTTATGCTGGGGGTAAAGGAGATCCAGTCCCTTGATGATCACAGGAAGAGATGCCACTACAGGAACAGCCAAAGAAAGATGAAGATGAAGCTTCAACCACAGCCCACTGGAGTTGCCAATTTCCCACTCTTCCTTTTCATTTCAGCTCAAACCATTTGTTTGGTAATAAAGAATAGAAATTCAGCTAGTAACCTGAAAAGCAGCTGAGAAATTCACTGTGGAAGAAGGAGACATTCCAGAGGAGAACTGGGAATCACTGGTACAGATGCCCTTACCCATTGAAACCAGATTGCCGTAGTTCTCCAACATCACATCTCTGTATAAGTCCCTCTGAACAGGGTCCAGGCAGTCCCACTCCTCCTGAGAGAAGTCTATGGACACATCACTGAACATCACTGATCCCTGAAACAATAAACATACGTATTACTTGTGTAATTAAAAAAATGTATCAGAGACTACGATGCTTGTATTGTGGGGTAATACAAAATGAGTCATTATATTGGTGTCACTGAGAACCTGTATCTTTAGATTTCAGAAATAGATGCAAGAGTAGGAAGTTTATATTAAACAAATTCCTGACTCTGTCCATTGAAACGGCCTAGAAATAATGACTAATCCAGTAGCAACGAGCATCCCTAGAGTCTAGATTGTGATTTCTTTTCTTTTTTTTTTTTTTTGAGACAGAAATTCGCTTTTGTCACCCAGACTAGAGTGCAGTGGCATGATGTCGGCTCACCGCAACCTCCGCCTCCTGGGTTCAAGCAATTCTCCTGCCTCAGCCTCCCGAGTAGCGGGGATTACAGGCACGCACCACCACACCTAGCTAATTTTTGTATTTTAAGTAGAGACAGGGTTTCACCATGTTGGCCAGGCTGGTCTCGAACTCCTGACCTCAGGTGATCTGCCCGCCTCAGCCTCTCAAAGTGCTGGGATTACGACATGAGCCACTGTACCCAGCCTAGATTGTGGTTTCTAAATATCATTTTCAAATAAAAGAAACCAAGGTTCTTTGGGAAAAGAACTGATTTCACGAAATCCACAAGAGCAACTTTTACAAAATGCACAGGATGAGTCTGAACGTCTTGTTATACCAAAAAGCAAGAAAGCAACCAAAAACTGTTAGGATCATGCTGATAAGACTAGGAGGCAACTTGAAGATACTCCCACTGACCAATACTGTTACAACTTGCACGTCAAATTATTATAATTTTTTTTTGTAATAGGATTTATAAATTTAGAGTTTGAAAATCTTACAAAAGTTGGCTGGGCGTGGTGGCTCATGCCTGTAATCCCAGCATTTTGGGAGGCCAAGGCGGGCTGATCGCGAGGTCAGGAGATCGAGACCATCCTGGCTAACACGGTGAAACCCTGTCTCTACTAAAAATACAAAAAAATTAGCCAGGCGTGGTGGCGGGCGCCTGTAGTCCTCAGCTACTCAGGAGGCTGAGGCAGGAGAGTGGCGTGAATCCGGGAGGCGGAGCTTGCACTGAGCCGAGATCGCGCCACTGCACTCCAGCCTGGGCAACAGAGCAAGACTCTGTCTCAAAAAATAAAATAAAATAAAATAAAAGTTGTCTTAAGCCATCAAATAATTCTATCTTGACAGTGACATTGCAAAACTAACAAAATGAAGATACTAGAAATATTATGTAAAAGTACAGGGAGATGAGGCACATTTTGGGGGAAATCTAGAGAAAATGTGGTATTTGGATATTTAGATGTTTCATTTGTATTTCTGTTTCATTAGCAACTAATGCTTGAGGCACCTATTTAATAAAATAGATGTGGGCCGTGCGTGGTGGCTGATGCCTCTAATCCCAGCACTTTGGGAGGCCGAGGTGGGTGGATCATCTGAGGTCAGGAGTTCAAGACCAGCCTGACCAACATGGAGAAACCCCGTCTTTACTAAAAATACAAAATTAGCTGGGCGTGGTGACACATGCCTGTAATCCCAGCTACTTGGGAGGCTGAGGCAGGAGAATCGCTTGAACCTGGGAGGTGGAGGTTGCAGTGAGCAGAGATTGCGCCATTGCACTCCAGCCTGGGCGATAAAAGCGAAACTCCGTCTCGAAAAAATAAATAAATAAAATTTTAAAAAAATAAAAAGATGTGTATTTTATTTAATAAAAAGAAAGCTTCTTCCCCTCCTCAATGTAGAAATTGGAACAAAGATATGCCAAAGCCCTATTAGGACATTTCCCATAGGATTAAAAACAAATCCCAGGCCCGGTGTGGTGGCTCACACTGGTAATCCCAGCACTTTGGGAGGCTGAGGCGGGCGGATCACGAGGTCAGGAGTTCAAGACCAGTTTGACCATCATGGTGAAACCCTGTCTCTACTAAAAATACAAAAATTAGCCAGTTGTGGTGGTGTGCGCCTGTAGTCCCAGCTACTCGGGAGTCTGAGACAGCAGAATCGCTTGAACCTGGGAGGCGGAGGTTGCAGTGAGCCAAGATGGCACCACTGCACTCCAGCCTGGGCAAGAGAGCAAGACTCCATCCCAAAAAAAAAATAAAAACAGCCGGGCGCAGTGGCTCACGCCTGTAATCCCAGAACTTTGGGAGGCCAAGGCAGGCAGATCATGAGGTCAGGAGATCAAGACCATCCTGGCTAACACAGTGAAACCCTGTCTCTACTAAAAATACAAAAAAATTAGCTGGGCGTGGTGGCACGCGCCTGTAATCCCAGCTGCTCGGGAGGCTGAAGCAGGAGAATCACTTGAACCCAGGAGGCGGAGCTTGCAGTGAGCTGAGATATCACCACTGCACTCCAGCCTGGGCGACAGAGCAAGACTCCATCTCAATAAATAAATAAATAAATAAATAAATACAAAAACAAATAAACAAACAAACAAAATCCCAAACTGTAGAATGCTGTAAGAGGGGACTGTATGCAAGTGTGACTAGATAATAATCTTCCAAGGAAACTTTCCATTGTGTTTGATGAATTTCCCTATTTTCTGCAGAGAAATCAAGAGGATTAAAAAAAAAATAAGAGAATATAATACAATAGCATTATAAAAGAGAATAATACGTGTTCACTAGGATTGGTTGCACATCAAATTATATGGACAACTGCAACGGACTGATCATATTAAAAATGTTTAATCCATGAGTTCACAACACTATTTTAAAACATTATTGGTCACTTTTGGACAAGTCTAAGAAGCCAACTCATTATTTGGAAAACTGGTAATTAAATGGAAAGAATCAAACATTCTTCTTTCCTATATGAACTGTCCTTCAGGGTAACCAAACAATTGATGAGGGAAAGTTTTACTTTATAGATAGACGTATTCCACTTAATCTATGAAGGAAGAATGACAGAATTAAAAGATCACTTGTAACCCCTAGTGAATGAATCTAAAAATTATCAATAACTGGTAATATTACAAAAAGAAAGAGAACCAGATACGATGTGCATCCTAATAAAATTATGCATCATGACCTTATTTTTTTATTTTTTGAGTATTTATTTATTGAGTATCCAAGATATATTTTATTGGTATAAAACCAAAATAAGATGAGGTAATTCTCTGGTCTACCAGTTAGCTATATAGACCTACGTGAAAAAAACATTTTTGGCCGGGCATGGTGGCTCACACCTGTAATCCCAGCACTTTGCGAAGGTGGGTGGATCCCGAGGTCAGGAGTTCAAGACCAGTCTGGCCAACATGATGAAACCCAGTCTCTACTAAAACCGAAAAAATTAGCCAGGCGTGGTGGCAGGGGCCTGTGGTCACAGCTACTCGAGAGGCTGAGGCAGAGAATTGCTTGAACCTGGGAGGCGGAGGTTGCAGTGAGCCGAGATCGTGCCACTGCACTCTAGCCTAGGCGACAGAGTGAGACTCCGTCTCAAAAAAAAAAAACAAAAAAACCTTTTTGAGGAAAAAAGGAAAATGTTTTACTTATAAAAAAATACTAATTAGTTTTGTCAATAATTTATCTGACCAAAACAAAAATAGTTAATGTTTATCAAATAAGTAAAAATTCAGTAATAGTCTTATAACTTCTGAAAAAATTCATAAAATTGAAAAGCAGAGAAAGATTTCTCAGGCCATCAGTTTTTCTCCTTTATTAAGGGAGAAAAAGGTCTTCATAATTCTGCTAAAAGACATCACCTAACAATGCAAGGGGTAGCCAGAGAATGTCTTAAATCTCTATCCTATTGATGAATCATCCCCTTTTGCTCGTCCTATGCAGGAAGACTATTTAAGGTCACGTTACACAGCAGCTACATGATCTGGTATAACACAACTATAATCAGTTTGCTTGTGCCTGATGCAAAAGTTCTCAACTCTTGGTCTGTGTTATGTCCAAAGCTGTCCTTCATCTAATATATTCTAAACTACCCCCATGTGATCTTAGAGCATCAATCAAAGCTACGAAAAAGATATATAAAGTTATATGTAAAGTTATTTTATTTATTTTTATTTTTTTGAGATGTTGCTCAGGCTGGAGTACAGTGGTGTGATCTTGGCTCACTGCAATTTCTGCCTCCCAGGTTCAAGGATTCTCCTGCCTCAGCCTCCCAAGTAGCTGGGACTACAGGAATGTGCCACCACACCTGGCTAATTTTCTGTATTTTTAGTAGAGATGGGGTTTCACCATGTTGGCCAGCCCAGTCTCTAACTCCTGACCTCAGGTGATCCGCCTGCCTCTGCTTCCCAAAGTGCTGAGATTACAGGCATGAGCCACTGCACCTGGCGTTTTACAAATTCTTTAATAATTATTTTTCTGGTAGAATTTTCTACAATACAGATATTACTGGATAAGACTTAAAAGGTTCTTCTGAGCTCTGACAGTGTGATCCACATGACTTATGCATTGGCTGAACCATTGTAAACATCCATTATCACTATCCTTAATTCTGAGATACAGAAAACTCAATGATTCACAGAAATTCCTTACAATCCAAACTTCCTATCCAACCTGAAATTGGACTTCTCTCCAGGATGTTCTTACAGAGTTGCAGAGCTCTGTATCAGCCACCAACCCCATGATCCCCAAAGGTGCCTAAACCAGATCTTGCAACAATCCAACATTTGGAACTACCAGCACCACACTTCATCCTATCTTACTGGAGAATGCTACTCTGTAGAGATAATCTTGGCTTGTCTATATTTCCAGCTAAGTAACTCACACCTTCAACTCATCAAATAATGGTCCAGACAGGGTAACTTCATTTTACAAATCTATTCTTGCTTCCTTGAGATAATTCATCCCCTATCATAGTCCTTGGGAAAGAGTTCAGAAAAAGAGATGCTCAGGTATTTACGGAATGAAAATATTAATGCTGGTTGATTTATAAAAATAAAAGGGATACTTAGAGATGGTATAGGATTATCTAGCTAAGAAAAAATGGGGACAAGGATTCTGAAGGGGAACTCTGTTAGCCAGAAATGTCAGGATAAGGAAAGCAAATGCTCATGTCTTTTTTTTTTTTTTAAACTAAATGTCAGGAAGGCAAGAAAAAGCATCAACTCACCTCAGCCATGGCTTCTAGTATTGCAGATGGTTAGTCTTCCTTGAGGCCGTTCTCCTGAAAAAGGACAGTGTTCTGAGGTTGCATGACTGGGGAAGTAAAACCCTCTAGAAATCACACTAGAGGTCAGATAAAACCACCTCCATATTTCTTGGTCTTGAGATACAACTCCAGTTAGTAGGAATATGGAACAAATCCTACTCCTTCCTCAATCCTACAAACCTCAGGCTTTAGCTGCAGCAAGACAAGGACTCAGATTCATTCTCCCTCATGCAAACAACCTAAGTTCCTGCCTTAGCCAACGGATTCGGGCCAGACCTTGTCCCACCTCAGTGATGTTGCTCTGAACCCATGATTGAGCTATTATGGTCTGCCCTGAGCTAATGACCTACTATGACCCAAGACTGAGCTACCATGACCTCCTTTGCAGCCCTCAGGTCCCCAAACCAGACTCACACAAATGGTGCCCTTTGGCCAGGAACACAGTGCACTCAGATCAGAAAGACCAAAGACTTCCCTAATCAAGTCTTTTTGTTTCTCAACCCTCAAAAAGTCAACTTCACTCACCACATGCACACACACAACACCCGCATCCACCCCTAAACACACAGGGATGCAGGCACTAATTCTTCTAGCTCTGTTTTATTGAAAAAAAAAAAAAAATATATATATATATATACACACACATATATATACATATATACACACATATATACATATATACACACACATATATATACATATATATACACACACATATATATATACATATATATACACACACATATACATACATATATATACACACATATATATACATATATATATATATACACACACACACACACACATATATATATATGCTTGTAATCCCAGCTACTTGGGAGGCTGAGGCACAAAAATCCCTTGAACCTGGGAGGCAGAGGTTGCAGTGAGCTGAGATTGTGCCATCGCACTCCAACCTGGGTGACAGGGTGAGACTCTGACTCAAAAAAAAAAAAAAAAAAGCTGGGTGCAGTGGCTCACAGCCTGTAATCTCAGCAGTTTGGGAGGCTGAGGCAAGTAGACCACCTGAGGTCGGGAGTTCGAGACCAGCCTGATCAACATGGAGAAACCGTCTCTACTAAAAAAAAAAAATACAAAATTAGCCATGCATGGTGACACATGCCCGTAATCTTAGCTACTCGGGAGGCTGAGGCAGAAGAATCACTTGAACCCAGGAGGTGGAGACTGCAATGAGCCGAGATCACGCCATTGCACTCCAGCCTGGGCAACAAGAGCAAAACTCTGTCTCAAAAAAAAAAAAAAAAAAAAAAAATTCAACCTTTTGCCATTGCCAAAAGGTGAGGCTGTTTTTAAAAATATCTGTGCTGAAAGAACTCCTTTTAAGAGTCTCCTAAAAGGGGATCCCATTAGCCAACTAATGAAAACTTACACAACAATAAACAGAATACTTCTGCCACTCCTCCACACTGTGATAGAGTCTTTAACAGCTATCAGTCAGTTGAAATAGCTATGAAATGCTCTAAGTCCATAATAATATGTAAGAAAAAAATTGTTATAAAGTGCACAAAAAAGGTGGGCGAATAAAATAATTTTTTTTTACATACAATAATTAGAGAAGGATTATATATGTGTTCTTTTCTTATCCTGTTTTTTATAGTTCTAGTATTAGTGGCTTGTTTCCATCTACCCAAGACAAAAAGAATAAACTCGGGAACTTTGAAAAAGCCAGTTAGTCCCAGAAAAAGGAAAAACTGTACCAAAGCCAGAAGGACCCATCACAACAGTGGCCTCACACAATATCCCAAGATGAAAAGGGGATTCACTGCAGTTAGTAGACACACACAAAACCAAGTAGAAATGGGATACAATAAAATAACAAATTAGCTGAATGTTCCAAATGAGAGCTTATTGCATACTCTGGGCGGCAAGCCACCCAGGTGTTAAGGGAAGAGACCAAGGGCACAAGCTGTTTTAGTATAATAAAGAAAATATATAGAATAAAAATAGTTATACTAAAAATAAATTATAATTATATATAAATATTAATCATTAGTTTGTAGCATTACTCTTTATTCCAATAATAATCTTTGTTCTACAATTATAACCTAAAAAAACCCAAGCCATACAGAGATAGAAACTAAAGGAACACAGTACAGAGATAAAAACTAAAGGGACACGATAAAAAGTGACCAAAAAACAAAAATGCGAGCCCTCTGTTATGCCCAGACTGGGCCACTAGAGGGCTCCTTGGTCTACCGGTAACGCCAGTACCTGGGAAGGCACCTGTTACTTAGCCGACCTTGGTCTAGCGGTAGCGCCAGTAACTGGGAAGGCACCCGTTACTTAACAGACCGGGAAAAGGAGTCTCCCTTTCCCTGGGGGAGTTAAAAAACACTCTGCTCCACCATCTCTTGTAAAAACGCCTGACGTTAGTCAGGCCCGCCCACAGCCATCCAGAGGCCTGTCTTCCTGTGATGCTGTGCTTCAGCGGTCACGCTCCTGGTCCGCTTTCATGTTCCGCCCTGTACACCTGGCTCTGCCTTCTAAATAACAGTAACAAAATTAGTTACAAATTTTGTTTGACAGTAACAAAACTAAAGTCTTTAAAATACATTTAAAAAATTATGACGTAAACTGTCCCCTCTCTCTCTCTGCCTCGGCTACCAAATAGGGAAGGGCCCCCTGTCTGGTGGACACGTGACTCACGCGACCTTACCGATCACTGGAGATGACTCTCACTCCATACCCTGCCCCTTTGCCTTATACACAATAAATAACAGCGCGACCAGGCATTCGGGGCCAATACCGGTCTCTGTGTCTTGGTGATAGTGGTCCCTCAGGCCCAGCTGTCTTTTCTTCTATCTCTGTCTTGGGTCTTTATTTCTACAATCTCTCGTCTCCACACACAAAGAGAAAATCCCACAGGCCCTGCAGGGCTGGTATCGCCTAGGAAGTAAACATTCTATTAGCAATATTAAACCCCTAATAATTATATAGTGATATTAACAAGGGAGATTTAAGTTTTTTAAAAAATGCCTGGCCGGATGGCTGGGCGCGGTGGCTCATGCCTGTAATCCCAGCACTTTGGGAGGCCGAGGCAGGCTGATCACCCGAGGTCGGGAGTTCAAGACCAGCCCGACCAACACAGAGAAACCCCGTCTCTACTAAAAATACAAAATTAGCCGGGCGTGGTGGTACATGCCTGTAATCCCAGCTACTAGGGAGGCTGAGGCAGGATAATCGTTTGAACCTGGGAGGCGGAGGTTGCGGTGAGCCGAGATTGCGCCATTGCACTCCAGCCTGGGCAACAAGAGCGAAGCTCTGTCTCAAAAAAAAAAAAAAAAAAAAAGCCTGGCTGGGTGCAGTGGCTCATGCCTGTAATCCCAGCACTTTGGGAGGCCGAGGCGGGCAGATCACGAGGTCAACAGATCAAGACCATCCTGGCCAACATGGTGAAATTCTGTCTTTACTAAAAATACAAAAATTAGCTGGGCATGGTGACGCACGCCTGTAGTCGCAGCTACTTGGGAGGCTGAGGCAGGAGGACCAGGAGGCGGAGGTTGCAGTGAGCTGAGATCGTACCACTGCATTCTAGCCTGGCAACAGAGCAAGACTACATCTCAAAAAAAGAATAAATAAATAAATTTTAAAAATACGACTACCCCAGGTCAATATATCTTATAGTGAAACTGCAGATTTCACCATGCAAAAATTTAAAGCACACATCTTGTCCAATAAATGAACTTACAAAAATTAAAATCTATATTAAAAATAGAAACTTACATGTCTGTTGAAGTATAAAAAGGGACTCAGTCTCATGATCAACAGCTTAGGAAACTTAAATGCACATTGCTAAGTGAAAGAAGCCAATTCAAAAAGACTACATACTGTATGATTACAACATTCTGGAAAAGGCAAAACTATGGAGACAATAAAAAGATTAGGAGTTGACAGGGAGGGAGGATCAGTCAGGGCACAGAGGCCTTTTAGAGCAATGGAATTAATGTGGATGACATCATAATGGAGATAAATGTCATTACACATTTGTCCAAACCCCTGGATGTGTAACACCAGGAGTGAACCCTAATGTAAACTATAGACTCTGAGTGTCCATGTGGGTTCATTAGTTGTAATAAATGTACCACTCTGGTGGAGGATGTTGATGATGGGGGAGACCATACGTGTGGGGGAAAGACGTGTATGGGAAATCTCTGTACCTTCTGCTCAATTTTACTGTGAACCTAAAAGTACCCTAAAAAATAAAGCATATTAAAACAAATAAACAACTACAAAAAAGTAAGTCCTGTCACATGCTACATGTTTGAACCCTGAGGACATTATGCTAAGTCAGGGATTCAAGCAATGTATTTATAAATAACTGGTGGTTCAAAGAATAAATTGCAATGGAAGTTAAAAATATTTTACGAGGTCAGGAGATCGAGACCATCCTGGGCAACATGGTGAAACCCCGTCTCTACTAAAATACAAAAAAAAAAAAAAAAGTTAGTTAGACATGGTGGTGCGCGCCTGTAGTCCCAGCTACTTGGGAGGCTGAGACAGGGGAATCGCTTGAACCCAGGAGGCGGAGGTTGCAGTGACCTGAGATCGCACCATTGCACTCCAGCCTGGTGACAAGAGCGAGACTCCTTCTCAAAAAAAAAAAAAAAATTTAAACTGAATGATAATAAAAAGTAACATGTCAAACTAATTTATCAAAGCATTCAACTAATTCATTATTATATTGTATCCCGTTACTACTTGGGTTTGTGTGTGTCTACTGACTAACTGCAGTGAATCCCCTTTCTATCTTGGGGTATTGTGACTGGAAAGAAGCCAGTCACAAAAAGACAAATACTATTATAAATGATTCCACTTACAGAGGTATCTAAGGTAGTCAAACTCATAGAAACAGAAAGTAGAACAGTGGCTGCCAGGGGCTGGGGAAAGAGGGAAATGGGACATTGTAGCTTAATAGTTATAATTCAGTTTGCAAGATGAAAAAGTTCTAAAGATCTATTGTACAATATGAATATACTTAACACTGGAATGTACATTTAAAAATGATTAGCTTGGTGTGGTGGTTCACACCTGTAATCCCAGCACTTTGGGAGGCCAAGGCAGGTGGATCACCTGAGGTCGGGAGTTCGGGACCAGCCTGACCAACATGGAGAAACCCTGTCTCTACTAAAAATACAAAATTACCTGGGCTTGGTGGCACATGCCTGTATTCCCAGCTACTCGGGAGGCTGAGGCAGGAGATCACTTGAACCTGGGAGGCAGAGGTTGCAGTGAGCCAAGATCGCACCATTGCACTTCAGCCTGGGCAACAAGATCAAAACTCATCTCAAAAAAAAAATTATTAAGATGGCCAGGCGTAGTGGCTCATGCCTGTAATCCCACCACTTTGGGAGGCCAAGGCAGGTGATCACGAGGTCAAGAGTTCAAGACCAGCCTCACCAATATGGTGAAACCCCGTCTCTACTAAAAACACAAAAATTAGCCAGGCATGGTGGCACCCACCTGTAATCCCAGCTACTCAGGAGGCTGAGGCAAGAGAATCGCTTGAACCCGGAAAGCAGAGGCTGCAGTGAGCTGAGATCATGCCACTGCACTCCAGCTTGGGCAACAGAGTGAGACTCCGTCTAAAAAAAAAAAAACAAAGATTAAGATGGTAAATTTTACATTGTCTTTTATACCACAATTAAAATGAAAACAAAATCATTGAAAAAAAAAAAAAAGCTAGCTGGGCATGGTGGCACATTGTCTGTAGTCCCAGCTACCCGGGAGGCTGTGATGGGACAATCACCTGAGCCTGGAAGGTCGAGTTTGCAGTGAGCTGTGACTGCACCACTGCACTCCAGCCTGGGTGACAGAGTGAGAGGCCCGTCTCTCAAAAAAAGAAAAAAACAAAAAACCAGAAAAATCTACATGTTCAATGAAGTATAAAAAGGGACCCAGTATAATGATCAGTGGCTCAGATTCCAATGAGCTTATTTTGTGGAACCAAGTCCCAGGTACCAAACACTAATTAATTAATTGAGCCCTCAGCCTTTAAGTTAAGTCTGTGGTTGGTTTAATTTTCCTCTTATCAGATATTGGCAATTTTTGTGTTACTTCATATTTTAAGTTTTGTTAGAGATTTATTAATTTTATTAATTCCCAAAAATAAGCTTTTGCCTTTGTTAGTTTTCTTCACTGTACATTCATTTTGTATTTCAATATATGTTCGTTATGTACAGCAAAACACGTACACCTTAAATATATGCAATACCAAATAAACTAAAAATTTTATATTTGGGCTTTTATTCTTATTATTTCCTAGATTTTAATTTTGGGGGTTTAACTTTCTAGACTTTTCCTTAGCTTCTTGAGATGAATACATAGATCATTAATTTTTCAACATTAATTTTTTTCTTTTTTTTTTCTGAGATGGAGCCTCACTCTGCCGCCCAGGCTGGAGTGCAGTGGCGCGATCTTGGCTCACTGCAACCTCTGCCTCCCAGGTTCAAGCAACTCTCTGCCTCAGCCTCCTGAGTAGCTGAGATTACAGGTGCCCGCCACCATACCTGGCTACTTTTTTTTGTATTTTTAGTAGAGATGGGGTTTCACCATCTTGGCCAGGCTAGTCTTGAACTCCTGACCTCGTGATCCACCAGCCTGGGCCTCCCAAAGTGCTGGGATTACAGGTGTGAGCCACTGCGCCCGGCCAACATTCATTTTTTTCTAACATATGCATTTACAGCTATATATTTTCCTCATATTCAGCTTTAGAAACATAATTTTGGTATGTTATTTTTCATTATCACTCAGTTTAAAATATTTTAAATATCTATCACAATTTATTCTTTGAGTCACCAGTTATTTATAAATACATTGCTTAAATCCCAAACATTGGGATATTTCTTTAATTTTTGTTTTTTTAAATTTAGAAATGGGGTCTTGCTATATTGCCCAGGGTGGCCTAAAACTTCTGGGTTCAAGCAATCCTCCTGCCTCGGTTTCCTAAAGTGCTGGGATTACAGGCATGAGTCACCACACCTGGCTGGGATATTTCCAATTATCTTCTTGTTATTGACTTCTAGCTTAACCTACTGTGGTCAGGAAAGTTACAGTATTATTTCATTCCTTTGAAATTTATTGAGACTCCCTTTGTGGCCCAGCATATGATCAATTTGGATAAATGTCTCATATGCATTTGAAAAGCAAGTATATTATGTAGTTGTAAGGTACACTGTTCTATACATATCAATCAGGTCAAGCTTGTCAATCACACTGTTCAAATACCATATAGCTTTATTGGGTTTGTCACTTGTTCTGTCAGCTATTGAGAAGAGTGCTAAAAACTCCCCACTAAGATTGTGATTTATCTACTACTTCTTTTAGTTATGTCAAATATATTTGAAGCCATTTTATGAAGGCATATAAATTCAGAACTGTTATATCTTACTGGTGAATTGATCTTTTTATTATAAACTATTCCTCTTTATCTCTAGTAAAGCTTCTTGTTGTAAAATCTATTCTTGTCATAAAGTCTACACTGCAGTTTGGAATATAGATTGATACCACTATTTCAGAAAACTGTCAGTATCTATTAGAGCTGAACATATACAGAAACCATGACCCAGCAATTTCACTCCTAGAAATACACCCAAGACAAATGCATTCATATGTGCACCAAAAGACATGTAAAAGAATGTTCCCGGCAGCGTTTTTCATAACAGCCTCAATATGAAATCAAATGCCAATCAGTAATGGAATGGATAAGTAAAATGTGTTATATTCGGCCGGGCACGGTGGCTCACACCTGTAATCCCACCACTTTGGGAGGCCGAGGCGGGCGGATCACCTGAGGTCAGGAGTTTGAGACCAGCCTGGCTAACATGGTGAAACCCCGTTTGTATTAAAAATACAAAAAATTAGCTGGGTGTGGTGGCGTGCGCCTGTAATCTCAGCTACTTGAGAGGCTGAGGCAGGAGAATCGCTTGAACCCAGGAGGTGGAGGTTGTGGTGAGCAGAGATGGTGCCATTGTACTCCACCTTGGGCAACAAGAGCGAAACTGTCTCAAAAACAAAAAAAAGTGTTATATTCATACAACAGAATTTTAAACAGCAATAATAATGTGTTCACTATATTCATTATATCACCTATAACTAACGTGCAGCAACATGGATGAATTTTATATATTTATACTACATATTATTACAGAATACATTCATATTACATACGAAATACAATATTGAGCAAAAGAAGCCAAGCATCATCTCCAAGTGAAACTGACAGTAGGAAAAAAAAAGTGAAAAAAAAAGAAGCCAAGCAAAATTCAAGTATAGGTAAAATTAGTCTATGGCTATAGAAGACAAACTATTAGTTCTCTTTAGGAGAAGTGGGTAGTGAGTGAACTGGACAAGACTTGGGCTTCTGTAATGCCAGTTATGTTTTATTTCCTTATCAGATTTGAGATCTGGTCAAAGGAATATGCTTTTTCTTTTTTTTTTTTTTTTTTGAGACAGAGTCTCGCTCTGTCGGCCAGGCTGGAGTGCGGTGGCACAATCTTGGCTCATTGCAAGCTCCACCTCCCGGGTTCACACAATTCTCCCGCCTCAGCTTCCCAAGTAGCTGGGACTATAGGCGGCCGCCACCATGCCCGGCTAATTTTTTGTATTTTTTTTTTTTTTTTAAGTAGAGACGGGGTTTCACCGTAGCCAGATGGTCTTGATCTCCTGACCTCATGATCTGCCTGCCTTGGCCTCCCAAAGTGCTGGGATTACAGGCACGAGCCACCGCGCCCAGCCCGGAATATGCTCACTTTTATACAAGTCATCAGGTCATATACCTTGATTTTGTACTTTTCAGAATGTATGGTATATATATATATTTGAGACAGGGTCTTGCCCTGTTGCCCAGGATGGAAGGCAGTGGTGCAATCGCAGCTCACTGCAGCCTCAACCTCCCTAGGTTCAAACAATCCTCCCACCTTATCCCCTGAATACCTGGGACAATAGCAGCATGTAACCATGCCTGGTTAATTTTTGTACTTTTTGTAGAGATGGGGTTTCACCATCTTGCCCAGGCTTGTCTCAAACTCCTGGGCTCAAGCAATCTGCCCAGTAGGCCTCCCAAAGTGCTGGGATTACAGGCATGAGTCACCATGCCTGGCCCCAGAATGTATGTTATACTTTTAAAACAACATGATATATCATGGTATCAGCAGATTCATTAAAGATTAGAATACCAAATGACCATGTGTTAGAATACAAGATGACTATAATGTTTATAAGCTGTCGGTAGGAATTTAATTTATAAAACTATATTGTAGATCAGTTCAGCATTATCTAGGAAATTTAAAGATGCAAAACATACTGTATGGCCCAGCAATTCCTTCATACACTTATATCCTGGAAAGGTATGCATATATGCTGGTATACTTGTAAAAACATTTTCACAGCAGCCCTGTCATACAGGAAATAACCAACGTCTGAACTGCAGCTATGTATAGCAGCGAGAGTGAGGCTAACAAATATAGTATTTTATAAGAAAGGCAAGACTCAAAACAACATCATACAGTACAATTTAATTTATATAGTGTTAAAAAGGCAAAACTAAACTATATTGTTTAGGGATAAGCAGATATGTGGTAAAAAACAAAACAAAACAAAACTTTTTTTAAAAAGTCAAGAAGAAAATAACGATTATCAAAGTCAGGATAAGTGTTGCCTAAAGAGGGAGGTAGGATAAGTTTATTCTGGGGAAAGGACTAGCGGGCTTTTCTGGACTGCTGAAGCAAGTTTTTGTTATGCTGAGGGTCTCTTTATAATTACTTCTTAAACTATACATCTATATTTTAACTATTTTTCTGTATTACGTAATATAAAGGGATTAAACAACAACAAAAAAAAAAACAAATATAGGCCAGGAGCAGTGGCTCACACCTGTAAACCCAGCACTTTGGGAGGCCTCACCTGAGGTCAGGAGTTCAAGAACAGCCTGGCCAACATAGTGAAACTCCATCTCTACAAAAATATAAAAATTAGCCAGGCATGATGGCAGGTGCCTGTAATCACAGCTACTCAGGAGGCTGGAGCGGGAGAATTGCTTGAACTCGGGAGGCGGGAGGTTGCAGTGAGCTGAGATCTAGCCATTGCACTCCAGCCTGGGTGCGCTGAGAACGCGCCTCTGCACTCCAGCCTGGGCAACAGAGCGAGACTCCGTCTCAAGAAAAAAAAAGAAAAGAAAAGAAAACCAAATATAAGAACCATACATAATTTTTAGTGAAAATACAAGATATGAAATGGTAAATGTCATAAGATTCCAATCTTGAAAACAATGTATATGTGCATAGGAAACTTACTAGAAGGAAATAGATCAAAATATTACTGGGTTATTTCTGGGTAGTAGATTTGCTGTTTGTAACTCCCTATTTTCTAAATTCTTTGGAATTGTGTGGGTGGGTGTGTGTGAGACAGAGGAGGGGAGAGTGTGTGTGTGTTTAAAAAAACAAAACTTTAGTACACTGGGAAAACTGTTCTATTTTCTAAATTAATAAGTGAACATTTTGTAGAAAGAAGTAACAGACTACTGGGATCTCTGAGTCCACTCCAAGGCTTCTCATCATTTTCTTGAATAGAAACTTGTAAGAACCAGGTCACTTGTTGACTCTATGTTAACCACGACTATCCAGAGAAGAGAAGCAAAAAGGAAACCCAATGCACCTTGTATTTGGTTTGGTCAACAGCCATTCTTCCTCTGGGTAACTCTCTTGACGAGAGCAGAGCTGAAGAAGAAAGGAATGATGAGATGCCAGGCCTTTCTTGTGGCCCAGACTGAGCAGATCAGAGGTCATTTTGGATCTACAGCTACTATCTATGGAGAGAAGAAGGGATGGGGGAGGTCAGAGAAGTGTAGGCGGCCCGGCGTGGTGGCTCACGCCTGTAATCCCAGCACTTTAGGAGGCCAAGGCAGGCGGATCACCTGAGGTGGGGAGGTCGAGACCAGCCTGACCAACACGGAGAAACCCCGTCTCTACTGAAAATACAAAATTAGCAGGGCGTGGTGACACACGCCTGTAATCCCAGCTACTAGGAAGGCTGAGGCAGGAGAATTGCTTGAACCGGGGAGGCGGAGGTTGCGGTGAGCCGAGATTGCGCCATTGCACTCCAGCCTGGGCAACAACAGCGAAACTCCGCCTTAAAACAAAACAAAACAAAAACAGAGAAGTGTAGGCTGTCATGAGCATTCTTGGTATCAGAGGGGTGAGGTCTCTCCTCTCGAGAATCTGTCCTGACCTCACAGGGAGAGCTGGAGTCACAAAGACAGTCACAAGCACCCCCTACCCAATGCTGCAGTCACCCAGCCACCATGGGGACCCACATAGACCTCCACAGGCACGCCTCACCCAAACAATAACACTATATATGGTCACACAATCATTGTCCCACATCTACCTTGAGGATAAGTTACACTAGCATATTTACAGACCCCTCAAACATAGCACCATTCAGAACCAGAGTGCTACAGATAGTCACAATACCACACGCACTACTGAGCCACACAAAGTTACAGTTCCCCCCTCCCCAGGACCCCTATTGAGCACTACACACAATCACACATTCAAAATAACACAATGACCACTAGGACACACATATCACCCCGGCACGATTACACGCACTTTCCAACCGCAGACACAGTGCTACATAAAGTTACATGGTCACACTCTCACATTCTCACGTTACTGGGTTATTTCTGGGTAGTAGATTTACTCAGTAAGGCATCCAGTACACTTAAGTGCTGCTAACAGTCATACAAACACAATTACACACACCCCTCAGACTAACACACAGTCACAGCCTCATCAGATTCTCTCCACACAAACACCCTCCACAAATGTCACGCAAAGTTACACAGCCACACACAATCACAGTCCCAACACGGGACACAGTCATACCTACACATACAGCCTTACATTGTTACAATTACACAACTACAACGAGGATATACAATCACACCCGCGCACACAGAGAGGCACAGTCACATAAGGTCACACTCACACACGGAAGCCCACGCCTCGCGCCCGCCTCCCCACCACCCCCTCTATCAGCCCGACCAACTCATACATGCCCGACACACTCATACATGCCCAACACTCCAGACCAGCCTGGTCAGTCCCTTCAAACTCCCATGCACGTACCTGCGGGCCCCAGCCGAGCCTGCAAGACCCAGGCCGCTCACCGCGCACTTCCCCTACCCTTGAGGCGGAGGGTCCAGCAGGCAAATGAAGGGGCTGCCCTGGACTCGCGGGGGCCTCTGGGAAATACAGTCCGGAGTAGGACCGCGCCGAGAAGATGGCGCCTGTTTTTTCGGGTTCTTGCAGCTGCACAGCTCGGGGACATCCCTGCTCCGCACTCCGAACCGCTACCCCGCGTCTCCGTGATCCAGACACAGGCTCAGAGTGAAACTGCCGTAGGACGCTGGCCCTGCACGCTGAAGACAATCTTCCTCCATGGTACCGGCCAACCCCAGGGAGTTCCCTGAGAAACAGGAAAAGGTCGCCAGCTTCGGGCCAGATGTTGACTAGAGCCGCAAGGATTTTTGGGAACTGTAGTCTAGAGCAGGAAGGGGTGAGGCGCTGGGGCAAGTGGAAGGAGGTCGCTTAAATGACTTCCTGCCCCAAGCCGACTCAGTGCAGAACGCACCCAGGACCCCGGACTGTACTAGGCGTTATAACGCTCTCTGAGAATGCTAGACTGACTAAATCGTCATTTTTGCCTTCATCCGTGGATAAGCCACATACTGTATGACTGCATTTATAGGAAATATTTAAAATAGTCAAATCTACGGAAAAGGAGTAAGTTAGAGTTTTTTAGGACTAGCAGGATTAGGGGGAACTGTGAGTGATTGGTAATAGCTAAAGGGTTCATTTTTGGGGTAATGCAAAGCTTCTTGAATTAGATAATGATGTTTGCACAACTCTGAATACACTAAAAGTGACTGAATGGTACACCATAAACGAGCTAATGTTATAGTTTGTAAATTATATTTGTGTGCATGTTTTTTAAAAATCAACTTTACTGAAGAATAATTTAGATACAATAAAATGCACTCATTTTAAGTGAACTGTTCGGTAAGCTTCAACGCATGTCTAAACCCTTGTCACCACCATCGTAATCAGGATATAGAATATTTTTTAAAATTAAAAAATTTTTAAGCATTTTAGTTAAATTTTTGTGGGTACATAGTAGTTGTATATGGGGTACATGAGATGTTTTGATACAGGCATGCAATGCGTAAGAATCATATCATGTAAAATAGGGTGTCTATCCCCTCAAGCATTTATCCTTAGTGTTACTGGATATAGAATTTTTTTTTTTTTTTTTTTGAGTTGGAGTCTAGCTGTCACCCAGGCTGGACTGCAGTGGCGAGATCTCGGCTCACTGCAAGTTCCGCCTCCCGGGTTCAAGCGATTCTCCTGCCTCAGCCTTCCGAGTAGCTGGTATTACAGGTGCCCGCCACCATGCCTGGCTAATTTTTGTATTTTTAGTAGAGACAGGGTTCGAGCTCACAGGCTGGTCTCGAACTCCCGACCTCGAACTTCTGACTTCGTGATCCGCTCGCCTCGGCCTCCCAAAGTGCTGAGATTACAAGCGTGAGCCACCGCGCCCGGCGGATATAGAATATTTTTATTCACCGCCCTCTGCCCCCCACATTGTTAAGTCAATCCCCACCTCCCAAACCCCACATCAGGCATCTATTGACTATTCTAAGGAATGAGCAGTAGTATCAAATTATGTTTTTAATTTGCATTTCCTGATGTCAATGAACTTAGCATACTTTCATATACTTATTTGCCATTCTTTTATCTTCTTTTGTGACATCTATTGAAAATATTCGGCTGGGCGCAGTGGCTCACGCCTGTAATCCTAGCACTTTGGGAGGCTGAGGCGGGCAGATCACCTGAGGTTGGGAGTTCGAGACCACCCTGACCAACGTGGAGAAACACCGTCTCTACTAAAAATACGAAATTGGCCAGGCGTGGCGGTGCATGCCTGTAATCCCTGCAGGAGAATCACTTGAACCCGGGAGGCAGAGGTTGCTGTGAGCTGAGATCACACTGTTGCACTCCAGCTAGGGCAACAAGAGCAAAACTGCATCTCAAAAAATAATAATAAATAAATAAATAAATAAAATTTTCTTATTTTAAAATTGGTTATTATTGAGTTGTAACAATTCTTTATATGTTTGGGTAAAAGTCCTTTGCCAAATATACATATTGCAAATTGCAAATATTCTCTCCCTGCCTGGGGCTTACCTTCTCAGTTTTTTTTTTTTTTTTTTTTTGAGACAGGGTCTTGCTCTGTTGCCTAGTCTGGAGTGCAGTGGTGTTAACATAGCTCACCACAGCCTTGACCTCCTGGGTTTAGTCGATCCTCCTGAGTAGCTGGGACTGCAGGTGTGCACCACCACCCCCAACTAATTTTCTTGTGTTTTGTGGAGATGGGGTCTCACTGTGTTATTACAGGTGTGAGTCACTGTGCCCAGCCCTCAGTTTCTTCATGATGTCTTTCAAAAAGCAGTTTTTACTTCTGATGAAATCCAATTTCTCATCTTTAAAATGTGCTTCATGCTTTCTGGTCTTTCTAACAATCTTTGACTCCTCTAGTGTTGTGAAGAATTTCTCCTATGTTTTATTCTAAAGGTTGTATAGTTTTAGTTTTTATTTTTGGTCTATCATCCACTTGAAGTTAGTTTTTGTGTATGTGAGGTAATGTTCAAAGTTATTATTTTCCAGATGGAAATTCAGTTGTTCTAACATCACATGTTAACAAAACTATCATTTTCCTCTTGAATGACCTCAACATCTAAAGTAGGCAGGATAATGTTCCCCCCAAAATACCCACATGCTAGTTCCTGGGACTTGTGAATATGCTATGTTACATGGCAAGTGGAATTAAATTAACAGGTAGAATTAAAGTTGCTAATCGGCTGACCTTAACATAGGGGAATTATACTGGATTGTCCAGTTAGACCCAATGTAATCACATGGGGTCTGAAATGAGGAAGAAGGCATAAAGTCAGTGTTGGAATTGTGTGCTGTGAGAAACACACGACCAGCCATTATTGGGTGTAAAGATGAAAGGAGCCCATGAGCTGAGGAATGCAGGCAGCTTCTCCAACTTGGAAAATGAAAAAAAACAAATTCTCCAGAGCCTCCAGAAAGGAATGCAGCTTGCAAACTTTTGATTTTAGAGCAGAAAAAACTCATTTCTTTTTTTTAATTTTTAATTTATTTTTTTAATTTTTATTTATTTATTTTGAGATGGGGTCTCCCTCTGTTGCCCAAGCTGGAGTGCAGTGGTGGGATCTCGGCTCACTGCAACGTCTGCCTCCTGGGTTCAAGTGATTCTCCTGCCTCAGCCTCCCTAGTAGCTGAGATTACAGGCACCCACCACCATGCCCGGCTAATTTTTCTTTCCTTTTTTTTTTTTTTTTTTTTTTTTTTTTTAAGTAGAGACAGGGTTTCATCATGTTGGCTAGGCTGGTCTTGAACTCCTGACCTCAAGTGATCTGCCTGCCTTGGCCTCCCGAAGTACTGGGATTACAGGTGTGAGCCACTGCACCCAGCATTTTTTTTTTTTTTTTTTTTTTTTAGAGACAAGGTCTTGCTCTGTCTCCCAGGCTGGAATGCAGAGGTATGATCACAGCTCACTGCAGCCTCATACTCCTGGACTTAAGCATCCTTCCGCCTAGGCCTTCTGAGTAGCTGGGACTATTGGTGTACACCACCACACCTGGCTAATTGAAAAAAAAATTTATAGAGAGAGGGTTTAGTTATGTTGCCCAGTCTAGTTTCAAACTCCGGGCCTCAAGTAATCCTCCCACCGAGGCCTCCCAAAGTGCTGGGATTACAGGCATGAGCCACCACAACAGCTGTGTCATCCCAACCCCTCTCTGGGCTTGATCACATAAAGAAGGCTTGCATTCCTCAGATAAAAGCCATTTATTTTCTTTTTCAACACTATGCGGAGTGAGATAAGCCAGACCAAAAGGACAAATATTGTATGAATCCACTTATATGAGGTGCCTAGAATAGGTGTATTCATAGAGACAGAAAGTAGAATTGAAGTTACATGAAGTTATATGAGGTACATGATAAAGCCTCTATACTTAAAACAGTGTGCTATTTGTGTGTGGTTAGAGAGACAGACAAAGGGAGGAGGATGGGAAATGGAGAAATAAACATCCATGGCCGGGCGCGGTGGCTCACGCCCAGCCCTTTGGGTGGCCGAGGTGGGTGGATCACCTGAGGTCAGGAGTTCGAGACCAGCCTGGCCAACATGATGAAACCCCATCTCTACTAAAAATACAAAAAATAAGCTGGGCATGGTGGCATGCGCCTGTCATCCCAGCTACTCAGGAGGCTGAGGCAGGAGAATTGCTTGAACCTGGGAGGCGGAGGTTGCAGTGAGCCGAGATTAAGCCACTGCACTCCAGCCTGGGCAACAGGAGCAAAACTCCGTCTCAAAAAAAGAAAGAAAGAAAGAAATTAACATCCCGGCCAGGCACGGTGGCTCACACCTGTAATCCCAGCACTTTGGGAGGCCAAGGCGGGTGAATCATGAGGTGAAGAGATCGAGACCATCCTGGCCAACATGATGAAACCCCGTCTCTACTAAAAATACAAAAATTAGCTGGGTGTGGTGGCACGCGCCTGTAGTCCCAGCTACTCGGGAGGCTGAGGCAGGAGAATCGCTTGAACCTGGGAGGCAGAGGTTGCAGTGAGCTGAGATTGTGCCACTGCGCTACAGCCTGGTGACAGAGTGAGACTTCATCTCAAAAAAAAAAGAAATTAACATCCACATAGATGCTTAGTATTTGATAAAGGTAGCAGCTCAAATCACCACAGTCACATCATAAAGTTTTATGCAGCCCATACACACACAGCAGAAAAAAAAAAAAACGAAGCTCTCTACGGAATGACATTAACTCTGGAATATATAAAAAATGGAAAGTATAGAACAGTGTAACATATAGTTCGTCTAAAAAAGAAAAGGAAATTAGATTAGATATAAGCATTTGTTTATATTCACTAAAAAAAGAAAAGATAGGAAAAAAGAAGTATTGGAAACGTGAACCAGAAACAATACCTATAGTGATAACCTATAGTGATTGGGGTGGTGGGGGGAGTGAGACTTGATATGTCTTTTTATACAGTTGCATAGGAAAAACAAACTGGTTTTAAAAATATATACTCTCACAACACTCAATACTTCCAGAATGTTTCGTTTTTAACACAAAATATGTGGAGTTTTTCTGACACCACTTCTCCAGCCCTCCCTACATGGGTGTCCTACAATTGAATTCAATTCTGACACTAACCTGAGTTAGCACAGACCTTACAGTTTAATTGCTCAGTCCCACAAGACTGCCCACCTCTTCAGATGCCAATGACAACTACTAGGTCACCTGATTACCAACAACTGCCCAGTTTGCCTGAAAATTAGAGGTTCTCATCATCCCCTTCTTGGATTTGATTCTACCAAACTTTTAAGGGAGAACAAATTCTAATATTTCTCAAACTAATCCAAAAAAATTGAAGGGGAAGGAATTTTTCCAAACTGATTCTGTGAGGCCAGCACCATCCTCATACTAAAACCAGGCAAAGACAGAAGAAAGAGAAAACTACAGGCCAAGATCCCTGATAAACGCAGATGCAAAAATCCTCAACAAAATACTAGCAAACCAAATCCAATAGCATGTCAAAAAGATACACAATGATCAAGTGGGACTTATCCCAGGGAAGCAAAGATGGTTTAACATATGCAGATTAGTATGTGCAATACATCACATTGACAGAATGAAGGACAAAAATCATATGGTCATCTCAATAGAAACAGAAAAAGCATTTGACAAAATTCAACATCTCTTTGCAATCAAAAAAAAAAAAAAACAAAACTCCCTGGCCGGGCTCGGAGGCTCACGCCTGTAATCCCAGTTCTTTGGAGTCTCACTCTGTCACCAGGCTGGAGTGCAGTGGCTCCATCTCAGCTCCCTGCAACCTCCACCTCCTGGGTTCAAGTGATTCTACTGCCTCAGCCTCCCAAGTAGCTGGTACTACAGGCGCACGCCACCACACCCAGCTAATTTTTGTATTTTTAGTAGAGGCAGGGTTTCACCATGTTGGCTAGGATGGTCTCGATCTCTTGACCTCATGATCCACCTGCCTCGGCCTCCCAATGCGTTGGGATTACAGGCATGAGCCACTGCGCCCAGCTGGGATTGCTTTTGAGCCTGGGCAGTCAAGGTTGCAGTGAGCCATGATTGTGCCATTACACTCCAGCCTGGGTGACAGAGTGAGACTCTGTCTCAAAAAAAAAAAAAAAAAAAAAGCAAGATTTTCTTCAGGTGTTTTTAGTCACACGTTGGCCATATTAAAGACTGTTATTATTATTATTGTGCTGTTGTTGTTGTTGTTGTTGTTTTGAGATGGAGTTTTGCTCTTGTTGCCCAGGCTAGAGTGCAATGGCATGATCTCGGCTCACTGCAACCTCCGCCTTCTGGGTTCAAGCGATTCTCCTGCCTCAGCCCCCCAAGTAGCTGGGATTATAGGCACACACCACCATGCCCAGCTAATTTTGTATTTTTAGTAGAGACGGGGTTTCACCATGTTGGTCAGGCTGGTCTCGAACTCCCCACCTAAGGTGATGTGCCCGCCTCGGCCTCCCAAAGTGCTGGGATTACAGGCATGAACCACCACGACCAGCCAAGACTATTATTATTTTTATTGTTGCTGCTTACTATAGTTGTGCTTGAGTTAGCTAGGGTGGATGCTGATGGAGATTAAGGGGATTAAAATATCTATACCTCCCAAAGCCTTCTACCAGCCGTTTCAAAGGGGATGCTTAGACTTCTAACCCCTCTTCCATGGTATCTCCTAGAAGAGGATTGTACTAACCCAACTTCTACCCTATTTCCTAATGTGTTTTCAACTACTAAAAATTGTACCTCCCTTCCTGCAGGATACTACCTACTGTGACATAACTCCGTCTTGCCTAGTGGTTTCACCCAGGAGTGAACTCAGATCCCAGTCCACCCTTCTCCTGAGTGGTGTCTCCAAAAAATAGATTGTACCATCCTGATGCCTCCTCTTATCTCCCTTATTTCTCTCAGGATCCCTGGCTTCCTAGTTCCCCCATGGTTTCTCCTAGTAAATCGTTGTTTTCTGCAGTGTGCCGTAACCAAGGGGTAACTTAGGTATTGTAAATATAACAGCCGGAGGCGGTGGCTCACGCCTATAACCCCAGCATTTTGGGAGGCCGTGGTGGGTGGATCATTTGAGGTCAGGAGTTCGAGACCAGCGTGACCAGTAGAGACGTGAAACTGCGTCTCTACTAAAAATACAAAAAAATTAGCTGGGTGTGGTGGCGCTTGCCTGTAATCCCAGCTACTCGGGAGGCAGAGGCAGGAGAATCGCTTGAACCTGGGAGGCAGAGGTTGCAGTGAGCCGAGATGGCGCCACTGCACTCCAGCCTGGGCGACAGAACAAGACTCTGTCTCAAAACAAACAAACAAACAAAAAAAAACATAAAGCTCCAGATCCTATCTTCAGGAACTTCTTCTTGGGTACAAGCGTGGTCACACTGGTTACAGTCTTGCATTCTATGTGAAAATCCTTGCCTTACTCTAGTCAACACTCCAGGAGGCGGACTCCTCCACTGTACGGAATCGATACGCATCAAAGATGGCGACCCACACAAATAAACACCATAAGGGCGCGGTTATATTCTCTGCCCGTGAGCGCCGATTACGGAAACTGCACGATGTCTCTAAATATGTGTGTGCTCCCTGTTGACTGTGGGCTGAAATTGGCTTCCAAGTTAATTTAGAGCATGCGCAATATCAACAGTCCATAAGGGGAGGTGCTAGAAGTCGGACCGGAAGTGGAAGTGGTCCCCGAAGGCTATTTCGCCGCTGGCGTCAGGACTATTTTCACGTTTTAATGCCGAGAGGTCTCTGTGACGATTTTGGTTGGTTGCAATTAGGGATTCTGTGAAGTCAGTAATAGAGGAGTTGTCTGTGGAATTAGTGATGGTGGTTTCGGGGCATGGTGATGGGGGTCTGTGACGTCCGTTGATGGTTGTCTGTGACAGGGATTTCTCGGGTCATTGATGGGGCTCTTTGGGATGAGTGATTGGGGTTTGGGGGTCAGTGACGGGAGTCTGTGGTCAGTGACTGAGGGCCTGTAGGGTCAGCTATGGTGGTCGGTGAGGACTGTGATCAGCTTGCTTTCTGACCTGAGTTGAAAGTTCAGTTCTTTCCATTTCAGCCTGTAATATAAAGATTAACAAGTTTTGATGTGTAGCAGTTTCGTATTGTTCAAATCTAAGTGTTTAAAAATTTTTTTCAGTAATTGTTTTTCTTTGACCCATGAGCTGTTTAGAAGTGCACTTTATGGCCGGGCGCGGTGGCTCAAACCTGTAATCCCAGCACTTTGGGAGACCCAGGCGGGCGGATCATGAGGTCAGGAGATCGAGACCATCCTTGCTAACACGGTGAAACCCCGTCTCTACTAAAAATACAAAAAATTAGCCGGGCGTGGTGGCGGGCGCCTGTAGTCCCAGCTACTCTGGAGGCTGAGGCAGGAGAATGGCGTGAACCCGGGAGGCGGAGCTTGCGGTGAGCCCAGATCTTGCCACTGCACTCCAGCCTGGGCCACAGAGCACCAAAAAAAAAAAAAAAAAAAAGAAGTGCACTTTATGTTTCAATTAGTGTCTGTAGGTGATGCTTCAGTTGAACAATTGCTTTATGGCCTAGTTCTTCCTCATTTTTCATAAATGTCACATCTATTACATGAAAAGAGTGTAATATGTTCTCTAATTTGTATTGTTATGGATATTAATCATATGTTATATATATTATGTATCTCCTCACAGATTATTTTGTTGAGGAAGGTAAACTACTCACATTGGAAAAGTTATTTGTCCACCTGTCCTTTCTTCTGTTTCTGCTTTATATATTTAAAACTATATTATTGGGATCAGTTGAGTGTATTGCTAGATATGACTGACCGGGCCTGGTGGCTCACGCCTGTAATCCCAGCACTTTGGGTGGCCAAGGTGGGCAGATCACCTGAGGTCAGGAGTTCGAGACCAGCCTGGCCAACATGGAAAAACACCTCTAACCAAAAATACAAAAATTAGCTGGGTGTGGTGGTGGGTGCCTGTAATCCCAACTACTCGGGAGGCTGAGGCAGAAGAATCACTTGAACCTGGGAGGCGGAGGTCGCAGTGAGCCAAGATCATGCCATTGCACTCCAGCCGGGGCGACAAGAGTGAAACTCCATCTCAAAAAAATAAAAAAATAGATATGACTAAATAGCTCAAAAGACATTATAGCAATTCAAGCTTCAACCAATAATTTATAAAAGCAATTTGCCTAAATGCTTTCCAACAGTGGATGTTGTCACTTTTTTTTTTGAGACAGAGTCTTGCTCTGTCGCCCAGGCTGGAGTGCAATGCCGTGATCTCCGCTCATTGCAACCTCTGCTTCCCTGGTTCAAGCTATTCTCCTGTCTTAGCCTCTTGAGTAGCTGGGATTTCAAGTGCCCGCCACCACGCCTGGCTAATTTTTGTATTTTTAGTAGAGACAGCGTTTCGCCATGTTGGCCAGGCTGGTCTCGAACTCCTGGCCTCAAGTGATCCATTGTGCTTGGTCTGTTACTTTTTTAAAGCTTTTATGATTCTAAGGAAAATTTCTCTCTAATTGTTCTGACGCGTTTTTCTTTTAGTTAAGTTGGTATCTTTTTGTTAATTGCCATTTGCTTCCTTTTCTCTGAATTTTCATACCTTTTCCAGTTTCTTTTATTTTTTTTTTTGGCCTTTTTTGCTTAGTGATTGCTTAGAGTTAACATTACAAGCAAGCTATCATCACATATTGAAAAAATTTCTTATATATCTTTATGTCGAATTTTATGGTTTATTTAAACATATAATTAGGAAACATAATCAGAAATACCTGTTTTTTTCTGTTATAGCTTCTGGGTTTCCTGTCATGTGTAATAAGATCCTTATCACCCCACCACAATGCTATACAAATATATAGTCTGAAAATTATTTTAATATCCTTAGGGGTTTTAAAAAATGCATGTATTTAAATGTTTAGTGCTCCTGGAATTTGTCTACTTAATAGTGTGAGGTGGGTTGGGCGCGGTGGCTCACGCCTGTAATCCCAGCACTTTGGGAGGCCGAGGCAGGCGGATCACAAGGTCAGGAGATCAAGATCATCCCAGCCAACATGGTGAAACCCTGACTCTACTAAAAATACAAAAATTAGCTGGGCGTGGTGTCGCATGCCTGTAGTCCCAGCTACTTGGGAGGCTGAGGCAGTAGAATCACTTGAACTCTGGAGGTGGAGGTTGCAGTGAGATGAGGTTGTGTCACTGCACTCCAGCCTGGCCACAGAGCGAGACCCCATCTTAAAAGAAAAAAATATTGTGTGAGGTGGAGATCTAGTTTGTTTTATTCCAGATGCATGGCCAATTGCATGCACCAATTGGGGATATGTATACAATGAATGCCGTGTGCACACTCAATCGCATATCATTTTTATTTCATATATAGATCAACATTGTCTGATATGTTTATTATCTTACTTGTTTTGATGACATGGTTTTCTGTATTACGTTTTAATATAGTGCATGGTAATTGCTGATATTTATTGCGTGATTCTTGCATGGCAGGGAGGCATTGAGTACTTTAAAAGCATAATCTCATTTAATCTTAGTAACTGTGACACAGGCATTTTCATCCTTATTTCTGAAACAAAATCTGAGTAACTTCTTTATATTCTCATTGTTGAAAAGTGGTACAGCTGCAGTTCAAATCTGCAGTAATGTTACTCTAAATTTCATGGCTTTTCCCATATTTCAGCACTGTTCTCCACAGTTCTGAAAGTGTGGTTCTTGTACCAGCAGCATCAGCATTTCCTGGGCACTTATTAGAAAATAAAATTCTTAGGGCCTACCTTAGACCCATCGAAGGGGTGAAGTTGAGAATTTTAAACTATGTTTTAACAAGCCCTCCAGGTGACTTGAATGCATACCTACGTTTGGGAACCACTGCTCTGGTTTCTAGCGCAGGGACCTGCACCTTGGTGTATCCAGGAAGTGTTTATGTAGTGAATGTTGAATGACTACGTGGACATTGTTTTTCTAGGTTCTTGGGTGTCTCTGGGGAGTCCCTGGGCCAGACCTTCCTCCAGACTCCAGCCCACCTCTTCGGAGCAGCTCTGCTGAGTTCACAGATGACCACTAAACTTCAGGCACCCTAGACAAAAAGGGTTGAGATCCAGTGTGGCCATGCCAGCTAGTTGGACCTCACCCCAGAAATCCTCAGCCCTGGCTCCAGAGGATCATGGCAGCTCCTATGAGGTGAGGAGGAGGAGTCCCAAGGGGTGGAATTTCAGTCCAAGAGTAGATAGCTCTAATCTGTCACCACAGCCTTAGGGCAGAGGCAGACAGGCCTTAGGAACCAGCTGGACTCTAGACTTGGTGCTCCTGAAAGAAAACTTGATCTTCCTGTCAAGAATGAACACGTGGGTAATGTCTCCGTCTCTGGAGGCCACCTGTGTGACAGTGGAGAGGTGCACTGTCAAGGAAAACTGTTGTTGATTTTGTCATCACGCTATATTGATGTTTTGGCTGCAAATAGAATTCCTTGTTAGAAGTGACTTTTGTTTGAGATTTTGAAAGCATTTTTTCATTTCTTCCTAAACCACCTCCTCAAACACAAATGTTTTCTCTGTTTTCTTTCTGAAACTTGTTTTTCAGATGTTGCTTCTCCATTTCTTTTCTCTACTATTTTCTATGTATTTCCTGCTATCCATTCTGGGTAACTTTGACACCTTTTGCCTTCCAGCCCTTCTATTGAGCTTCTCATTACCACTATCCACATTTTAACTTAATGTTTTAATTTTTAAAAACTCTAGTTTGTTTCCTAAAATTTTTTTTTTTTTTTTTGAAACAGAGTTTTGCTCTCATTGCCCAGGCTGGAGTACAATGGCATGATCTCGGCTCACTGCAACCTCCGCCTCCTGGGTTCAAGAGATTCTCCTGCCTCAGCCTCTCAAATAGCTGGGACTACAGGCATGTGCCACCTCGTTCGGCTAATTTTGTATTTTTAGTAGAGACGGGGTTTCTCCGTGTTGATCAGGCTGATCTCGAACTCCTGATCTCAGGTGATCTGCCCACCTCAGCCTCCCAAAGTGCTGGGATTACAGGCATGAGCCACTGTTCCCAGCCTGTTTCCTAAATTTTTTTTTATTGCCATCCCGTTCTTATTTCATGGATGTAATGTTATTTTTTAAATTATTTATTTATTTATTTATTTATTGATGGAGTTTTGCTCTTGTTGCCTAGGCTGGAGTGCAATGGCATGATCTCCGCTCACTGCAACCTCTGCCATCCAGGTTCAAGCAATTCTCCTGCCCCAGCCTCCTGAGTAGCTGAGATTACAGGTGCGAGCCACCACGCCTGGCTAATTTTTGTATTTTTAGTAGAGATGGTGTTTCACCATCTGGGCCACGCTGGTCTCGAACTCCTGACCCTCAGGTGATCCACCTGCTTCGGCCTCCCAAAGTGCTGGGATTACAGGTGTGAGACACCATGCCCGGCCTGGGTGTATTGTTATTTCTTATCCATCTGAAGATATTGTGATAATTTATTAGGAATAGTTTAATCTTTTGAATAGGCAATGCATATACCTAGTTCAAAAGTTAGAAATATATGAAAAGCAATATATTGAAAAGTATTATGGTGAAAGAGATGGGACTGTGGTTCACCCACCTCTGCCTTCCATCTACCTGTGTCTCCCGGTAGTGATAACCTGCTTTATTCATTTTCTTTGATTGCTTAGTTCTGTATACAAATGAAAACAACTACAATTTTTTTCTCTTGATTTCAGAATGGCATAGCAGATTAACTTTTTTGTACATTGCTGTTTTAATGTTTGTTTGGTAAAATACAGAAACTATTATGAACAATATCGCAGTGGATATTGTCATGCCTTCTCTTTCTATTGGATATATTAGAAGTAGTGGAATTTCATTTCAGGGTTCTAGTCACGTGGTGAGAGTCTCATCTGCACCTCAGTGAACCTCTACTTTAGTTGCTCTTGGGCAGTTTTAGGATTGAGTATCTTAATAATTTTATTCTAGAAGATAGGAAGGATAGCTTGAGGCTAAAGTTACAGTTGGTAAAGCAGCAGCAGTTGGCTGGGCACGGTCGTTCACACCTGTAATCCCAACACTGGAAAGCCAGGGTGGGAGGATGGCTTGAGGCCAGAAGTTCAAGACCAGCCCTGGCAATGTAGTGATTCCCTGTCACTACCAAAAAAAAAATTTAATTAAATTAAAAATTAGTTTGGGCCTGGTGCGGTAGCTCACACTTATAATCCCAGCACTTTGGGAGGCTGAGGCAGGCAGATTGCCTGAGGTCAGGAGTTCGAGACCAGCCTAGCCAACATGGTGACGCCCCGTCTCTACTAAAAATAAAAAATATTTGTCAGGCATGGTGGCGTACGCCTGTAATCCCAGCTACTCAGGAGGCTGAGGCAGGAGAATCGCTTGAACCTAGGAGGCAGAGGTTGCAGGGAGCTGAGATTGCACCACTGCACTCCAGTCTGGGTGACAGAGTGAGCCTCTGTCTCAAAAAAAAAAAAAAGAAAAACAATTAGTCTGGCATGGTGCTGTGTGCCTATAGACCCACCTGCTCGGGAGGCTGAGGCAGGAGGATCACTTGAGCCTAAGAGTTCGAGATTACACCTAGCTATGAGCATGCCACTGCACTCCAGCCTGGATGAAAGAGATAGACTTTGTCTCAAAAGAAAAAAGCAGCAGTCTCTTGCATTAGGCAGAATAAGGAGACTTTTATTCACTTTTGTGGTTTGAAGAATGTTCTGATTTTTGTCTATGCTCAAATATAACGACAGAGTGGTCTTGGTATCATCTTACACCATGATGGTCAGAGATTGGTCTTGTTTGCTGTTGGTGTTCTAAGAGATTGTTTTTGTGTAGCACCATGGAGAACACCATGAATTAGCTGGCCCTTGCCAGGTTAGCTTCTAGCAACACTGAGGCTTAATTGATAGTACGAGGCTAACTCTCAGAGGTTAGGACTGCTTTTGTCCTCATTTAAAAATAAGAGAGTGAGCCAAAAGAAAGCTAGGGCTGCAATTTAGGAACAGATCAAAAGGGATTTAAGATGAAAATCACCTAAAGGGATGAAAACATGTTGTTCATCCTTATGAAAAGAATCATGTACAAAGAATTATACAAATTATTAGCATTTTTTTAATTAATAATGTATCTTTGAACTATTTTAAGTAAAAATGAACAGAAATCATTAAATGCAATATTGGCCATTTTATCACACTACTTTCAGAAGCTTATTGATCAAAGCAGATAAAAAATATAAATCTTTGCTATAATATTGATTGTTTTCTGACAAAGAGCATTAAATTACAAATAAGTAAAAGGCTCTTGAAGGCTGGGTGCGGTGGCTCATGCCTGTAATCCCAGCACTTTGGGAGGCCGAGGCGGGCAGATCACCTGAGGTCGGGAGTTTGAGACTGGCCTGACCAACATAGTGAAACCCTGTCTCCACCAAAAATACAAAATTAGCTGGGCGTGGTGGCCCATGCCTGTAATCCCAGCTACTCTGGAGGCTGAGGCAGGAGAATTGCTTGAACCCGGGAGGTGGAGGTTTCGGTGAGCCGAGATTACACCATTGCGTTCTAGCCTGGACAACAAGAGTGAAACTCCATCTCAAAAACCAAAACAAAACAAAACAGAAAGGCTCTTGCACAAAATGTGAATGTACTTAATGCCACTGAACTGGACACTTAAAAATAATTATAATGGCAAATTTTATGTATATTTTACCACAACGCAAAATAGTTCAATAAAGTACTACTTTTTTTTTTTTTTTTTTTTGTGACAAGATCTTACTATGTTGCCCAGGCTGGAGTGCGGTGGCACGATCTCAGTTCACTGCAACCTCTGCCTCCTGGGTTCAAGTGATTCTCCTGCCTCAGCCTCCCTCCTAGCTGGAATTACAGGCACCTGCCACTGTGCCCTGCTAATAAAGTACTACATTTTAAAGTTCGTGTGGTAAAGCTAAACTGTAGATAGAGGGGAAAACTATAGATTAAGTGCCTTTTAAGGAATCTTAGAAATTTTGGGAAAAAAGCAGTTATGGTTTCAACTGAAGAAGTTACAAAAAGAATGAGTCAAAAAATACAAAAAAGAACGAGGACTAAAAAAAGAAAAGCAAAGACATGAGTCACAGAGAACAAAAAATGGTTGATAAAAATGTGACAGAAACACAAGTTGCTTCTCCATATTAATGATCAAGAAAAAAGAGTGAAGATAAACATAATCAAAATATGTTAGAAAACAGGAGTAATAGTTACTTCTATACCTAAGATTCAAACAATCACGAGTGAGTATTATGTAAAATCATGCAAATAGGGCTGGGCGTGGTGGCTCATGCCTGTAATCCCAGCACTTTGGGAGACCAGGGCCAGTGGATCACCTGAAGTCAGGAGTTCGAGACCAGCCTGACCAACGTGGTAAAACCCTGTCTCTACTAAAAATGCAAAAATTAACTGGGCATGGTGGCACATACCTGTAATCCCAGCTACTCAGGAGGCTGAGGCAGGAGAATCGCCTGAACTCAGGTGGCGGAGGTTGCAGTGAGCTGAGATTGCGTCATTGTACTCCAGCCTGGAAAACAAGCGCGAAACTCCATCTCAAAAAAAAAAAAAAAAAAACCATGCAAATATATGAAAACCTAAACAAAAGGATGAAATTTTATAAGAAATAAATTTTCAACTCGGTAAGAACAAATTATACAGAAGCCCTTAAAGGAATTAAAATGTTGATTCAACACCCCCAACGCAGTCAAAAATGATGGAAAAGATCATGTGATTTTACAGTTGATTTTCATGCCAAAGTTTTGAGTAACAGATAATATCAGAAATTATTCTCAACCTTGTTTCAGGTTTTTGTTTTATTTTGTTTACAGAGTTAACTTCAATGCCCAAAAGAACTGGAAATAAATAGATTCAGAAGTCAAATGTATTCACTAACTGTATTCAAGAGTAGATGAGGCCGGGTGCCGTGGCTCACGCCTATAATCCTAGCACTTTGGTAGGCCAAGGAGGGTGGATCACCTGAGGTCGGGAGTTTGAGACCAGCCTGGCTAACGTGATGAAACCCTGTCTCTATTAAAAATACAAAAATTAGGCGGGCGCCTGTAATCCCAGCTACTGGTAGGCTGAGGCAGGAGAATCACTTGAACCCAGGAGGTGGAGGTTGCGGTGAGTTCACACCATTTCACTCCAGCCGGGGCAACAAGAGCGAAACTCTGTCTCAAAAAAGAAAAAAAAGAGTAGATGAAAACAGTAGACTAATAGTTTATCACTGGGAAAAAAGTGAAGCAAGCACTGTTTTCTCATTCAGCAGCCCAGTCCAAAGTCAAAGAAGTCTAAAAACTAAAATAGTAAAATACCTCAAAAAAATACTGTATATCAGAAGTAATGGTACACAGTCTAGCAAAACAGTACCAAAAATAATTTAGAGAAGTAATTTACCTTATGCAATTACATTTAAAAATCTAGAAAAAAAGAATGAAATTCTAGTAACATATTGTTTCCCACCAAGCACCAAGTCTTCATTGACCACTTACCACATTTTCATTTCTACATGTTAAGACTTTCATTTAAAATATTCTACTTTTAATAAAATTAGGATTGCAGAGATGGAGAGAATTATTTGCATGTGGCATAACATTAAAGGTTTTTGTGTTTTTTGTTTTGAAAATTTTATGTTTAACATTTCTGAATGTTACACCGGCACTGTGTAAACAGGAAATCTGTTTCCAGGATATAGAATTTGATATCTTAGCAATAAGATTTTATTGGTAACTTATAAGATATCTTATATAGTTATGAGGCTTTCATAGTATTAATGATTTTTTTCTACTTTATCAAATGGAGCTGGGAGATATTATGTAAAGTTTCCCACCACCAATGTATTTCTTGCTATTATTTTCCTATAGTTTCCTATAGTTTATAAATTTTGATGCTATGTAATTTGGTGCAGTGACAGTAATGGCATCTGAGATTCATTTCAGATTGTGTCCTTGTCATATTTAATTTTTTTGGTGAGAATTCAGCTCAAATATTAAGGTGGAGGTTCTTGCTTCCTTTCCTTTGGCAATTCCAGATAGGCCTTTGCTCCTCCTTTTACTGTCATCCTTTGGAGTCCTTGTACATTTCTTCTGTATGGCAGTGGAAAGATAATTTTTTTTTTTTTTTTTTGAGACGGAGTCTTGCTCTGTTGCCAGGCTGGAGTGCAATGGCATGATCTTGCCTTATGGTAGTCTCTGGCTTCCGGGTTCAAGCGATTCTCCTGCGTCAGCCTCTGGAGTAGCTGGGATTACAGGTGTGTGTCACCATGCCCGGCTAATTTTTGTATTTTTAGTAGAGATGGGGTTTCACCACGTTGGGCAGGATGGTCTCAAACTCCTGACCTCAGGTGATCCGCCTGCCTCAGCTTCCCAAAGTGCTGGGATTACAGGTGTGAGCCACCGTGCCTGGCCTCTGTTTTTTCTTTTGTTCTTTTAGTGGCGGCTTTATAACATTACCTTCTTTAACCCAATCTTTATATCTATCGTTTAAGACTATTAAATTTATACTGTGAATAACAATAAAAGTTCTATACTGCCACTTCAAGGATTTTTTAATTAGATGTTTTTATTAAATTCTTTTTTTCTATTTTCTTTTTGAAACTCCTTATTTCCATTTTATGTTGCTCACTTGTCTTTGCCACCTTTTGTGCTTTTTTTTTTTTTTTTTTTTGAGACAGAATCTTGCTCTGTCACCCAGGCTGGAGTGTAGTGGCACGATCTCGGCTCACTGCAACCTCCATCTGCCGGGTTCAAGCGATTCTTCTGCCTCAGCCTCTTGAGGAGCTGGGATTACAGGCGCGCGCCACCATGCCTGGCTAATTTTTGTATTTTTAGTAGAGACAGGATTTCACCATATTGGCCAGGCTGGTCTCGAGCTCCTGACCTCATGATCTACCCACCTCAGCCTCCCAAAGTGCTGGGATTAGAGGCGTGAGCCACCGTGCCTGGCCTACCTTTTGTGTTTTAGCAGGGTCTTTTCATTGCTTTCAAGGAGACCTTTATTTCTGTGTTGCTTGAAAAACAAAAAAACTTTACTGAGTTCTGCCAATTTATTTTTCAAAAATTTACATAACCACATTCTTAGCCTATCTGTTTTTCCACTATTTCTTCCTTGGGTTTAATTATTTTATTTTATTTTATTTTATTTTATTTTATTTTATTTTATTATTTATTTTTGAGACGGAGTTTCGCTCTTGTTGCCCAGACTGGAGTGCAGTGGCGCCATCTCGGGTCACCACAACCTCCACCTCCCAGGTTCAAGCGATTCTCCTGCCTCAGACTCCCTAGTAGCTGGGATTACAGGCATGTGCCACCATGCCCAGCTAATTTTGTATTTTTAGTAGAGACGGGGTTTGTCCATGTTGGTGAGGCTGGTCTCGAGCTCCTGACCTCATGATCCACCCACCTCGGCCTCCCAAAGTGCTGGGATTACAGGCATGAGCCACAGCGCCTGGCCTGTTTAATTATTTTAAGTAGTTATAATTATAGTGAATTCCTTGAATTCATGGTGGATGTTTTTTCTGTTGTGTGTCAATTTATTTGTAGTATATTATTTGTAGTGTATTCCTTTTAATCTCCTCTCTATTTTTGTTTTATCCTTTTTGCTCATAGTATCTTTGTACATTAGGCGATGCTTAGTATTATCTTTGAGTGAGGAGGTTTCTTCCTGGACAAACTGTTATTTTAATTGTTTTTTGAAACGGGGTCTCACTCTATCCTCAGGCTGGAGTGCTGTGGTGCAATCACGGCTCACTGTAGCCTGGACTTCCCAGGTTCAATCGATCCCCCCACCTTAGCCTGCCGAGTAGCTGGGACTACAGGTACGCGCCAATAGAACTGGCGAAATTTTGTATTTTTTGTAGAGACAGTTTCACCATGTTACCCAGGCTTGTCTTGAACTCCTGGGCTCAAGCAATCTGCCTGCCTCAGCCTCCCAAAATCCCAGGATTACAGCATGGGCCACTGCACCCAGCCTGGACAAACTGTGTATAAGAAGCTCATTTGGTGAGGTGGTAAAGCTCTATTCCAGCCTAACATGACATCTCGTGTTCCTACTAAATTCTTGATAACATAGGGTTTGGGGGTTGGGGAGTTTGGTGTGTGTAGGGTGTGACTATACAAGTGTATGATAAAGAGAAAAATTAGAACATGTATATTCTTTTCAGGTATATAGGTACCATTTTCAAAGAAATGATGTTCTGAGCCCTATAAGCACAATCAATATGCATCACAAGAGACAAACTGTAATCTCTGAATGCAGTTAAATGAAGAAATCAACAAGGTAGCTTTCAAAAATCATAATTTTACATATTAAAAATTATAAATATCTTTAGTACTTTTCTTTCCACTTCCATCTGCATGCTCATACCCTCCCCTGAATCCAGTGACCTCTATACAAAGGACCTCTGAATCTTTATACAATAAATAATATTGTGACTATATTAATAATATAGCTTTCTTTTTTTTTTTTTTTTTCTTTTTCTGAGACAGAGTTTCACTCTTGTTGCCCGGGCTGAAGTGCAATGGCGCAATCTCGGCTCACTGCAACCTCTGCCTCCTGGGTTGAAGAGATTCTCCTGTCTCAGCCTCCCAAGTAGCTGGGATTACAGGCACGTGCCACCACACCCAGCTAATTTTTGTATTTTTAGTAGAGTTGGGGTTTCTCCACATTGGTCAGGCTGATATTGAACTCCTGACCTCAGGTGATCTGCGCCTTGGCCTCCCAAAGTGCTTGTAAAACACTGGAATGGCCTGGCCTGGTGGCTCATGCCTGTAATCCCAGCACTTTGAGAAGCTGAGGCTGGTGGACCACCTGAGGTAGGGAGTTTGAGACCAGCCTGACCAACATGAAGAAACCCAGTCTCTACTAAAAATACAAAAATTAGCCGGGCATGGTGGCACATGCCTGTAATCCCAGCTACTGGGGAGGCTGAGGCAGGAGAATCGCTTGAACACGGGAGGCGGAGGTTGCAGTAAGCCAAGATCACGCCATTACACTCCAACCCAGGCAACAAGAGCAAAAGTCCATCTCAAAAAATAATAATAATAAAATAAATAAATAAGCTCTCTATTCAGCTAATCTCTATCACAATTAATCATAAGCTCTCTATCCACCACCTAGTGTACACCCTCGTATATATC
Source organism: Homo sapiens (assembly GCF_000001405.40). Lineage (NCBI taxonomy): Eukaryota > Metazoa > Chordata > Mammalia > Primates > Hominidae > Homo > Homo sapiens. Next base: position 37,198,078 of record NC_000019.10, on the reverse strand, counting down.
CTGTCAGCTAAATCTCAACATATACAAAATTTAAGTCATTTTTTTTTATTTCCTCAGCCTTCTCTACACATTCCTGGCACCAGAATGTACATAGTGACACAAAATTGATGACTAAGAATTATTTCTTAATCCTTTTTCTCACCTTCATATTCAACATCAGGTCTGCCTCCCTAATAATTAGTGCCATTTTCCTTCTACATCCCTGTTAACATTATAGCCTTACTTTATGTATTAGGTTGGTGCAAAAGTAATTGCGGTTTTGCCATTAAAAATAATGGCAAACAGATACTTCTCAAAAGAAGACATCTGTGCAGCCAACAGACACATGAAAAAAATGCTCATCATCACTGGTCATCAGAGAAATGCAAATCAAAACCACAATGAGATACCATCTCACGCCAGTTAGAATGGCAATCGTTAAAAAGTCAGGAAACAACAGATGCTGGAGAGGATGTGGAGAAATAGGAACGCTTTTACTCTGTTGGTGGGAGTGTAAATTAGTTCAACCATTGTGGAAGACAGTGTGGCGATTCCTCAAGGATCTAGAACTAGAATTACCATTTGACCCAGCAATCCCGTTACTGGGTATATACCCAAAAGATTATAAATCATGCTACTATAAAGACACATGCACATGTATGTTTATTGCGGCACTATTCACAATAGCAAAGACGTGGAACCAACCCAAATGTCCATCAGTGATACACTGGATTGAGAAAATGTGGCACATATACACCATGGAATACTATGCAGCCATAAAAAAGGATGATTTCATGTCCTTTGTAGGGACATGGATGAAGCTGGAAACCATCATTCTGAGCAAACTATCACAAGGACAGAAAACCAAACACTGTATGTTCTCACTCGTAGGTGGGAATTGAACTATGAGATCACTTGGACACAGGGTGGGGAGCATCACACACCGGGGCCTGTTGTGGGGTGGGGGGCTGGGAGAGGGATAGCATTAGGAGAAATACCTAATGTAAATGATGAGTTGATGGGTGCAGCACACCAACATGGCACATATGTACTTATGTATCAAACCTGCACGTTGTGCACATGTACCCTAGAACTTAAAGTATAATAAAAAGAAAAAATGGCAGAAACCGCAATTATACTAAGCACAGTTGTCCTTCAAACGATGCAGGCTTGGGGCGCTAACCTCTGTGCAGTTGAAAAGCTGTGTATAACTTTTGACCATCCCTGAAACTTAACTACTGATAGCCTGCTGTTAACTTACCGATAGCAAAGAGTTGGTTAACATGTATTTTGTATGGTATATGTATTATATTCTGTATTTTTATAATAAAATTCAGCTAGAGAAAAGAAAATGCTTTTAAGAAAATCAAAAGGAAGAGAAAATATATTTATTATTTATTAAGTGGAAGTGAATCATCATGAAGGTCTTTGCCCTTATGGTCTTCAGGTTAAGGAGGCTGAGGAAGAGGAGAGTTTGGCCTTGCTGTTTTGGGTGGCAAAGGGGGAAGAGGTGAAGGTAAAAGGGAGGGCAGGAGAGGGAGGCACACTCGGTGTAATTTTACTGAAAAAAGAAATCTGTGTTACAAATGGACCCACATAGTTCAAACCCATGTGGTTCAAAGGTGAACTGTAATTCACATTCTCTCATGTGACTTGTACAGTGAGTCTTGTCAATGATTTTCCAGTCATAACTATTCCAAAATATTCCAAATGTTTTGGAATAATCTTTCTTTAGGAGTATATTTTTTAAAACTTTTTATTTTGAAATAATTATAGATCCACAGAGAATTACAAAATGATACAGAGGGTTCCCCCATGAATTTCAGTTATTGTAGTACACGATTCTTTTTATTCATTGCTGGATTGTTTGCTGATATTTTGTTGAGGATGTTTGTACCTAAAATTATGAAAGATACTGGTCTATAGTTTTCTTTTTTTGTGCTTTCTTTGGTTTTGATGTCAGAGTAATACTGGCTGTACAAAGTTAATTTGGAAGAGGTCTTCCTCTTTGATTTTCTGGAAGAGTTTGTGTAAAAATCACATTAATTCTTCTTCTTCTTCTTTTTTTTGAGGGGGACAGAGTTTTGCTCTTGTTGCCCAGGCTGGAGTGCAGTGGCACAATCTTGGCTCACCGCAACCTCTGCCTCCTGGGTTCAAGCGATTCTCCTGCCTCAGCCTCCCGAGTAGCTGAGATTACAGGCATGCACCACCACGCCCAGGTAATTTTGTATTTTTAGTAGAGACGGGGTTTCTCCATATTGGTAAGGCTGGTCTTGAACTCCTGACCTCAGGTGATCTGCCCGCCTCAGCTTCCCAAAGTGCTGGGATTACAGGCATGAGCCACCACACCCGGCCAAGACTAATTCTTCTTTGTAAGTTTGGTAGAATTCTCTGGCAAAACTAGGCCTAGAAATTTCTTTTCACCAACTTTTAAATTATGAATGTAATTTAATAGTTATAAGATTATTTATCTTATCTAAATAAGCTAATTTATTTAGTTTATCTAAATAAGTGTTTGTATTCCCATATTTTTCTTTTAATGGTTCCTGAATCTGTCATGATATTTCCTGTTTTATTCCTGATATTGCTGATTTGTGTCTTTTTATTTTCATCAGTCTAGTTGACTAACAGGCCAATCAGCCGCATTTTGTTGATTTTTTCTCCCCAACAACTGGATTGTGTTTTATTGACTTTTTTTTTCTGTTTTTTGTTTTGTTTTCCTGAATTTTTTTTTTTTTTTTTTTTTTTTTTTTTGAGTCAGAGTCTCGCTCTGTTGCCTAGGCTGGAGTGCAGTGGCATGATCTCGGCTCACTGCAACCTCCTCCTCCCGGGTTCCAGTGATTCTCCTGCCTCAGCCTCCCAAGTAGTTGGGACTACAGGTGCGTGCCACCACGCCCTGCTAATTTTGTGTATTTTTAGTAGAGATGGGGTTTCACTATGTTGGCCAGACTGGTCTCGAACTCCTGACCTCATGTGATCCACCCGCCTCGGCCCCCCAAAGTGCTGGGATTACAGGCTGAGCCATCATGCCCGGCCAGGTGTATTTATTTTTAAAATGACCTTTGAGATTTCTTCTTTGACCTATAGGTCATTTAACTGTGGGTTATTAATTTCCAAATAGTTTTTGCTTTTCCAGAAAGCTTTTGTTTTTATTTTTTAATTCCTTTGGAGACTTTTCTGTGGTCTTTCTGTTATTGATTTTTTGTTTGATTTCCTTGTGGAACATACTTTGTATTTTATTCATTTAAATTTGTTGAGGTTGGTTTTATAGCCTAGGGTATGGTCTATCTTGGTCATTTTTCTATGATTCTTGAAAAGAATGTGTATTCTGCTGTTGTTTGTTGCAGTAGTCTATAAATATCAATTAAATACTGTTGCTTCTTTTTCTGTATATTTGATGATTTCCTGTCTAGTATTTTGATAAATTGCTGAGGTGAGGGAAGGGTATTCAAGTCCCTAGTATACTTTGTTTGTTTGTTTGTTTTTGAGATGGAGTCTTGCTCTTGTTGCCCAGGCTGGAGTGCAATGGCGTGATTTTGGCTCACTGCAACCTCCACCTCCCAGGTTCAAACAATTCTCCTCCCTCAGCCTCCCAAGTAGCTGGGATTACAGGCATGCGCCACCATGCCCAGCTAATTTTGTATTTTTAGCAGAGATGGGGTTTTGCCATGTTGGCCAGGCTGGTTTTGAACCCCTCACCTCAGGTGGTCCATGTGCCTCGGCCTCCCAAAGTGCTGGGATTACAGGTGTGAGCCACTGCACCCAGCCAATACTTTTCTTTAAATATGTACACCATGTGGAAATAGGCATTCCTTTAACTGTGCAATTCCAAATTAGATTTTTTATTTGGAGGATCATATTTTTCAAAAACATGTTATTACGAAAAAATTTAAATATATACAAAAGTAAAGAGAATAGTATAAGCAACCTGTTCACCTATTGTACCTTTTACCCAGTTTCAGTCATCATCAACATTCTGCCATTCTTATTTCATCTGAAACCACCTTCCTACACAGCTCCTGGATTATTTTAAAGTGAATCTCAAACACAATGTTTTATCTAAAAATACTTTGATATGTATCTCAAAGAGATGAATTCTTTTTTCTTTTGTTTAGCATAACAAATAAGTCAATATCACACCTACAACAAAATAACAGTAATTCTTTGTTATCATCTAATACCCATTGCTTGCATTTCTCTAAATTGTTGTAAATATCTTTTTAAGATTGGTTCATTTTAATTAGGGGCCAAAGTCCACAAGGTGCATTTGGTTAGTATGATTCGTAAGTCTCTTACTTTTTAAGTTTTATTTATTTTTTTGAGACAGGGTCTCCCTCTGTCACCCAGACTGGTGTGCAGTGGTGCATTAACGGCTCACTGGAGCTTCGACCTCCCGGGCTCAGTCGATCCTCCGACCTCAGCCTCCCGAGTAACTGGGACTACAGGTGCCTGCCACCAGGCATGGCTAATTTTTTTGGTATTTTTTTAGGGACAGGGTCTCACTGTGTTGCCTGGGCTGGTCTCAAACTCCTAGGCTCAAGCAATCCACCCACTTCGGCCTCCCAAAATACTGTGACTATAGGCGTGAGCCCCTGCCCTGGCCTTAGTTCTCTTTTTTTTTTTTTTTTTGAGACAGAGGCCTGCTCTGTCACCCAGGCTAGAGTGCAGTGGTGCAATCTCGGCCCACTGCAAGCTCTGCCTCCCGGGTTCACGCCATTCTCCTGCCTCAGCCTCCTGACTAGCTGGGACTACAGGCGCCCGCCACTGCGCCCAGCTAATTTTTTGTATTTTTAGTAGAGATGGTGTTTCACCATGTTAGCCAGGATGGTCTCAATCTTCTGATCTCATGATCTGCCCGCCTCGGCCTCCCAAAGTGCTGGGATTACAGGTGTGAGCCACCATGTCCAGCCCTATTTGCTGTTCTTTAAACTCATGTGGTGTTTTTTTTTGTTTTGTTTTGTTTTTAAGATGGAGTCTTGCACTGTCGCCCAGGCTGGAATGCAGTGGCGCAATCTCGGCTCACTGCAACCTCTGCCTCCTGGCTTCAAGCGATTCGCTTGCCTCAGTCTCCCAAGTAGCCGGGATTCCAGGCATGTGCCACTGTGCCCAGCTAATTTTTTGTATCTTTAGTAGAGAGGGGGTTTCAACATGTTGGCCAGGCTGGTCTCAAACTCCTGACCTCGTGATCCACCCACCTCGGCCTCCCCAGTTGTTGAGATAATAGGCGTGAGCCACTGTGCCCGGCCCTCATTGTGTATTTTAATATTTATTTATTTGTTTATTTATTTTTGAGATGGAGTCTCACTCTGTCACCCAGGCTGGAGTGCAGTGGCGTAATCTTGGGTCACTGCAACCTCCACCTCCCAGGTTCAAGCGATTCTCCTACCTCTGCCTTGGGTAGCTGGGATTACAGACACACACTACCACACCTGGCTAATTTTTTGTATTTTTAGTAGAGATGGGGTTTCACCATGTTGGCCAGGCTGGTCTCGAACTCCTGACCTTAGGTGATCCACCTGCCCCGGCCTCCCAAAGTGCTGGGATTACAGGCATGAGCCACTGCGCCCGGCCTTATTTTATTTTTTTTTTTTTTGAGACAGGTTCTCGCTCTGTCACTCAGGTTGGAGTGCGGTGATGCAATCGTGGCTCACTGGAGCCCATCTCCCCATCTTTTTGTTCTTGTCTTTGCTGGGCAATGTCCCCCTTACCCCATACTTTGTATTACTCTTCTTATCTTCCAAGTTAAATTCTTCCGCTCTATGAAATGTAAACTTATTTCCTCATGTAGAATGCACTTTTTCTTCTTTTTAGCCCTCAGGGTGTCTCAGATAGAGATCTACTTTTCAGCACCTTAATGAACTTAATGTCTTCACTTTTTCAAACTTTGGTCTTATTTATTTTCTATGTATTTCAGGTTGCGTGAAGACTAGTAACATAAATAATTCATTTCTGTGTCCTCAGGAGTAGCATAATGACTGGTCCTAAATTGATCAGCCACTGTGTGGCAGGTTGTTCATCCATGTGCTAGAAGACTAAAAGGCAGCCTATTTCTTTCTTTCTTTCTTTTTTTGAGATGGAGTCTTGCTCTGTATCCCGGGCTGGAATGCAGTGGCATGATCTCGGCTGACTGCAACCTCCGCCTCCCAGGTTCAAGCGATTCTCCTGCCTAAGCCTCCTGAGTAGCTGGGATTACAGGTGCTCGCCATGCCCGGCTAATTTTTTGTATTTTTAGTAGAGACAGGGTTTCACTATGTTGGCCACACTGGTCTTGAACGTCTGACCTCGTGATCCACCTACCTCGGCGTCCCAAAGTGATGGGATTACAGGCATGAGCCACCGGGCCCAGCCAAGACAGCCTATTTCAATGGCCAGTTTTGAAAAATGAGTGATTGACTGACTGTAGAACAGAACAAATAGCTGGAATTCTTTGTTAGATTTCTGTGTTCCACAAATTATGTAAAACTAGATTTTTTTTTTTTTTTTAGACAGAGTCTCCCTCTGTCGCTCAGGCTGGAGTGCCGTGGCATAATCTCAGCTCACTGCAAACTCCACCTCCCAAGTTCAAGTGATTCTCCCTCCTCAGCCTCCCAAATAGCTGGGACTACAGGCACGTGCCACCAGCCTGGCTAATTTTTTGTATTTTTAATAGAGACGGCATTTCACCATGTTGGCCAGGCTGGTCTCGAACTCCAAACCTCAGGTGATCTACCTACCTTGGCCTCCCAAAGTGCTTGGATTACAAGCATGAGCCACCGTGTCCGGCCCCCTCTGACATTCTTGCTTGGATTACAGGCGTGAGCCACTGCACCCCAGCTAAAACTGGATATTTAATATGTGACCTATGTAAAATATTATTTCTTAGAAATTTCTTATCACTCAGGTGTATACATTTGTCACAAGGTCAAATGGCAAAATAAAGATTGTTGCATTTATTTGTATTGTACTAAATTTTACCTTATCAGGTTAACAAATGTTACACCCTAGTTAATAATTTGCATTTTGTGGTGCTTAAGAGAAAGTGTAGTGATGACTGCAATTTACATTGAAATACATAAAAAAAAGTAAGATGGATCAATGTGTGATGAAGCAAGTAGGGTAAGGTGTTAATGGTAGATCTAAGTAGTAGATATATAGGTTTTTACTGTACAATTCTTTCTAATTTTCTGTATGTTTAAAATTTTTCGTAATAAGCTATTAGGGAAATGAGTGGCAGGTTCTTTAAAAAGGAAGTAAATTGGCCAGGCGCGGTGGCTCACTCCTGTAATCCCAGCACTTTGGGAAGCCGAGGCGGGAAGATCACGAGGTCAGGAGATAGAGACCATTCTGGCCAACATGGTGAAACCCAGTCTCTACTAAAAATACAAAATTTAGCCGGGTATGGTGGCACATACCTGTAATCCCAGCTACTCAGGAGGCTGATGCAGGAGAATTGCTTGAACCTGGGAGGTGGAGGTTGCAGTGAGCCAAGATCACGCCATTGCACTCCAGCCTGGGCCAAAAGAGTGAAATTCCATCTCAAGGAAAAAAAACAAAAACAAAAACAAAAACGGCCAGATGCGGTGGCTCAAGCTTGTAATCCCAGCACTTTGGGAGGTCGAGGTGGGCGGATCACAAGGTCACAAGGTCAGGAGATTGAGACCATCCTGGCCAACATGGTGAAACCCCGTCTCTACTAAAAATACAAAAATTAGCTGGGTGTGGTGGCACGTGCCTGTAATCCCAGCTACTCAGGAGGCTGAGGCAGGAGAATCACTTGAACCCGGGAGGTGGAGGTTGCAGTAAGCCAAGATCGCGCCACTGCACTCCAGCCTGGGGAACAGAGCAAGACTGTCTCAAAAAAAAAATGAAGTAAATTAAAAACAACAAAACCCATGTTCCGTAATCCCATATATAGTCACTCCACCGTGCAAAGCTGACTATGCACATTGAACAGGAATGTGCCCTTACAGGGATCAGTGTCCTTCAGGGATGTGGCTATCGATTTCAGCAGAGAGGAATGGCGGCACCTGGACCTTTCTCAGAGAAACCTGTACCGGGATGTGATGCTGGAGACCTACAGCCACCTGCTCTCAGTAGGTAAGCACAGTCACCTTGGTATCTGAAAGGAGGCCTCACTGAGAGTGTTTTCATTCTCAGTTGACGAATGCTGTTGGCATCTTAGATAGGTGATGGTTTTGTCCTTTTTTCCTCCAGGGTTCTCTGTTTGTTTAGGGTACTCAGAATATTACTCAGAGATATCTGGTTACTTTCCTAAAGAACAAACCATCATTGAACAATAAGACTGTATTTGTTGGGCTCTGAAACGTAATTAGCTGGACCCAGACCTTTATCATTTCCCATGAACAGGGTATCAAGTTCCTAAACCAGAGGTGGTCATGTTGGAGCAAGGAAAGGAACCATGGGCACTGCAGGGTGAGAGGCCACGTCACAGCTGCCCAGGTGAGTGAAGTGAGGTGAATGTGACTCAGGTTAGATGGGAGACAGGAGGAAATCTCAGCTGTCTTGAAAAACACTGGAACCTGTGAAGTGCTATTAAGACCACTCTTCAGTAAGGCTCTGAATTTTTTATATTGCTTGATGCCTCTCAGATCACTAAATGCCTTCTACCTGGATGACCTTCCTTGTTGATTATAAGTCATGTGCCAGTCAGCCTCATTAAAGATAAATCTTTATTATATTCCTTTTCTGTAACAGTCTTTTTTTCCCTGCCTTCCATATTGTCCTAGAGTCTCTCGTTTACATCCAGGTATTCCTGGATCTGCTTTCTTTCAAAATTTACTCTGTGTCACACACTCCCACTCGTGCTACACCCCTTTTATTTCTGTCTTTCTCACTGTGAGATGCCTCAGAACTTTATCTCTGGGCCAGATACAGTTGCTCATGCCTGTAATCCCAGCACTTTGGGAGGCCAAGGTGGGTGTATCTCTTGAGGTCAGGAGTTTGAAACCAGCCTGGACAACATGGCAAAACCCCATCTCTACTAAAAATACAAAAATTAGCTGGGTGTAGTGGTGCATGCCTGTAATCCCAGTTACTTGGGAGGGTGAGGCACAAGAGTCACTTGAACCCGGGAAGTGAAGGTTGCAGTGAGCCAAGATCATGCCATTGCACTCCAGCCTGGGTGACAGAGCAAGACTCAGTCTGAAAAAGAAAAAAAAAAAAAAGAACTTTATTTCCAGTCAGGCTCTCTAACTATTTTTGCTATAGTAATGGCCATGAGATTTCTCTTATCTTCCCAGTCCTTCAGGCCTTTCATCCAGCTAATGACTTGGGAATCATTGTCACTTAATCTTTGGGAATACCTCTCTGCTGTGTTTGACATGGCATGGATTAATCACCCTTTCTCACATTTCCTTCTGATGTTGCTTGAGCGATTCCACACTGTTAGGGTCTCTCTTCCTGGTTGGCTTTGTTTGTTTGTTTGTTTGTTTGAGAGGGAGTCTCACTCTGTCGCCCAGGCTGGAGTATAGTGGCGCAATCTTGGCTCACTGCAACCTCCACTTCCCAGGTTCAAATGATTCTCTTGCCTCAGCCTCCCGAGTAGCTGGGATTACAGGGGTGGGCCACCACGCCTGGCTAATTTTTGTATTTTTATTTTTATTTATTTATTTTTGAGACGGAGTTTCACTCTTGTTGCCCAGGCTGGAGTGCAATGGCACGATCTCGGCTCACTGCAACCTCCGCCTCCCGGGTTCAAGCGATTCTCTTGCCTCAGCCTCCCACGTAGCTGGGATTACAGGCATGAGCCACCACGCCCAGCTAACATTGTATTTTTAGTAGAGTTGGGGTTTCTCCATGTTGGTCAGGCTGGTCTCCAACTCTCGACCTCAGGTGATCCGCCCGCCTCAGCCTCCCAAAGTGCTGGGACTACAGGTATGAGGCACCATGCCCGGGCTTGTTTGTTTTTGTCATTGCTTTATTTTTATATTTCACCTGATGAGGTTTGAGTTTAATCATTGTCTTTAGTTTAGGACACACTATGACCATGAAAATGTGGGTGAAGATTCTCATTTTATTTTTGTGATAATATCCCCTTTTCTCTCTTTCCCCTCACCCATCTGCCTTCCCACCAGAAGCCACTGTTTTGTATAATGGAAGCATTTTTTAATTCGTGCATGTTGTAAAATTTAAAGTGAATTAGGGGCATGGATCATTAGTTTATATAAATCTTATTATGCTATATATCATGTTTTTTGCCTTTTTCCATGTCTATCCATGGTGTTATCTGTTCATCTAGTTTATTTCTTTTAACTGCTGAATTGTTCCCCAGAATGTTTCATTTAAGTAGTGTCACACCCTTCTCATGAAATTACTCACCCTTACCCTTTTCTCTGTGTTCAAGCTGGATAAGCCATTTTTACCTTCCCCTCTAGCCTCTGCTAGCTGCTCTATAAGCAAAAAGTGACTTATTATCCCTTGAAAAAGTGTTTGGATTTCAAACCTTATTACAGGGAATCTCTGGAAAAAAAAAAGACTTCTTTCCACAATGAAAGGGAAGATGATGATAGAGATGATGTGAGATTGTATTTCATTCTAGAATAACAGTGACAGACTGATAACCAGATAGAATATTATCAGAAAAGAAAATAAGTATCTAAGTGATGTTGCTTTAATCAAGAAAATATTGACTACAAATAGGCATTATGAATATAAGGCTATCAGAAGGATAATTCATGTGAACCCAAACATTTTACATCCCCCTAAAAACCCTATCAGTGTGACTTATTTGGAAATGGCTTGAAGCATAATTTAGATCTACACATTCATGATAGAAACGATGCTTCAAAGAATGTTAAGAAGAGTACTAACTATGGTAAAATGTCTTTCTATACTTACTGTGAATGTACTCCAACAGGAGAGAAATTATGGGACCATAATCAACATAGAAAAATCATCGGTTATAAACCAGCTTCCTCTCAAGATCAAAAAATTTATTCTGGGGAAAAATCCTATGAGTGTGCTGAATTTGGAAAGAGCTTCACCTGGAAGTCACAGTTCAAGGTACATCTGAAAGTTCCTACAGGAGAAAAACTCTATGTATGTATTGAATGTGGGAGGGCTTTTGTACAGAAGCCAGAATTCATCACACATCAGAAAACCCATATGAGAGAGAAGCCCTATAAGTGCAATGAATGTGGAAAATCCTTTTTTCAAGTATCGTCTCTTTTCAGGCATCACAGAATTCATACCGGAGAAAAACTATATGAATGTAGTGAATGTGGGAAAGGTTTCCCTTATAACTCAGATCTCAGTATACATGAGAAAATTCATACTGGAGAGAGACACCATGAATGCACTGACTGTGGCAAAGCGTTCACACAAAAGTCCACACTCAAGATTCATCAGAAAATCCATACAGGCGAGAGATCCTACATCTGTATTGAATGCGGGCAGGCCTTCATCCAGAAAACACAATTGATTGCACACCGAAGAATTCATAGTGGAGAAAAACCATATGAATGCAATAACTGTGGCAAATCCTTCATTTCCAAGTCACAACTTCAGGTACATCAACGTGTTCACACAAGAGTGAAGCCCTATATATGTACCGAATATGGGAAGGTCTTCAGCAATAATTCCAACCTCATTACACATGAGAAGATTCAAAGTAGAGAGAAATCTTCCATATGTACTGAGTGTGGGAAGGCCTTTACCTACAGGTCAGAGTTGATTATTCATCAGAGAATTCACACTGGAGAGAAACCTTATGAATGCAGTGACTGTGGGAGAGCCTTCACTCAGAAGTCAGCACTCACAGTGCATCAGAGAATTCATACAGGAGAAAAATCGTATATATGCATGAAATGTGGACTGGCCTTCATCCGGAAGGCACACTTGATTACACATCAAATAATTCATACTGGAGAGAAACCTTATAAATGTGGTCACTGTGGGAAATTGTTTACTTCCAAGTCACAACTCCATGTTCATAAACGAATTCACACAGGAGAAAAGCCCTATGTATGCAATAAATGTGGGAAGGCATTCACCAACCGGTCAAATCTCATTACACATCAGAAAACTCATACAGGAGAGAAATCTTATATATGTTCCAAATGTGGAAAGGCCTTCACCCAGAGGTCAGACTTGATTACACATCAGAGAATCCATACTGGGGAGAAGCCTTATGAATGCAATACTTGTGGAAAAGCCTTTACTCAGAAGTCAAATCTTAATATACATCAGAAAATTCACACTGGAGAGAGACAGTATGAATGCCACGAATGTGGGAAAGCCTTCAACCAGAAATCAATACTCATTGTTCATCAGAAAATTCATACAGGAGAGAAACCCTATGTATGCACTGAGTGTGGAAGAGCTTTCATCCGCAAGTCAAACTTTATTACTCATCAAAGAATTCATACTGGAGAGAAGCCTTATGAATGCAGTGACTGTGGGAAGTCCTTTACCTCCAAGTCTCAGCTCCTGGTGCATCAGCCAGTTCACACAGGAGAGAAACCCTATGTGTGTGCCGAGTGTGGGAAAGCCTTTAGTGGCAGGTCAAATCTCAGTAAGCACCAGAAAACTCATACCGGAGAAAAGCCCTACATTTGTTCTGAATGTGGGAAGACCTTTCGACAGAAGTCAGAGTTGATTACACATCACAGAATTCATACTGGAGAGAAACCTTATGAGTGCAGTGACTGTGGGAAGTCTTTCACTAAAAAATCACAGCTCCAAGTGCATCAGCGAATTCACACTGGAGAGAAGCCTTACGTGTGTGCTGAGTGTGGGAAGGCCTTTAGCAACAGGTCCAATTTGAATAAACATCAGACAACACACACTGGAGACAAACCCTACAAGTGTGGCATCTGTGGGAAAGGCTTCGTTCAGAAATCAGTGTTCAGTGTTCATCAGAGCAGCCACGCTTGAGAGAAACAGTGTGAGAAAACCCCCCTGAGGGTTGGGTCTGATTGTACACTGTTGCACGCATGCAGCAGAAAAATATGTATATTATTGTAAATAGAAATGACCACATCAGAATGTCACACATGGCTGTTCTGGAGAGGGCCTCTGAGAAGGCACTGAATGAGGCGAGGGACCCTTCCTACATTGTCACCATCCCCAGTAAACCTTGGGTCATTATTCATACTGACAAGGAACCGAGTCAATTTGGTGAATAGGAAAAGCCTTCTCATGAAAACTACAATAGAATACTGTTACCAAATTCTTCATAAGAAAGATCATATTATGGGAATGATAATCCTGTTTACTGTGGATTAGGTATAGTGCCAACAGTTTGAATGGTAAGACAACATAATATATATGATAGTGATGAATCCTTCTGTGAGTTGTTTGTTCCAGAACACACTGTCTAGTAGAATTGTGGGTATTTTCTTCTTTTGAATCGAACACAGTTGTGCATATCCAATTCCCCATTGAGTATTTCTATCAAGCAAGAGATACTGCAATAAGACAAACTCCCTGTGTATTCAGACACAGACCTCAGAGCGTATGTTGAGTCCCCATTGTCATAGAAAAAGACTTACAGTCCCCTTCATTATCTGCCAGGACTCTCTCTGAGCCCCACAGGTTCTCAGCACATTGTGTTTGACACCCAGCACAGTGTTTTTTCTTTTTCTTTCTTTCTTTCTCTTTCTTTCTTTCTTTCTTTCTTTCTTTCTTTCTTTCTTTCTTTCTTTCTTTCTTTCTTTCCTTCTTTCTTTCTTTTTCTTTCTTTCTCTTTCTTTCTTTCTTTCTTTCTTTCTTTCTTTCTTTCTTTCTTTCTTTCTTTCTTTCTTTTTTTGAGACAGAGTCTTGCTCTGTCGGGCAAGCTAGAGTGCAGTGGCGCTATCTTGGCTCACTGCAACCTCCGTCTCCCGGGCTCAAGCAATTCTCCTGCCTCAGCCTCCTGAGTAGCTGGGATTGCGTGTGCCACCACGCCCAGCTAATTTTTGTATGTTTAGTAGAAACGGGGGTTTCACCATGCTGGCCAGGCTGGTCTCGAACTCCTGACCTCATGATCCGCCCGCCTCGGCCTCCCAAAGTCCTGGGATTACGGACGTGAGCCACTGCGCCCGGCCCAGCACAGTGTTTTGTACACTCCCACCACCCTCAAGAAAGCCTTTGAGGTTAGGATTTTCAGGTCATCTGGGAGAACTTAAATTCTTCCTTCTGCTATTACAATTCTTCTCACTCAGTTGCCTGCCTCTTTTTTTTTTTTAATTTACTTGTGACTGAGTTGAAGCCCAGCATTTTACTTTCCTTAATGATCTGACTTTCATAAGTTGATAAGTCATGAAATCATTATCTTACATTATATGAGATATGAGATAAATCATAAATCATATGAAATTGATAACTCATATGAAAACCAACCCCACCATATGTTCACTGTCTACTTGTGTCCATCTTCGTCCCACGCACCCCACAAGGACCTTCCCCGCCATGTGCCTCAAACATCAGTTCCTGACTCAGGGCCTTTGTATTTGCAGTGCCCGTTGCAAAGAGCACAATTCTTTATTTTATCTGTGGCTTGTCCGTCATGTCTTTTTTTCCATGACACCTCCACACAGGCCTTCCCTGCCTGCCTGGTTTAAAATTCCAGCCCCTTACCCTTCCTCCTTTATTCTTCTCCCTAGCAATTTCCACCATGCTGCCTGGTGTATTTTCCTCATTTCTCTGTGGCTTCTACACTAGAAAATATTTCCCTTTTGTTCACCACTATGAGTCTAGACCCATGACTGCCATACAGCAGGCATTCCATAAATGCACCTGTGGAGAGTTGACCCATGCTTGTTGCGTGACTTCTGTCTGATTTTTTTCTGTGTTGCAGCATAAGAAGCGCTAATAGGGAGAACCAACTTGGCTAAAACACACCAGGCTTTTTCACCTCTAGTCTGTACCTGGGCTGTATCCCTTCTCAACCCTAAAGCTAAAAAGTCATTGTGAACCTTTTGGTCTGATGCTAAAGAAGGGAAAACAGGTACAGGAAATCCCATGTGGATGCTTGCTTCCAGGATTTCCTGCCATGATTCCAGAATCCCACAGCTCCAACATGATTGCAAAAGACTCCCTGCTCATTTTTCCTCAGCATGCACAGCGCTGTCCTGTCTCAGTTGCAACTCGACAGAGCCGCATTTACTCCAGAACCCAATCCACACACCTGCTCATCCTGCCCCGAGAGGAGTGCCTGAAGCCAATAGCAGGGAACTAGAGCAGACTTGGGTGGATCTTCATTGGATATTAGGTATCTTGCCCTAGATAGGCAGCAGTGGCCTTACAGATGCTGACAGATGATCTGATTAGATGCACAGTTGCTGGGTGGCGTCTGGGGCCAGTCTATTGGCAGTTCTGGGAGTGGGAACTATTTGGGCTCTGCAAAGATGGTTTCACCTTTAAGAAGGGCAGTATGGGGAGGTGAAGATGGGGCCCAAAGGATAGAACATAGTCAAAGAAGCAGGGCCACAATGCCCCTTTAATTCCCAAGCCCTAGTTGGGCAGTGCTTGGTGACACATCCCATTACCTCACCTTAGATCAATGTCTACTGAGCCATCATTAGCTCTGCTTCCTCACTTCTTCACAGTATCTGATGGCCCATCACATGCTGCTCAACATCTTAGACCAATGTCTGCTCACCCATTACCTCCCTTCACCTCATCCAGCACTGTATCTGAAGCTTCACTATTCTTCCTTCAGTTTTGGATATTTTGTGATACAACATTATCCCCAACTTAGGACAATGTCAGCTGACTCTCAGGAGGGTGCCTGGAG
Source organism: Homo sapiens (assembly GCF_000001405.40). Classification (NCBI taxonomy): domain Eukaryota; kingdom Metazoa; phylum Chordata; class Mammalia; order Primates; family Hominidae; genus Homo; species Homo sapiens. Next base: position 37,182,384 of record NC_000019.10, on the reverse strand, counting down.
ATCACCTCTTCCTTCCTAACATACCCTAGAACAAGGTCTGGTCCCCTTCATTATTCCCATTTTACCTTACTCCTAAGTGTATCACTCCTCATGAATTCCAGGAAATATGGAGGAAAACACATTTCACTGTACATGACTTTCAATAATTTCTCCTTTATATTTATTGTAACGTGATATTTTAGTGCTGACATATATATGTATATGTATGCCCATTTATATAAAAGACTAGTTTTTAGAGAAATTTTAGGTTCACAGCAAAATGGGGCAGAAGGTACAGAGATTTCCCATATATCCCCTACCCTCACATATACACAGCCTCCCCCATCATCAACATCCCCCTTCAGAGTGGTACATTTGTTACAATTGATGAAACTACATTGACACTATCGGCCAAAGTCCATGGTTTAATTAGGGTTCAGTCTTGATGTGCATTCTGTGGGTTGAGACAAATGAATAATGACATGTATGCATTATTACAGAAGGATAAAGAGCCGTTTCACTGTCCCAATAATCCTCTGTGTTTCGCCTACTCCTCTAAACTCCTGGCTATTTTCTTTTGTCTCCATAATTTTGCCTCTGAACCATAAAGTATGCAGCCTTTTCAGATTGATTTGTTTCACTTAGTAATGTGGATTTAAGTTTCTTCCATGTCTTTTCGTAGCTTGCTAGCTCTTTTTTTTTTTTTTTTCTCATTGAATAATATGCTATTGTCTGGAAGTACCATGACTTATTTATCCATTCACCTACTGAAGGACACCTTAATTGCTTCCAAGTTTTGTTGATTATGAATAAAGATGCTATAAACACCTGTGTGCAGGTTTTTGTGTGAACATGACTGTAATATTTTAAGGTCGTATTTATTGAGGTATAATTTACATACAGTAATATTCACCCTTTTTAGTGTGGAATTCTCAAAGTTTTGACAATTACATCATGCAGTCAATACCACAGTCAAGACAGAGAACAGTTCCCTCACTTCCCTACATTTCCTCCTATTACTTTTTAGTCCATCCCTTTGCCCACCCCCAGGCCTTGATGATCACAAGCCCATTTTCTGTCTGTATAATTTTGCCTTTTCCACATGTTGTATAAATGGAGACATCCTGTGTGTGTCTCTGTCTGTTTATATATGTGTATGTATCTCTCTTTTTGAGTCGGACTTGTTTCATTTAATGTGATGTATTTGCGATCTATCCATATTGTTATATGAGATAAAAATGGAAAATAAGGTGATGAAAAGATGCTCGACATCTTTAATTTTCAAGAAAATGAAAATGAAAACCACAATGAGATACCTGTACACACCTTTTAGCATGCCTAAAAATAAAGACATAATGCTGAGAGTTGGCAACAATGCAGAGCAATGGAAACTTTCATGCATTGTTGGTAGAAATGTAAAATGTTACATTCACTTTGGGCAAAAAGTTTGGCAGCTTTTTTTTTTTTTTTTGAGATGAAGTTTTGCTCTTATTGCTCAGGCTGAAGTGCAATGGCATGATCTCGGCTCCCCACAACCTCCACCTCCCAGGTTCAAGCGTTTCTCGTGCATCAGCCGCCCAAGTAGCTGGGATTACAGGCATGCACCACCACGCCTGGCTAATTTTATATGTTTTTAGTAGAGGTTTAGTTAAGGGTCTCTCCATGTTGGTCAGGCTGGTCTCGAACTCCTGGTCTCAGGTGATCTGCCCGCCTCAGCCTCCCAAAATGCTGGGATTACAGGCGTGAGCCACCATGCCCAGCCTTGACAGCTTCTTATACTGTTAAACATACACTTATCATATGACCCACCAATCCCTCTCCTAGGTATTTGCCCTAGATAAGTGAAAAATTGTTTATATAAAAACACGGGTACTCAAATTTCACAGCAACTGTATAATTGCCAAAATTAGGAAACAACCCAAATGTAACAGTGGGTGACTAATTAAACAGTGGGTGACTAATTAAACATCTATACAATAGAATACTACCCCAACATGAAAAGAAGTGATTTATTGACACTGGCTGCAACATGGATGAATCTCAGAAGTACTCTTTTATTTTACTATGTGATAGTTTAAATGACATTTGAAAAATTATTAGATACTAGATTATAAATATAGATTTATGTATTTTATTTTATGTGTGCATATCATACACTGTATATTGTGTTGACAGTATGTTATAGCACATTATGATATTATACCTACTACAAAATAGTTTCCATTTTATATAATATATAGTATCGTATGATTATATAATTTTTATATTTTATATATCAAACTTTCATGTAACATTTTAGTTATTTCTACTTTTACATAATCACATTTAATGTTTATAGTATAAAGTTATAACTATAATAACGGGTCATAGGGTTCAGACAGCCTGCAGTTGGAGGTGGTCAATATTTTTATTGTTTGTCAAGAATCCCAATTCTGGCTGATTTAGCACCAAGGAAGCTTTCTCCAGCTTTGGGCTTTTGCACCAACTGTGTTCTCTGGGCATACACTGCTTCCCCAGTGCCCATGCATCTTGCTTTCTTCCCCCATCTTTGAAAAGCATCCACCCCACCATTTGTATCTGAAGTAACACATCCATTGGGGTCACTTTCTGCTGTATTATTTTGTATATATTTGTGTTGCAGGCATCACCATCTGATTTGATATTAAATATTTCTTTTTTTTTGGTTTTTCATCCAACCTTTCCACTAGACCTCATGAGACCTGGACTTGGTCTGTCTTGTTTCTGCTGTGTCCAAGGCACCCAACATGGTGCCAGCACAAAGCAGACATTCAGTACAAGCTTGTTAAATGTGTTAATGAATGAACAAACGAATGAACGGATGAATAATAACAATAGTATTGACATTGACCAAATGCCCCACACACATTGGCTAAATGCGTGGGAGGTGGTAGGGTTGGTTCCAGGTCCTCTAATTCAAAATCTAATGCCCCACCCCATGCTTCAGCATATCCCAGCCCTAATTCCATGTGCGGGTGGTGCCCAACCACCCTGCTACCCTCCTCCCAAGTATCCTACCTACATCCTTCCCTGGCATTCCACAAGGTCTCCCAACTCAGCCTCCTCTTGGTCACAGTGGCATACCATGTCGGTGGAGGACAGTCGTAAGGGACCCAGTGGCAGAGGTCTATTACCATTGGCATCCACCCTAGTACTTTCAATCCCGTTCCCCATCATCAGTGCCATATGCTCCACCCCATTCACTGGAGCAGCCACCAGCAAATATGGAACCTAGGGAACAAGAGGAATGTGGCAGGGCTGAGGGTTCTGGGTCTCAGGCACTTAATTGGAAAATGAACGTGATGCGGTGTGGCAGAAGATGACCCCGTGACCAAAGTCAGGTTAAAGCCATGGTTGTCATGCACACTTGCCCTAATGTCAGAATGAATTGAGCCCTCCACCCTCAGCTTCAGTGAGGCTACTGTGCCCATGTGACTCTTATCTATGTTATATCCTACCCCACCCTATCCTGCTCTACTCCCCACTCCCCATATCATACCACTTATTCACTACAATACTTAATTCTACCTTATGTTGATTCTATTATTGGTTTTAAGTATAATTATCATAATTTATAACTAATATCACAATCTTTGTCGCTATTTGTTACATGCCTTTAATTATTAAGATACCATGAATAATTTATGAACTCTGATGCTAAGAAATCCTGTCCCTTCTAGTTTCTACCACCTTCAGATTGGAGTTTGCATGAGCACAATAGCCTCAGCTCTAGAGGTAATGTTTTTCTCCCTCTGCAAAATCAACACAATTAGATTACTTCCTTAGTGATATTATTATGGTGTTATTTCAATATTTATTATAATAATAGATATTGCTATTTTAAAAAAGCTGGTATTTTCTGTTTCCATCTGTGAAATAGGATAATGTAAACACCACATTAATACAAGCATTTATATAAAGTTTGTGACTATAATAAATGCCAATCCTGAGAACCCGGTGTGTTCTATTATACTCTGAAAAATGGGCCCATTTATAATGCAGTGTTGTCTATTGCTATGGTCTAAATGTCTGTGTCCCTTCGAAGTTCATATTAAAGCCTAATCCCCAGTGGGATAATATTAAGAGGTGGGGCCTTTGGCAGATAATTAGGTCATGAGGACTTTGCTCACATGAGTTGGATCAGTACCTTATAAAAGTCGTCTAAGGGAGCTTGTTTGCCCTTTCCACTGTATGAGGACATAGCAAGATGGCACAATCTATGAAGCAGGGAGTTGTCACCAGACACTGAATGTTCTGGCATCTTAATCTTGGACCTCTCAGCCACCACAACTATAAGCAATAAATGTCTCTTGTTTATAAATCCCTCAGTCTGAGTGTTTTTTTTTTTTTTTTGAAACAGGGTCTGGCTCTGTTGCCCAGGCTGGAGTGCAGTGGTGCCATCATGGCTCACTGCGACCTCAAACTCCTGGGCTCAAATGATCCTCCTGCCTCAGCCTCCTGAGTAGCTAGGACTTCATGCAAGTGCCTCCGTGCCTGGCTGATTTTTGTTTGTTTGTTTGTTTGTAGAGATGGAGTCCCATTATGTTGCCCAGGCTGGTCTTAAACTTCTGACCTCAAGTGATCCTCTTGCCTTGGTTTGCCAAAGTGCGGGGAGTATAGGTGTGAGCCACTGTGCCCAGCTCCAGTTTGTTTTAATAGCAATATCCACTATTATAGTAAATATTAAATTAACACCATAATAATATCACAGAAAATTATCACTAAATTACCCAAATGTTAGTGACTTAAAGTGACTATAAACACTTATTCTCTTGCATAGTCTCCGAGGACTGAAAATCTAAAAGGTTAGTTGGGTGGTTCTGGCTCAGGAGCTCTCATGAGGTTGCAATCAGGATGTTGACATGGCAGAAATGCAGTCATCTGAAGGCTGACTGAAGCTAATTCGATCCGATTCCAAGCTCGCTCACATGACTATGAGCAGAAGGTGAAAGGCCTCAATTTCTCACCACAAGGAACCCACCACAAGAATACTTGAGTGTCTTCACCACATGGTGGCTGTATTGGTTACAGTGGTCACTTTTGTTTGTGAAAGGAGACTACATAGAAGTTTGAATATCGAGGAGGTAAGATTGATTGAGAACAATCTTGGAGGCTGGCTACCACATGGACATTGTGGTTACTTGCATTTGTTACTATTGTCATTGCAATTGATACCACTATTAGGAATGATGACAGTCTTGTAAGCCAGAGGGGAATAGTCTGCACATTGTAAGGTCTATGTGAGGCTGAAATGATGTAGCACCCGGCCAGGCGCAGTGGCTCACGCCTGTAATCCCAGCACTTTGGGAGGCCAAGGCAGGCAGATCACCTGAGGTCAGGAGTTCGAGACCAGCCTGACCAACATGGAGAAACCCCATCTCTACTAAAAATACAACATTAGCCGGGCATGGTGGTGCATGCCCGTAATCCCAGCTACTCGGGAGGCTGAGGCAGGAGAATCACTTGAACCCAGGAGGCGGAGGTTGTGGTGAGCCAAGACCACACCATTGCACTCCAGCCTGGGCAACAAGAGCAAAACTCTGTCTCAAAAAAAAAAAAAAAAAAAAAAAAGATGTGGCACCCACAACAGTGCTAATTGTGATGATGATGATAATGATGATGATGACTACAGCAAATTTTAGGGACGTGTTTAATGTATACTAGGCCCCTGTTCTAGACTCGTTAAATGTATAAACTCATTCAATTTACATAATGCTTGAGATAGCTACAATTATTATATTCACCTTTTCCACATGAATAATCTGAGTCACAGAGGAATGAAGGAGCTCGCCCAAGATCACAGAGCTAGTCAACAGCACAGAGAGATTCAAACCCAGGACAGATAACTACAGAGTCCATTATACCAACCCCCATGCAATGCTGCCCCTCAAAAGACATCACTAGTATGATCATTCACAGTCTCTGTTATAGTGTTGTATATAATTATGCTGTAGTTATAACAGAGTATAATAGTTATAGCATAGCTATAATGCTTTTCCTGAGAAGGCTGGTTAATCCTACACCTTCACTCCCAGCGCATAAAAATGCATGCATAGCTGGGTGCGGTGGTTCACGCCTGTAATCCCAGCACTTTGGGAGGCCAAGGCAGGTGGATCACCTGAGGTCAGGAGTTCAAAACCAGCCTGGCTAACATGGTGAAACCCCGTCTCTACTAAAAATACAAAAATTAGGCAGGCGCCTGTGATCCCAGCTGAGGCAGAAGACTCGCTTGAACCCGGGAGGCGGAGGTTGCAGTGAGCCGAGATCGCGCCCAGCCGATTTGGAGGGTTTTTTAAAAAGCATATTCCTGCTATCTCGGGTAGCCTGTGTTCTATGTGTATCTGCACCAGTTTATACCTTGCCTTTTCATTCTCTTTACTATCACTTGATGAACAAAAATTATTATTTTAATATAGTCAGTTTTATCAACCTTTTATATATAATACTTTTTTGGTGTTCTGTTTAAGAGATCTTTCCATTGCCACAGAGTCTAAAACACATTTACTAATATTTTTACTAAAAGTCTTAAAGCTATGTTTTTAACATTTGAATCATTAATACACATAGGATTGGTTTTTGCATATGCTACCAATTCAATTTCTTTTATTGTTTTTGGCCTATCCAAATTTTCTTCCTATACATGGCAATTTTCATCTGTGTTTTCCTAGGAAACTTCCTATTTTATTACATTTTCAAATGGATTTCTCAAAATATCCTTAGAATTCTCTTGAGTTTTAAATCTTTCTCTCAGTAGTAATGTTCCTTTTTCTTTCTCATGTTGTTTTCTTTCTCTATTTTTTTCAAAATAGACTTTTTTAATTTTAATTTTATTTTTTTGAGACAGAGTCTTGCACTGTCGCCCAGGCTGGAGTGCAGTGGCGCGATCTCAACTCACTGCAACCTCTGCCTCCCGGGTTCAAGTGATTCTCCTGCCTCACACTCCCGAGTAGCTGGAACTACAGGTGTGCACTGCCACACCCAGCTAATTTTTGTATTTTTAATAGAGACAGAGTTTCACAATGTTGGCCAGGATGGTCTCGACCTCTTGACCTCGTGATCCGCCTGCCTTGGCCTCCCCAAGTGCTGGGATTAGAGGCGTGAGCCACGGGCACCCAGCCTTTAATTTTTATTTTAAGTTCTGGGGTACGTGTGCAGGATGTGCAGGTTTGTTACATAGGTAAACGTGTGCCATGGTGGTTTGCTGCACCTGTCAACCCATCACCTAGGTGTTAAGCCCAGGATGCATTAGCTATTTTTCCTAATGCTCTCCCTCCCGCCACCCCACCCCCAACAGGCCCCAGTGTATGTCGCACCAGGAAACCAAACAAATTGTGTGACTCGCTTTATTGTAGTGGTCTAGAACCAAACCCTAAATATCGCTGAGGTATGCCTGTGTTTGTATAATACTATTGTTATGGAAATAAAAGGGTCTCAATCCAGACTCCAAGAGAGGGTTCTTGATCTCATGCAGGAAAGAATTCCAGGTGGGTTGTAGAGTGCAGTGAGAAGAGATAGTTTATTGAAAGCTACTCCACAACAGAGTAGGGTGTCCTCAGAAAGCAAGTGGAGGAACATCTGTTAAGCTTTTCTTATATAGGGGTCTTGTCTATGTAAAGACTAAAGTAAGCTGTGCCTATGCGTGGGTGGCCTGACATTATGACAAAATTTATTATTCTATTGATTTAAAGAAAACTATCCCTGACATTTTAGTAAGTACATCAAAGTATAACTATAATGATCTTGAAAGCATTTATTGTTATGGGTATTGGACATCTGGACTTTCTGTTGTTCTAGGAGTTTGTCTTTGCAGGCATTACAGGGCTGCTTCCTTCGCTGTAAACACATTAGGACCATGAGTTGTGACTTGCAATGAATGTGCCTTGCTAGTGTCAAGATGGAGCTGAACTTAAAATGGTGTCACTCTGGGTCTCCTAGGTTTCATCTTCCCTAACACTATGACCACACCTGCTGTCTTCTTGATGTTTCCTTGTAAATGTTTTTAATTCCTTTCTTTTTAAATTAGAAATTTACTATGAAAATTTCACACAAATACTATGGAAGAGAACATTATAATGAGTTCTGTCTACTTATCACTCTGCTTTAACATTTATCAACATTTTCTTTTGCAATACCATATACCCCTTCTCAGTGGAGTTTTTTTTTTCTCAGTGGAGTTTTTAAAGCTAATATTATTCCACCCATAAATATTTCCACACGAATCCCTAAAAGTTAAGTCATCTTCTTTTTAACAGAGCTGCATTACTGACAAAATCAACAGTAATTCTTAGCCCCTTGGTAGAAATTGTGTGTTTACTAACGGACTTCCACAGATGTTTCCTTAGACCGTCCTTTCGGAGAAGAAAGAAAACCTGAGATCAGCAGAGTCTAATTCTCTAAACATATTTTTAAGCCGAGTCCCAGAGACAGACATAACTGGCCTGAAGGCATCCAGCATGCCCACATCAGAGTGTAGGTTCAATTCCCTGAAAACAAGTTTCCCACCTGCTGGAACTGAACACATTGGGTAGTAATTTCCCACCACTGTTCAGGTAGAACTTCCTGTCAGAAGCTGAGCTGTGAATCATGTTTAGGAGTTCACCAAGTGAAAGGAATTGTATCTTTACAACTCCTCATCCACACCCTCCAAAAAGGGGAGTAAGGAGGTTTCAGAATTTCCACAGAGGAGAAGCTAAGGGTCAGAGACTGCACTTAAAGCTTCATTGACATGGTAAGGCGATTGTTATTAATTATATTTTAACTTCAAGGTAAATAAAAACAGTCTTCTTTAGGTGCTTTTAGTAACACGTTGGCCATACTAAAGACTATTAGTGTTGTTATTATTGCTGCCTACTATAGTTGCACTTGAGGTATTTAGTGTGGAGGGTAATGGGTGATTCAAATCTCTATTCACCTTCCCACCCGACCCAGCCCTTCAGAAGGGGACGCCCGGACTTCTCCTCCCTCCTCTGGTGGTATCTCCCAGGAGAGGATTGTATTAATACTATTGGACTTCTACCCTATTTCCCAAGGCGGTTTCTCCCATTAAAAGTTGTACCACTCTTCCTGCAGCCTACTACTCATTCAGATGTCTCTCAGACTTTCAGGGTGGTTTCACTCAAGAGATGACTCCCCTAGTGACCTTTCCACCTTTTCCCTGAATGGCGTCTGTAAAAAATGGACTGTACTATCCTGATTCCTCCTATCATCTGCCTGTGGTTTCTCCCAGGATCCCCTTCACTTGGTGATTTTTCCCTGGCTCCTCTATTCCCTGGTAATTATTATCCTCAGTGTCCTGTATTCAGAAAGGTAACTTAGCTTTTCTAAATATAACATACAGCACCAGACCCACATTTCCAGTAACTTTCTCCTCCGAAATAGAAGCCTAGTCAGACAAGGGTCACACTCCAGCATCCTATGTAACTATACCTGCCTCGCTCTAGGAAACCCTGCCAGCGGCCAATTCCTCTGCTCTACGGAATGGATATGCTTTCAAAATGGCGGCCCACGCGAATAAACACCATAAGGGCGCGGCCATGTTCTCTGCCGGACAGCGCCACATTACGGAACCTGTGCGCTGTGTCTGCGCCCTGTTGACTGTTCGAGGAAACTGGCTTCCAAGTTTATTCAGAGCATGCGCCATATCAACAGCCTACAAAGGGGAGGTGCTAGAAGTCGGACCGGAAGTGGAAGTGGTCTTCCAAGGCTTTTTTGCCGCTGGTGTCAGGAGTATTTTCATATTCCAATACCGATAAATCTTTGAGGTGATTTTGGTTGATCACGATTGGGGTTTCTGTGGAGCCAGTAATAGGGGGTGTCGAGGTTGCCTGTGGAGTTAGTGATTGCGGTTTCAGGCTTCGGTGATGGGGTTCTGTGGCGTCCGTTGTTGATTGTGACGGATTTCTCAGGTCATTGATGGAGCTCTTTGGGATGAGTGATTGAGGTTTGGGGGTCAGTGATGGGAGTCTGTGGTCAGTGACAGAGCCTGTAGGGTCAGTTATGGTGATCGGTGAGGACTGTAATCAGCTTGCTTTCTAACCTGAGTTGAAAGTTCAGCTTTTTAATTTTCAGTCTTCTTTAATATAAAAATTCTCAAGTTTTGGTGAATCTTTGTATTAAAAATTGTTCAAATCTAAGTGGTTTTTTCTTTGATCCATGAGTTATTTAGAAGTTCCTTTTTAAAGTAATGTCTGTTTAATGGTCAAATTGAAAAATTGCTTTATGACCTAGTTCGTGGTCAGTTTTCATGAATGTCACATCTATTACATAGAAACAGTGTACTATGTTCTCTAATTGTATTGTTATAGATATTAATTAAGCATATATTCAAAAAATATATCTGTCTCCTCACAGATTATTTTGTCTGCTTAATTACAGAGGAAGGTAAAGTACTCAACTCTGGAAAGGTTATTTGTCCATTTGTCCTTCTTTTTCTGCTTTATATATGTGAAATTATTAGGAATAACTATGTGCACTTTTTTTTTTTTTGAGATGGAGTCTCGCTCTGTCACCCAAGTTGGAGTGCAGTGGCGCGATCTCAGCTCACTGCAACCTCTGCCTAGTGGGTTCAACGGATTCTCCTGCCTCAGCCTCCAGAGTAGCTGGGATTAGAGGCACCCGCCACCACGCCCAGCTAATTTTTTGTATTTTTTAGTAGAGACGGGGATTCACCATGTTGGCCAGGCTGGTCTCAAACTCCTGACCTCAGGTGATCTACCTGCCTCCGCCTCCCAGAGTGCTGGGATTACAGGCGTGAGCCACTGCGCCCGGCATATGTGCATTTTTAATACTTTATAGATATGACTAAGTAGCTCAAAATATAACAATTCAAGCTTATACCAACAATTTATAAAATAACTCATTTTCCCAGATGCTTTTCCAGCAGTGGATATTGTTGCATTTTAAAAGTTTTTAAAATTTTGAGGGAAAATTATATCTAATTGCTCCAATGCATTTTCCAGTTACTAAAGTTGGCATCTTATTTGGTTAATTGCCATTTGTTTCCTTTTCTGTGAATTTTCATATCTTTTGTCCTACTTTTTTTTGTGGTATATTTTAACATAAAGTTAGGAAATATCATCTAATCAAAAGTATCTGATTTTTCTGTTACAGAGTCTGTGTTTCCTCTCACGTGTAATAAGATCCCTCCCAGCCCACCACAGTGTTATACACATGTATACTTCTAAAATTTATTTTAATAGTCTTTGTGATTTAACAAATACACATAATTAAGTGATCAGTCCTGCTGGCATTTGCCTACTGAATAGTGTGTGATGGAGATCTAGTTTGTTTTTTTCCAGGTGGCCAGCCAGTTATATCACTGCATTATATCACTGCCATTTATGCAATGAATGTCTTATGCACACTCATTTGAATACCACTTTTATCACATATATAGATCAATATTGTCTGGTATATTTATTGTTTTACTTGTTTTTATTACATTGTTTTTATATTGTTTTAATATCTGATAATGCATGGTAATCGCTGATATGTATTGTATGATTTTTGTGTGCCTGGGAGGTGTTGAGTACTTTACAAGTATTATCTCATTTAATTTTTGTAACTTTGAGATAAGCATTTTCATCCTCATTTCTGAAATTAAAAGTGAAGAAATGGCTGGGCGCAGTGGCTCACGCCTGTAATCCCAGCACTTTGGGAGGCAGAGGCGAGCGGATCAGGAGGTCAGGAGATCCAGACCATCCTGGCCAACATGGTGAAACCTCGTCTTTACCAAAAATTAGCTGGACATGGTGGCGCATGCCTGTAATCCCAGCTACTTGGGAGGCTGAGGCAGGAGAATTGCTTGAACCTGGGAGGCAGAGCTTGCAGTGAGCCGAGATCGCACCACTGCACTCCAGCCTGGCGACAGAGCGAGACTCCGTCTCAAAAGAAAGTGAAGAAACTTCTGTTCTCATAGGTGAAAAGTGTCAGAGCTGCAGTTCAAATCTGCAGTAACATTACTCCATCTCTCATGACTTTTCCCATATTTCACCGTAACTAATACCTATCACAGATTTTGTTAAATTTTATGTTCTCCTCAGCGCTGGTTCTCAAAGTGTGGTCCCTGTACTGACAGCATCAGCGTTTCCTGGGCACCAGTTAGAAACGAAACTTTTTGGGTTCTACTTTAGACCTACTGAATCAGAAACTGTGGAGTAGGCTGAGAATTTTTAACTGTGTTTCATTTAACAGGTCCTCCAGGTAACTTGAATGCATACCCATTTGAGAACCACTGCTTTGGTTTCTAGCTCAGGGACCTGCACCTTGATATATCCAGGAAGTGCTTATGTGTTGAATGTGAAATGACTGACTATGGGAACATTGTCTTTCCAGGTTTCTGGGTGTCTCTGGGGAGCCCCTGGGCCAGATTTTCCTCTAGACTCCAGCCCATCTCTTCAGAGCAGCTCTGCTTGAGTTCACAGATGACTGCCAAGCTTCAGACACCCTACAGAAAAAGGGTTGAGACCCAGTGTGGCCATGCCAGCTAATTGGACCTCACCTCAGAAATCCTCAGCCCTGGCTCCAGAGGATCATGGCAGCTCCTATGAGGTGAGAAGGAGGAGTCCCAGGGGGGTGGGAATTCAATCCAGGACTAGGTATCTCTGGTCTGTCACTAGAACCTCATGACTGAGGGAGGGAGCTGGGCCACAGGAAGCAGCTGGACTCTAGACCTGCTGCTCCTGAAACAAATCTTGATCTTCCTGTTGAGAATGAGCAACATGTGGGTAATGTCTTCGTCTCTGGAGGCCATCTGTGCGACAGTGGAGAGGTGGACTATTAAGAAAAACTGTTGTTTATTTTGTCATCACACTACATTGATCTTTGGGCTGTGGATAGATTTTCCTGGTTAGAAGTCACTTTTCTGTGGGATTTTCAAAGTATTTCTCTTGTTTCTTCCTAAACTGCCTCCTCAAACACAAATATTTTCTTTCTTTCTTTTTTTTTTTTTTTTACATTTCTGTTTTTCGGATATTGGTTCTCCATTTTTTTCCCTCTACTGTTTTCTATTTCTTTGCTGCTCTCTTTTTCAGGAAGCTTTGTCACATTTGCCTTCCAGCCCTTCTTTTGAGTTTCTCGTTACCACTATCAACATTTTAATTCAACGTTTTAATTTTTAATAACTGTAATTTATTTTCTAAATATTCTTTTTGATTAGCATCTTGTTCTTATTTCATGGGTATAATTTTATTTCTTATGCCTCTGGAGATATTGTGATAGTGTATTAGGAAAGTTTAGTTTTCTGAATAGGGAATATATACACTTCGTTCAAAAATAATATTGGTAAAATGGGAATAATAGTAAAAAATAAAAATTAAAAACAATTAGAAATGCATTTAAAGGCAACACACCCTGAAAAGTGTTATAGGAAACAAATTCAGGGGAAACATGGATCTGTGATTCACCCACCTCCGTTCCCCACCTACCCCCATGTTTCTCAACATACAGGACCGATTTTATTCTTTTTCTTTGATTGCTTAGTTCTATAAACAAGTAAAAACAAGTACACATTTTTTTCTTTCTATTTCACAAAAGGTGCCATAGTAGACTAAATTTTCACACATTGCTTTTTAAATATTTGTTTGGTAAAATACAGCTCATATTATGAACTATGTAGCAGTAGGCATTCTTCTCATGTCTTTCCTTTCTGTTGCATGTGTAAGTTGTAGTAGAATTTCATTTCTGGTTTTAGTCACAGGTAATAAGAATCTTCTAGCTGAATTTCACTGAACCTCTACTTCTGTTCCTATTGGGAAATTTTATGATTGGGTATCTTAATCATTTTTACCTAGAAAATATGAAGGGTAGATTGAAGCAAAAGCTATAATTGGTAAAGGTATAATTGGCAGTCACTTTCCTTATGCAGAGTAAGGAGATTTTTATGGTTTGAAGAAGATTGTGATTTTTGTCTGTGCTCAAGTATAATGACAGAGTGGTCTTGGTTTTGTCTTCCACCATGGTGGTCAGAGATTGGTCTTGTTTGCTGTTGGTGTTCCAAGAGATTATTTTTGTGTAGCGCCATGGAGAACACCATGAGTTAGCTGGCCCCTGCCAGGCTAGCTTCTAGCAAAACTGAGGTTTAACTGATAGTACCAGGCTAACTCTCAGCGGTCAGGGGCTGCTTTTATCCTCATTTAAAAATAAAGGAATGAACCAAAAGAAAGCTAGGGATGCAATTTAGGAACAGGTCAAAAGGAATTTAAGGTGAAAATCACTTAAAGGGATGAAGAGGATGGTTCATACTTATAAAAGGAAGAATATACAAATAATTATAAAAGTTATCAACATTTGTTTAACTAATAATGTATTTTTGAACTATATTAAGTAAAAATGAACAGAAATCATTAAATATGCCATTGGCCATTTTAGTACACTACTCTCAAGGCAGACAAAGAATAGAAACCTTTGCCATCATACTGATTCTGTTTTCTAAGAGCATTAAATTAGAAATAAAAAGTAAGGTCTGGGGCGGTGGCTCACGCCTGTAACCCCAGCACTTTGGGAAGCCAAGGCGGGTGGATCACAAGGTCAGGAGTTGGAGACCAGCCTGGCTAACATGGTGAAACTCATATACTGAAGACTCATACTGAAGACACAAAAAATAAGCCGTGCGTGGTGCCACGCACCAGTAATCCCAGCTACTTGGGAAGCTGAGGCTGAGAATCACTTGAACCTGGAAGGCGGAGGTTGTAGTGAGCCGAGATCGTGCCATTGTACTCCAGGCTGGGCGACAGGGCGAGACTCCATCTCAAAAATAAAATAAAATAAAATAAAATAAAATAAAATAAAATAAAATAAAAATAAAAAGTAAAAGGCTCTTACACAACGTGAATGTACTTCATGTCACTAAACTGGTCACTTAAAAATATTAAAATGGCAACTTTTATGTTATGTGTATTTTTACCACAATTAAAAAGCATTTGGGGCCAGGCCCAGTGCCTGTAATCCCACCACTTTGGGAGGCCAATGTGGGCGAATCATGAGGTCAGGAGTTCGAGACCAGCCTGGCCAACATGGTGAAACTCCGTCTCTACTAAAAACACAAAAAATTAGCTGGGTATGTGGCGGGCACCTGTAATCCCAGCTACTCAGGAGGCTGAGGCAGGATAATTGCTTGAACCTGGGAGGCAGAGGTTGCAGTGAGCCAAGATTGTGCCACTGCACTTCAGCCCAGGCGACAGAGTGAGACTCCATGTCAAAAACAAAACAAAACAAAACATTTGGATAAAGTAGTGCATTTTAAAGTTTGTGTGGTAGGCTGGGTGTAGTGGCTCATGCCTGTAATCCCAGCACTTTGGGAGGCTGAAGTGGGTGGATTGCTTGAGCTTAGGAGTTCAAGACCAGCCTGGGCAGCATGGTGAAACCCCGTCTCTACAAAAAATAGAAAAATTAGCCAGGTGTGGTGGTGCAGGCCTGTAGTCCCAGCTACTTAGGAGGCTGAGGTGGGAGGATCGCTTGAGCCTGGGAAGTAGAGGTTGCAGTGAGCTAAGATCATGCCACTGTACTCCAGTCTGCGTGACACAGTGAGACCCTGTCTCATAAATAAATAAAGTAAGTTTATGTGCTAAAGCTATCCTGTGGGTAGAGGGGAAAAACTATAGATTTAATTGCTTCTTTTTGGAATCCTGGACGTTTAAAAAAAAAAAAGACCTAAGGTATGAGTTTGACAGAAACACAAGTTGCTGTGTTGATGTGTTGACAATCAAAAAATGTGTTGACAAGTTGATGTGTTGACAATCAAAAAATGGAGTAAATATCTACATAATCAAAGACTGTGCAGCCGGGCATGGTGACTCACACCTGTAATCCCAGCACTTTGGGAGGCCAAGATGGGTGGATCACGAGGTCAGGAGACCAAGACCATCCTGGCCAACGTGGTGGAACTCTGTTTCTACTACAAAAATTAGCCGGATGTGGTGGTGCGCACCTGTAGTCCCAGTTACTCAGGAGGCTGAGGCAGGAGAATTGCTTGAACCCAGGAGGCAGAGGTTGTAGTGAGCCGAGATTGTGCCACTGCACTCCAGCCTGGGGGACAGAGCGAGAGCGAGACTCTGTCTCAAAAAAAAAAAAAAAGACTGGGCAGCATGGTGGCTCACACCTGTAATCCCAGCACTTTGGGAGGCTGAGGTGGGTGGTTCACTTGAGGCCAAGAGTTCAAGACCAGTCTAGTCAACATGGCGAAACCCCATCTCTACTAAAAATACAAAAATTGGCAGGGTGCCACAGTGCAGGTCTGTAATCCCAGGTACTTGGGAGGCTGAGGCAGGAGAATGGCTTGAACCTGGGAGGCGGAGGTTGCAGTGAGCCAAGATCATACCACTGCATTCCAGCCTGGGCGACGGAGCAAGACTGAAAAAAAGACAAAAGAATGTAACAAAACAGGAGAAACAGTTAGTTCCGTACCTAAGATTCAAACAATCATGAATGAATATTATACAAAATCATGCCAAAAATATGAAAGTATAAATAAAAGGATAAAAGTTTACAAAAAATAGATATAATTGGTAAGAATTTAAATGGTTCAAAGTCCTTGAAGAAATTAAAATGTTGATTCAGCATTTCCAACACAGTAAAAAATAATGGAAAGGTCATGCATTTTTATAGTTGGTCATTATGCTGAAGTTTTGGGTAAAGAATAATATTTAAAATTATTCTCAACCTTGCTTTTGGTTTTTGTTTTATTTTGTTTACAGTGTTAACCTTGATGCCTGAAAGAACTGGAAATTATGAAGATAGATTCAGAAGTCAAATATGTTAACTAACTGCATTGAAGAGTAGAAGAAAACAATAGCCTAGTAGGTTTTTACTGGGATTAGTGAAACAACTGCTATGTTCTCAGCAACCCACTCCAAAGCCAAAGTCAAAACTAAAATTGTAAAATATCTCAAAAACAATAAAAATGGTATATATATATCAGAAGCTCTGGTATATAGCAAAACTGTACTAAAAATAATTTAGAAAAATAATTTATCTCATGCAAATGAATAAAAAAATCTAAATGAAAAGGATGAATTTCTTTTTTTTTTTTTTTGAGACATAGTCTTGCTCTGTAGTCAGGCTAGAGTGTAGTGATGTGATCTTGGCTCTGCAACCTCCGCCTCCCGGGTTCAAGCAATTCTCCTGCCTCAGCCCAGCGAGTAGCTGGGAGTACAGGCGTGCGCCACCACGCCCAGCTAATTATTTTGTATTTTTTTAGTAGACACGGGGTTTCACCATGTTGGCCAGGATGGTCTCAACTTTGACCTCGTGATCCACCCGCCTCAGCCTCCCAAAGTGTTGGGATTACAGGCATGAGCCACCGCACCCAGCTGAAAAGGATGAATTTCTAGAACATTAACTACCCCACCAAATCTTTAAATACCATTTACCACATTTTATTTCTAGGTTTTAAGATTTTCATTTTTTAACTTTACTTTTGGCCATATGTGGTGGCTCACACTTGTAATTCCAGCACTTTGGGAGACTGAGGCGGGAGGATTGCTTGAGCCCATGAGTTTGAGACCAGCCTGCACAACATAGTGAGACCCTGTCTCTACAACAAAAACCAAAATTAACTGAGTGTGGTGGTGGGGCACCTGTGATACCAGCTACTTGGGAGGCTGAGATTGGAGGACGGCTTGAGCCTGTCAAGGCTGCAGTGAGCCACGACATTGCCACTACATCCAGCCTAGGTGACAGTGACACCCTGTCTTGAAAACAAAAGCAAAAAACTTCAATAAGATTAGGATTGCAGCATTGGAGAAATTTACTTTTCGAGAGATTATTACGGGTATTTCTTTGTTTTTTGTTTTGTTTTGGGATTGTTGTATAGGCACTTGAAAAGAAAAAAATTTGATAGCTTATCAATAAGATATATAGCTATGAGGTTTCTATAGTATTACTCATTTTTTTCTACTTTGTCTCAAGTTGCTGAGAGATATTATTAAAGTTTCCCACCACAAATGTATTTCTATCTATATTTTCCTATAGTTCTTTTTTTTTTAATTTGAGACAGTGTCTTGCTGTGTCGCCCCGGCTGGAGTGCAGTGGTGCAATCTCGGCTCACTGCAAGCTCCGCCTCCCGGGTCCACGCCATTCTCCTGCCTCAGCCTCCCGAGTAGCTGGGACTACAGGCGCCCGCCACCACGCCCTGCTAATTTTTTGTATTTTTGGTAGAGACTAGCCAGGATGGTCTCGATCTCCCGACCTCGTGATCCACCCGCTTCGGCCTCCCAAAGTGCTGGGATTATAGGCATGAGCCACCACGCCCGGCCTTTTTCCTATAGTTTTTGTTTATAAATTTTGATGTTATGTAGTTTGGTGCACAGATAGTAAATACGGCATCCGAAACTCATTTCACATTGTGTCCTTGTTTAATATTTTTTCCCCTGCAATTCAGCCCTATCTAATATTAAGGAGGAGGCTCTTATTTCTTTTCTGTTGGCAACTCCAGATATGCCTTTGGTCATCTTTTTAATGTCATCCTTTGGAGTTCTTGTGCTTTTTTGTGTGTGTGTGTGGAAAGATGCATTTTATGTTATGCTTCTGATGTGGCTATTTTATAAATCTTTCACTATATACTCTATATTTGTGCTTTGTTTCTGTGTGTCTTCCATGTAATTTGGAATGTTTGGATTCTTTTTTGTTTTTGTGTGTGTGTGTGTGTGTGTGTCATCTTTATGATGTTAACTTCTTGAACTAAATATTCGAATCTACTCTTTAAGACAGTATTTATTAAATTTGTACTGTGAATAATGATAACAGTTCTACACTGCCAATTCAAGGATTCTTTTGTTCATTGGATGTTTTTATTAAACTCCTCTTATTTTCTTTAAAAAATATCTTTATTTCCGTCTCATGTTGCTCACTTGCCTTAATCTGCTCTTTGCCACCTTTTGTGTTTTTGCAGGGTCTTCTCATTTTTTTCAGGGAGACTTTTATTTTTGTGTTGCTTTTTTTTTTTTTACTTTTTTACTGAGTTCTGTTAATTTATTTTTCAGAAATTTATATCACTATATTCTTAATCTGTTTTTCCCTAAGCAGTTAATTGTTTTAGTAAATTCCTTGAATTCATGGAGGTTATGATTTCTTCTGTTGTATGTCAATTTATTTCTAGTGTATTCTTCTTAATCTCCTCTCTTTTTTTTTTCATCCTTTTACTCATAGCATCTTTGTACATCAGGAGATGTTTATTGTCTTTGAATGAGGAGATTTCTTCCTGACAAACTGTTTGTATAAGATCATTTGGTGAGGTGTCAAAACTCCATTCTAGCCTAACATGACATTGTCTTGATTCCCCATTAAATTTTTTGATGACATTAGTTTTGGGGGCTGGGGGTTCAGTGTGTGTAGGGCATGAATATGCAAGTGTGTGATGAAGAGAAAACTAGAGCATGCGTCTTCATTTCAGGTATATAGGGAACTTTTTTTTTGGTTTAAGTTTATAGGTACAAGGGCAGGTTTGTTATATAGGTTAACTTGTGTCATGGGGGTTTATTGTATAGACTTTTATCACCCAGGTATTAAGCCTAGTACCCATTAGTTATTTTTTCTGATCCTTTCCCTCCTTTCACCCTCCACTTTCCAAAAGGCCCCAGTGTGTGTTGTTCCCTTCTTTGTGTCCCTGTGTTCTCATCATTTAGCTCCCACTTATAAGTTAGAACGTGTGGTATTTGGTTTCCGTTCCTGCATTAGTTTGCTAAGGATTATCACCTCCAGCTCCATCCATGTTCCTGCAAAAGACATGATCTCAGTCTCTTTTATGGCTGCATAGTATTCCATGGTGTATATATAGACACCACATTTTCTTTATCCAGTTTATCACTGATGGGCATTTAGATTGATTCCATGTCTTTGCTATTGTGAATACTGCTGCAGAGAACATATGTGGGTATGTGTCTTTATAATACAATGATTTATATTCCTTTGGGTATATATCCAGTAACAGGATTGCTGGGTCAAATGGTATTTCTGTCTTTAGGTCTTTGAGGAATCGCCACACTGTCTTCCATAAGGCCTGAACTAATTTACACTCCCACCAACAGTGTATAAGCCTTCCTTTTAAGAAATGAAGATATTGTAAGCCTCATAAACAGAATCAACACACATCACAAAGAAACAAATTGTAATCTCCGAACACAATTAAATGAATAAATTAAAAAAGTAGCTTTTAAGAATCATACTTTTAGGCCGGGCGTGGTGGCTCACGCCTGTAATCCCATCACTTTGGGAGGCCCAGATGGGCAGATGACCCGAGGTCAGGAGTTCAAGACCAGCCTTGCCAACATGGTGAAACCCCATCTCAACTAAAAATAGAAAAACTAGCCAGGCATGTTGGCCGGTGCCTGTAGTCCCAGCTACTTGGGAAGCTGAGGCAGGAGAATCGCTTGAACCTGGGAGGCAGGGGTTGCAGTGAGCCGAGATTGCGCCACTGCACTGCAGCCTGGGTAACAGAGTGAAACTCCATCTCAAAAAACAAAAAAAAGAATCATACTTTCAGATATTAATGATCACAAGTATCTTTAATACATTTCTGTCTCCAATTTCTTCCTGTGTGCTCGTGCACTCTCCTGAATTCAGAGACCTGCTCATACATGACTTTTTTTTTCTTAGAATAAAGTAAGCTAGAGAAAAAAATGTTATTAAGAAAATCAAAAGGAAGATATTTGTATTCAATATTCATTAAGTGAAAGTGGATCATCGTAAAGGTTTTTATCTTTGTCATCTTCACATCTGAGCTGACTGAGGAGTAGGAGGAAAAGGAGAGTTTGGTTTTGCTGGCTCGGGTGGCAGAGGCGGAAGAGGAGGAGAAGGTGGAAGGGGAGGCAGGAGAGGCATGCACACTATATGTAACTTTTATTGAAAAAAATTCATGTATCTGTGGACTTGCGTAGTTCAAACCTGTGTTGTTCAGGCTCAACTACAATTTATATTCTCTCTCATCAATTGTGCAATGAGTCTCTGATCTTCCAGTCTTGTCCATTCCCAAATGTTATGTATGTTTTGAAAATAATCTTTCTTAAGTAATATGTATATTTCAGTTTTTTATTTTGAAATTATTACAGATTCATAAGGAGTTAGAAAATATAGTACAAAGAGTTCCCCCATAAATTCCAGTTTATTGTGGTACGTGATTCTTTTTAGTGATTCTTGAATTCAGTTTGCTGACATTTTGTTGGGAATGTTTGCATTTAAATTCATGAGAGATATTGGCCTGTAGTTTTTTTTTTTGTTACTGTGTTTGTCTGATTTTGACATTGGAGTAATACTGGGCTTAAAAATATTAGTTTGGAAGTGTTTCTCCTCTTTTATTTTCTGGAAGAGATTATGTAAAAATGACACATTCTTCTTTGTAAGTTCGATAGAATTCTTTGGTAAAAGCTGGGTATGGTGATATGTGTCTGTAGTGGCAGCTACTCAGGAGGCTGAGGCAGGAGGATCGCTTGAGCCCAGGAGTTCGAGGCTGCAGTGACCGATGATCACGCCACTGCTCTTCAGCCTGGACGACAGAGCAAGATCGTGTCTCACAAAAAAAATTAAAAAGAAGAAGAAAAAAAGAATTCTCTGGTAGAACTATCTAGCCTAGAGGTTTCTTTTTCGGGAGCTTTTAAATTATTAATTTAAATTAATTTAATGGTCATAAGATGGTTTATCTTATCCATTTTCAAAGGTTTGAGTTTTGGTAGTTTGTGATGTTTGAGGAATTGGCTTATTTTTTTCTAAGTTATTGAATTTATTAGCTTGGAGTGTTTATTTTTCTCATTGTATTTTAAATGGCTGCTGCATCTATAATGATATTTACTGTTTTATTCCTAATATTGGTGTCTTTTTATCTTTGCCAGTCTGGTTGACTAATAGACCAATCAGTGAATTTATCGGTTTTATTATTTTGTTCTCTAATAACTGGATTGTGTTACAGTGATTTTTCTCTCTATCTTTTGTTTTCAGTTTTGTTGATTTCTACTTTTTATTATTTAGTTCCTTCTGCTTGCTTTTGAGTTCTTTTGCTCTTCTTTTTCTAGTTATTTATTTATTTATTTATTTATTTATTTATTTATTTATTTATTTTTGAGACAGGTTCTGGCTCTGTTGCCCAGGCTGGAGTGCAGTGGTGCCATCTCAGCTCACTACATCCTCTGCCTTCCCAGGCTCAAGTGATTCTCCTGCCTCAGCCTCCCAAATAGCTGGGACCACTATTTGGGAAGTGCACACTACCACACCTGGCTAATTTTTGTATTATTGATGGAGATGGGGTTTTGCCCTGTTTCCCAGGCTGATCTCGAACTCCTGGGCTCAAGCAATCCTCCCACTTTGGCCTCCCAAAGTGTTGGGATTATAGGAGTGAGCCACCATGTCTGGCCTCTTTTTCTAGTTTTTTGAGGTACAAGCTTACATTATTGATTTGTAGCTTTTTCCCTTTTCTAATGTAATCCTTTAGTACTATAAATTTCCCTCTCAGCCTTGCTTTACCTGCATCCCACAGATTTTGATAGGTTGTATTTTTACTGTCTATACATAGAACTCTGTGTATTTTAAATATTATTTTGGCGATATCTTGTTTGACCTGTGGGTCATTAAAGAAGAGTGCTGTTAATTTTCAAATATTTTGTGGGTTTTTTAGGTTGTTTTTGTTTGTTATTTTTTAATTTGCTTGGAGATTTTGTCTGTTTTGTTTCTGTTATTAATTTTTGTTTGATTCCCTTGTGGAACATACTTTGTATTGTTGTAATTCTTGTAAACTTGTTGAGGTTTGTTTCACAGCCTAGGGTATGGTTGTCATGCTCACTTTTCTATGGGTGCTTGAAAAGAATGTGCATTCTGCTGTTGTTTGTTGCAGCTGCCTTTTCTATAACCTTGATGATGTCCTGTCTAGTATTTTGATAAATTGCTAAGGTGAGGGAGGGGTATTCAAGTCCCTAGCATACTTTCTTTAAATGTATACAGCTCCATGTGGTAATAGGCATTCCTTTCATTGTGCAATTCCAAGTTAGATTTTTTAATTTGGAGGATCATGTATTTTGTTTTCAAAAAGCATTTTATTATGAAAAAATTTAAATATATGCAAAAGTAAAGATAATAGTATAAAGATCCCTTTCACCGATTGTCCCTGTCACCCAGTTTCAGTCGTCATCAACATTCTGCCTTTTTTTTTTTTTTTTTTTTGAGATGGAGTCTCACTCTGTTGCCTCGGCTGGAGTGCAGTGGCACGACCTCAGCTCACTGTAATCTCCACCTCCTGGGTTCAAGTGATTCTCGTGCCTCAGCCTCCTGGGTAGCTGGGATTATAGGTGTGTGCCACCACACCCAGCTAATTTTTGTATTTTTTGGTAGAGATGAGATTTCTCCATGTTGGCCAGGCTGGTCTCAAACCCCCAACCTCAAGCAATCCACTTGCCTCGGCCTCCCAAAGTGCTGGGATTACAGGTGTGAGCCACCACACCTGGCCCATTCTGCCATTCTTACTTTATCTGAAACCACCTCCCATTCAGCAGCTAGATTATTTTAAAGCAAATCTCAAACACCATGTTTTGTGTAAAAATACCTTGATATGTATCTCGGAGAGATATGAATTCCCTTTTTCCTTTGTGTTTAGCATAACCAGTAAGCTAATGTCACACAACAAAATAACAGTAATTCCTTGATATCATCTAATACCCACCATTTGCATTTCTCTAAATTGTCATAAATATTTTTTTAAGATTGGTTCATTTTAATTAGTGAAAGTCCACAAGTTGCCTTTGGTTAGTATGGCTCTAAAGTCTCTATTAATAAAGAAAATATTCCCTTCCATGTCCATTCTCTTGTAATTTTTTGAAGAAGTGGGCCATTTGCTACCTTCTGAATTTAGCTGATGTCTTGGTCTTCATATTGTTCAGTACGTTTCACTCTCCTTCCCACTCCTGTGAATGGCTTGTTAGATCTGGAGACTTGATGAGATAGGGGTTTGAATTTTATTTTTTGGCAAGAATACTTCATAAGTAGTGTAATGAAATTAATTACTATGCCATGTCAGCAGGCACATGAGAGCTGGTTTGTGGATGCTGATGTTACTAGCTGATCTATCCATTGTACGCTTCCCTTCAGCCTTTCAACTGAAACATTCCAACAGCCATTAATGATTATTGTCTAAATCTGTTATTTCATTAGTAGTTATACATGGTGGTATTTTAATTTTATCCTAACTTCTTTATTTATTAGCTAGAATCATTCTATAAAAAACTTTTCCAACCAGGTAAAGTAGCTCATGCCAGTAATCCCACCACTTTGGGAGGCCGAGGCAGGTAGATCGTGAGGTCAGGAGATCGAGACCATCCTGGCCAGCATGGTGAAACCCTGTCTCTATTAAAAATACGAAAATTAGCCTGGTGTGGTGGCGTGCGCCTGTAATCCCAGCTACTCGGGAGTCTGAGGCAGAGAACGGCTTGAATCCGGGAGGTGGAGGTTGCGGTGAGCCGAGATCGCACCACTGCACTCTAGCCTGGGCGACAGAGTGAGACTTTTGTCTAAAAAAAAAAAAAAAAAAGAACTTTTCCTCACCAGCTGTTTGGTTATCCTGTGTAATACAGAACTTAAAAAAAATTTACATATAAATCTGATTACCTTAATTACCATTACTGAAAGTAAAAATTCCATACTTTGACCAAACTGTTTTTCCTATACTGCTTTTCTGACACATCAGACAGACTTCTCTCCATTTATATAAACCTGTTTGCTGTTCCCTAAACTCATGGTGTATTTTTCTATCTCTACACCTTTTATTCTTGTCTTTTCTGGGCATTGTCCCCCTCACCCCATATTCTGGGTTACACTTTGTATCTTCCAAGTTAAATTCCTCAACTCTACGGAATGTCAACTTACTCCCTCAAGTAAAATGTACTTTTTGTTCCTTTGGGCCCTCAGTGTGTTCCACCATAAGGCATCTACTTTTCAACACCTTAATGAATTTGTTATGTCTTCTTTTTTAAAAAACTTCAGTCTGATTTATTTTCCAAGTCTTTTAAGTTGCTAGAAGATTGGACACATAATTATTTCTGTGTTCCCAGGGCTAGCATAAGGGCTCGTCCTAAATTGATCAGAAAGCATATCGCAGGTCATTCATCCAGTTGCTAGGAAACTAAAACACAGCTTATTTCAATTGCCAGTTTTGAAAAATGAGTAATTGGCTGACTATAGTACAGAACAAATAGCAGAAATTCTTGATGGGATTTCTGTGTTCCACAAAATATGTAAAACTAAATATTTAATATGCATATATATAAAATGTTTCTTCGAAATTTCTGGATTATACAGGTGTACACAGTTGTCAAAACTTTAAATGGTAAATTAAAGATTGGTGCATTTAATTGTATGTAAATGTTACTTACAAAAGGTTGATACGTTTTACACCCTAGTTCATGATTTGCATTTTGAAGTATTAAGAGAGGCCAGGCGCGGTGGCTCACGCATAATCCCAGCACTTTGGGAGGCCAAAGCGGGTGGATCACCTGAGGTCAGCAGTTCAAGACCAGCCTGGCCAACATGGCAAAACCCCGTGTCTACTATAAATACAAAAATTAGCCGGGCATGGTGGTGCATTCCTATAATCCCAGCTACTCGGGAGGCTGAGGTAGGAGACTCTCTTGAACCTGGGAGGCGGAGGTTGCAGTGAGCCAAGATCATACCATTGTACTCCAGCCTGGACAACAGAGCGAGACTCTGTTTCGGAAGAAAAAAAAAATGAAGTATTAGGAAGAAGTGTGGTGTCATCTGCAACTTACTTTGAAATGTACAAAGAAGCAAGATGGATAGATAAAAGAATGGCTTAGATGTATGATAAAGCAAGTAAAGTGTTAATGATTGATCCTAGGTGGTAGGTATACATTTCTTACTGCATAATTATTTTAAATTGTCGGTATGTTTGAAAATTTTCATAATAAAGTATTAGAGAAATGGGAGTGAGTTTTTAAAAAGAGAATGTAAATTTAAAACAACAAGACCTGTATTCCATATTCCTAAATATAGTCTCTCCAACCCTCTAAGCTGACTGTGCACATTGAACAAGAATTTGCCCTTACAGGGATCAGTGTCCTTCAGGGATGTGGCTATCGATTTCAGCAGAGAGGAATGGCGGCACCTGGACCCTTCTCAGAGAAACCTGTACCGGGATGTGATGCTGGAGACCTACAGCCACCTGCTCTCAGTAGGTAAGCACAGTCACCTTGGTATCTGAAAGGAGGCCTCACTGAGAGTGTTTTCATTCTCAGTTGGTGAATGCTGTCCGCATCTTAAATAGGTGATGATTTTGTTCTTGATTTGTCTAGGATTCTTTATTTGTTTAGGGCACTCAGAATTTTACCCTGAAAAGTTATGGTTACTTTTCTGAAGAAAAAATCCTCATCAAAGAATAAGAGATTATTGGTTGGGCCCTGAAACACAATTAGCTGGACCCAGACCTTTATCATTTCCCATGAACAGGATATCAAGTTCCTGAAGCAGAGGTGGTCATGTTGGAGCAAGGAAAGGAACCATGGGCACTGCAGGGTGAGAGGCCACGTCAGAGCTGCCCAGGTGAGTGAAGCGAGTGTGAATCCGGTAGATGGGAGATGGGAGGAAATCTCAGCTGTCTTGAGAAACACCAACACCCTTGGAATACTATTAAGATGCTTTTTCTGGAAAGTTCTGAATGTTTTTGTATTGCTTGATGCCCCCTTGGCCTCTCAGATCACTAAATGCATTCTCCCTGGATGACCTTTGTCATTTATTTTTTGTCACAGCCTGGGTCGCAGCCGGGGCTGTGTTGCCCAGGCTGGAGTGCAGTGGCATGATCCCAGCTCACTACAACCCCCGCCTCCTGGGTTCAAGCAATTCTCGTGCCTCAGCCATCCAAGTAACTGGGATTACAGGTGTTTGCCAGCCACCATGCCCAGCTAATCTTTGTACTTTTAGTAGAGGCAGGGTTTCACCATGTTGGCCAGGCTGGTCTCTAACACCTGACCTCAAGTGATCCACCCGTCTAGGCCTCCCAAAGTGCTGGGATTACAGGCATGAGCTACTGCGCCTGGCCGACCTTTGTCACTTCTGTGTTCTTCTTTGGCTTCGTGGATTCTGAATCATGTGCCAGTCTCCCTCATTAAAGATCTTTCTTGGCCGGGCGCGGTGGCTCACACCTGTAATCCCAGCACTTTGGGAGGCCGAGGCGGGCAGATCATGAGGTCAGGAGATCGGGACCACGGTGAAACCCCGTCTCTCCTAAAAATACAAAAAATTAGCCGGGCGCCGTGGTGGATGCCTGTAGTCCCAGCTACTCGGGAGGCTGAGGCAGGAGAATGGCATGAACCCGGGAGGCAGAGCTTGCAGTGAGCCGAGATCGCGCCACTGCACTCCAGCCTGGGCGACAGAGCGAGACTCCGTCTCAAAAAAAAAAAAAAAAAAAAAGATCTTTCTTTCTTGGTTATGCTCATTTTCTCTAACATTCTTCTTTTCCCCTACATTCCCCATAGTCCTAGAGTCTTTCTTTAACCTTCACGCATTCACGGATCTGCTTTCTTTCAAAGTTACTCTGTGTCACCCACTCCCACTCCTGCTAGTCACTTTTATTTCTTTTCTTTTTTCTTTTTTTTCTTTCTTTTTTTTTTTTTACTGTGAGATGCCTCAGAGCTTTCTGTCCAATCACCCTCTCTTTTTGTTTTCTGCAGAGGAGTGGCCATGAAATTTCTTACTTCTTCCCAGTCCTTCATGCCTGGATAAACTGATGACTTTGGGGGTCACTGTTACTTAATCTTTGGGATTATCTTTCTGCTGTCTTTAACATAATTAATCACCCTTCCTGACCTTTTTTCTTGATGTTGCTTGAGTGATTCCACATTGACCAGGGTTCGTTTTTGTTGTTGTTTTTGATTGCTTTATTTTTATAGTTTACCTGATGAGGTTTGAGTTTAATCATAGTCTTCAGTTTAAGACACACTATCATCATGAGTCTGGGTCAGGATTCTCTCTTATTTATGTTTTGATTTATTCCTTTTTCTCTTTCCCCCACACCCATTTTTCTGCCTGTCATAAGCTACTGTTTTATATGATGGAAACATTTTTTATTTCATGCATGTTGTAAGTGAATTAAGAGTTTGGATCATTAGTTTATATGAATGATGCTGTGGTATATATAGTGTTTTTTGCCTTACTTTTTCCACATCTGTCCATGGTGTTATCTGTTCATTTAGTTTATTTCCTCTAACTGCTGAATTGTTTTCCAGAACATTTCCTATCAACATTGTTACTGCCTTCCTCTTCACGTTACTCACCCTCACCCTTTTCTCTGTGTTCAGCCTGGATGAGTCATTTGTACCATACCCCCTAGCCTCTGCTAGCTGTTCTTTGAACTAAAATCACCTGTTTCTCATTTGAGCGGAGTTTAGATTCCAGACCTTATAGCACGGAATCTCTGAAGAGGTTTCTTTCCAAATTGAAAGAAAAGGTCATGATGAAAGTGATGTGAGATTCTATTTTATTCTAGAATAATTGTGACAGATTGGTGACAAATAGAGAGCTATCAGCAGAGAAAATAAATATCAAAATGATGTTGCTTTCATCAAGAAAATATTGACAACAAAGAGGCAATATGACTATAAGGATAGTAGAAAAATAATTCATGTGAACCCAAACATCATTTCTCCTCCCAAAAGACCCCATCAATATGCCTCATTTGGAAATGGTTTAAAGCATAATTTAGATTTATACAGTCATAATAAAAATAATCCTTCAAAGAATGTTAAAAAGATTACCAAATGATAAAATGTCTTCCTATAGTAACCATGAGTGTATTCCAACAGGAGAGAAATTATGGGACCATAATCAATGTAGAAAAATCCTCAGTTATAAACAAGTATCCTCTCAACCTCAAAAAATGTATCCTGGGGAGAAAGCTTATGAATGCGCCAAATTTGAAAAGATATTCACCCAGAAGTCACAGCTCAAAGTACACCTGAAAGTTCTTGCAGGAGAAAAGCTCTATGTATGCATTGAATGTGGGAAGGCTTTTGTACAGAAGCCAGAATTTATTATACACCAGAAAACCCATATGAGAGAGAAACCCTTTAAATGCAATGAATGTGGAAAATCCTTTTTTCAAGTGTCGTCCCTCTTCAGGCATCAGAGAATTCATACCGGAGAGAAACTCTATGAATGCAGCCAGTGTGGGAAAGGCTTCTCTTATAACTCAGATCTCAGTATACATGAGAAAATTCATACTGGAGAGAGACACCATGAATGCACTGACTGTGGCAAAGCATTCACACAAAAGTCCACACTCAAGATGCA
Organism: Homo sapiens; assembly: GCF_000001405.40. Classification (NCBI taxonomy): domain Eukaryota; kingdom Metazoa; phylum Chordata; class Mammalia; order Primates; family Hominidae; genus Homo; species Homo sapiens. The sequence continues at coordinate 37,153,119 of NC_000019.10, read as the reverse complement.
TCAGAAAATCCATACAGGCGAGAGATCCTACATCTGTATTGAATGCGGACAGGCCTTCATCCAGAAGACCCATTTGATTGCACACCGAAGAATTCATACTGGAGAAAAACCATATGAGTGCAGTAACTGTGGCAAATCCTTCATTTCCAAGTCACAACTTCAGGTACATCAACGTGTTCACACAAGAGTGAAGCCCTATATATGTACCGAATATGGGAAGGTCTTCAGCAATAATTCCAACCTCGTTACACATAAGAAAGTTCAAAGTAGAGAGAAATCTTCCATATGTACTGAGTGTGGGAAGGCCTTTACCTACAGGTCAGAGTTGATTATTCATCAGAGAATTCACACTGGAGAGAAACCTTATGAATGCAGTGACTGTGGGAAAGCCTTCACTCAGAAGTCAGCACTCACAGTGCATCAGAGAATTCATACAGGAGAAAAATCGTATATATGCATGAAATGTGGACTGGCCTTCATTCAGAAGGCACACTTGATTGCACATCAAATAATTCATACTGGAGAGAAACCTCATAAATGTGGTCACTGTGGGAAATTGTTTACCTCCAAGTCGCAACTCCATGTTCATAAACGAATTCACACAGGAGAAAAGCCCTATATGTGCAATAAATGTGGGAAGGCATTCACCAACCGGTCAAATCTCATTACACATCAGAAAACTCATACAGGAGAGAAATCTTATATATGTTCCAAATGTGGAAAGGCCTTCACCCAGAGGTCAGACTTGATTACACATCAGAGAATCCATACTGGGGAGAAGCCTTATGAATGCAATACTTGTGGAAAAGCCTTCACTCAGAAGTCACACCTCAATATACATCAGAAAATTCACACTGGAGAGAGACAGTATGAATGCCACGAATGTGGGAAAGCCTTCAACCAGAAATCAATACTCATTGTTCATCAGAAAATTCATACAGGAGAGAAACCCTATGTATGCACTGAGTGTGGAAGAGCTTTCATCCGCAAGTCAAACTTTATTACTCATCAAAGAATTCATACTGGAGAGAAGCCTTATGAATGCAGTGACTGTGGGAAGTCCTTTACCTCCAAGTCTCAGCTCCTGGTGCATCAGCCAGTTCACACAGGAGAGAAACCCTATGTGTGTGCCGAGTGCGGGAAGGCCTTTAGTGGCAGGTCAAATCTCAGTAAGCACCAGAAAACTCATACCGGAGAAAAGCCCTACATTTGTTCTGAATGTGGGAAGACCTTTCGACAGAAGTCAGAGTTGATTACACATCACAGAATTCATACTGGAGAGAAACCTTATGAGTGCAGTGACTGTGGGAAGTCTTTCACTAAAAAATCACAGCTCCAAGTGCATCAGCGAATTCACACTGGAGAGAAGCCTTACGTGTGTGCTGAGTGTGGGAAGGCCTTTACTGACAGGTCCAATTTGAATAAACATCAGACAACACACACTGGAGACAAACCCTACAAGTGTGGCATCTGTGGGAAAGGCTTCGTTCAGAAATCAGTGTTCAGCGTCCATCAGAGCAGCCACGCTTGAGAGAAACAGTGTGAGAAAACCCCCCTGAGGGTTGGGTCTGATTGTACACTGTTGCACGCATGCAGCAGAAAAATATGTATATTATTGTAAATAGAAATGACCACAGCAGAATGTCACACATGGCTGTTCTGGAGAGGGCCTCTGAGAAGGCACTGAATGAGGCGAGGGACCCTTCCTACATTGTCACCATCCCCAGTAAACCTTGGGTCATTATTCATACTGACAAGGAACCGAGTCAATTTGGTGAATAGGAAAAGCCTTCTCATGAAAACTACAATAGAATACTGTTACCAAATTCTTCCTAAGAAAGATCGTATTAAGTTAACGATAATCCTGTTTACTGTGGATTAGGTATAGTGCCAACAAATTGAATGATAAAACAACATAATACGTAGTTATTTTGATAGTGATGAATCCTAAGTTATGTGAGTTGTTCGTTGTGGAACACATTGTGTAACAGACTCCTGGGTGTTTTTCTTTCTCATTCGAATCTACCACAGTTGGTCATATCCAACCCTCATTCAGTATTTCTATCAAGAAAGAGATGCTACAAAAAAAAAAAGAAAAAACCTTTATGTATACAGACGTAAACCTCAGAATGTATGTTGAGTCCCCACTGTCATCTACCAAGACTTGCACCCCCCTCATTATCTACCATGACTGTCTCTCAGCCTCACGGGCCCTCAGCACTTTGTGTTTTGACCCCCAGCACCGTGTCTTGTGAACTCCCATCACCTTCAAGAAAGCTTCCGAGGTAAGAATTTTATGGTCATCTGGGACAACTTAAATCTCCCTTCTGCTGTCATAGTTCTTCCAACTCAGTTGCCTTTTTTTTTTTTTCGTACTCATCACTGACTTGAAGCTTAGTATCTGGCTTCCTTAAGGATGTAACTTTCATGTAACAGATTAATAACTTATATGAAAACCAACACAACCATATGTTTAGGGCTGGAAAGGGCCATGACGCCTGGCCATTTTTCCTGTTTTACCTTACTCTTATGTGTGTCACACTTCATCAATTCCGGAAACAGTTTCTGGAGATCTCCTCATTACCTCTTTTACAATCACCTCACTCCAGCATGGTGTCTGTTACCTCTTCCCACTTGTGACAATGTCTAGTAAGGTCCACTCTCCATTCTGTGTGATGACCACTTATTACAACCCTCAGAATAGGGGACAGTGGTGTGCCCCCTGCAATACAATGGTTTCTATCTCCTGATACTTTTATTACACCTCTAGCAGGATGTCTTGTGATCCTCCTTATTGATTTTTCCCTCACGATGATGAACAATTATCTCCCGTTACTCACCTAGCAGTATCTAACTGTCCCTAACACAGCATGTGGGAATGCCCTCAATACGGTGGATGCTGTTAACTTTCTTCCTTCCCCTCAGGCAATGGCGGTGACTTACAATGAACCATAATGTCCACATTTCCCAACTGTATTTTGGAGCCTCTTCTGTCCCCTTCTTTCTAGGACCCCAGTTAAAAAAAAAAAAAACAAAAACTAGCCCAATGTCTGTTGATGCCCATTAATCACTAACACAGTGTCTGACCCCTCCATTAAATTTTGATGGTATCTCTTGGCTCCCCATTGTCCCGTTAACCCAATGTCTGCTGATTCCCAATTTCCCACATTGCTTCATGCGGTTCCTTAGTCACCCTTGGCTACTGTACTTCCCCCAAGATTGCATCTCCATGTTTGCATGGTCATGATCCCTGGAAGATGGTGATGAGGATGAGGTCCCAGCCTCATAGACCTTTTCCTCTGAGTTCCCCCCAAGGCACAATGGAATGATGGACCCAGGGTGGGCCAGGGATGATCTGGAGATCTCAGGAGACCACAAGCTGGGCTTCCTGTCTACTACATGAGTATGGTGTGAGCAGAACAGTGAAAGCTGTCTATGTTGGTTCAAATTCTGGTGCCAACACTGATCCACTTAGGGACCCTCAGCCTGCCCAGAAACCTCCTCTGGGCCTCAATTTTCTCACTTGTAAAATGGGATTATGGGAGAATGAAGTGACTTTTTTTGGGTCACATGATGGATGGGATCCAAGCCAGCAGGGCCCAATGACAGCATCCTGTTAATATTAGTCATCAGTCAACATAAGCATCTGACTATCCTCTGTATGCCCAAGCCTCATGAAGGGAAACAATTTATTGTAAATGACTTTTGATTATTTCTCTTATATATTTATTGTAACAATATTATAATACTTACGTATATGTATATGCATATACCCGTATATACGGAAGGCTTTATTTTTTAGAGTAGTTTTAGGTTCAAAGCAAAATTGGGTAGAAATTACAGAGGTTTCCCATATATCCCCTAATCCACATATGCATAGCCTCCCACATTATCAGCATTCCTCTCAGAGTAGTATATTTGTTACAATTGGTGAACCTCCACTGACACTCATTACCACCCCAAGTCTATAGGTTATATTAGGGTTCATCCTTGGTGTAACACCATAGAATGTGTCTTGTACTTTCTGCTTGTTGGAGCAAGTGGATCATGGCATGTTTCCACTGTTATACACAGAGTAGTTTCACTGCCCTAAAAATCCTCTGTGTTCTGCCTGTCATCCCTTCATCTCCTCTAATCCTGGCAACATTTTTTCTGTCTCCATAGTTTTACCTTTGATCTTTTATATCATATAGTTGAAATTATACAGTGTGTAGCCTTTTCAAATTGACTTCTTTCACTTAGTAATGTGGATTTCAGTTTCCTCCATGTCTTTTCATGGCTTGATAATGCATTTCTTTTTAGAGCCAAATTATGTTCCATCGTCTGGATGTTTATTTATTCACCTACTGAAGGACTGTTGGATGCTTCCTTTTGGCAATTATGAGGAAAGCTGTTATAAATATCTGTGCAGGCTTTTTGTGTGGACATAACTGAAATATTTTTAAAGTTATATTTATTGAGGTATAATTTACATTCAGTAATAGTCACACTTTTTAGTGTAGAGTTCTGAGTTTTGACAGTTGTATCTAATCATGCAATCAACACCACAATCAAGATGAAGAACAGGCCCCTCACTTCCCTAACTTCTTTCCTATCCCTTTTTAGTCCCTTTTCCCACTCCCAGCCCTTGGCAATCACCAGTCTGTTTCCGTCTCTATAGTTCTGCCTTTTCCATAATATTGTATAAGTGGAGTCCTTGTGTGTGTGTGTGTGTGTGTGTGTGTTTTGTACGTGTATGTATATCTCCTTTTGAGTCGGAGTGCTTTCATTTAATGTGATGTATCTGAGATTCATCCATATGGTTCTATGAAAAACAAATGGAAAATAAGGTGATGAAAAGATGCTCAACATCTTTAATTATCAGGAAAATGTAAATCAAACCACAATGAGATACTACTATAGAATGGCTTTTAGAATGGCTAAAAATGAAAACGTGCCATAAATTGGCAAGAATACAGACCAATGGAAATTTTCATGCATTGCTTGTAGGATTGTAAAACGGTCTGTCCACTATGCACAAAAGTTTGGCAGCTTCTTATACTATTAACCATACATTTATCATATGACTCAGCAACTCCACACTTAGGTATTTACCCTAGATGAAAGAAAAATTCTGTTTACATGAAAACCTATACTCAGATGTTCACAGCAATTGTATAATTGCCCAAATTAGGAAGTAACACAAATGTACATCAGTGGATGAGTGATTAAACAAATTGTGTACACCAATACTATGGAGGGCTGCTCAGACATAAAGAAATGATTTATTGACACTTACTACAACATGGATGAATCTCAAAAGTGCTGTTGTATTTTAGGTAAACCATGTGATAACTTGAATTACATTTGATAAAAGATTTATAAGTGTAAAAACTAGATTTATATATTTTAATTTTATATGTGCCTGTCATTACATACTATAGAAAATTGTGTCTACAGTATGTTATATAGCATATTGTAATATTTATTACTGTATATTCCTTGTGACAATAAAATAGTTTGTATTTTATATAATAGTACCTGTTTTATAGTATATGTTTTATTTTATATGATTACCTAATTTTAATATTTTACATATCAAACTTTCACATAATATTTTGGTTATTTCTACTTTCACGTAGTTGCATTTAATGTTTGTAGTGTAAAGATATAACTACAATAAAAGAGGCCAGAGAGTCTGCAGTTGGAGTTAGTCAACATTTTTATTTGTCAGGCATCTCAATTCTGGCTGTTTTAACATCAAGGATCTTTTCTCTGGCTTTGGGCCTTTGCACCGACTGTTCTGAGAGTGCTCTGCTTCTCCAGTGCCCGTGCATCTTGCTTTCCTCTTCCACCTTTGCAGTGCCTCCATCCCCATCTTATCCTGCCATTGAAGTAACACATCTGTAGAGCTCACTTGCTGCTCCCTTATTTTGTATGATATTTGCATTGCAAATACTATTACTATCTGACCTGATTCAATATTCCTTTTTTTGGTTTCTCATCCCTCTTCCCCACTGGACCATCAGCCTCATGAGAACCAGACTTTGTCTGTCCTGTTTCTGCTGTATACCAGGCGCCCAGCACGGTGCCAGCTCAAAGCAGATGCTCAGTACAAGCTTGTTAAATGGATGAATGAATAATAGCAATAATATCGAGGTTGACCAGATGCCCCGCACAGATTGGTAACATGTGTGGGGAAGTTGGTGGGGTGGGTTTGGGTCCTCTAATTCAAGATTTAATGCCTCCTCCCACCATGGTCCAGCACACCCAGCTCTAACTCCATGTCAGGGCAGTACCAAACTGAGTATCCTACCTACATACATTCCACACTGTTTACAAGATCTAACTTAGCCTCCTCCTGGTCACAGTGGCAGGTCACATAGAGGGGGAAAGGGGCAGGAGTGGGGGATCCATAGGCAGGGGGCCACTCCCATCAGCATCTAGCCTAGCACTTTCTATCCTGCACCCCATTGTCAGTGTCACCTGCCCCACCTCCTCCACTGGAGCAGCCACTGGAAAATATAGAACCCCAGGAGCAAGAGGAATGTGGCAGGGCTGAGGGTTCTGGGGCTCAGGCACCTTGTTGGATAATGGATGTGATGCAGTGTGGCAGACATTGACCCCGTGGCCAAAGTCAGCTTAAAGCCAAGGTTGTCATGGACACTTCCCATAATGCCAGGATGAATCACACCCTCCACCCTCAGCTCTCAAATGGGCTACTAGTGCCAATGTGACTATTTTTTATTTTTATTTTTTTTGAGATGGAGTCTCACTCTGTTGCCAGGCTGGAGTGCAGTGGTGTGATCTTGGCTCACTGCAACCTCTGCCTCCCGGGTTCAAGTGATTCTCCTGCCTCAGCCTCCGAGTAGCTGCGATTACAGGCACCCACCACCACACCCAGCTAATTTTTTGTATTTTTAGTAGAGATGGGGTTTCACCATGTTGGCCAGGATGGTCTCAATCTCCTGACCTCACGATTTGCCCACCTCGGCCACCCAAAGCATTGGGATTACAGGCCTGAGCCACCTCGCCCAACCCAGTGTGACTATTTATGGTATATCCTACACCTCCCCACCACACTCTACTCCACATTCCTCATACCGTACCATACCGTACACCATGCCATAGCATACCACTTACAGTTTTACTTAATTCTATAATTATATTGTTTCTATTAATGGTTTTAAATATAATCAACACAATTATACTTTATAACAAATATCAGAATCCTTGTCATTATTATATGCCTCTAAATTATTAAGATATCATAAATAACAACATATCAATTCTGATGCTAAGAAATCCTCTGTCTCTGCTAGTTTCTGCCACCTTCAGGTGTTTGTATTATATAAACACAGTAGTCCCACCCCTGGGCTGATGTTTTCCACCCTCTGTGAAATCAGCACAATTAGGTTACATCCTTAGTGATTTTATTATGGTGTTATTTTAATATTTATTATAACAAGGAATGCTGCTATTAAAACAAAAAATTGTGCTCTCTGTTTACATTTGTGAAATAGGACAATATAAGAAGCACATTAGTACAATCATTTGAGTTATATTAAGTTTGTGCCTATAATAAATGCCAATCCTGAAAACCCATGGTGTGTTCTATTATATTGCGGAAAATGGGCACATTTACAATACAGCGTCGACTGCTGCAATGGTCTAAATTTGTGCCTTCCCCCACCACATTTACATATTGAAATCAGTTTCCCACTGAGATAATATTAAGAGATGGAGTCTTTGGTAGGTGATTAGGTCATGAGGGCTTTGCTTTCAGGAATGCAATTCATGGCCTTACAAAAGAGGGCCAAGGGAGTTTCTTTTCCTTTCTGCCATGCGAGAACACGGCAAGTAGTCACCATCTGAGAAGCAGACAACTCTCACCAGACGCTGAATGTGTTGGCATCTTGATCTTGGACTTTTCAGCCATCAGAACTGTGAGCAATAAATTTGGCTTCTTAATAAATCCCCCAGCCTAGGCATTTTGTTATAGCATCCCAAACAGACTAGGACAACCATATTAATTATCTATCGCTATGTGTAACATATTACTCAAAACTTAGTGGCGTGACATAATAATAAACACTTATTCTCCTACATACTCTCTGAGGACTGGAAATCTAGGCACAGTTTAGCTAGGTGGTTCTGGCTCAGGAACTCTCATGAGGTTGCAATCAGGATGTTGGCTAGAATTGCAGTCATCTGAAGGCTAACTGGGGCTAATTGGATCTGATTCTAAGCTCACGTGACTATGAGCAGAAGGTGAAAGGCCTCAGTTTCTCACCACATGGAACCCACCATAAGAATACTTGAGTGTGTTCACCACATAGTGAAAGTATTGGTTACAGTGGTCAGTCTATTTATCGTGAAAGAAGACTCTATGGAGTTTGAATACCAGGAGATAAGATTGATTGAGGGCAATCTTGGAGGCTGGCTACCACACTGACATTGTGGTCATTTGCATTTATATTACCATTATCATTGCAATTGATACCACTGTTGACTAATGACAATCTCGTAACCCAGAGGGAAATAGTCCGCACATTATAAGGTATTTGTGAAGCATAAATGATGTGGTACCCAGTACACAGTGCTGATTGTGATGACAATAATGATGACAGCAAATTTTAGTTAAGTGTTTAATGTGCACCAGGCCATGTTCTAGGTTCATTCAGTCCTCCTAATGCTTGAGATGAGCACAATTATTATACTCGTTTCCCACACAAAGAATGTGTCACAGAGGAATAAAGGAATTTTCCAAGATCACAAAACTTTTAAAAAGCACAGGGAAATTCAAACCTGGGCTGGCCAACTAAAGAGTCCATTCCATTAACCCCTATGCAGTGCTGCACCTGAAAGGCCATCATTAGTGTGATCACTCCCAGGCTTGGTTATAGTGTAATCATGCTGTAGTTATAAAGTAATACAGTAGTAATAGTGTAGCCATAATACTTCTCCTGAGAAGGCTGGCTATTCCTGCATCCCCGCCCCATAGGAGGAGGACATTGTTAACATCATCATTATTATCATTATTTTAATATTATAACTGTGCCTATTATAACAGTGATGAACACTTAAATCTTTCCATGATATGGCTTTATGTCTTCACTTATTCTCCTGGGAGTCTTTCCCTAAGATTTATAAACTTAAAATCCTAAGCCACTCCCCAACTGAATGGACCCCCTTGTGGCCAAGGGGACCCCAGAAAACTCCTTTTTTTTGTTTTTGAGACAGAGTTTTGCTCGTTGCCCAGGCTGGAGTGCAGTGGCACAATCTCGGCTCACTGAAACCTCTGCCTCCGAGGTTCAAGGGATTCTCCTGCCTCAGCCTCCCGAGTAGCTGGGACTACAGGCATGCGCCACCACGCCCAGCTAATTTTGTATTTTTAGTAGAGACGGGGTTTCTCCATGTTGGTCAGGCTGGTCTTGAACTCCCGACCTCTGGTGATCTGGCTGCCTCGGCCTCCCAAAGTGCTGGGATTACAGGTGTAAAGCCACCGCGCCCAGCCCCCAGAAAACTCTTAAATACTTAGTTCCCAGCCATGACAGGATGGAAGGTTAGACAGGCCTCATTATACCCCTCTCTTTTGTGGTTTAAATATAACAACTGACCAACATGAATGTTAAAACAGAGATCATAAGATTGACAGAACAGATGCTTTGTGGCAATAAGACATAAGCTGGACGCAAAGCCATGCCAGGCAAGGGATAGGTCACATCCCCCTACACTTAAGGAATAAATTCTTTTCTGGCCAGGCACAGTGGCTCACGCCTGTAATCCCAGTACTTTGGGAGGCCAAGGCGGGAGGATCACCTGAGGTCAGGAGTTCGAGACCAGCCTGACCAATATGGTGAAACCCCATCTCTATTAAAAATACAAAATTAGCTGGGTGTGGTGGCGCATGCCTGTAATCCCAGCTACTCAGGAGGCTGAGGCAGGAGAATTGCTTGAACCCAGAAGGCAGAGGTTATGGTGAGGTGAAAGTCCATCTCAAAAATAAATAAATAAATAAATAAAAAGAATAAAGTATGTTCTAACTGCCTCTAACTGCCACAAGGTTTTTTTTTTTTTCCTCTCTGGCAGCTAAACAAGCACTGGCCTCAACATAAACAATATTAAAACAATTTGCAGCTCCACCAGATGATGACTGACCTCCACCCACTATTCCACCAGCTATAACTATAGCTTTGACTGGACAAGAGACTAACTTCAGTAACTTTCTCCTGATGAAAAGACCACTGAGCACAGACTGGTCCTGGCTAGTATACACACACTGCGCACTTGTGTGGCTTCCTGACCTGAAAAGACCTTTTGATATAATAGGACCTAATTGTAATAAATTTAAATGTTGTGTCTCTACCCCAAAGTGAACATGGTTCATATGTCACACGCATGTTTGTTCAGTGTGTATGTGTCAGGACCACCTGTAGGAGGTAAAATAAATTAAAATGGGCTGGGTGCGGTGGCTCATGCCTATAATCCCAGCCCTCTGGGAGGCCGAGGCGGGCAGATCACGAGATCAGGAGATTGAAGCCATCCTGGCTAACACGGTGAAACCCCGTCTCTACTAAAAATACACACACACACACACACACACACACACACACACAAAATTAGCTGGGCGTGGTGGCACACACTGTAGTCCTAGTTACTCGGGAGGCTGAGGCAGGAGAATTGCTTGAACTTGGGAGGTAGAGGTTGCAGTTAGCTGAGATCCCACCACTGCACTCCAGCCTGGGCTACACAGCGAGACTCCATCTAAAAAAAAAAAAAAGTAACTAAAAAAAATTAAAATGAGTCTGCTGAGTTTGTGTGTAAGGCAGGTGGAAGAGTCCTTGATTGTAAACATAAGCTTATGGTTCTGGGAATTGGCAGTCAGCTGCAGTCACTCAATGGAAGGCCACAGTGAGGAATGTCGGGAATATGGGGCAAGCTTCCCAGGTCTCAGCCAGGTGCTGTAATTTAAAGCTGTCTCTCCTGACTTTGGAATGATATTGCAGAAGAATAAAAGTGATTCCATGCAGTCTCCAGCTTGGCCAAGAAGAAAAATGATTCATCTACAGTTGGGATGAGGGTCTCTCCCAATGGGAACTGAAAACTTCAAAGTAAAAGTAAGGAAGCTTCCAGAACCAAGGGTAGCTCCAAGCTTTTGGATGCTGAAGTTTTATAATCAGGAACGCTATCCACCCCTTGATGGTTGTGGATAACATCACACATGTCAAAGGAGAGGAGTATCCTTTGGAGGGTGCTATGAACTAAACTGTGTCCCCCCAAAATTCAGAGGTTGAAGCTCTAACCCTCAATGTGGCTATTTTGGAGATAGAGCTTTTAGGAGGTAATTGAAGTTAATTAAGTTCATAAGGGTGGGATCCTCATCTGGTAGAATTGGTGGTCTTACAAAAATAGGAAGAGAGGCTCGCTCGCTCTCTCTGTCTCCTGCACCTAGGAAAAGCCGTATGAGGACGTAGCAAGAAGGCAGCCCTCACCAAAAGCGGACCATGCTGGCACCTTACCTTGGACTTTCCAGCTTCCAGAACTGTGAGAAAATTAATTTTTGTTGTTAAGAAAATTCATTTGTGTTCCATTTTGTTAAGCCACTGAGTATATGCAATTTTGTTATGGCAGCCCAAGCTAAGACAGAGGAAACATTAATTAGGTAGGACCAAATGGAGCTACCCTTTTTACCTTCCCTTCATGGGCCACTAAGTACTGATATGGATATGTTAACTTTAAGAAAAACTACAGTTGTTGTTTTGTTTTGTTTTTTTTTTTTTTTTTGAGATGGAGTCTCACTCTGTCGCCCAGGCTGGAGTGCAGTGGTGTGATCTCGGCTCACTGCAACCTCTACCTCTCGGGTTCAAGTGATTCTCCTGCCTCAGCTTCCCAAGTAGCTGGGATTACAGGTGCATGCCACCAGGTCTGGCTAATTTTTTTTGTATTTTTAATAGAGATGGGGTTTCACCATGTTGGCCAGGCTGGTCTTGAACTCCTGACCTCAAATGATCCACCCACCCTGGCCTCCCCACATGCTGGGATTACAGGCATGAGCCACCATGCCTGGCCACACACTATTTAAATTTAAAAAACAAGGAGACTTTATAAAGGGTTACAGCCAGCAAAGTGGCCGTGCGCAGACTGGGAAGTGTTGGGGCAGGAGCTTGATGCTGAACAGGTTTGCTAAACATAAATATTCAACATGTTATGCATTTGTCAAAACAGCAAATGGTACACTTAAGATTTATGTATGCATTTCGTTGCATGCAAATTGTACATAAAAAGAAACATGCAACAATCACTAAAAGACACTGTCAAAGTGTCAAAGTGCATATAAAAATAAGACCCAATTATTTGTTTTCTACAAAAAAACTCATTTAGTTGCTTTTCTCTTTTTTTTCCCAAGTTTTATTTTGGATTGAGTGGGTACATGTGCACGTTTGCTAGATGAGTATGTTGCGTGATGCTGAGGTTTGGGGTACACATGATCCTGTCACTCAGGTAGTAAGTATACTACCCAACAGGTCGTTTTTCAGCCCACATCCTCCTTTCTCTCTCCCTCCTCTAGTCATCCCCAGTGACTATTGTTCCCATCTTTATGTCCAGGTGCACTCAATGCTTAGCTCCCACTTATAAGTGAAAACATGTGGTATTTGGTTTTCGGTTGCCACGTTAATTAGCTTAGGATAATGGCCTCCAACTGGATCAATGACATGACTTCACTCTTTGTTGTGGCTGTGTAGTATTCCATGGTATGTATGTAACACGTTTTCTTTATCCAGTTCACCATTGATGGGCACCTAGGTTGATTCCTTGTCTTTGCCATTGTGAATAGCACTGCAATGCTATTCACAATGAACATATGAGTGCATGTGTCTTTTGGTAGAGCGATATATTTTTCCTTTGTGTATATACCCAGGAATGGGGTTGTCAGGTCAAATGGTAGTTCTAGGTTCTTTGAGAAATCTCCAAACTGCTTTCCACAGTGGCTGAACTAAATTTACATTCCCGCTAACAGTGTATACGCATTCCCTTTTCTCCACAGCCTTGTCATCACCTGTTACTTTTTTACAGTCTCCATTCTGACTGGTGTGAGATGGTATCTCATTGTGGTTTTGATTTGCATTTCTCTGATGATTAGGAATGCTGAGCATTTTTTCATGTTTGTTGGACACTCGTATGTCTTCTTTTGAGAAGTGTCTGTCCTTTGCCCGTTTTTAAATTGATTTGTTTTTTGTTTGATTTGTTTAGGTTCCTTATAGATTCTGAATGTTAGACCTTTGTTAGATGCATAGTTTGTGAATATTTTCTCTCATTCTGTAGGTTGCCTGTTTACTTTGTTAATAATTTCTTTTGCTATGCAGAAGATCTTTAGTTTCATTAAGTCCCATTTGTCAATTTTTGTTTTTGTTGCAGTTGCTTTTGAGGACTTAGCCATAAGTTCTTTGCCAAAGCCAGTGTTGAGAAGGGTATTTCCTAGGTTTTCTTCTAAGATTTTTATAGTTTGAGGTCTTTTTTTTTTTTTTCTTTTTGAGACAGAGTCTCACCCTGTCACCCAGGCTGGAGTGCGGTGGCATGATCTTGGCTCACTGCAACTTCTGATCCTAGATTCAAACCATTCTCCTGCCTCAGCCTCCTGAGTAGCTGGGATTACAGGTGCCTGCCGTCATGCCAGGCTAATTTTTGTGTTTTTAGTAGAGACGGCGTTTCACCATGTTGGCCAGGCTGGTCTCGAACACCTGACCTCAGGTGATTGGCCCGCCTTGGCCTCCCAAAGTGCTTGGATTACAGCTGTGAGCCACTGCGCCTGGCCTGAGGTCTTACATTTAATCTTTAGTCCACCTCAAATTAATTTTTTTATATTTTGAAAGGTCAGAGTCCAGTTTCATTCTTTGGCATGTGTCTAGCCAGTTATCCCAGCATTGTTTATTGAATAGGGAATTCTTTCTGCTTTGCTTATTTTTGTCAACTTTGCCAAAGATCAGATGACTGTAGGTATGTGGCTTTATATCTTGGTTCTCTATTCTGTTCCATTGGTGTATGTGGGTTTGTGGGTTTTGTTTTATTTATTTTTTATTTGTTTATTTATTAATTACCAGTGCCATGCTGTTTTGGTTACTGTAGCTTTATAGTAGTTTGAAGTTGGGTAATGTGATGCCTCCAGCTTTGTTCTTTCTGTTTAGAATTGCTTTGGTTATTTGGACTCCTTTTTGATTCTGTATAAATTTTAGAGTAGTTTCTTTTATTTCTGTGAAAAATGACAGTATTTTGATAGGAATAGCATTGACTGTAGACTTCTTTGGGCAGTAACTGGCTAGAACACATTGTATGAACAAAATAGATATATCAATAAAGAAATAGAAAACAAAAAAATTCTGGAGTACAATAGCTGAAATGAAAAAGTCTCAAGGGGTTCTCAAAGTGGTTAATGCCAGTTATAGCTCATCCAAACCAGTCATGGCCAGTTGAAACTGGTAAAAGCTGGTCAAAGCTAGCCATAACAAATCAGAAAGAGAATAAAGTAATTTCAGTCTGTCAAAACTGATAGTAGCCAGACAGAGCCAGTCTGAACCGTTTGTGGTCAGGTGAAACTGGTGTAAACTTGTTGGAAATGGCCAAGACCAGTCAAAACTGACATAAACCAATTGTGGCCAGTCAAAACCAGTCCAAGCCAGTCAAGGCCAGATGTAGCCTGTTGTGAACCCAAAGTATCTGAGACAGGTCTCAATCAATTCAGAAAGTTTATTTTGCCAAGGTTAAGGACACCCCATGACACAGCCTCAGGAGGTCCTGATGACATGTGCCCAAGGTTTTTGGGGCACAGCTTGGTTTTATACATTTTAGGGAGACATGAGACATCAGTCAGTATGTGTAAGGTATACATTGGTTCAGTCTGGAAATACAGGACAACTTGAAGTGGGGGCTTCCAGGTCATAGGTAGCTAAGAGGCAAGTTGTTGCATTCTTTTGAGTCTCTGATTAGCCTTTTACTGAATCCTTAGTCTGGCTTAGTGAATCTGAATTTTTACATAAACAATAGGGCAGAGAAAGCAATCAGATGTGCATTTGTCTCAGGTGAGCAGAGGGATGATTGAGTTCTGTTCTTTGTCTCACACCTGTGAAGATAAACTATCAAGTTACCTTACCAGGGTTAAATTCAACAGCACTGTTTTAGGGTAAAGATCTTGAGGCCCACAAGAAATTTTCTTGTGGACAAATTGTGAGGGAGGTATGTATAATAGTTTTTTATCTTTGTAGCTATCGTATTTAGAAATAAAATGGGAGACAGGGTTTGCCTGATGCAGTTCTCAGCTTGACTTTTTCCTTTGGTTTAGTGATTTTGGGGTCCTGATATTTATTTTCCTTTTACACTAGCTACACAGATTTTGGGCAGTTGAAACCAATCTACACCATTTGGAACCAGACATGACCAGTCAGAACCAGCATTAACCAATTATGGTCATTTCAAACTGGTTGCAGCCACTCAGAGCCAGTCTTAACCGTTTGCAGTCAGTTGAAATTGACCCAAACTGATTGGAACCAGCCAAGACTAGTCACACCTGGCATAAAATGTTTCTGGCTTGGCCAGGCATGGTGGCTCATGCCTGTATTTCCAGCATTTTGGGAGGCTGAGGCGGGTGAATCAAGAGGTCAGGAGTTCGAGTCCAGCCTGGCCAACATAGTGAAACCCCTTCCCTACTAAAAATACAAAAAAATTAGCTGGGCATGGTGGTGTGCACCTGTAATTCCAGCTACTTGGGAGGCTGAGGCAAGGAGAATCGTTTGAACCTGGGAGGCAGAGGTTGCAGTGAGCCGAGATTGCGCCACTGCACTCAAGCCTAGGCAACAGTGTGAGACTCCATCTAAAAAAAAAAAAAAAAGTTTCTGGCTTATAAAACTAGTCAAAACCAGTGCTCAAAATTGTACAATTGTTACCAAACACCAGGGGTTATGTTTGGGTCCCACTGGTCAATACACAAAAAGCCAATCAGTGAGTTGAGTATTGCCAGGGAGGCAGGCTTACTATTGCACAGGTGACATCAGCCTGTGAGATGGCAGCCAAACCTCAAATTCATCCCTCCTCCTTGACTAAAGTTAAGGGTTTATATAGCCCCGAATAAAAACAGGGGGAAAGGAGTTGGTCAACAAGCAGCAAATGTATTTCATTGTACAAATGTAAGTTTCTCAAGCTTCAGTTTTATGGACATCCAGCTTGTTGGAAAATTGGGCTGGTTTCACAATGAAAGAGGGAAAGTATTCTAAGTCTAAGGGAACATTGAAGGTCTCCTTTAATCTACAATAGTGAAACTTTCTTCAAAGGGTTTTGAGTGTTTCTTGCTTGTGTGTCTAGTTGTCTCTGATTTTGTAAGAAATATGTCAAAAAGAAACTAACAAGGCCTATGTGATGCTATAGATTCTACATTGAAGTGATCAAAACCTGTTGATGCTTGTTATACTCCATCTATACTGATCGTGGCCAGTTGAAATCAGTGTAAACCTTTCGGAACTGGCCAAGAGTAGTCAGAACTGGCATATGCAGATTTTGGCTGGTCAAAACAGGTGCAAGCTGGTCAAGGCTAATTATAAGCCCCTCTAAAGTGGTTGTAGCCAGCTGAAACCATTCTAAGTTGGTTGGAACCAGCTATGACAAATTAGAAGTGGCATAAATTGGTGCTTATTTGTTCAAGCCAGTTGTAGCCAGTCAGAGCCAGTATCAGTCATTTTTGGCCAGAGGAACTGATCTAAACTGGTCAGAAATGGCAAGACCATTTGGAATAGGCATGAACTGATTTTGCCCAATCAAAACTGGTTCAGGCTGGTCAAGGCCAGTAATACCCAGTACAAACCAGTTTTGACCAGTTGGAACTGGTCTAAGCTGGTCAGAACCAACTTAGACTGATCACAATTGGCATAAAACAATTCCAGATTGTGAAAACCAGTAAAAACACGTGCTCAAAATTGTACACTGAAAGACTGAAAAAGATTCTAAGGTCTAAGGGAAAATGTGGAAGGTCCTCTTTCATCTACAATAATGATAATTCTCCTGTAGGTTATGAGTGGTTCTTGTTTGTGTGCTCAAGTTCTAATATTTCTTGTGTCCCTCATTTGGTAAGAAGTCTCTCATAAAAAATAACAAGGGTTACATAAGGATATAGATGATATAAGAAAGTGGTCAAAACCTGTTGAGGCCATTTTTACTGGGCATAAAACAGTTGTGGCCAGTTGAAATGAGTCTAATCTGGTCAAAACCAACAAAGACCAGAACTGGCATAAACTGATTTTGGCCAGTCAAAACAGGTCCAAGCTGGTCAAATTCACTATAGTCTCACTAAATAGGTTCTGGCCAGTTGAAGCCATTCTAAACCAGTCAGAACCAGCGATGAAAAATTAGAACTGGCATAAACCGATACTTATTGGTCCAAACTGGCTGTAGCTGGTCAGCACTTTGTAAGTGTTGTATATCTGTGTGTGTATTTGTGTGGGATGTGTTTGTGTGTGTGTCTTCTCTTTGTGGTATCTAGTGGGACAAATGTGCCTTGTGCACTGGAGGGGGTTTCTTTCGTCAGGCTTCCTTTTGGTTTACCTCTCCTTGTGTTTCTGCTTGGGCTGTGTGTAATCTGTTTTCTGTGTGGTTCCAGCTTGTGTTTTGTTAAGGCCTGGGCGAGGTGGGGGCCTGCTTGGCACCAGGAGGAATAAAAATAGCCTTGTCTCTGGAGAGGCCAACTTTTCTAAAATAAGGTGACGATACCACATCCAACAACAGAAACCTCACAGGAACACGTTTTCCATGAGCAGGAGTGGTGTAGTCAGATGTCAAAGAAGATGCTTGTAACTCCATTCTTCCTTTCCCTTAATAGTCGCATGAAAACTCACCATGATTCAATATTGAGAAGAACACAATAACGTGTGAACAATCTCTTTAAATCAAACTGCAGCCTTTCTGGCTAGGTCACGAGTTTTGCACTCATTCCTGCATCCACATGGCAGTGGTAGTAATTTCCCCAACATTGCCTCTGTTCTCTTACTATGCCCTCTATCTTTTATTGTCTTCCATATTTTTGATGGGCCTAGATTTTTTTGGTCTGGCTCAATCTTATCAACAAAAAATATTTCCCAGTTCACCAAGGACAATATTCTGGGGGGTCCATTTCATGAGTGTTTCCTTCTCCACACATCTTTAATTATTGGGCAGGTGTGATGATCATGGAGCTCTAGGTTTTCATAGCTTTCACCAAAAACCAAACGAACAAACAAAAACAAAAAACAAAAAGACAATTGCTCACAATATCCAATCAGATGGCTGCGTGATTCACACAGGATGAGAGGTAGACACCCATGGCTGGCCTTTGCCTTCTAATTGAGGTTGTCTTGCATTTTGTTTCCATTTTCTCACTCTTGAGGGATATCTAACTCCCCTGTTCCTGGATGAGACTGCTTTCCAGCACTGAATCCTTTGGCTGCCACTTATTTTTTTAATTGAATAAAAGGGACTGGGGATTGGCTGGATACAGGTGAGGCTGTGTTAGGGGTCCCCCGTGTTGGAGTTGAGCATGGGTACACTTTGCAGAAACCTCGTGGGTCTTCTGGCAGGAATCCCCAAAGGTGGCTTGGACTCCAGCACAGGCCCTTTTTTAGTCTCAGGAGTCCTTTGATTCTTCTTTGCTTTCTTGGGGGTCCTCAGTGCCCCTTGATAGCATGCCTGGACACTACTGTCTGTCCTGGAATTACCCCAGCTGCCTCAGAGACACACTCCCAACCCATCTGCCCCTGTGGAATGATAGTTCCAGGTGTGGTTGCCTTAGCCCCACCTTGCATTTGACCTCATTTCCACATTTCCTGGACAGTGGTGACAAGCGGGAGCCCCTGGGCTTTGAGGCCAGGGCAGGGCCCTGCTAGGGCCAGGTTGAAGGGAGGAAGTGGGCTCATGGGTCAGTGAATTTTTCGCTGATACCTTCCCTGGGGAACTCAGGTGTCTATGTGCCCCAGCAGCCCCTTCCACACCTCACTGATTTTATTTTCACCCCCATCTGACCCAATTTCTGCCCACAGCATCCAATCCAGAATCAGATCCAAAGAGGAGTAAGGAGTACCAATCTCCTGCCCTGAAGCTCTTCCTCCACCAGGAACTCAGGAAGAAGTCCAGTGAAGTGGGGGTTGAGGACAGGATGGCTAGGACGGGCCTTCTGTCCCGTGCAACCTCTTTTCCTCCACCACCGGAGCAGGAGCCCTCTGTGGCAGTTCATTGGCCTTGGGCTCTGGTTTGTCTTCTCCAGGGGTTCAACAGGATGGTCTTGGGATCCTAGGCATCATGGAGGGCTGAAGAAACATCAAGGGGAGCCCCAGAAATTCACCACGGGATCCCAGCCTCAGGCCCGCCTAGACAGTGTGCGGGTGAGTCTCCCCAAAAGTTGTCCCTCTTGTCACCTTGAGGACTGGCCTGTGTCTCAAGGCTGCTCTTTTCCTAAAGGGACTTCATCACAGACAGCAGAACCCTGCAGCCTCAGGAGCTGCCTGAGTGTGTGTTTCTGTGTCACTGTTGTATGTCTGTGTGTGTGAATGTAATTTTGTCTTTTTGTGTGTCTATGTGTGGTGTCTAGTGAAATAGTCTTCATTTTGCATTTGTTCCCAGTTCCATATGGTAGTTGGCTGTGATTTATCATGGGTGAGCTCTAGCCTGTTCCATGACCGCCGTCTTTTTTTGTCTTCCCTATTTCTGATGGGTCTAGATTTTTGTCAGGCTCAATCTTATCAACAAAAATAATTTTCCAGTTCATCAGGGCCAACATTCTTGGGGATCCATTTCTATAGTGCTGCTTTCTCCACATTTATTTGTTAATGATTGGGCAGGTGTGATTATTATGGAGTTGTGGGTTTCCATTACTTTTACCAACAAGCTAACTCTGTCTGTGCCTATTCAGATGGCTTCACTATTCACAAGATGATTATCCAGTTATAGCCAGTCTTGTCGTTCTAATAAACATTGTGTTTAATTTCATCGACATTTTTCTTTTCCTTCTTGAGTGATATGTACTTTTTTCCCTTTGTGACTGCACTGGCGTCAAGCCTTTTCAGGTCTGCAGTTCTTCTATTTAACCTATTCCTGTATTTCTGTTTGACCCTCAGCTTGTGATTTTTTTTCCATTATAGTTCCTGTTTGGGTATTTTAGAGTTTGCATTATTTGCTGTTTGCCTCTGATTTAAAGGGGAGTCCAGAGGGCATACCTTAAGCCCTAATTTTGTCCTTTAATAGAGTGTCCAAGGAGACCCAGTTGTGGTTATTCAGACCTGAGTAAGGGAAGATAGCAGCCAGCTCTTTTTCTGGCACCAGCTCCACCCTTCTCTTTGCATCTGTGTGAGCCTGGTGTCTGGAAGTTCAAACTGATCCTCCAATTGCACACGTACATGGCACTAGCAGTGAATTTGCATCTCAATGACCTCTGTGGTTGCCCTGGATGGGTCCTTGCAGCATTGGATCCAGGAACTCTGCAGCTGTGCATTGAGTTTAGGCTCTGGCCTATTTCCTTCAGGAGGTCAAGCAGAAGTTCCAGGGATTCTAGGTGTTGAGGAAGCTGACCAGGCTGAGAAAACTTCAGGAGCAAAGGATACAACATGGGATCCTTCCCTCAGACTGATCTGAGGGTGTGCATGTGACTCTCCTGCAGGGTTTCCACTGTTACCTGGAGGCTGGGCTAACAGATGTGCCTGTGGCTTGCTGTGTCCCTCATGCAGTGTTCTCTGTACTCATCCTCAACTATCTTTTCAAGCTTTTGCTTCTATCACTCCAAAGTCAATACACCAGAAATAAACAAAGAAAAAAAACCCTGTGCTCTTCTCAAAGTTACTGACACGGATACTGATAAATTCAATGGCCGTTTCAAACCTCGTGTTGTATAATCAGTCTGCCAAAGCTATCTGATACCTGTTGATTCTCCTTCAATTCACTTTTATTTGGCTTTTGTGATTCCAGTTTCTTGGTTTTCCTCTATTATTGGTTCTCCTCCTTAGCTTTTTTTCTTTTTCTTTTTTGAGACACTGTCACTCTGTCACCCAGGCTGGAGTGCAGTGGCGCGATCTCGGCTCACTGCAAGCTCCACCTCCTGGGTTCACGCCATTCTCCTGCCTCAGCCTCCCGAGTAGCTGGGACTACAGGCGCCCGCCACCACGCCTGGCTAATTTTTTGTATTTTTTTTTAGTAGAGACGGGGTTTCACCGTGTTGGCCAGGATGGTCTCAATCTCCTGACCTCGTGATACGCCCGCCTCAGCCTCCCAAAGTGCTGGGATTACAGGTGTGAGCCACTGCACCTGGCCTTTAGCTTCTTTCATGTTGTTCTTTTATCATTGAACTCTTAATGTTGGAGTGCTCCGTGGTTCAGTCCTTGCTGTTCTTTACCTTTTCTATACTAAAACCCTAATCATTTAAATAAATATGGGCAATACCTACTAAAGTAATATAATACCAAGTTAGGTATATCTCATACATGAAGTGCCTACTCACTACTGCCATTTTGTGTCTTAAAAGACATCTACAGATTCAACATGTTCAAAGTTGAACTCTCAATCTTCCCCTAAAACCCTGGAACTGAAGTTTTCTCCATCCTGGTTGATGAAAACATTGTATTCCCAGATGCTCAAGACTAAAATCTTTGACTTAAAGTCACCCTAGACTTGTCTCTTTTACATCTAGCCCTTAAACAAATCTTGCTTGCTGTCACATTTACTATATACCTAGAATACAACCAATAACCACTATACCCATTGTTACCTCTTCTTCCGAAGCCATGACATCCTCTTTCATCTGAGTTACTACAACCTCCTCATCGATTTTTTTCAACAGTTGTGTTTCCCTCAAAATAAAGTATCTTTCCAATGGCTTGCACGCTTGGCAAGACATAGCTCTCTGTTATCTCTCAGTTCTGCTCTAGCAACCATCCCTTTGCACAGTGTTCTTCAATAACTTCTCCACTTTTCCTAAAACACTTCAGTGTAGTCCCATTGTAGGACCTCTCTCCTCTGCCTGGAATCACCACACTCCTTCAAGTCTTGGCTCAAGTCTATCCTTCTTGATGGTCTACCTTGATCACTGTATTTCACAAAGCAATCTAAATGATCATATCCCTCCCATTGTCTTTTCAATGACTTTTTCCCCATAACACTTATATTCTAACATACTCTGTGTGTATGATTATCTCCTCCTGTTAGAATTGTTCACTGACAAATATCCAAAACACCTAAGATAGTGGCTGGAATATATTAAGTACCTAATAACTGACTACTTTTAGAACAATAGGCTCCTGTGAGGAAAACATAACCATATTTACTAGCAGACTGCCTTTGTATGCATTGGCAGTGGTCTGATTTCTTGTTCAGGTTGTCACATTAAATCACTGTAAGTGGATTAAGGGTGGAGGATTGAGGGCTTGCCATCATAGATAACATCTTACCAAAGCAATATTGCTTTCAATTGCTGCTAGTGGGCTGCCTAGCTCTACTCTAAATTTATCTCGTTCACAAGACATTACTGAAAGCAGCAAGAAACATGCAACACACATATTCTGAATCACTTCTAGCATTTCCTCTAACATTATAGCATCAACTGATATAAAGCATGCTTGTAAGAGTGGGAGGCAGTGACAAAACATCCTGCCTATTAAAACAAGAATCTTCAAATTCCTAGCTTAATTTGGGCAGTTCCTCATTCTCAATGGCCCTAAGTCAATACCCCATTTGAGATTTCTTTTACCCATAGCATCCCACTTCCAGGTACAAAATTTTATATCCTTAAGAATTTTTATTGTCAATAACAGAACTACAATAGCATCAACAAATAAGATGTTTAATTTTATTTAAAGAGAAACAGGAGGCAAGCAGACCAGAGCTAGTATGGCTGTTCCACAAAGTCATCAGGGTTGCAGACTCCTTCTGTATTTCTGCTCCATGATCCATAACACCCAGATACCATTCTCAAAGTCCCCATGAGAGTAACGGAGCTCCAGCTTAGATGTCCACATTGTAGGCACGGAAAAAAAGACAGGAAAAATGGATTTCGTAAATCTCCTACTCATATAAATATCACTTCTATCTTGTTGACCTGCAAGGAAGGCTGAGATTTTCAGCCCAGAAATTTGTTACTAAAAAAGAGAAAATAGATATAGGGTAGGAAAAAAGCAGTCTGTATCACAAACTCTCATCATTTTTCATTGCAAAATAGTCTGTAATATCAGTTATTTTGTTTACTTCAAAAGCAATACATTCAAGTTTTTAAAAAATTCCTAGATTTATTAGACTTTGGATCTTAGACTTCGTTAAAAATCACTTCACACCTTGTCCCACTTCTCTAACAGCTGTGCTCAATAATACACTGATTACATCCACTGGGTTTTTTTTTTTTTAATAATACACTGATTATATCCACTGGGTTTTTTTTTTTTTAACAGTATGAATTTCCTCTTATAGCAATAATGGATGAGATTTAAATGACAGCTTTCTCACATTCATTATGGCATACAGTGCCCCCCAACCAAGTCATCTTGGATGTGTTGATAAAAGATTTCTCAATATTCATTATACTCATAAGTACTCTCCTCTCATGCAAATTCTCTAAAATAACACTAGTGAAAATGGTAGCTAATATTTGTGGTATGCTACGTTCAAGGCACCATTCTAAGAGCTTTTACATGTAATAACTTACATAATACTTCCAAGAATCTTACAATAAAGGTAATATACTTAGGTCTATCTTAAAATGATTAAACCAAGGTAGAGGTTAAGTATCATGATACATATAACAAAAAGATCAACTAGTAGAGCTAAGATAACGTTGAAAAAGATATTTGTTTTCAATATGGCTAAAGGGCTTCCTACATTTACTATATTAAAACTATTCTCCAATTTGCTAATGTTTAATAGGTTTCCAGTAATGATGTTTTTCTATATGAATGACACTACCATTTTCTCTCACATAAATTATCTGATGCTGTGCTTTATGAGGCAAATGTGCGCCCATATTCACATTTGTGAGAATTCTTTGCTGCTAACAACCAGAGAACCTCTTCATAGTGATCTCAAATAATCAGACAATTCACATGTAAACTTGTGAGCCATGACTAAAGTCAATCCCACATTCCTTATATTCAAAAGATTTCTCACTGATATGAATTCTCTGATGTTGAGTTAGCTGTGAACCACGAGTAAAGGCCTTCCCACATTCCTTACATTGATATGGTTTCTCACCAGTATGAATTCTCTGATGCCGAGAAAGATGTGAACTCTGAGTAAAGGCCTTTCTACATTCTCTGCATTCATAGGGCTTCTCACCAGTATGGATTCTCTGATGTAGAGTAAGCTGAGAGCCATGACTAAAGGCCTTGCCACACTCCTTGCATTCATAGGGTTTTTCTCCAGTGTGAATTCGCTGATGTTGAGTCAACTGTGAACCACGAATAAAGGCTTTCCCACATTCCTTACATTGATATGGTTTCTCACCAGTATGAATTCTCTGATGTTGTATAAGTAGTAAGCCACGCGCAAAGGCCTTTCCACATTCATTACACACATAGGGTTTCTCACCAGTGTGAAGTCTTTGATGTTGGGAAAGATGTGAACTCTGAGTAAAGGCCATTCTACATTCTTTACATTCATAAGGTTTCTCACCAGTATGGATTCTCTGATGTTGAGTAAGCTGGGAACCACGAATAAAAGATTTCCCACATTCCTTACATTCATAGGGTTTCTCACCTGTGTGAATTCGCTCATGTTGAGTAAGTTCTGAGCCACGACTAAAGGTTTTTCCACATTCTTTACATTCATAGGGTTTCTCACCAGTATGAATCCTCTGGTGTCGTGTAAGGAGTGAGCCACGATTAAACGCTTTTCCACATTCCTTACATTGATAGGGTTTCTCACCAGTGTGTATTCTCTGATGTTGAGTAAGTTGTGAGCCATGACTAAACATCTTTCCACATTCCTTACATTCATAGGGCTTTTCATTGGTGTGAATTCTCTGGTGTTGAGTAAGTTGTGAGCCACGGATAAAGGCCTTCCCACATTCTTCACATTTATAGGGTTTTTCACCAGTATGAATCCTCTGATGTTGCATCAGTAGTGAGCCCCGAATAAAGGCCCTTCCACATTCCTTACATTCATATGGTTTTTCCCCATTATGAATTTTCTGATGTTGAGAAAGCTGTGAGCCACAAATAAAAGCTTTTCCACATTCCTTACATTCATAGGGTTTCTCACCGGTATGAATTCTCTTATGCAGAATAAGTTGTGAGAGCTGAGTAAAGACCTTCCTACATTCTTTACATTCATAGAGCTTTTCACCAGTATGAAGTCTCTGGTGTAGTGTAAGTTGTGAATTCTGAGTAAAGGCCTTCCCACATTCTTTACATTCATAAGGTTTCTCACCAGTATGAACTTTTTGATGTCGGGTAAGTTGTGAGCTACGAATAAAGGCTTTCCCACATTCTTCACATTTATATGGTTTTTCACCAGTATGAATTCTATGATGTAAAATAAGTTGTGAGCTTTGAGTAAAGGCCTTCCCACATTCCTTACATGCATAGGGTTTCTCACCAGTATGAAGTCTCTGATGAAGACTGAGTTGTGAATCACGACTAAAGGCCTTCCCGCATTGCTTACATTCATAGGGTTTTTCACCAGTATGAATACTTTGATGTTGTGTTAGGTGTGAGGCTCGTCTGAAGGCTTTCCCACATTCCTTACATTTATAGGGTTTCTCAGTAGAATGACATCTTGAATGTTGAGATAAGTAAGTATGCTGGTTGAAAATGGACATTTTGTCATATATGATCATCCCTTGCCTGAAATATTCCTTCTGATTTTCTTGTTGCTTCTCCATCTTGCCTTTGGCTTCCAAATAATCCCTGGAATTGGACTCTTCAAGATCACAGTTTTCAAGTCTGTCACTCATTTCCCATTGGGATAATTCTGTTTCATAAGTGTTCTTTTCTGGAGATAAGTCCTTACTTGCACACCTTGAAGGCAAGTCTGAAAGATAAGAGAGAATAAAAAAATTGAGAAATATAACTTCTATAGAAAAGACAAATAATAGGAAAATAATGCCCATAAGAAATAACAGACATACATGAGTTTGTTTCAAATATTGATTATTATGACATATAATACCTACCTTTCACATCACAACCTACTATATATATACAGTTTCATAAAACAGTATCTTCCCTGCTTTCTATTCTATTCTGCAATATTTCTACTTTTTTCAATTTCTCTGTCTCATACACATGCAGACAAACCCCACTACACTGATTTCATGGTACAGTAATGTTCCTATCTAGAATTTTAAAAAAAATTAGCTAAGAAGGATCTCATATATTAATATATGAAAGGGGCATCTGAGAGATTAGAGAATAATGAAAACTCACTTGAGAAGATAAGGGAAGAGATTAAGAACAATTTTAAAGTGAGTAGTTCTCAAGCCTTGGTGGGGATCAAAATCACCTGGGGAGCATGTTAAAATTATAGCTGTCCAACATTACACCAGACTAACTGCTAGTGAATCAGAAAAAGATCCTGGAGATCTGTAATTTTAATCCTTCCTATCAACTGATTCAGATTCAGATAATGATTTTCTTTATCTGCTTAATACTTTTTAGTAGCTTCCATATTAATATAAAATCCAAACTCTTCAATGACTTTGACTTATTTCCCCTTCCATGGTCTTCTCCTTGCTTATGTATCTGTTGAGCCTTCTCAGCTTCGCTCCTTATTTGCCAGAAAAACTAGCTTCCTTTCAACTCTGAAAAAGTCACAGACCTTTTTCAATTAAAAGCTAGCCAGAGCCTATTCCATTTCTTTGGACTGCTCTGGATGAGACTATACAAACACTCTTCCTCATTCTTCAGGTCTTAATTTAATTATCAGCCCCTAAATCTTAAACATTAATTTCTGGTAATTTAGGTAATTTAGACCAACCTTCTAGATGATAGCAATTATACAAATTAAGCAAATTATAAAAGGCACCTGAGTGAAGCCACTGGAGCGTTTACATAATAAAGAGTGGGTGGCTAAAAATTGAAAAATATGAAAATCAAAGAGATAAGCCCAACATCTGGGTCCACATTTCCACTTAGAGAAGTCTTATGATTCTAGAAAAAGCTAAGAGGGGGAGAAACTAAACAGTGTTTTGGACTGTGTCACAGGGCTGGGCAACAATAACTGGAGGATAGGGCCTGCCATGAATTCTTTATACTTTGGGTTGGGAACCCTGAGAGCTATACTGAGGAATAAAGGAGAAACAGTAGACCAATCTGGACAGAGTCTGAAGTCTGAATCATCTTTGAATCAGCTCAAATTTCAAAAATTTGGATTATGGTGATTCAAGACTGCTTGCCATAGCAAACTTAAATCTTTATTGGATTTTGTATAATGTTATCCAAGGACTGAAACCTTATAACTTTTCTTTGTGATGTCTAGCACTCAATAAAAACTAGGTAATGAAAGCACTCAATAAAAACCAGGTGAATGAAAAACAGGAGAAAAAACAAAAGAAACTTTGACTTATAAGGACACAAATCATGTATCCACCCACCGTCATACTTCTGTCACTCCTAAATACCCTTGTCCTGTTTCTCTGTAATCAACCCTTCATACCACCCTAGTGGTACATGCCTAGAAACCAGTGATCTGTGGTTTCCCTATAACTTCCTTACACATAGAAACAAAAGCACCTCCATACTAAATCTATGATCCTATATGCCTCTCCAATTGCTCTTTAGCTCTCTCTATCCCTTTCAAATAGGATACTAAGTTGCTTTTACTTATCCTTACTTCACAGTTTCCTTTGTTTCTTCATGCCTTGCCTCATGTCTTCTCTTATTTACTTGTCTATTCAAGGACAATTCTGTGTGTTCTGGGAAGAACACATCCTAGAGTTCCCAGGCACTACTACAGGTCTATAACGTAATGAAAGGGTTCTATAATCTCATGGAATGTTGGAGAGAAAAAAGGCAATTATTCATGCCAGGCGCAGTGGCTCATGCCTGTAATCCCAGCACTTTGGGAGGCCAAGGCAGGTGGATCATTTGAGGTCAGGAGTTCGAGACCAACCTGGCCAACATGGTGAAAACCCGTCTCTACTAAAAATACAAAAAATTAGCCAGGCATGGTGGCGGGTGCCTGTAATCCCAGCTACTCGGGAGGCTAAGGCAGGAGAATCGCTTGAACCTGGGAGGCGGAGGTTGCAGTGAGCCGAGATCATGCCACTGCACACCAGCCTGGGTGACAGTGCAAGACTTCATCTCAAAAAAAACAAAATACAAAATCAGCTGGGTGTGGTGGCAGGTGCCTGTAATCCCAATTACTTGGGAGGCTGAGGCAGGAGAATCACTTGAACCAGGGAGGCAGAGGTTACAGTGAGCCAAGATCTCACCACTAGCAAGCCAGCCTGGGCAACAGAGCGAGACTCTGGCTCATAAAAAAAGAAAAAGAAAAAAAAAACAATTATCCAATATAAGGGAAGGAGTCTATAGTGATAAAGAATATTTCAGTTAGAAATACAGATCAAGAAACAGAACACAAAAATTCTCAAATACTGTTGCTGAGAGTGCAAAACACTGTAACTATGGTAAAAAAGAGTGTGGTAGTTTCTTATAATGTTAAACATACATTTAGCATATGATACAGCAGTCACATTAGTATTTACACTTATGCTCACACAAACATCTATATGTCAAAGATTATAACAGCTTTATTCAGAAGTGCTCCAAACTGGAACTACCAGATGTCCCTCAAAAGGCGAATGAATCAGCAAACTTTGGCCATTCCAGGTACTGGAACATTACTCAGCAATAACAGAAACAAAGTATTGATTCATGCAACATTACTCAACAATAACAGAAACAAATTGATCCATGCAACAATATGGATAAATCTTAAATATATTTTGCTAAGTGAGAAAAGCCATATTTTGATTCTATTTATATGACATTCTTGACAAAGCAAAACTATATGGATGGAATTTGGTGAGTAGTTTTTCATAGGCTGGGAATGGTTAAAGGGGAGAGGTTGACAATGAAAGAAGAAAGCATGAGGGAATTTAGGGATGGTTAATAGAACTGTTGTATATTATGACTGTGACAGTAGGTGGATACAGTTGGTATCTGAATGGTATATCAGATTTCTTAACAAACACCAATAAATGGTGGGTAAAATATGACAAACATCCTTTTAAAAATATAGACAAGATTAAGGCTGGGCGCAGTGGCTCATGCCTGTAATACCAGCACTTTGGGAGGCTGAGGCGGGCGGATTACGAGGTCAGGAGATTGAGACCATCTTGGCTAACACTCGTGAAACCCCCTCTCTACTAAAAATACACACACACAAATTAGCTGGGCATGGTGGCACACGCCTGTAGTCCCAGCTACTCGGGAGGCTGAGGCAGGAGAATCACTTGAACCAGGAGGTGGAGGTTGCAGTGAGCCAAGATTGCACCACTGCACTCCAGCCTGGGTGACAGAGCGAGACTCCGCTCAAAAAAAAAAAAAAAAAAAAAAAGACAAGAGTAAAAGAAAATAAAGAAGTCAAGCAATGAAGTGAGAGCTGAGAGCCAGAAACTGGAGAGGTGAACATGCTCTGAAGTTAGAGCTACCCTTGGGACATTTGCTGGCTTCAATAGCCTAAGGTTGTATCTTAGTGTTCTGAAAAAATTCAAGAGACAAGGCCTTCACCCACAAAAGGGCAGGGATTAGAAATAAACCATTTTACAAAATTGGAACCTATTCAAGGCCTAAAGTTCAGAGACAGGAAAAAATCCATCTGACCTCAGTCTCAGCCATCTTTAAAAAATCGACTTTTACTCTGAGTTGGGGAGCCAAAATTAGTAAATACAAAGATAGTTAATGGGAAAGTACAGAAGCTAGATGGATAGAAATTAGGCGGCTACAACAATAATCCACCTGACTCAGACCAGATGATGGTGGAGGTAAGGGTGGAGGAAGTGAGGTATCATTAGATAGTGGATATATTTTGAAGGTATACTACAGAGGATTTGTTGGTGGAATGGACATGTAACATGAAAAGAGAAGACAAGGAAGACTATGCAGGTTTTGCCTGAAAGGTTGGAACAATGGAAGTGCTACTTACTGAGAACTCCTCACTGTGATGGGGCAGACCTGGGAGGGATTGTGAAAAGTCTGGTTTTGAACTATTAGATATCAAATGAAGATGTTCAATAGACACAAATGTGTAAGTATGTGACTCTGGGGAGGTATCTGGATTACAAATATAAGTTTGAAAGTCATCACGAAATAACATTTAAAGCTACAAGATTTGATGAGGTCACCCAGGGCGTACCTTTATATACAAAACAGAAGGGGAAGGATGAAAAAGGGAAGTTTGAGGATTGAACCCTGGGTCACTTCAGGTAGATGAGAAGGAAACAGCAATGGAGACTAAGAAGGAATAGCCATTGAGGAAGGAGAAAAATTAAGAGAGCACGGAACCCCAGAAGCCATGTGAAAAATGTGTTGTTGTTTTTTTAAATTATACTTTAAGTTTTAGGGTACATATGCACAATGTGCAGGTTTGTTACATATGTATACATGTGCCATGTTGGTGTACTGCACCCATTAACTCGTCATTTAGCATTAGGTATATCTCCTAATGCTATCCCTCCCGCCTCCCCCCACCCCACAACAGTCCCTGGAGTGTGATGTTCCCCTTCCTGTGTCCCTGTGTTCTCACTGTTCAATTCCCACCTATGAGTGAGAACATGCGGTGTTTGGTTTTCTGTCCTTGAGATAGTTTGCTGAGAATGATGATTTCCAGTTTCATCCATGTCCCTATAAAGGACATGAACTCATCATTTTTTATGGCTGCATACTATTCCATGGTATATATGTGCCACATTTTCTTAATCCAGTCTATCATTGTTGGACATTTGGGTTGGTTCCAAGTCTTTGCTATTGTGAATAGTGCCACAATAAACATACGTGTGCATGTGTCTTTATAGCAGCATGATATATAGTCCTTTGGGTATATACCCAGTAATGGGATGGCTGGGTCAAATGGTATTTCTAGTTCTAGATCCCTGAGGAAGCACCACACTGACTTCCACAATGGTTGAACTAGTTTACAGTCCCACCAACAGTGTAGAAGTGTTCCTATTTCTCCACATCCTCTCCAGCACCTGTTGTTTCCTGACTTTTTAATGATTGCCATTCTAAATGGTGTGAGATGGTATTGTGGTTTTGATTTGCATTTCTCTGATGGCCAGTGATGATGAGCATTTTTTCATGTGTTTTTTGGCTGCATAAATGTCTTCTTTTGAGAAGTGTCTGTTCATATCCTTCACCCACTTTTTGATGGGGTTGTTTTTTTCTTGTAAATTTGAGTTCATTGTAGATTCTGGATATTAGCCCTTTGTCAGAGGAGTAGGTTGCGAAAATTTTCTACCATTTTGTTGGTTGCCTGTTCACTCTGATGGTAGTTTCTTTTGCTGTG
Source organism: Homo sapiens (assembly GCF_000001405.40). Taxonomy (NCBI): domain Eukaryota; kingdom Metazoa; phylum Chordata; class Mammalia; order Primates; family Hominidae; genus Homo; species Homo sapiens. The sequence goes on along the minus strand of NC_000019.10, from coordinate 37,121,652 downwards.
CAGAAGCTCTTTAGTTTAATTAGATCCCATTTGTCAGTTTTGGCTTTTGTTGCCATTGCTTTTGGTGTTTGAGACATGAAGTCCTTGCCCATGCCTATGTCCTGAATGGTATTGCCTAGGTTTTCTTCTAGGGTTTTTATGGTTTTAGGTCTAACGTTTAAGTCTTTAATCCATCTTGAATTAATTTTTGTATAAGGTGTAAGGAAGGGATCCAGTTTCAGCTTTCTACATATGGCTAGCCAGTTTTCCCAGCACCATTTATTAAATAGGGAATCCTTTCCCCATTGCTTGTTTTTGTCAGGTTTGTCAAAGATCAGATAGTTGTAGATATGCGGCATTATTTCTGAGGGCTCTGTTCTGTTCCATTGATCTATATCTCTGTTTTGGTACCAGTACCATGCTGTTTTGGTTACTGTAGCCTTGTAGTATAGTTTGAGGTCAGGTAGCATGATGCCTCCAGCTTTGTTCTTTTGGCTTAGGATTGACTTGGCAATGCGGGCTCTTTTTTGGTTCCATATGAACTTTAAAGTAGTTTTTTCCAATTCTGTGAAGAAAGTCATTGGTAGCTTGATGGGGATGGCATTGAATCTATAAATTACCTTGGGCAGTATGGCCATTTTCATGATATTGATTCTTCCAACCCATGAGCATGTAATGTTCTTCCATTTGTTTGTATCCTCTTTTATTTCATTGAGCAGTGGTTTGTAGTTCTCCTTGAAGAGGTCCTTCACGTCCCTTGTAAGTTGGATTCCTAGATATTTTATTCTCTTTGAAGCAATTGTGAATGGGAGTTCACTCATGATTTGGCTCTCTGTTTGTCTGTTATTCATGTATAAGAATGCTGCTGATTTTTGTACACTGATTTTGTATCCTGAGACTTTGCTGTAGTTGCTTATCAGCTTAAGGAGATTTTGGGCTGAGACAATGGGGTTTTCTAGATACACAATCATGTCATCTGCAAACAGGGACAATTTGACTTCCTCTTTTCCTAATTGAATAACCTTTATTTCCTTCTCCTGCCTAATTGCCCTGGCCAGAAATTCCAACACTATGTTGAATAGGAGTGGTGAGAGAGGGCATCTCTGTCTTGTGCCAGTTTTCAAAGTGAGTGCTTCCAGTTTTTGCCCATTCAGTATGATATTGGCTGTGGGTTTGTCATAGATAGCTCTTATTATTTTGAGATACATCCCATCAATACCTAATTTATTGAGAGTTTTTAGCATGAAGGGTTGTTGAATTTTGTCAAAGGCCTTTTCTGCATCTATTGAGATAATCATGTGGTTTTTGTCTTTGGTTCTGTTTATATGCTGGATTACATTTATTGATTTGTGTATGTTGAACCAGCCTTGCATCCCAGGGATGAAGCCCACTTGATCATGGTGGGATAAGCTTTTTGATGTGCTGCTGGATTCGGTTTGCCAGTATTTTATTGAGGATTTTTGCATCAATGTTCATCAGGAATATTGGTCTAAAATTCTCTTTTTTGGCTGTGTCTCTGCCAGGCTTTGGTATCAGGATGATGCTGGCCTCATAAAATGAGTTAGGCAGGATTCCCTCTTTTTCTATTGATTGGAATAGTTTCAGAAGGAATGGTACCAGCTCCTCCTTGTACCTCTGGTAGAATTTGGCTGTGAATCCATCTGGTCCTGGACTCTTTTTGGTTGGTAAGCTATTGATTATTGCCACAATTTCAGATCCTGTTATTGGTCTATTCAGAGATTCAACTTCTTCCTGGTTTAGTCTTGGGAGGGTGTATGTGTCAAGGAATTTATCCATTTCTTCTAGATTTTCTAGTTTATTTGCATAGAGGTGTTTGTAGTATTCTGATGGTAGTTTGTATTTCTGTGGGATTGGTGGTGATATCCCCTTTATCATTTTTTATTGCATCTATTTGATTCTTCTCTCTTTTCTTCTTTATTAGTCTTGCTAGCAGTCTATCAATTTTGTTGATCTTTTCAAAAAACCAGCTCCTGGATTCATTAATTTTTTGAAGGTTTTTTTTTGTGTCTCTATTTCCTTCAGTTCTGCTCTGATTTTAGTTATTTCTTGCCTTCTGCTAGCTTTTGAATGTGTTTGCTCTTGCTTTTCTAGTTCTTTTAATTGTGGTGTTAGGGTGTCCATTTTGAATCTTTCCTGCTTTCTCTTGTGGACACTTAGTGCTATATATTTCCCTCTACACACTGCTTTGAATGTGTCCCAGAGATTCTGGTATGTTGTGTCTTTGTTCTCATTGGTTTCAAAGAACATCTTGATTTCTGCCTTCATTTCATTATGTACCCAGTAGTCATTCAGGAGCAGGTTGTTCAGTTTCCATGTAGTGGAGTGGTTTTGAGTGAGTTTCTTAATCCTGAGTTCTAGTTTGATTGCACTGTGGTCTGAGAGACAGTTTGTTATAATTTCTGTTCTTTTACATTTGCTGAGGAGAGCTTTACTTCGAACTATGTGGTCAGTTTTGGAATAGGTGTGGTGTGGTGCTGAAAAAAAATGTATATTCTGTTGATTTGGGGTGGAGAGTTCTGTAGATGTCTATTAGGTCCGCTTGGTGCAGAGCTGAGTTCAATTCCTGGGTATCCTTGTTAACTTTCTGTCTTGCTGATCTGTGTAATGTTGACAGTGGGGTGTTAAAGTCTCCCATTATTATTGTGTGGGAGTCTAAGTCTCTTTGTAGGTCACTCAGGACTTGCTTTATGAATCTGGGTGCTCCTGTATCGGATGCATATATATTTAGGATAGTTAGCTCTTCTTGGTGAATTGATCCCTTTAACATTATGTAATGGCCTTCTTTGTCTCTTTTGATCTTTGTTGGTTTAAAGTCTGTTTTATCAGAGACTAGGATTGCAACCCCTGCCTTTTTTTGTTTTCCATTTGCTTGGTAGATCTTCCTCCATCCCTTTATTTTGAGCCTATGTGTGTCTCTGCACGTGAGATGGGTTTCCTGAATACAGCACACTGATGGGTCTTGACTCTTTATCCAATTTGCCAGTCTGTGTCTTTTAATTGGAGCATTTAGCCCATTTACATTTAAAGTTAATATTGTTATGTGTGAATTTGATCCTGTCATTATGATGTTAGCTGGTTATTTTGCTCATTAGTTGATGCAGTTTCTTCCCAGCCTTGATGGTCTTTACAATTTGGCATGTTTTTGCAGTGGCTGGTACAGGTTGTTCCTTTCTATGTTTAGTGTTTCCTTCAGGAGCTCTTTTAGGGCAGGCCTGCTGGTGACAAAATCTCTCAGCATTTGCTTGTCTGTAAAGGATTTTACTTCTCCTTCACTTATGAAGCTTAGTTTGGCTGGATATGAAATTCTGGGTTGGAAATTCTTTTAAGAATGTTGAATATTGGCCCCCCTTCTCTTCTGGCTTGTAGAGTTTCTGCTGAGAGATCAGCTGTTAGTCTGATGGGCTTCCCTTTGTGGGTAACCTGACCTTTCTCTCTGGCTGCCCTTAACATTTTTTCCTTCATTTCAACTTTGGTGAATCTGACAATTATGTGTCTTGGAGTTGCTCTTCTCGAGAAGTATCTTTGTGGCGTTCTCTGTATTTCCTGAATCTGAATGGTGGCCTGCCTTGCTAGATTGGGGAAGTTCTCCTGGATAATATCCTGCAGAGTGTTTTCCAACTTGGTTCCATTCTCCCTGTCACTTTGAGGTACACCAATCAGACATAGATTTGGTCTTTTCACATAGTCCCATATTTCTTGGAGACTTTGTTTGTTTCTTTTTATTCTTTTTTCTCTAAACTTCTCTTCTTGCTTCATTTCATTCATTTGATCTTCCATCACTGATACCCTTTCTTCCAGTTGATCGTGTCGGCTCCTGAGGCTTCTGCATTCTTCACATAGTTCTTGAGCCTTGGCTTTCAGCTCCATCAGCTCCTTTAAGTACTTCTCTGCATTGGTTATTCTAGTTATACATACGTATAATTTTTATTTCAAAGTTTTTAACTTCTTTGCCATTGGTTTGAATTTCCTCCTGTAGCTCGGGAGTAGTTTGATCGTCTGAAGCCTTCTTCTCTCAACTCATCAAAGTCATTCTCCATCCAGCTTTGTTCTGTTGCTGGTGAGGAACTGCATTCCTTTGGAGGAGGAGAGGTGCTCTGCTTTTTAGAGTTTCCAGTTTTTCTGCTCTGTTTTTTCCCCATCTTTGTGGTTTTATCTACTTTTGGTCTTTGATGATGGTGACGTACAGATGGGTTTTTGGTGTGGATGTCCTTTCTGTTTGTTAGTTTTCCTTCTAACAGACAGGAGCCTCGCCTGCAGGTCTGTTGGAGTTTGCTAGAGGTCCACTCCAGACCCTGTTTGCCTGGGTATCAGCAGCAGTGGCTGCAGAACAGCGGTGGCTGTAGAACAGCCGATTTTCGTGAACCGCAAATGCTGCTGCCTGATCGTTCCTCTGGAAGTTTTGTCTCAGAGGAGTACCCGGCCATGTGAGGTGTCAGTCTGCCCCTACTGGGGGGTGCCTCCCAGTTAGGCTGCTCGGGGGTCAGGGACCCACTTGAGGAGGCAGTCTGTCCGTTCTCAGATCTCCAGCTGCGTGCTGGGAGAACCACTACTCTCTTCAAAGCTGTCAGACAGGGACGTTTAAGTCTGCACAGGTTACTGCTGTCTTTTTGTTTGTCTGTGCCCTGCCCCCAGAGGTGGAGCCTATAGAGGCAGGAAGGCCTCCTTTAGCTGTGGTGGGCTCCACCCAGTTCAAGCTTCCAGGCTGCTTTGTTTACCTAAGCAAGCCTGGGCAATGGCAGGCACCCCTCCCCCAGCCTCGCTGCTGCCTTGCAGTTTGCTAGCACAGCAGTCTGAGATCAATCAGTGAGACTCCATGGGCATAGGACCCTCTGAGCTAGGTGTGGGATATAATCTCCTGGTGTGCTGTTTTTTAAGCCCGTTGGAAAAGCGCAGTATTAGGGTGGGAGTGACCCAATTTTCCAGGTGCCGTCTGTCACCCCTTTCTTTGACTAGGAAAGGGAACTCCCTGACCCCTTGCACTTACTGAGTGAGGTAATGCCTCGCCCTGCTTCGGCTCGCACACAGTGTGCTGCACCCACTGTCCTGCACCCACTGTCTGGCACTCCCTAGTGAGATGAACCCGGTACCTCAGATGGAAATGCAGAAATCACCCGTCTTCTGCGTCGTTCATGCTGGGAGCTGTAGACCAGAGCTGTTCCTATTTGGCCATCTTGGCTCCACCCATATTTTCCAAAAAAAGTGTTTTAAGAAGGAATGATCGGTTATGTCAAATGCTGAGAGATGAGGCGAAATGGTGCATTCTTTTTTTTTTTTTTTTTTTTTTGAGGTGGAGTCCTGCTCTGTTGCCCAGGCTGAAGTGCAGTGGTGTGATCTCGGTTCACTGCAACCTCCACCTCCTGGATTCAAGCAATTCTCTTGCCTCAGCTCCAAGGTAGCTGGGAATCCCTGCGTGTGCCATCATGCCTGGCTAAATTTTTTTGTATTTTTAGTAGAGACAGGGTTTCACCATGTTGGCCAAGCTGGTCTTTGTGGGGAAAAGAAAGAGAGATCAGCCTCTTACTGTGTCTATGTAGAAAGAAGTAGACATAAGAGACTCCATTTTGTTCTGTACTAAGAAAAATTCCTCTGCCTTGAGATGCTATTAATCTGTAACCCTACCCCCAACCTTGTGCTCCCTGAAACATGTGCTGTGTTGACTCAAGGTTTAATGGATTTAGGGCTATGCAGGATGTGCTTTGTTAAAAAAGTGCTTGAAGGCAGCGTGCTTGTTAAAAGTCATCACCATTCTCTAATCTCAAGTACCCAGGGACACAATACACTGTGGAAGGCCACAGGAACCTCTGCCTAGGAAAGCCAGGTATTGTCCAAGGTTTCTCTCCATGTGATAGCCTGAGATATGGCCTCGTGGGAAGGGAAAACCTGACCGCCCCCCAGCCCAACACCCGTAAAGGGTCTGTGCTGAGGAGGATTAGTAAAAGAGGAAGGCCTCTCTGCAGTTGAGATAAGAGGAAGGCACCTGTCTCCTGCTTGTCCCTGGGCAATAGAATGTCTCAGTGTAAAACCCAATTGTATGTTCTATTTACTGAGATAGAAGAAAACTGCCTTAGGGCTGGAGGTGAGACGTGCTAGCAGCAATACTGCTATTTAATGCACCGAGATGTTTGTATACATGTACATCAAGGCACAGCACCTTTCCTTAAACTTATTTATGACACAAAGACCTCTGTTCACATGTTTTCCTGCTGACCCTCTCCCCACTATTACCCTACGGTCCTGCCACATCCCCCTCTCCAAGATGGTAGAGATAATGATCCATAAACACTGAGAGAACTCAGAGACCAGTGCTGGCGCGGGTCCTCCGTATGGTGAGCGCCGGTCCCCTGGGCCCACTTTTCTTTCTCTATACTTTGTTTCTGTGTCTCTTTCTTTTCTCAAGTCTCTCATTCCACCTGACGAGAAACACCCACAGGTGTGGAGGGGCAGGCCACTCCTTCATCGGGTGTCCAACGTAGGTGCTTTTCTCTAGGGTGAAGGTACGCTCGAGCGTGGTCAATGAGGACAAGTCAACGAGAGATTCCTGAGTACGTCTATGGTCACCCTTTGCGGTAAACTTGTGCGCTCAGAAGAAGCCAGGGTAACAATGGGACAAACTAAAAGTAAATATGCCTCTTAGCTCCATTAAAATTCTTTTAAAAAGAGGGGGAGTCAGAGTCTCTACAAAAAAAATCTAATCACTCTATTTCAAACAATAGAACAATTCTGCCCATGGTTTCTAGAACGGGGAACTTTAGATCTAAAAGATTGGGAAAAAATTGGCAAAGAATTAAAACAAGCAAGTAGGGAGGGTAAAATCATCCCACTTACAGTATGGAATGATTGGGCCATTATTAAAGTAGCTTTAGAACTGTTTCAAACAGGAGAAGATAGCATTTCAGTTTCTGATGCCCTGGAAAATGTGTAATAGATTGTGAAGAAGAGGCAGGGATAGAATCTGGGAAAGGAACGGAAAGTTCACATTGTAAATATGTAGCAGAGCCGGTAATGGTTCGGTCAATGCAAAATGTTGACTATAATCAATTACAGGAAGTGATATATCCTGAAATGTTAAAATTAGAAGAAAAAGGTCCAGAATTAGTGGGGCCATCAGAGTCTAAACCACGATGGCCAACTCCTCTCCCAGCAGTTCAGATGCCTGTAACATTACAACCTCAAATGCAGGTTAGACAAGTACAAACCCCAAAAGAATATCAAATAGGGAAAGATAGAGTCTCTGTCACGGCAATGCCAATCCAAATACAGTATCCACAATATCAGCCGGTGGAAAATAAGACCCAACCGCCAGTAACCTATCAATACTGGCCGCCAGCCGAACTTCAGGATCAGCCGCCCCCAGAAAATCAGTATGGACAGCCAGGAATGTTTCCAGCACCACAGGGCAGGGCGCTATATCCTCAGCAGCCCACTATGAGATTTAATCCTACACCACCACCTAGTGGACAGGGTAGTGCATTACATAAAATTATTGATAAGGCAAGAAAACAAGGAGATACCGAGGCATGGCAATTCCCAGTAATATTAGAACCGATACCACCTGAAGAAGAGGCCCAAGAGGGAGCGCCTCCCCTAGCTGAGGCCAGATATGAGTCCTTTTCCATAAAAATGCTAAAAGATATGAAAGAGGGAGTAAAACAGTATGGACCCAACTCCCCTTATATGAGGACATTATTAGATTCCATTGCTCATGGACATAGACTCATTCTTTATGATTGGGAGATTTTGGCCAAATGATCGCTCTCACCCTCTCAATGTTTACAATTTAAGACTTGGTGAAGACTTGGTGGATTGATGGGGCACAAGAACAGGTCCAAAAAAATAGGGCTGCCAATCCTCCAGTTAACATAGATGCAGATCAACTATTAGGAACAGGTCAAAATTGGAGCACTACTAATTAACAAGCAATAATGTAAAATGAGGCCACTGAGCAAGTTAGACCTATCTGCCTTAGAGCCTGGGAAAAAAGCCAAGACCCAGGAACCGCCTGCCCCTCATTCAATACAATAAGACAAGGCGCTAAAGGAGCCCTACCCTGATTTTGCGGCAAGCCTCCAAGATGCTGCTCAAAAGTCAATTACCAATGAGAATGCCCGTAAGGTCATAGTGGAGTTGATGGCATACGAAAATGCCAATCCTGAGTGTCAATCAGCCATTAAACCATTAAAAGGAAAGGTCCCAGTGGGATCAGATGTAATCTCAAGAGTACGTAAAAGCCTGTGATGGAATTGGAGGAGCTATGCATAAAGCTATGCTTATCGCTCAAGCAATAACGGGACTTGCTTTAGGAGGACAAGTTAGAACATTTAGGGGAAAATGTTATAATTGTGGACAAATTGGTCATCAAAAAAAGAATTGCCCAGCCTCAAATAAACAAAATATAACTATTCAAACTACTACAAGAACAGATAAAGAGCCACCTGACTTATGTCCAAGAGGTAAAAAAGGAAAACATTGGGCTAGTCAATGTCATTCTAAATTTGATAAAAATGGGCAACCATTGTCGGGAAACGAGAAGAGGGGCCAGCCTCAGGCCCCGCAACAAACTGGGGCATTCCCAATTTAGCCCTTTGTTCCTCAGGGTTTTCAGGGACAACAACCCCCACTGTCACAAGTGCTTCAGGGAATGGGCCAGTTACCACAATACAGCAACTGTCCCCGGCCACAAGCGGCAGTGCAGCAGTAGATTTGTGTACTATACAAGCAGTCTCTCTGCTTCCAGGGAGCCCCCACAAAAAAATCCCCACAGGGATATATGGCCCACGGCCTGAGGGGACTGTAGGACTAATCTCAGGAAGATCGAGTCTAAATCTAAAGGGAGTTCAAATTCATACTGGTGTGGTTGATTCAGACTACAAAGTCGAAATTCAATTGGTTATTAGCTCCTCAGTTCCTTGGAGTGCCAGTCCAGGAGACAGGATTGCTTAATTATTCCTGCCTTATATTAAGGTTGAAAACAGTGAGATAAAAAGAACAGGAGGGTTTGGAAGCACTGATCCAGCTAGGCTGCATATTGGGCAAGTCAGGTCTCAGAGAGCAGACCTGTGTGTAAGGCCATTATTCAAGGAAAACAGTTTGAGGGGTTGGTAGACACTGCAGCAGATGTCTCTATCATTGCTTTCAATCGGTGGCCAAAAAATTGGCCTAAACAAAAGGCTGTTACAGGACTTGTCGGCGTAGGCACTGCCTCAGAAGTGTATCAAAGTGCTGAGATTTTACATTGCTTAGGGCCAGATAATCAAGAAAGTACTGTTCAGCCAATGATTACTTCAATTCCCGTTAATCTGTGGGGTCGAGATTTATTACAACAATGGGGTGAGGAAATCACTATGCCTGCCCCATTATATAGCCCCACAAATCAAAAAATCACGACTAAGATGGGATATATACCAGGAAAGGGACTAGGAAAAAATGAAAATGGCATTAAAGTCCCAATTGAGATTGAGGGAAATCAAGAAACAGCAGCAATAGGGTATCCTTTTTAGGGGCGGCCACTGTAGATCCTCCTAAACCCACTCCATTAACTTGGAAAACAGAAAAACCTGTATGGGTAAATCAGTGGCTGCTACCAAAACGAAAACTGGAGGCTTTACATTTATTAGCAAAGTAACAATCAGAAAACGGACATACTGAGCCTTCATTCTCGCCTTGGAATTCTCCTGTGTTTGTAATTCAGAAAAAATCCAGCAGATGGCGAATGTTAACTGACTTAAGGGCCGTAAATGCCATAATTCAACCCATGGGGCATCTCCAACCAGGGTTGCCCTCTCCGGCCATGATCCCAAAAGACTGGCCTTTAATTATAATTGATCTGAAGGATTGCTTTTTTACCATTCCTCTGGTGGAGCAGGATTGTGAAAAATTTGCCTTTACTATACCAGCCATAAATAATAAAGAACCAGCCACCAGGTTTCAGTGGAAAGTGTTACCTCAGGGAATGCTTAATAGTCCAACTATTTGTCAGACTTTCGTAGGTCAAGCTCTTCAACCAGTTAGAGATAAGTTTTCAGACTGTTATTCATTACGTTGATATTTGATGTGCTGCAGAAACGAGAGACAAATTAATTGACTGTTACACATTTCTGCAAGCAGAGGTTGCCAACGCAGGACTGGCAATAGCATCTGGTAAGATTCAAACCTCTACTCCTTTTCATTATTTAGGGATGCAGATAGAAAATAAAAAAATTAAGCCACAAAAAATAGAAATAAGAAAAGGCACATTAAAAACATTAAATGATTTTCAAAAATTGCTAGGAGACATTAATTGGATTTGGCCAACTCTAGGTATTCCTACTTATGCCATGTCAAATTTGTTCTCTATCTTAAGAGGAGACCCAGACTTAAATAGTAAAAGAATATTAACCCGAGAGGCAACAAAAGAAATTAAATTAGTGGAAGAAAAAATTCAGTCAGTGCAATAAATAGAATAGATCCCTTAGCCCCACTCCAACTTTTGATTTTTGCTACTGCACATTTTCCAACAGGCATCATTGTTCAAAATACTGATCTTGTGGAGTGGTCATTCCTTCCTCACAGTACAATTAAGACTTTTACATTATACTTGGCTCAAATAGCTACATTAATTGGTCAGGCAAGATTACGAATAATAAAATTGTGTGGAAATGACCCAGACAAAATAGTTGTCCCTTTAACCAAGGAACAAGTTAGACAAGCCTTTATCAATTCTGGTGCATGGCAGATTGGTCTTGCTGATTTTGTGGGAATTACTGATAATCATTACCCAAAAACAAAAATCCTCCAGTTTTTAAAATTGACTACTTGGATTTTACCTAAAATTACCAGTCACGGACCTTTAGAAAATGCTCTGACAGTATATACTGATGGTTCCAACAATGGAAAAGCAGCTTACACAGAGCCAAAAGAGCAAGTAATCAAAACTCAGTATCAATTGGCTCAAAGAGCAGAGTTGGTTGCAGTCATTACAGTGTTATAAGATTTTGATCAATCTATCAATATTGTATCAGATTCTGCATATGTAGTACAGGCTACAAGGGATGTTGAGACAGCTCTAATCAAATATAGCATGGATGATCAGTTAAACCAGCTATTCAATTTATTACAACAAACTGTAAGAAAAAGAAATTTCCCATTTTATATTACTCATATTCGAGCACACACTAATTTACCAGGGCCTTTGACTAAAGCAAATGAACAAGCTGACTTACTGGTATCATCTGCATTCATAAAAGCACAAGAACTTCATGCTTTGGCTCATGCAAATGCAGCAGGATTAAAAAACAAATTTGATGTCACATAGAAACAGGCAAAAAATATTGTACAACATTGCACCCAGTGTCAAGTCCTACACCTGCCCACTCAAGAGGCAGAAGTTAATCCCAGAGGTCTGTGTCCTAATGCGTTATGGCAAATGGATGTCACGCATGTACCTTCATTTGGAAGATTATCATGTGTTCATGTAACAGTTGATACTTACTCACATTTCATATGGACAACCTGCCAGACAGGAGAAAGTACTTCCCATGTTAAAAAACATTTATTATCTTATTTTGCTGTAATGGGAGTTCCAGAAAAAATTAAAACTAACAATGGACCAGGATACTGTAGTAAAGCTTTCCAAGAAAATTACACATACAACAGGAATTCCCTATAATTCCCAAGGACAGGCCATAGTTGAAAGAACTAATAGAACACACAAAACTCAATTAGTTAAACAAAAAGAAGGGGGAGACAGTAAGGAGTGTACCACTCCTCAGATGCAACTTAATCTAGCACTCTATACTTTAAATTTTTTAAACATTTATAGAAATCAGACTACTACTCCTGCAGAACAACATCTTACTGGTAAAAAAAAGAATAGCCCACATGAAGGAAAACTGATTTGGTGGAAAGACAACAACAATAAGACATGGGAAATAGGGAAGGTGGTAACGTGGAGGAGAGGTTTTGCTTGTGTTTCACCAGGAGAAAATCAGCTTCCTGTTTGGATACCAACTAGACATTTGAAGTTCTACAATGAACCTGTCGGAGATGCAAAGAAAAGCACCTCCACGGAGACAGAAACACTGCAATCAAGCACCATCAACTCACAAGATAAAATGGTGATGTCAGAAGAATAGATGAAGTTGCCATTCACCAAGAAGGCAGAGCCGCCGACTTGGGCACAATTAAAGAAGCTGACACAGTTAGCTAAAAAAGGCCTTGAGAACACAAAGGTGACACAAACTCCAGAGAGTATGCTGCTTGCAGCTTTGATGATTGTATCAATGGTGGTAAGTCTCCCCATGCCTGTAGGAGCAGCTGCAGCTAATTATACCTACTGGGCCTGTGTGCCTTTCCTGCCCTTAATTCGGGCAGTCGCATGGATGGATAATCCTATTGAAGTATATGTTAATAACAGTGTATGGGTACCTGGCCCCACAGATGATCACTGCCCTGCCAAACCTGAGGAAGAAGGAATGACGATAAATATTTCTACTGGGTATCGTTATCCTCCTATTTGTCTAGGGAGAACACCAGGATGTTTAATGCCTACAATCCAAAATTGGTTGGTAGAAGTACTTACTTACTGTACCACCAGTAGATTCACTTATCACATGGTAAGCGGAATGTCACTCAGGCCACAGGTAAATTATTTACAGGACTTTTCTTATCAAAGATCATTAAAATGTAGGCCTAAAGGGAAACCTTGCCCCACGGAAATTCCCAAGGTATCAAAAGACACAGAAGTTTTAGTTTAGGAAGAATGTGTGGCCAATAGTGTGGTGATATTACAAAATGATGAATTTGGAACTATTATAGATTGGGCACCTCGAGGTCAATTCTACCACAATTGCACAGGACAAACTCAGTCATGTCCCAGTGCACAAGTGAGTCCAACTGTTGATAGTGACTTAACAGAAAGTTTAGACAAACATAAGCACAAAAAATTACAGTCTTTCTACCCTTGGGAATGGGGAGAAAAAGGAATCTCTACTCCAAGACCAAAAATAATAAGTCCTGTTTCTGGTCCTGAACATCCAGAATTATGGAGGCTTACTGTGGCCTCATACCGCATTAGAATTTGATCTGGAAATCAAGCTATAGAAACAGGAGATCATAAGCCATTTTATACTATCGACCTAAATTCAAGTCTAACGGTTTCTTTACAAAGTTGTATAAAGCGCCCTTATATGCTAGTTGTAGGAAATATAGTTATTAAACCAGACTCCCAAACTATATAACCTGTGAAAATTGCAGATTGTTTACTTGCATTGATTCAACTTTCAATTGGCAGCACCGTATTCTGCTAGTGAGAGCAAGGGAAGGCGTGTGGATCCCTGTGTCCATGGACCGACAGTGGGAGGCCTCGCCATCCATCCATATTTTGACTGAAGTATTAAAAGTCATTTTAAATAGATCCAAAAGATTCATTTTTACTTTAATTGCAGTGATTATGGGATTAATCGCAGTCACAACTACAGCCGCTGTGGCAGGAGTTGCATTGCACTCTTCTGTTCGGACAGTAAACTTTGTTAATGATTGGCAAAAGAATTCTACAAGATGGTGGAATTCACAATCTGGTATTGATCAAAAATTGGCAAATCAAATTAATGATCTTAGACTGTCATTTGGATGGGAGATAGGCTCATGAGCTTAGAACATCATTTCCAGTTACAGTGTGACTGGAATACGTCAGATTTTTGTATTACACCTGGAGTTTATAATGAGTCTGAGCATCACTGGGACATGGTTAGATGCCGTCTACAGGGAAGAAAAGATAATCTCACTTTAGACATTTCCAAATTAAAAGAACAAATTTTTGAAGGATCAAAGCCCATTAAATTTGGTACCAGGAACTGAGGCAATCATGGAGTTGCTGATGGTCTCACAAATCTTAACCCTGTCACTTGGGTTAAGACCATCGGAAGTTCTACTATTGTAAATTTCCTATTAATCCTTGTGTGCCTGTTCTGTCTGTTGTTAGTCTGCAGGTGTACCCAACAGCTCCAAAGAGACAGCGACCATCGAGAACGGGCCATGATGACGATGGCGGTTTTGTCCAAAAGAAAAGGGGGAAATGGGAAAAGAGAGATCAGACTGTTACCGTGTCTATGCAGAAATAAGTAGACATAAGAGACTCCGTTTTGTTCTGTACCAAGAAAATTCTTCTGCCTTGAGATGCTGTTAATCTGTAACCCTAGCCCCAACCCTGTGCTCACAGAGACATGTGCTGTGTTGACTCAAGGTTTAATGGATTTACCAAAGGGCTATGCAGGATGTACTTTGTTAAAAAAAAGTGCTTGAAGGCAGTATGCTTGTTAAAAGTCATCACCATTCTCTAATCTCAAGTACCCAGGACACAATACACTGTGGAAGGCCACAGGGACCTCTGCCTGGGAAAGCCAGGTATTGCCCAAGATTTCTCCCCATGTGATAGCCTGAGATATGGCCTCATGGGAAGGGTAAGACCTGACTGTCCCCCAGCCCGACATCCCCCAGCCCGACACCCGAAAAGGGTCTGTGCTGAGGAGGATTAGTAAAAGAGGAAGGCCTCTTTGCAGTTCAGATAAGAGGAAGTCATCTGTCTCCTGCTCGTCCCTGGGCAATAGAATGTCTCAGTGTAAAACCCAATTGTATGTTCTATTTACTGAGATAGGAGAAAACCACCTTAGGGCTGGAGGAGAGACATGCTAGTGGTAATACTGCTCTTTAATGCACCGAGATGTTTGTACACGTGCACATCAAGGCACAGCACCTTTTCTTAACCTTGTTTACGACACAGAGACTTTTGTTTACATGTTTTCCCGCTGACCCTCTCCCCACTATTACCCTATTGTCCTGCCACATCCCCCTCTCCGAGATGGTAGAGATAATGATCAATAAATACTGAGGGAACTCAGAGACCAGTAAGCACCGGTCCCCTGGGCCCACTTTTCTTTCTCCACACTTTGTCTCTGTCTCTTTCTTTTCTCAGTCTCTCGTTCCACCTGACGAGAAACACCCACAGGTATGGAGGGGCAGGCCACCCCTTCAGATCTTGAACTTCTGCCCTCAGGTGATCTCCCTGCCTTGGCCTCCCAAAGTGGTGGGATTACAGGTGTGAGCCACCGTGTTCGGCCTAAATCGTGCTTCCTAAGTTAAAAATGGCATTATTAGCAAAATGGAGATTACTGGTAATCTTCACAATAATAGTTTTGGCAGAATAATGGGAGCAAGTTCTGACTGAACCAGATTCAAAAGAATGAGAGAAGATAAAATACTGGCAAACCGAATCCAGCAGCACATCAAAAAGTTTATCTACCCATGATCAAGTGGGCTTCATCCCTGGGATGCAAGGCTGGTTCAACATATGCAAATCAATAAATGTAATCCAGCATATAAACAGAACCAAAGACAAAACCACATGATTATCTCAATAGATGCAGAAAAGGCCTTTGACAAAATTCAACAGCCCTTCATGCTAAAAACTCCCAATAAATTAGGTATTGATGGGATGTATCTCAAAATAATAAGAGCTATTTATGACAAACCCACAGCCAATATCATACTGAATGGACAAAAACTGGAAGCATTACAAGACAGGGATGCCCTCTCTCATCACTCCTATTCAACATAGTGTTGGAAGTTCTGGCCAGGGCAATCAGACAGGAGAAAGAAAGAAAGGGTATTCAATTAGGAAAAGAGGAAGTCAAATTGTCCCTGTTTGCAGATGACATGACTGTATATTTAGAAAACCCCATAGTCTCTGCCCGAAATCTCCTTAAGCTGATAAGCAACTTCAGCAAAGTCTCAGGATACAAAATCAATGTGCAAAAATCACAAGCATTCTTATACACCAATAACAGACAAACAGCCAAATCATGAGTGAACTCCCATTCACAATTACTTCAAAGACAATAAAATACCTAGGAATCCAACTTACAAGGGATGTGAAGGACCTCTTCAAGGAGAACTACAAACCACTGCTCAGTGAAATAAAAGAGAACACAAACAAATGGAAGAACATTCCATGCTCATGGATAGGAAGAATCAATATCGTAAAATGGCCATACTGAATCAATGATGAATCAAGAATCAATAAAATGGCCATACTGCCCAAGGTAATTTATAGATTCAATGCCATCCCCATCAAGCTACCAATGACTTTCTTCACAGAATTGGAAAAAAACTAAAGTTCAATATGGAACCAAAAAAGAACCCGCATTGCCAAGCCAATCCTAAGCCAAAAGAACAAAGCTGGAGGCATCATGCTACCTGACCTCAAACTATACTACAAGGCTACAGTAACCAAAACAGCATGGTACTGGTACCAAAACAGAGATATAGATCAATGGAACAGAACAGAGCCCTCAGAAATAATACCACCCATCTACAACCATCTGATCTTTGACAAACCTGACAAAAACAAGAAATGGGGAAAGGATTCCCTATTTAATAAATGGTGCTGGGAAAACTGGCTAGCCATATGTAGAAAGCTGAAACTGGATCCCTCCCTTACACCTTATATAAAAATTAATTCAAGATGGATTAAAGACTTAAATGTTAGACCTAAAACCATAAAAACCCTAGAAGAAAACCTAGGCAATACCATTCAGGACATAGGCATGGGCAAGGACTTCATGTCTAAAACACCAAAAGCAATGGCAACAAAAGCCAAAATTGACAAATGGGATCTAATTAAACTAAAGAGCTTCTGCACAGCAAAAGAAACTACCAACAGAGTGAACAGGCAACCTAAAGAATGGGAGAAAATGTTTGCAATCTACCCATCTGACAAAGGGCTAATATCCAGAATCTACAAAGAACTCAAATTTATAAGAAGAAAACAACCCCATCAAAAAGTCGGCAAAGGATATGAACAGACACTTCTCAAAAGAAGACATTTATGTAGCCAACAGACACATATGCAGCCAACAGACACATGGAAAAATGCTCATCATCAACTGGCCATCAGAGAAATGCAAATCAAAACCACAATGAGATACCATCTCACACCACTTAGAATGGCAATCATTAAAAAGTCAGGAAACAACAGGTGCTGGAGAGGATGTGGAGAAACAGGAACACTTTTACACTGTTGGTGGGACTGTAAACTAGTTCAACCATTGTGGAAGACAATGTGGCAATTCCGCAAGGATCCAGAACTAGAAATACCATTTGACCCAGCTATCCCATTACCTGGTATATACCCAAAGGATTATAAATCATGCTGCTATAAAGACACATGCACACGTATGTTTATTGCAGCACTATTCACAATAGCAAAGACTTGGAACCAACCCAAATGTCCATCAATGATAGACTGGATTAAGAAAATGTGGCATATATACACCATGGAATACTATGCAGCCATAAAAAAGGATGAGTTCATGTCCTTCGTAGGGACATGGATGACGCCGGAAACCCATTCTTAGCAAACTATCTCAAGGACAAAAAAACAAACACCACATGTTCTCACTCATAGGTGGGAATTGAACAATGAGAACACTTGGACACAGGAAGGGGAACATCACACAATGGAGCCTGTTGTGGGGTCGGGGGAGGGGGAAGGGGGGAGGAATAGCATTAGGAGATATACCTAATGTAAATGACGAGTTAATGGGTGCAGTACACCAACATGGCACATGTATACATATGTAACAAACCTGCACGTTGTGCACATGTACCCTAGAACTTAAAGTATAATAAAAAAAAAAAAAGACAAAAAAAAAATGAGAGAAGAGCTGGAGTTAGGGAATATGGAAAATTCTTTTGTATTTTTCTGTAAAAAGTAGCAAAGAAATGGAGCTATATCAAGAGGAAAATGTGTGTCAAAATATTTGGTTTTGTTTTTTTTCCTTTTAAGATAGAAGAAATTAAGGCATGTTTGTATGCTGATGAAAATTATTGTAAAAGATATGGACAAGTTCATGTTAGAAGAGACAAAGGGCAATTGCTTCAACAGTGTCCTTAAAAATATGAGAAGGAATGGAATTCAGTATACAAGTGAGGGTACTGGGCTTAAGTAAAGGCACAAAAAGGTTACATGTTAATAGGAAAAGAGGTTGAATTAGTATAGATGAAGGTAGGTAAACAGACAAGGAAGCAAGAATCTCTCTTCTCTTCTGCTAGCTTCAGTTTTCTCAGTGAGATCAGCTCAGGGACATCATCTAAGAGCCAGGCAAGAGGATGAATAGTCATGACCATTATGTAACCAACAACTTAGCTCCTAAATAAACAAAAACTAGCAGACATATAGAGAAATTAATCACCGTCATAGTAGAGAATAGAATATAAACAGACCAGAAATAAAAACAAGGAAGACTATAACATAATTAGTAATATAGGAAGATAGATAAAACTGACATAAAATGTTTTTAATTATCACATTAGCATAAAACTAAAAATTATAAAAACATAGAAAAAACATATAATCCTAGAATTAAGTTACTAAGACAATTCTATATGATGTTTGTTATAGAAGGAAATAAAAATAAAATTTTAAAACAATTTAGAGCCAAATAGCAAAAGAAACTTTGTGTGAAATCCCAAGAAATCAGCTAAAATTGTACCCAGGGAAATTTACAGTCTTAAGTGCATTTATTAAAAAACAAGAAATACTATAGTTAAGAGAATTAAGATTTCACCTCAAGAAGAAGTGAGCAAAAAGCATAACTAAAAACCAAAATATAAGTGAGATAAAAAATCAGAAAATGAGTAAATTAGAAACGTAGAAACAGCAGAAATAATTAGCAAAATCAAAATACCAAAATTATTTGAAAATATCCATAAATAATACAAAAAAAGTGACGTGTAGAAAAAAATTAGATTTAGCACAAATCCAAAGCACTGGAGAGAAAAAGGTAACCATAAATTGAGGAGTTAAAAAGTGTTTATGAGAGATTATGGGAGTGACGTCAGCAAGATGGCAGAAATAGGAGGTAACCCACTCATATCCCCTCACGAGAATTCTGCACCCATCCACAGATAAAAGTCTCTTTGCAGAAGCTTTGGAATTCAGGTAGGAGGTTGTAAAACTTGAGTAAAGCCCAAGACCTAGGAAAGTCATTTTGAGAGTGCAGACTGGCACGCAGGTGGCTGATCTCCCATGCTGATCCCATGTTCAAAGCTTGAAAATGGCCCCATTCCCCAGAGGGCTTGGCTACAGCCCCATTTGGCCTTGGGCGTGCAATCAAAACCATCTGCCTAAAGGTCCAGGAGGAATCATGCACACTAGTGTCTAGGTGGAGAGTCTCTTATGCCTGCTGACAACAGTCCTGGTAGTGAACCTCACAGTTGCTCTGTGGCTTAGCTCCAGCCTCCTCAGCTGGGGGTGCCAGCTCAGAACCGCTCATACAAGGATCCAGAGTAAGATTCATCCGTATCTCATGGTTTGGGAGTTGGAGTCTTCACGATGGGCTCACCAACCTCTGTCCCACAGCAGACCTTGAGGAAGCCCAGTCTTTGCCTTGGGCCCTCCTGCAATAACTGGAGAACTATCCCCTCCGTGTAGACACGGTGGGAGACACACCCATGTGGGCTGAGATGGGCTCATCAGCTGCCATCCCATAGCACATCCTCAGGGGGTCCAGGCTCAGCTCCAGCACCTCCCACTGCAGTCAGGGAACTATTCCATCTGTGCATGGAAGCCTCTGTCCCACAGCAGATCCCGAGAGGGCCCAGTCTAAGCTCTAGCCCCTCCTGTTGCAGTCATAGAACTACCCCATCTGTGCAGAGACATGCTGGGAGATGTACACCTGTCTAAGCCAACAAGATAGGCTTGCCAGCCTCTGTCCTGTAGGACAGCAAATCCTGAGGGGGCCCAGTCTCAGCTCCAGCCCTCTCACTGTAATTAGAGACCTATCTTGCCTGTGCAAGGACCTGCTGAAGGCACACCCATCTGGGCCACCAGGACAGTCTTCTGGGCTCAGGTCCCTGTCTGGACTCCCATACAGCACCAGTATCCTTCTTGGGTTTTCTCTAGGTCCACCCAGGTGGAGAGCCACAACAACCTTGGAGCCCTTGCAAGGCTAGCAGGAAGCCTGGGCTTAATGCCCTTTAATGCTGAGATGGATGCAGTGGTTACAGGCTCAAGGGAATACAACAGATAGATAGTCTGCTTAGAATGTCTGGAAGGCCTTTGGAAGAAGGATGGGCACAAACAAAGCTAGACTGTGAACTTGATTGATTGACTGATTGATTGATTGAGATGGAGTCTTGCTCTGCTGCCCAGGCTGGAGTGCAGTGGCATGATCTCAGCTCACTGCAACCTCTGCCTCCAGGGTTCAAGCAATTCTCCTGTCTCAGCCTCCTGAGTAGCTGGGACTACAGGCACACACCACCATGGCCAGCTAATTTTTGTATTTTTAGTAGAAATGGGGTTTCACCATATTGGTCAGGCTGGTCTTGAACTCCTGACCTCAGGTGATCCACCCGCCTCAGCTTCCCAAAGTGCTGGGATTACAGGCGTGAGATACCAGGTTCCGGCCTGCAAACTCTTGAATAAATTGCTCAGTGCACAGACATCACGTGTCCATAAACATCAAGAACATTCAGGAAAATATGAGCTCAACAAATGAACAAAATAAGGTGCTAATGACTGACAAAATCAATGTACAAAAATAAGTAGCATTTCCATAGGCCAACAGGAAACTGTGAAAAGGAAATCAATCCCATTTATAATAGATAGCAAAAAAAAAAAAAAAAGGAATAAATTTAACCAAAGAGGCAAGAGTTTTACAATGAGAACTATAAACATTGACAAAAGAAATTAAAGAGGAAACTAATAAGTGGAAATATTTTCCATGTTCATGGATCAGAAGAATTAACATTGTTAAAATGTCCATACTACCCAAAACAATCTACAAATGCTATGCAATCCCTATCAAAATACCACCAATGACACTGCACAGAAATACAAAGAAGAATCCTAAAATTCATATGGAACCACAAAAGTCCCCAAACAGCCAAAGCAATTTTTTTTTTTTGAGATGGAGTTTTGCTCTTGTCGCCCAGGCTGGAGTGCAATGGCACACTCTTGGCTCACTGCAACCTCCACCTCCCAGGTTCACGTGATTCTCCTGCCTCAGCCTCCTGAGTAGCTGGGATGACAGACGCCTGCCACCACACCCAGCAATTTTTTGTATTTTTAGTAGAGATGGGGTTTCGCCATGTTGGCCAGGCTGGTCTCAAACTCCTGGCCTCAGGTGATCCACCTGCCTCAGCCTCCCAAAGTGTTAGGATTACAGGTGTGAGCCACTGCGCCAGGCCGCCAAAGCAATCTTGTACAAAAAGAACCAAGCTGGAGGCATCAAACTCCATGACTTGAAAATATACTACAAAACAATAGTAACCAAACAGTATGGTATTGGCATGAAAACAGACACATAGACAAATGGAACAGGATAGAGAACCCAGGAAAAAAAAAATCCAAGTATTTGCAGCCAACTGATTTTCAACAAGAAGGCCAAGAACACACATTGGGAAAAGGATACTTTCTTCAGTAAATGTTGCTGGGAAAACTGAATATCCACCTGCAAAAGAATGAAACTAGACCCCTGTCTCACCACTCAACTCAAAATGGATTAAAGACTTAAATGTAAGACTGGAAACTATGAAACCAGTAGAAGAAAACACAGGGAAACAGACACTGATCTGGGCAAGGATTTTTTAATAATACCTCAAAAGCACTGACAAATGCAAAAACAGATAAACATACTACATCAAAGTAAAAAGCTTCTGTACAGCAAAGGAAATGAGAGTAAAGAGACAACCTACAGCCTGGGCATGGTGGCTCACATCTATAATCCCAGCTCTTTGGGGGGCCCAGGCGGGCAGATCACAAGGTCAGGAGACTGAGACCATCCTGGCTAACACAGTGAAACACCGTCTCTACTAAAAATACAAAAAATTAGCCGGGCGTGGTGGCATGTGCCTGTAGTCCCAGCTACTCTGGAGGCTGAGGCAAGAGAATCACTTGAACCTGGCAGGCGGAGGTTGTAGTGAGCCGAGATTGCACCACTGCACTCCAGCCTGGGTGACAGAGCGAGACTCCATCTCAAAGCAAACAAAAAAGAGACAACCTACAGAATGGAAGAAAATATTCACAAACTATGCATCTAATAAGGTGTTAATACCAAGAATATATAAGAAAGTCAACTCAACAGCAAAAAAACAAATAATCTGATTAAAAAATAGTCAAAAGATTTGAATAGGCATTTCTCAAGACATACAAATGGCAAACAGGTAAATGAAAAAATGCTCAATATCACTAATTATAGGGAAATGCAAATCGAAGCTACAATCAGATATCACCTCACTGCTGTTAGAATGGCTATTAAAAAGACAAAAGATAACAAATGCTGGTAAAAATGTGGAAAAAGGGGGAACTCTTACACACTCTTGGTGGGAATGTAAATTAGCACAGCCATTATGGAAAATAGTATGGAGGTTTCTCAAAAAAGTAAACATAGAACTACCATATGATCCAACAATCTAACTACTGGGTATACATCCAAAGGAAAGGAAATCAGTATGTCAAAGAGGCATCTGCATTCCCATGTTTACTGCAGCACTATCCACAATAGCAATAACATGGACTCGAACTCAGTGTCCATCAAAAGATAAATGGATTTTCAAAAATGTGGTATATATGCAGAATAGAATACTATTAACCTATAAAAATGAATAAAATCCTGTTATTTTTGACAACTTGGATGAAGCTAGAGGACATTATATTAAGTGAAATACGCCAAGAACAGGACAAATATCACATGATCTCACTCATATGTGGAACCTAAAAAAGTTGATCTCATATAAGTAGAGAGTAGAACAGTGGTTACCAGATGCTGAGGGGGTGGCTGGGAAGAGATTGGTCTATGGGTACAAAGTTATAGTTAGATAGGAGAAATAAGTTCTGATGTACTATTGCACAATAAGGTGACTATATAGTCAACAAAAATGTCCTGAATGCCTGCAGATAGCTAGAAGAGAGCATCTTGAATGTCCTAACCACAAAGAAATGACAAGTGTTTGAGGTGACAGATATGCTAATTATCCTGATTTGATAATTACACAATACACATATGTATAAAACATCACATGGTAGCCCATAAATATGTGCATTATGTTTCAACTAAAATAAAACAAAACTTTTAAAAGTGTTTATGAAAAAACCTATTAACGCAACAGTAAATTAGAACTGGATGAAACAGATGAAAAACATGAAAAATAACCCATGAAGATATAATAACTGATATACAGCAATAACCACATAAAAAATTTAAATTTGAGCTCAGTGTCTGTGCTCCTAAAAGGCAATAGATACCTATGACTGATGATCATTTGTATCTGCTGGTCATAGTACCTATTATATCTAATATTCAAGGCAATAGATTCCAGTGACTGGTAGGTTTACTGGCAATATTATCCAAACATTAAAGAATATATAGGCCGGGTGTGGTGGCTTATACCTGTAATCCCAGCACTTTGAGAGGCCAAGGCAGGTAGATTGCCTGAGCCCAGGAGTTCGAGACTAGTCTGGGCAATGTGGCAAAACCTCATCTCTACAAAAACTACAAAAATTAGCCAGGCATGGTGGCACATGCCTGTAGTCTCAACTAGGATCACCTGGGCTCAGGGAGGTGGAGGCTGCAGTGAGCTGTGATCAGGCCACTGCACTCCAGCCTAAGTGACAGAGGGAGACCCTGTCTCAAAAAAAAGAAAAAAGGATATATAATTCCAATCGTACATAACTGTTGTTGAACATATAAAAATATTGTAATCTACCCTAGTCATTTTACAAAGTTAAATTAACTAGTATAACAGCATTGAAAAATGACCTTAGGAAAACGAAGCCAATCTCGTGAACAAAGGTAAAATTTTAAAAGAAAATATTAGGAACATAGAATCTAGCTGTGTATTTAAGGCATAACACATCATGATCATATAAACTTTATCCCACAAATGCAGGAATAATTCAACATCAGAGTCCATTTTCCCACATAAAGAACTTAAAGAATAAAATAGCATGATTTCAAGAAATGCAAAAAAATTTTTAATATATTCTAAGACCTTTTATTAAAAGTTCTCTAAAACTGGAATTAGGTAAAAACCTAGTTAAGAGTATCTACCAGATGTCTATAGAAATACATTTAATAGTTAAACATTAGAAACACTGCCAATAAAGTTTGAGAAAAGATAAGAATGATTTGTTTTCAAATTCCGCTACAGGGTCCTACTGAATTTAGTTGCCTTTTTTTAAAGGTACAAACAGAAAAGGAAGAGACCACATATTGTATGTAGAGAGCAAAACTGTCCACCTAGAAATCCACTATAATCCACTGAAAAACTATATTTCCATAAGATTTTCAATTTATAGAAATCAATACTTTCTCATATATAATATATATCAGTATTAGCCATTTAGAAAATGTTACAGAACAAAATATTCCTATTCATATTATAAACAAAATGTACTGAGAAATTGCTTAAGAAATGTGCAAGATCTTTTAAGAAAAAACCATGAAACTAATCCCAGCACTTTGGGAGGCCGAGGCAGGCAGATCACAAGGTCAAGAATTCAAGACCAGCCTGGCCAACATAGTGAAACCCTGTCTCTACTAAAAATACAAGAATTATCTGGGTGTGGTGGCAGGTGCCTGTAGTCCCAGCTACTTGGGAGGCTGAGGCAGGAGAATCCCTTGAACTGGGGAGTCGGAGGTTGCAGTGAGCCGAGATCACGCCACTGCACTCCAGCCTGGGTGACACAGCGAGACTCTGTCTCAAAAAAAAAAAAAAGAATAAGAAAAAACCATGAAACTTTACAGAGAACATAAAAAGAAAAGCAGATTTAGCATGCTGAACAATAAAAGGATTCAATATTGTTAATATGTAAATGGTGCATCCGATTTCTTAAAAAACACTAACAAATACTGGAAAAATATGACAGATGTCCTTTTAAAAGTATGTGAAGCATAAAAGAAAGTAAACAAGATCCAGGGGTGCTACAATGAAGTAGGAACCAGAAAGTAGATGGAGTAAATATGCTCTGAAGTTACAGTTACCCTTGGGATATTTGTTGATTTTAATTACCTAGATGTTTGTATATTAATGGTCTGAAAAAACTGAACAGACAAGACCTTTCCTCAACAAAAGAGCAGGGATTACAAACAAACCTCTTTACAAAATTGGAAATATTCAAGACATAAAGTTCAGAGAAAGAAAAACAAATCCAGCAAACCTTAAAGGAAAATGACAAGGGACTTTTCAGTCTTGGCCTGGACTCTCAAAGAAAAGGAGAAAAAAAGTGCTATGGATAATTCATCATTACACAAGAGTCCCCATGGATACAAGAAACAGCAAAATTAGACCTGTTTCCCAGAAATTGGGATTGTATGACACATAAGTGCTGGAAATATATGAAAGTATAAGATAAAAACCATGAGAAAGGGATGAGCTTAAAAAAAAAAGATCTGGGAGAGGGGGAGAACATCAAACATCTAGAAGTGAAACAATATAATCAATTACATTTAAATCTTAAAGAAAAAAATCTTAAAAGCAGCCAGAGAAAATACAGATTACTTACAAAAGGAATAACAATGAAACAGATGGCAGACTTCTCAAGAGCAACAATAGAAGCCAGAGGACAGTGGAATAATATCTTCAGAGTGCTGAGAAAAAAATAATTGTCAGTATAGAATTTTATACCTAGTTAAATCATCAGGCAAGAATGACAGTGAAACAAGGTTATTTTGCAACAATGACAAAAACAAACACTTAGAGCATTTATTAACAATAAGACAGGCCGGGGGTGGTAGCTCACACTTGTAATCCCAGCACTCTGGGAGGTGGAGGTGGGTGGATCACCTGAGGTCAGGAGTTCGAGACCAGCCTGGCCAACATGGCGAAACCCCGTCTCTACTAAAAATTAAAAAATAAGCTGGGCTTGGCTGCGGGCGCCTGTAATCCCAGCTACTGGGGAGGCTGAAGTAGGAGAATCGCTTGAACCTGGGAAGCGGAGGTTGCAGTGAGCCGAAATTGCGCCACTGCACTACAGCCTGGGCAACAAGAATGAGACCCCATCTCAAAAAAGAAAAGAAAAGAAAAGAAAAAAATAAAACCAATAAGCCTTCCCTAATGTATTTCATGATAAATAAAATATCCCAGAAGGAAGGTATAATGAAAGAGGAATAGCATACAAATAAAAGATAATTACATCAACAAATCCACAAGCAAACATTGCCATTATGAAACAAAAATAATGCCCATTTTGTAGGTTAAAAAAAGAACAGAACTAAAATACCAGACAACAATACCAGATTGGAGAAACAGATCAAAGTTAAAGCATTTCAATATCCTTTAATTATCTTAAGGAAAGTTAGACATGAATTTTAGACTTCACTAAATTAAGCATGTATTTGTCAAGTGACACAAACAATAATGATAATTACTAAAGTACCAAAACAGGCAGAAATACCCCCAAAGTATTTAAATTCACCGGCAATGGCAGAAATGTTCTTCTGTTTTTCATCTACAAATCAACAAAGATATTTCTTTTTTTTTTTTTTTTTTGAGACAGAGTCTCTCTCTATCACTAGGCTGGAGTGCTGTGGCGCGATCTTAGCTCACTGCAACCTCCGCCTCCCAGGTTCAAGCGATTCTCCTGCCTCAGCCTCCTGAGTAGCTGGGATTACAGGCATGTGCCACCACACCTACCGAATTTTTGTATATTTAGTAGAGATGGGATTTCATCATGTTGGCCAGGATGGTCTTGATCTCTTGACCTCGTGATCTGCCCGCCTCAGCCTCCCAAAGTGCTGGGATTACAGGCGTGAGCCACCGCGCCTGGCCTTAACAAAGATATTTCTACGTGCTAATAGCCACTGTTGATAAAGTATATAATAGATATACATTGCTGGTATACTTCTGATAAGAATTCTGTGACAATAAAATATATATTTGACATAGAGATGTCAATTTCTTATCTCTCCTTAGAACCTCAACTAATTGCCACAAAGGTTACCAATTTATTTCACAGTAGATACTATTATTTATATGTCTGTTTTTCAACTTGCTGGCCTTGAAATCCTAGGGGTGGAGATAGAGCAAGTTTATTGCAAAGCAATATGCAAACCAAATATTGTATGTGGACTGAATAAATATGTTTTAGTATCCATCAAAATATATAATGTCCATTAAATATATAATTTTCAGACACAATTACAATCAATAAAAACTATAAAATACCATTGACATTAAAAGGAATTAGGTACACATGATAAAAATTTAAAGATAACTTTTAAAAATAAATAAATACTGTACGTTTTCCAAACAAAACAAGGGGGAAAATGGAGTTGCAAAAAATAAAACACGATTGTATCCACCCTCATTAAGGAGGGAGAAAGTTTTTTAAGCCCGTAAGATAAAAAGAGGAAACAAAAAGCATAAAATAGGGGATAAATAAATCCAAGTATATTGGTAATAAATTAAATGGAGTGAACATTCAATTAAAAAAAATTCTCAGATAATACCACAGTGCAGTGGTTATCAAACATGGCTAAACATTTGAAAAACCTAGAGAATTTCAAAAAATATGATACTCATGTACCATGCCTAGAAATTATTATTTAATTGGTCTGGGGTGTGGCCTGGGCTGTGGAATTTTTTAAAAGACCGTAGCTATTTCTAAAGTACACACAAGTTTGGCAACCATTTCCATATTATTTCTGCACAATTCAGTGGCTTTTAGTATACCCACTGAGATGTGCAACAATCACAACAATCTAATTTTTAAACATTTTTTCACCCCCAAGAGAAATGCTGTCTGTGTTCATTAGCAGTCACTTCTCATCTCCCCACTCCCCATTCTCCATCTGTTCTACCTCTTCCCCATCCCCAGTGCTGGGTAACCAGTAACCTACTTTCTGTCAGTATAGATTTCCCTATTGAGGACGTTTCATATAAATGCAATCATATAATATGCAGTGTTTGTATTTGGCTTCTTTCACTTGGCATGGGATATAGTTTGGATGTTTGTCCCTTCCAAATCTCATGTTGATGTAATCTAACATTGAATGTAATCTCCAGTGTCAGAGGTGGGGCTTGGTGGGAGGTGTTTGGATCATGGGGGTGGATCCCTCATGAATAGCTTCGTGCCATCTTTGTGGTAAAGAGTGAGTTCTTGGCCGGGTGCACTGGCTCACGCCTGTAGTCTCAGCACTTTGGGAGGGAGGTGGGCGGATCACGAGGTCAGGAGTTTGAGACCAGTCTGGCCAACAAGGTGAAATACCATCTCTACTAAAAATACAAAAATTAGCTGGGTGTGGTGGCAGGTGCCTGTAATCCCAGCTGCTGGGGAGGCTGAGGAAGGAGAATCGCTTGAGCCCAGGAGAAGGAGGTTGCAGTGAGCCAAGATTGGGCCATTGCACTCTAGCCTGGGCGACAGAGCAAGACTCTGTCGTGAGTTCTTACGCTATGAGTTCACGCGAGATGTGGTTGTTTAAAAGAGCCTGAATTTCCTCCTCTCTCTCTTGCCCCCTCTCTTGCCAGTGACACACCGACTCCCCCTCCCTTCCACCATGACTAAAAGCTTCCTGGACCTCACCAGAAGCCAAGCAGACACTAGTGCTATGCTCGTACAGCCTCCAGAAGCATGAGCTAAGTAAATCTCTTTTTATTATAAATTACCCAGCCTCGGGTATTTCTTTATAGCATGTTTCCAAGGTTCATCCATGTTAAAGCATGTATCAGAACTTCATTCCTTTTTATTGCTGAATAATATTTCGTTTTAAGAAAATACCAAATTTTATCCATTCATTAGTTGATGGACATTTGGGTTGTTCCCACTTTTTGGCTATTGTGAATATCAAGATATAGTGCACTTCTGCCTTCAAATCTTGAGAATGCCTGGTACTGTCAAGCTGCCAATTTATAGCATGTGAAATAACTATATCATTGTGGTTTTAATTTGCACTTTTTTTTTTTTTTTGAGACAGAGTCTCCCTCTGTCGCCCAGGCTGGAGTGCAGTGGCACAATCTCGGCTCACTGCAACCTCTGCCTCCTAGGTTCAAGCGATTCTCCTGCCTCAACCTCCAGAGTAGCTGGGATTACTGGCATGCGCCACCATGCTCGGCTAATTTTTTGTATTTTTAGTAGAGACGGGGTTTCTCCATGTTGGTCAGGCTGGTCTCGAACTCCCGACCTCAGGTGATCCGCCCTCCTCGGCCTCCCAAAGTGTTGGGATTACAGGTGTGAGCCACCGAGCCGAGCCCAAAGTTCTTAATATGTAATATTCAACTACCAAGCACATACAAGACCGCGCCCGGCCAACCATTCCCTCTTTTGAAAGTGGGAAGAATGATAATAAAAACCAACAGGGAAAGGACGCAGTAGAAATTAGGTAAGAGTCTTTAGGAAGATCATGGTGAAAAACCCTTGCTTTTCTCCTCAAGTCATAGGTTTTTTTCCACACCACTTGGGTCCTCTAGGGACATGTGTTAATCACTGACTTCCTAAAGGCTTCAGAGGAGAAAGGAAGGAAGAGGCAAGAGACAGTTTATTCCAGCACAAGGAATAAAGTTATCATGTAGGTTGGAAAATCACTTATTAAAGTTGTAATTGATACGGATTTTGTTTCATATAAAAATACTACAGAAGAAAACAATAAAGTTTCTTAGACAATCACAGGTTCCCCCTCAACTATTTTACAATAAAAGATGATTCTAGCATATTCATTCAATGTCCAATGCAAGTTCTTTTTTTTTTGTTTTTTGAGATGGAGTCTCGCTCTGTCATCCAGGCTGGAGGAGTACAGTGATGTGATCTCAGCTCACTGCAACCTCCACCTCATGGGTTCAAGCAATTCTCCTCCCTCAATCTCCTGAGTAACTGGGATTACAGGCACACACCACCATGCCCAGCTCAATTTTTGTATTTTTAGTGGAGATGGGGTTTCGCCATGTTGGCCAGGCTAGTCTTGAACTCCTGACCTCAGGTGATCTACCCACCTTGGCCTCCCAACGTGCCGGGATTATAGGCGTGAGCCACCGAGCCCAGCCCAAAGTTCTTAATATGTAATATTCAACTACCAAGCACATATAAGACAATGTGTTTGTTCTAATTAATGGGTTGTCTTCATTTGAGTTGTTGGTGAAATGCATTGATCTACTCTATCACTATACAAATGATGTAAACTCTTTTATCAGAAAAAACATACATCTCTGCATCTATTTTTTAAATCTGTGACTGGGCGTGTGAATTATTTAGAGCTCCTTTAGCAGATCTAAAGTGTAACAATGTATAGGCTGTTTTATCTGCCAATATTCCAAGTATCCCAAACTTCAAATCTAGCCCTTTGTTCATCAGGGAAGATGGTATTAGAAGGCAGTGGTAAGGCTTTTTGAAGGATGGAAAAGATAAAGGTGCCCTGAGAAACCATGTCTACTTCCAGTAATTTCAAACTCCTCCTTTGAAAAGAATAAGAAATTCAGTTAATTACTTAAAAAGGAAATTTGAAATAACAGCAGAGAAAGCAGCCAATCCAAAGGTAGATCCTGAAATATGAAGGCTAGATTCCTTACCTAGTGATACCAAGTTGCTATAGTTCTCCAACATCACATCTCTATACAAATCTCTCTGAGCAGAGTCCAGGCATTCCCACTCTTCCTGAGAGAAGTCAATGGCAACATCCCTGAACATCACTAATTTCTGAAACAACAAACAAAATGTTAATTTTGGAAATTTAAAAAATGCTTTTCTTTTTTTCTTTCTTTTTTTTTTTTTGAGATGGAGTCTTGCTCTGTCGCTCAGGCTGGAGTGCAGTGGCGCGATCTCGGCACGCTGCAACCTCCGCCTCCTAGGTTCAAGCAATTCTCCTGCCTCAGCCTCCTGAGTAGCTGGGATTACAGGCACCTGCCACTGCGCCCAGTTAATTTTTGTATTTTTAGTAGAGATAAGGTTTCATCATCTTGGCCAGGCTAGTCTCGAACTCCTGACCTTGTGATTCACCCGACTAGGCCTCCCAAAGTGCTGGGATTACAGGTGTGAGCCACTGTGCCCGGCCAAAAAAATACTTTTTCAATGGAGAGGGAGATGAAGATCCCTCCACAAAGGAAGCAACAGAGCACATGGGCTGAAAAGTACAAATATGTTCCTGATTATTCCTATTGCTATAGTTTTGTTGTTGTTGTTTTGGAGACAGGGTCTTGCTCTGTCATCCAGGCTGGAGTGCAGTGGCACCATCATAGCTCACTGCAGCCTCCAACTCCTAGGCTTAAGTGATCCTGTCTCATTCTCCTGAGTAGTTGAGACCACAGTACGTGCCACTCACAGTACATGCCACTGTGCCCTGATAATTTTCCAATTTTTTTGTAGAGACAGGGGTCTTGTTATGTTGCCCAGGCTAGTCTTGAATTCCTGGCCTTAAGGCTTAGGCCTCCCAAAGTGCTGGGATTATAGGTGTGAGCCACTGCACCTGGCCTGCTACACATATTTTCTGCATACAGAACATCTTACTTTACAGATAAGTCTGGGAATAAAATAAATGCAATGTCCCAATTAAAAGAAGTAGCATACACAAGCATTTTATACAATATGTATATTGTGTATCATACATTCTCAATAAATGTAAGTTTCTCTCTTCATTATTTAAGGAATAAACAAAATGGTAAAATTTTTCTGTAAAACCTTATAAAATAAGATTTGTATAAAATTAAAGAATTTATTGAAGCTCCAGATTCACCATTAGATCAGAGTACTATATCATAAACATTTTCCTTGTCATCAATAATTTAGTAAATATTTTATAGGCTACAGAATAGCTCCATATAATGAATATGTCTGACTTAATAAGTGCTCATATTTGAACATTTTAGGTTGTAAAAATCTTGTAAGTATTTCTTGGTTCTCAGAGTTTATAATTCTCAACAACTTCTGCTGGTGAATGATCATCTTCACTATGATCATATTTACCATTCATCCGTAAATGTAACTTTTCATCATTCTAAACAATAGAAAGGTGAAAAACATAATCCAAATTTATACATTCAAGACCAGCACATAATGTCGAATTTCAAATTGATCCATATTAAATTATATGTTCCTGGGGAAGATCCCTGATCTCTCTGTATTCAGTCCCTAATCATCTTCCTAATCTTAAAAACTCATAAAGCATGAGCGCTTGCCACATACTGAGAGTGAGCCCAGTCAAGACCAACTCCTGTCTTGTCTACCTGGGAACTTAGATCTAAAGAGAAGTTCAAAAGGTTTTCATGTGTGGTGCCATTTAACATCCTCCTCTACCTTATGAAATCAGGGAACTCTACTTTTGTTAGATCAGTGTTCCTAGTCAAAGATTACTGAACAATATACATATTGTTGAGTAAGTATGTGACTAAAGGTTAGATTCGAAAGACACACTTAGGGAAGACACTATCACTTATCAGAATGGGACAAACTGAGGAGCACATTCCTGAGTGAGGTCAGTTAGGAATGAAGTTTCAGGAGTAAGGAATACAAACACACACATGCTCTGTAAAAAAGTAAGTGAAAAGAGCACAAGGAAACTCCAATTTACCCGAGCCATGGTTTTTAGAGCTGCAAGAAATGATCAGTCCTCTTCTGGGTTCCTATCTTAGGAAAGCACAGAGTCTGGAGAATGCAGAGCTACGGAGGAGAAAGCAGAACCATGAGACCAGGTGTTTTGCAAAGTAACAAATGATTCAGTTGGAATTATCTTTGTTGTTCTTTTCTTCCTGTTTCTCCCACCCCCAAAACACACACTAAGGGGGACAGACATATGTTGTGGTTCTTAACTTGATCAAACTCAATGCTTTCTATATACAAAAAGAAAATATAACAATGTCTCTACTACTTCTGAAATGAAACTCATAGGTAATAACGACACATCTATAGATGTCAAAAATGGAGATAATGAACAACTTAATATTTCAATATATTTATGATCATACACAACTACATTAGAAGGCACAAATAATTAAATGCTTATGCCTACAATTACTTATAATGAAGAAATTTAGACTTATAAAATGACAATATGTAACTAAGTATTGTTGACACCTTTTATATTTGACATTTTGAAATAAAGGCTAAATATATGTGTGTTCATGTGTACGTATAGAATAAATAGAAATGCATTATCTATAAATGGAGGTTTCTATACATATTTGCTATAGGCAAGACAAATAACACAATTAGCATTGCCATCAATACTATAACTTTTTGAAATGGTTAAAAAAAACTCAGTAAATTTCTTAAGCGAAGTAGAGCCTTTTTCTCAATCAAATCATGGTTGCATTCCTGGAAGATACAGCTAATAGTAAAACCATCCAATAATAGGAAAGTAGATAAATTCAGCAAATTGAAAAAGTCATGCACAAAATGCATTATGTAAGAGATTCCAGACCTGGAAAATCATAAACACATTTTTTCCAGGTATGGTTCTCAATTTTGCAAATCACAGACAATTTTTTGTTATGCACTGATGGACAACTAAATCATAACTTGGCAAACTACTGTCTACCAACTAATTTTGTAAATAAGGTTTTATTGGAATACGTCCATACTCATTCAGTTATATAGTGCCTTTGGCTACTTTCACACTACAGCAGCAGAGCTGAAGAGTTGCAGCAGAGACCATGTGGCCCGCAAAGCCATATGAAATGTCTAGCCCTTTACAGAAAAAGTTGGGTAATCTCTAACCTAGATCCGAGACCTCACTCCTTCAAAAGCTAGAAATCGGCCGGGTGCAGTGGCTCACGCCTGTAATCCCAGCACTTTGGGAGGCCGAAGCGGGCGGATCACGAGGTCAGGAGATCTAGACCATCCTGGCTAACATGGTGAAACCCCGTCTCTACTAAAAATAAAAAAAATTAGCCGGGTGTGGTGGCGAGCGCCTGTAGTCCCAGCTACTCAGGAGGCTGAGGCAGGAGAATGGTGTGAACCCGGGAGGCGGAGCTTGCAGCGAGCCGAGATCGCGCCACTGCACTCCAGCCTGGGCGACAGAGTGAGACTCTGTCTCAAACAAACAAACAAAAAAGCTAGAAGTCTTTACCCTCAACCCACTTACTTTAACATTCAACAGTACCTAGATATATTTCCAAAACACCCTCTAGGGAGAATAACTGCCCCTGCAGAGAATCATTGATACAGGTGCTCAATACATTTTTAACTGAAAATTTGACTTCTTCAACATATAGATTTCTGCAAGAGATACTTGGGCCCATCCTAACAACCTAAAAATAATTCAGATAAGATGAAAAGTCATAATTTCTTTTAAATTCATCAGAGAGCTGAGGGCACAAATTTAAAAGACCTAAACTCCAAAAAAGTGCCAAGCTCTTAATTTTTATTTATTTATTTATTTATTTATTTATTTATTTATTTATTTATTTTTTTTTTTGAGACAGGGTCTCACTCTCAACCAAGCTGGAGTGCAGTGGTATGATCATAGCTTACTGTAACCTTGAACTCCTAGGCTCAAGTAATCCTCCCTCCTCAGCCTTCGAAGTAGCTAGGACTGCAGGCATGTGCCATCATACTCACCTAATTTTTACTTTTTTTGTTGGGATGAGGTTTTGCTACATTGCCCAGGCTGGTCTTGAACTCCTGGCCTCAAGCAATCCTCCTGCCTCAGCCTCCCAAAGTGATGGGATTATAGGTATAAGCCACCACATGTGGCCCTAAGCTCTTCTTAAGAGCCACATATGGATGCTCCCATCTATGGCAGAGCTTAAACTAAATTGTATTAATAATAGTTCAACCATTCCAATAAAAAAATGGTAACAAGACAAGATAAAAATGCATGTTCCAACTACATGCTCTTTACAAGAAGCACATTTTAAATATAAAGATGGGCTAAAAGTAAAATGGGAAGATACACCATCAAACTCTAATCACAAGAAAGCTTGTATGCCTATATTAGTATAAGACAAAATAGACTTCAAGATAAAGAGAAATACTAGCAATAAGGAGGATCAACTCATCAAGAAGACAGCAATCCAAATGTAGAGATTTAACAACAAAGCTTCAAAATGTGTGAAGCAAAAATTGACAGTACTAAAGGAAGAAAGAGACAAACCCACAGAGTTGGGAATTGTAAAATCTTTTGCTCAGTAACTGACAGAACAAGTAGACAATAAAATCGATAACAATATAGAGGATTTACATACCACTATATCAAGTACCTTGGCCAAGATGATAAATATATATTAATAGAATACCACACCCACTTACCAAAAGCCAAGCTGGGCTGAAGAGAACTGAGCTGCAAGGTGTTGGAATAAGTGATTAACACAACCAGCCTTTAATCACTTAGTAGTCACTTAATTTAAGAGGCTAACCCAGAGAAAGCGCTGAGTACTCCACTGTTTCACTCCCCCAACCCCAACCATGAAATAGCACCTGGAGAGGGTCAGAGAGGGTCAGGCAGATCAGTGCAAATGTGGATCAGTGCAGAAGTGAGTCATCTCACTGCTAAGGGAATGCAGAACAAAAAGCTCCTATCATTCATTTTATGGACTGGGACCAGGGGACAAGAAGACAAGGGAAGGGCTAAGAGTGAAAAAGTAGTGAGGCCTGGCTGGGCACGGTGGCTCATGCCTGTAAGCAACCCCAGCACTTGGGGAGGCCGAGGCAGGAAGATTACTTGAGGCCAGAAGTTTGAGACCAGCCTGGGCAACATAGCAAGAATCTGTCTCTACAAAATAATAATAATAATAATAATAATAATAATAATAATAATAATAAAACATCAGCCAGGCATTGTGATGCAAACCTGTAGTCCTAGCTACTTGGGAGGCTGAGGCAGGAGGATTGCTTGAACTGTCCAGGAGTTCAAGGCTGCAATGAGCTATGATCATGCCACTACACTCCAGTCTGGGCGACAGAGCAATATCCTGTCTCCAAAAATATGTTAAAAAAAAAGAAAAGAGAAGAAAGAAAAAAGAAATAAAGAAAAAAATTAAAACTACCGGATACTAAGAGTGGGGAAAGAAAGTGTCTTCAAAGTTTCCCCTCTCCCCTAGATTAGGATGTCCTCTTGGCAGAGGCACCTGATAAAGAGGCCTCCTAATGGAGGTGCCTGGGTTAGGAATGTAAACACGCATAACAGCATGGCTGGTCTGGGAGGCCTGAGTCCTGCACTGCAACTCCCTTTAGAGACTGTAATGCACTAGAAGTGCACCAAGTCTGCTGCGGGGAGGCCACCTTTCCCCTGTGTGGCCTGCCAGGAATGACCTGGTGGAGCCTGAGAACCCACACATAGGATTTTAGCAAGAGTCAGACTCTTCATTAACAACTGCGTATGGAAAGGTCATCAAAATAAACCAGATGCTGGGTCATAAAACAAGTAACAGTAAATATTTTAAAAACTGAATTATACAGAGAATATACTGTGGTCAGTGTCCACATATTATTAAATTACAAACTAGTAACAAGAATCTCCAAATATTTGGAAATTAAACATACTTCTAAATAACCCATGCAAAAAGACATTGAAAAATATGCCGAACTGAGTGACAATGGAAACACACTTATCAGATTCTGTGAGCTGCAACAAAAGCAGTATTTAGAGGAAAATTAATAGTGTTAAATGCTTATGTTAGAAAAATGATTTAGGCTCCCACCTTAGGAAGCTGGAAAAAGAAGAGCAAGTGAAGCTGAAAGTAAGAAGAAAAGAAAGAATAAAAATAAGCACAAAATCCACAATATAAAGTAGATTACAATAGAGAATATCAACAAACTCAAAAATCAATTCTTTCAAAAGATTAATACAGTTTACAAACCCCTATCAAGTTTTCAAAAAAAAATATTACCAAAGTGGAGACTGGACCACAGATTTTTTAAGGCTTTAATTAAAAAGATAATACAATTCTATGCCAATAATTTTGGCAATTTCAACAATATAGACAAATTCCTTAAAACAAAAATTGCCAAAATTCACACAAGAAAAAACAGAAATACAAATCATCCCATGGATATTAAAGAAATTGAATGTGAGAAACAAACAAATAAACTGTCCACAGAGAAGGCCCAGATGGCTTTACTGGTAAATTCTACCAATATTTAAGGCAGATATAATACTGTTCTTTCACAAACGTTTTCAGAAAACAGAAAAAGGAGACAGCAGTCTGTTCTACATTTTGAGGCCAAATAACCATAATACTAAAACCTCACAAAGATATTACATGAAAAAAGTTACAGCTCAATAGCTTCTAGGAAGACAGACATACAACAAAGTTATAAAGTATTACCAATCAAATCTATTTGACTTTGGAACCACAAGTATGTTTTCTATAACTATAATCACAAAATTAAATCAAAATGAAAAAAAATCTCTAAGAAATAAAAGCAAAATGAAACAAACTTATCTGTGCATAAAGCTGGAAGGTTAAACATATAAAGGAAGTGATTATTTTCGGGAACTTTAAAATACAGTCATTTGACATTAGACCCAATATAACCTACAAACAAAATAACTATAAACTGTTTTTCAAAGTTGTCTTAAGAGTTTATAACTTTATGAAGTTATGTCTTAGAGTTTTTCAGTAGTTATACTGTTATTAATAATATTGGCATTGTTAGTCTAAAAGTAATATATGTATATAACCTGAAATGATTATACACACACATATATCAGTGAGAATCTTAATATCATTAATCATTACGAATTAAGATTTTTTCAGATTATAAAACACAAATATAAAATCAAAGATAGTAAGAAAAACTCTATAATCTTTTATTTCAATTGGAAATATCAGTATACACTCAGGATTTTTTTTCTCCTTCTAAAAAATTTGTATTTCACCAGCTCTGTTAAGGCTATAAGCAATGACAACTAGGAGCAATGAGAGTTCCTACTATCCTTGTTGTGACTTCTTAAAAGCACTTCTTATAAAAGGAACCAGGGCTCCATAAAGAAGTGGCTGATTTTATGTTTGGGACAGGAAATTGTACAAAATGAGCCTGGAATACTCTGTCAGCACGGAAAGTCTGGAATCTGCCAAAGACTACTGGGGTCATGTCAAAAAGAATAAAAAGGAATCCAAAAGCAGACAAATCAGAGAGGGTAAACCTTCCACTTGCCATACATGGAACAATGTGAGCATTAATAAGAACAGTTATTGTCACAGATCGAAACATAACAGATATGTTTTAATACACAAGTTAATAATAATAGTTTAAAAGAAAAACACAGAATAAGCTTTGAAAGATGCTGAAAAATAATAAGAGAAAAACCAATCTTTCATTCCAGTTTTTCTTTTTGCATAAACTATTCTTCAGGTAACCAAGACATTGAGAAAGGATGGCTCCCTTTATAGATATAGTCCAGCTAATAAATGCAGAAGAATTAGAATATAATTCTGTAACCACTGATAAAATAACATATTCACATAAAGATGTCAGTAGCTGGCTGTTAACATCACATAAAGGAAAACAACCAGATACTATGCCCTACTTCAGAGAAGTGCACATCACTATGTATGATGGATTACTAAAATAAAAAAAAAAAAAAAGCAAAAACGGGGCCAGGCATGGTGGCTCACGCCTGTAATCCCAGCACTTTGGGAGGCAGAGGTGGGCGGATCACAAGGTCAGGAGATCGAGACCATCCTGGCCAACATGGTGAAACCCTGTCTCTACTAAAATACAAAAAATTAGCTGGGCATGGTGGCGCGTGCCTGTAGCCCCAGCTACTATAGAGGGAAGAAAGGAGCAGGTAGAGGGGACAGAAATGGACACTAGACTTCTTCAAATTCATCTTATTCTGTACTTTTGATTTTAGATATATGTTATGTAATTTTAAAACAAAATTAAATCATAGTGGGAGAAAAGCAATCCCTAAACATGAAAAGCAATATAAAACAAATGAGCATAACTGCATTTCCAGCTGGCAGCTTAACCATACGAGAAGTGTTATTGTAGACGACTTTTAAACACAGTAATTTGATTATAGATCCCTAGTGGGCTATATCCTGTCAAACTCCAACAGGACTTTATGTTGTTTTTCTATATTCATATGGTTGGTTAAAATATTGGTATTGTTATTTTGAAACTCTGTCTCAATCCAAAAGAAGGCAGAAAAGGGAGAACAGGAAATAAAGAACAGATGGGATAAATATAAAACAAATGGCAAAATGATGGATTTGAACCAAACCATATCAATAATCACACTAAATATAAATGGACTAAATACTCCAATTAAAAGATAGAGATTGCTGGTTGGGTGTGGTTGTTCACACCTGTAATCCCAGAAATTTGGGAGGCCGAGGCAGGCAGATCACCTGAGTTCAGGAGTTTGAGACCAGCCTGGCCAACATGGCAAAACCCCGTCTCTACTAAAAGTACAAAAACATTAGGTGGGTGTGGTGGTGTGTGCCTGTAATCCCAGCTACTTGGGAGGCTGAGGCAGGAGAATCACTTGAACACAGGAGGCAGAGGTTGCAGTGAGCTGAGATCACACCACTGCACTCCAGCCTGGGTGACAGAGTGAGACTCTGTCTCAACAACAGTAACAACAACAACAAAAAATGGAGATTGCCAAATTGAATAAAAACACAAACCCAATTACATGCTGCCTGTAAGAAATGCACTTGAAATACCAAACACAAACAGGTTAAAAGAAAAAGGATAGAAAAAGACACACAATGCTAATATTAATGAAAAGAAAGCTGGAATGGCTACATTAAATATCAAGCAAAGTAGATGTTTGGAGCAAAGAATATTATGAGGGACAAGGAAGACCATTTCCTAATGATAAAGGGGTCAATTCACCAGTAGGATGTAAAAATCTAAAACCTTTCTATACCTAATAACAGAGCATCAAAATACATGAAGCAGGCCAGGCACAGTGGCTCACACCTGTAATCCCTGCACTTTGGGAGGCCGAGGTGGGCAGATCACCTGAGGTCAGAAGTTTGAGACCAGCCTGGCCAATATGGTGAAACCCCATCTCTGCTAAAAAAAAAAAAAAAAAAAAAAAAATACAAAAATTAGCTGGGCATGGTCGTGCCCGCCTGTATTCCCAGCTACTCGGGAGGCTAAGGTAGGAGAATCACTTGAACCTGGGAGGTGGAGGTTGCTTGAACCTGGGAGGTGGAGGTTGCAGTGAGCCAAGATTGGGCCACTGCACTCCAGCCTGGGTGACAAAGCAAGACTCTGCCTCAAAAAAAAAAAAAATACATGAAGCAGAAACTGAAAGAAACTACAAGGAGAAAAATCCAACAAATAAAAACTCAGTAAAGATATGGAAGATTTAAAAAATACTATCAACCTACCTGACCTAGTTGACATTTATAGAACACTCCACCCAACAACCACAGAATATAGTCTTTTCAAGTGCACATGGAACATTTACTAAGATGCATCAAATTCTGGGTCATAAAACAAATCTTAATAAATTTAAAAGGATTAAAATCATATGAAGTATATTCTGTGAACACAATGTAATGAAATTAGAAATCAGTAACAAAAGATCTCTGGAAGATCCTCAAAATATTTGAAAACATGACACATCAAAATAACCTATAAGTCAAGAAATCAAAGGGGCAAATTAGAAAGGATTTTGAACTGAAGGTAGAATAAATGAAACAAGATTGGAAAGTAATCGCTTTTTTTTTTTTTTTTTTGAGACAGAGTCTCGCTCTGTTGCCCAGGCTGGAGTGCAGTGGCGCAATCTCGGCTCACTGCAAGCTCTGCCTCCCAGGTTCACGCCATTCTCCTGCCTCAGTCTCCCGAGTAGCTGGGACTATGTGCATCCACCACCACGCCCAACTAATTTTTTTTTTTTAATTTTTAGTACAGACGGGGTTTCACCTTTTTCCAGGATGGTTTCGATCTCCTAACCTCGTTCCATCCGCCTCGGCCTCCCAAAGTGCTGGGATTATAGGCATGAGCCACCACACCTGGCCGTGATCGTTTTTAAGCTAGGCATATTCATTATACTTTTGTGTACATTTGAAACTTTCCATAACAAGCTAAAAAAAGTTAAAAAATCAAAATGGTGCTGTATCAGAAATAACACAATAGAGCTCTTTCCCTTTTTAAATAACACAATAGAGCTATTTCTCTCTTCCCCTTTTTAAATCCATGAGTCTCAAATCCATTCTTCGTAAATTTAACCACTATTGGGGAAGCATCTATCCCGATTAATGGCACATTTTCTTTGCTCTCAATCTACCAAAAATTGCCTTGCCCCTCTATCATTTGAGAAGGCAAGAAATTTCAAAAAGAAAACAAAAATGTCTATGTCCTGTAATAACAAAGGTATTTCAGGAAACAAAGAGGAAATACTCACCTTGGACATTGCTACTGAAACAGCCATTCTTTCTCCTCTGGGCTCTACTCTCAGAAAAAGAAAAATGGAATGAGATATTAGGCCTTTCTTGGGGAATATGCTAAATTATAACATACCCTCTTCCTCCATCCTCTTAATCTCATTTAACATAAAGAAAAGTCAGGAGGAGACTAGAATAAGTCTTCTACCTTCTGTATCAGAAAGAAGGGCCAGGTCACAGCTGTCTTGGGCTTGAATTTATTTCTGTATTCAAAGCTGTACACTGGAGACAGTCCTGCAGTGGGGTGCTTCAGGTTCAGAACTGGGTGGCTGTCTCCTAAAGCACTCCCTCTGAAACTATTCCCACTCCTGGAGTCCCATTATATTTCCAGTGGCCTATTTATTTATTTATTTAGAGAATGAGTTTCACTCTTGTTGCCCAGGCTGGAGTGCAGTGGCTTGATCTTGGCTCACTGCAACCTCCGCCTCCCGGGTTCAAGCAATTCTCCTGCCTCAGCCTCCTAAGTAGCTGGGATTACAGGCATGCGCCACCACGCCCAGCTAATTTTGTATTTTTAGTAGAGGTCATGGTGAAACCATGACCTCAGGTAATCCACCCGCCTCTGCCTCCCAAAGCGCTGGGATTACAGATGTGAGCCACCGCGCACAGCATCCAGTGGCTGTCTTGAAGGTATTATCAGCCCTAAAATTCTCATCCTAAGACCAGGTCTGTAACTTGCAAATAACTCCTATTCATCACTCAGGTGTCCAAATGTCTGACTTCCTTACTTCTTGCCACTTCCCTGCACCCAATCCCCTTAAGGCTATAAGGCAAGAGGACGCAGGGAAGAAGTCGTGAACTCGTAAGTAACTACATTTCCCAAGGTGAACCGAGGATGGATACAGAAATGAAGCAATACAGGCCATGGATGAAAGGGCAGCCACTGTGGTCAAATCAAAAAGTCCTTAAGTCCTCAGAGCCACATGGGAGGAGCACAGAGCCACATGGGACTCACAATCCATAGGCAGACCTCAGCCCCAAATGAACCCCAGAAATACCAAAAAGAAATTTACTTCTGTACTGGACTAAACCCCCATAAGGTCACAGAATATACAAATGGCCACATAAAGTCACACATAATCACATTTCCACAGTTACACAGCTAGAGGCACAATCACCCAATTATGCTACATTGTTAGACCACCTTGTCTCAAACAAAATCCCATTAAGTACAAGGCATATAATTACATCCAAGCACCTTGTCAGAGACACATACCGCCAAAAACACCCTTTCAAAGCTGCAATTTTAGTCTCTTTACACAGTCATGAAAACAGCACACACAACCCCACAGTCACACACAATCAGACAGTCACCCAACCCAGTACGAAATCAGGGAAACACGCGGTAATAAACACCGTGTCACAGCAACACTGTCACACACCTTAAATTTACTGGCAAATCCATCCCACGATATCAGGTTTACACACAACCTCAAAGTGACACAAGAACATCCAAACACTCTTGTCACAACTGTCACACACTTCATAGTCACAGGCAAACCCCAATTATACACGCGGCACACATAAAATCACAGTCACATAAGTATATCCCAGCCAGGTAAGCAAACAGTCACAAACACCCTCAGAGTCACAACTCACACTCATACAAATGCTCATACACAAAACCACAGCCACACACGTCCAGTCGTGTATGCACAGGCAGTCGCCAATACCAGGCAGGCTGTAGCCTGCACACAAAACCGGAGACACGGCCACACGAGTAACCCCAGCGACGCTTTCTCCGCGCGTGTCCGCTCCGGCATCCCGGACACTCCTACCTTGACAGAGGTGCAGTTCAGGGTCCAAGATCTGGCTCCCGGGTTCCAAGCCCAATTTCGGGTTCGCCAGCCCAGCAGGTGCGGAGCCAAGCTCCTCCACAGACGCGGCCCTCTCCCCACGCGAGGCCTCCAAATCTCGCAAACTAACGGAAATGAAGCTACGCTCCGGGAGCGGTGCCTCTGGGAAATGTAGTCCAGCGCTCCGGACGCCGTGCCTCTGGGAAATGTAGTCCAGCGCTTGGCTAGCCGGCCAGAACGCCAGGAGGCCCGGGCCGCTCACCCCTC
This sequence comes from Homo sapiens, assembly GCF_000001405.40. NCBI lineage: Eukaryota > Metazoa > Chordata > Mammalia > Primates > Hominidae > Homo > Homo sapiens. Next base: position 37,078,285 of record NC_000019.10, on the reverse strand, counting down.
GAGGGGCTCGTGGGCTCGGCCTGTGGAACCTGCTTGTCCCGCCTGCAGCGCCCCGGAGGTTTCTGGGAGTGCCCGCCCGCCCGCGCTCAGTGCGCAGGCGTCAGACGCTCAGGGCCTGCGAGAGCGAGCTGAGTGGTCCCAGGGTCTACCCCTGGCAGGAGAGAGGGTGGGACCCGCCGGCCAGGCAGGTGCGGGGGAGGAGCTGGGGCCGGTGCGGGGACCCGCCGGAACCTCGGATTTGCAGAGGACCCTGTGTGTGCCCTCCCAGGCCCTTGGGGTGTGTGTGACAATGGGAGATGCCAGGTGGACTGAGAGTCTTTCCGTGGCCGGGTGTGTATGGTTGTGTTTCTGCCTGTGTGTGATTCTTCCTGCTGTGGGGTGTGAGGTGATTTGTACTTTAAGCTGCGTAGTAATGGGATTTTATAACTGTGTAGAATCGTCTAACAGAGTAAGACGATTTTACACAGATCTCTATTGTGGTTTGCTTATGAAGGGTATCTGTATGTATATCTGCTTTTTTGTGTGTGGCCGTAATTGAGTAACTGGTGATCTGTGTTATATAAACGTGCTTTCTTTGTGCTTGTATTTCAGTGTCTGTAAGGGTGCCAAGAGCAAATGAGCTGTGTGTGATCGTGTGTGACAGTGAAAATACTATGGCCAAGTTATTTCTTCCTTAAATAGTAATGTAATAATCTGGAAAAGATAATCAATTTATCTGACAAGTAATTTAGACATCATTTTTCTATTGGATCAAATATATGTGTTATCGGGAAGAATCCAAAATTAACGTAGTTTTTTCTTTGTTTTTAGAAAGATTATTTCAAAACCAGTCCTAGGGTAACTGCCTTTTCCTCTGCCACAGCAGGCCAAAAGTAGATATCCATTATTTTCTAATTAGAGGGTAAAGTTTCTCTTATTACTGGGTACGGTTGAGAGGCCATCAACTAATAAAATAATAAAACAACGTTATACATAAGAAGAGTGAATTTTAGCACAGTACAGCACTAGTCAGATTTCCCAAATTCTAGGTCAAACACTTGTCCTCATTTTCTGATGAGAAAACCTTGGCCGGCAGAAAGTAACTTAAGGCTGTAGAGTTTGTTGGTAAACCTGAACTTATTTTTACTTACTTCAAGACCTCTTGGCCTTTTATGATTTTTGAATAATCAAAAACTTGTGAACTTCCAGCACAGAGAAGATAGAGTATAATTTCACCACTCCTTCAGAGGGAAAAAAATTAATAAAACTTGGTCTTGCAAGACCATATATCAAATACATTGATCTCTTACCGGTAATGTGACTGGAATAGCAAATTTGGTGATCAGAATTCTTGAGGGAATGAACCTGTGTGTGTGATCAGGCATAGCTATGTGAAATATAGATAATTAAATTGCACTGAGTTAGAGTGGGTCAAAGTCAGGCAAGAATTATGTCCAATTCACATGCACACGTATGTTTATTGCGGCACTATTCACGATAGCAAAGACTTGGAACCAACCCAAATGTCCATCAATGATAGACTGGATTAAGAAAATGTGGCACATATACATCATGGAATACTATGCAGCCATAAAAAAGGATGAGTTCATGTCCTTTATAGGGACATGGATAAAGCTGGAAACCATCATTCTTAGCAAACTATCGCAAGGACAGAAAACCAAACACCACATGTTCTCACTCATAGGTGGGAATTGAACAATGAGAACACTTGGACACAGGGTAAGGAACATCACACACTGGGGCCTGTCAGGGAGTGGGGGTAGGGGGAGGGGTAGCATTAGGAGATATATCTAATGTAAATGATGAGTTAACAGGTGCAGCACACCAACATGGCACATGTATACATATGTAACAAACCTGCACGTTGTGCACATGTACCCTAGAACTTAAAGTATAATAAATAAATAAAAATAAAAATAAAAAAGAATTATGTCCAATTATATATGGGAGATATATACTGGGTTTTGTTTTTTTTTTTAGGAGGTGACAGACACATTCTGGTTTCAAATTGAACAGCATGCATTGATCTTGAGCCGCATCTGTGTGATTCTGGGTCACTACTTTTGGCTTTTGAATAGTTACGATGAGTGCTTGCAAGAAAAAGGAAGCTATCACTTAAAAGTAAAAAACAGTTGTTCACCTGAGATGAATAGATTCCATGTGGATGGGCTTCTTGTATATTAAACTTATGACATTTTATATGTGTTGATATGTGATTTTTTTAAAAAAAGTATAGGCAGCTTTTCAGATTCACAAAGAGGTACTTTAAGCTAAAAAAGGTTAAGACCATCAGAAACGTAGACTGCAGGAACTGAGAAGGATTTGTTAGAATACTATGTGATATAATTAGTATAAAAATAGTATATATTTTATAGAGGGATACACACAAAACTCCTGCTAATGGTAACCTTTAGGGAGAGAAGAGAGGATTTAGGGTAAAGGGGGAGAAGTAAATGTCAAAGGGAACTTAAGCATTATAGGTCATTTCTCTCCCTCTCTCTCTGTTTTTGTTTGTTTGTTTGTTTTTGTTTTTGTTTTTGTTTTGAGACAGAGTCTCACTCTGTCGCCCGGGCTGGAGTGCAGTGGTGCGCTCTCAGCTCACTGCAACCTCCGCTTCCCGGGTTCAAGTGATTCTCCTGCCTCAGCCTCCCGAGTAGCTGGGATTACAGGCGCCTGCCACTACGCCCAGCTAATTTTTTGTATTTTTAGTGGAGACAGGGTTTCACCATTTTAGCCAGGCTGGTCTCGAACTCCTGACCTCGTGATTTGCCCACCTTGGCCTCCCAAAGTGCTGGGATGACAGACGTGAGCTACCGCGCCCGGCCTCTCTCTCTCTTTTAGCAAGGTAGCATCACTCATATATTTAAAATTTAATTTTAAAATATAAAAGTCAATAGAGACGTTGGTTTTGGAGCAAGGAAGTGAGCCAAGGAACCTAAACTGTGGAAGCAGACAAAATCCAGAAAAACTTACACCTTAGGAAGACTGCAGAGAGAAGGGAATAGTAAGGCAACAAGTTTTCATAGGCCTGAGGTGTCTTGTTTGTTTATGAAATGCCAGTTTCATATTTATGTCCTTATAACCCATTTTGACCTTGCTGACCTTTAAGGATTAGTTATCTCTTCAGCCCAGTTACTGGATTCAGCTCCGTTATAGTGTCTGACCCTGGACAGCATTGGTAAGTATGTTCTCTTTCCTGGCACTGGATTATTTTCTTTGAGAGTCTTTGTTGATGTTGGCAAATGATTTTGAACTTCTTCCAACAGATTAGGTTTATGCCAGTACGTATGAGTCTAGCATTTAATCAGCAATCCCAAAAAAGTATCTGAGGCACTCTGATATAATTACTTTTCCCTAAGTGTTTATTTTGAAAAATGTTAAAGCTACAGGAAAATTAAAAGAATAATGATTTGCACTGTGTATCCTTTACTTAGATTCACCAGTTTTTAACATTTTGGACCATTTGCTTAATCTCTGTCTGCATGTATTTACATATTTTTGTTTATTTTTTGTTCACCATTTATGGGTAAGCTGCAGATATTATATATTTCACCATTGAGGATTTCAGCACGCATCTCGAAGAACAAGGTTGTTCTCCTGCATAACCTCGATATCATGAATATACATATAAATTTTAACAATGATTCATAATATTATCTAATATATAGTCCACATTTAAATTGCCCTAGTGTTTCCCAAATGTCTGATATGTGTATTTAAAATATCCATCCTGGTCCCAATTAAGGTCACACATTACAGTAGGTGGGCCTATCTTTTTAATTTCTTTAATCTAGAACAGCATTCCCCCAGCCTGTTTTTGTATTTCATGACATTTTTTAAGAGTTGAAGGGTCCAGAATATTTGTCTTGTAGAATGCCTAACATTCTGGATTTGTTTGATTGCTCTGTCATAATTAGGTTAAGTTTAAATATATTTGGCAAGAAAACTATGAATGCTGGTGTGTTCTTCCTATTGCATCATATTAAGTGACACATAATTTCAGTTTGATCCATTACCAATGATACTAAATTTTATTACTTTGGTTCAAGGAGATGTGCACCTGATTTCTTCATGGTAAAAAAATACCTTTTTTTCTTTGAGGCTAAGAAGTAATCTGATGGGGATATTTTGAAACCATTTCCCAAATAGCCTTTTACCTGATGGTTTTAATAATCATTAATGATTCTTGTCTAAATCAGTTATTAAGTTAGGAGTTGCAAAATGGTGATTTTTAATTTTACCATTCCTTCTTGTATATAAAAGAGCTTTGCCTTTCCACCCTTTCCCTCTATACCTCTTTATTTTTTCTCTTTTGAATATCACTATGGCTCATGGATTTTTATTTTTTGTCCAAAGTACTTTAGCCTGTTATCATCCTCTGTGTTGCTCAAATTGTTCCAAATTGGCCTGTAAGAACCCCTGACGCTGGTGCCCGTGTCCCCATTTGTCTTTGAGCACTTCCTTACTTTTTGACACAGGTATTTCTTTTTTTTCCTTTTTCTTTCTTTCTTTTCTTTTCTTTTTTTTTTTTTTTCTTTTTTCAGGCAGAGTCTCGCTCTGTCGCCAAGACTGCAGTACAGTGGCATGATCTCGGCTCGGCTCACTGCAACCTCCACCTCCCGGGTCAGGCAGTTCTCCTGTCTCAGCCTCCCAAGTAGCTGGGATTAGAGGCACCTGTCACCATGCCCGGCTAATTTTTTTATATTTTTAGTAGAGACAGGGTTTCACCATGTTGGCCAGGCTGGCCTCAAACTCCTGATCTCAAGTGATCCACCCGCCTAGGCCTCCCAAAGTGTTGGGATTACAGGTGTGAACCACCACGCCCAACCTGGCACAGATATTTCGTACTTATATTGTGCATTCCCTGTCCCAGACTTGGAATTAGCCACTTTGTGAGGAGAATTTTTGAGATGATCTTTTCAATGTATATTCTCAACAAAGAAATAGTTAAGTAATTTATAGTACACAGGGAGCAGAATGTTATGCATCCAATAAACTTAGGATTATAAATTTTAAATTAACAAAATGAATCTTAAAATTTTACGCAGTATTATGTCAGTGACATTTTTCTTTTTTAAAGAGATGGGGTCTCGCTCTGTCACCCAGGCTGGAGTGCAGTGGTGTAATCATGGCTCATGGTAACCTTGAACTCCTAGGGTCAAGTCAACCTCCCTCAGCCTCCCAAAGTACTGGGATTATAAGCATGAGCCACCCTGGCCAGCCCTAGGAAAAGAAAACTTTTAAAACCACCAGTGGTATCACAATCAAAAGATAAACACATATCTTTTCAAATGCCATTAAATATTTGTACAGTCATATCAAAAACATCACTTACTACATACTATTTTGTAATCTGTTTTTTTCATGTTTTAAAACAAAATATTGCAATAAAATGCATATACCTTTTAAATGTTCATAATATTTAAAAAGACATCATTAGTATTTTGAAATAATGACAGAAAACATTTTGAATATTACAAAATTAAAATTTGTTAATATGATGTATTTTAATTGGAACATATTAAAGATTACATAGTGTCTATTGATCATCATAATCCTTTTTAACCATTCTACTGTTGTTGGATTGAGAATCCTGAAATATATATGAATAGTTCCTCATTCACAATGGCCATCTATGTCATGAATCTTGACCCTGGCTTTGTGTGATTAACAATTTTTCATTGCAGTGGCCAGTGACCTTCAAGACTTTTCCTAAAAGGAGTAGAGATAACTGAATTCAGAGAGATTATTTACAGATTTTATATTGGAAACTAGAAGAATCTATCTGGCTAGGGAAGGACATCTTCTCCCCCAAATTAAAATTTACAATCTGGAGTATCTTCTTCCTTTGTGAATCCTGTGGATTCTGTGTGCTTGCCTGAATTTTTGTCCCTTGTTCTCAGAAAATAATTAGAGCTTTGCAGAATCGTGTGGAGGCAACTCTGATTGTAGCTTTCTTTAGCCCTTCCTAGGATGGCCTTGCTTCCCTGACAACCATGGAAATGGGTCTTAATTCCACAGCCAGAGTCTGACCAATTTCTTATCTTTTACGATATGCAAGATGGTTTCTAAGTTTTTAAGCCCATTATAATTTCCTTATCAGATAATGGGAAAGAAAGATATGGTTAAAAAAGAAATGAAAGAGTCTTGGTGAGGGAGGAAGAATCAGGTAGAATGAAACCGTTGGTTTTTCAAGCCCAGTTTTTCAGTCAACAGAAATCATATTTTACAATGTTATTCGAGTATTTGCCTTAGAGGCTCCAGTCCATTGGAGGAAATTGAGTCTACTTTATTATGACCTACCAAAAGAATTTAACCTTCACCCTGTCTTTTAATTAAATTCGTATGTTTCAAAGATAGTTTCTATTAAATATAGAGTAGATACAAAATAATATTTATGAAGTATATGTATTTTTTTAATTCTCAATACAGCAAAAACCTGTGTACCAACTACCTTTTTTAAGAAAGAAAATATTTATTTTTTTGAGATGGAGTCTCACTCTGTTGCCCAGGCTGGAGTGCAGTGGCAGGATCTCAGCTCACTGCAACCTCCGCCTCTTGGGTTCAAGCGATTCTCCTGCCTCAGCCTCCCGAGTAGCTGGGACTACAGGTGCGCACCACCATGCCCAGCTAATTTTTGTATTTTCAGTAGAGATGGGGTTTCACCTTGTTGGCCAGGCTGGTATCGAACTCCTGACCTCAGGTGATCCACCTGCCTCGGCCTCCCAAAGTGTTGAGATTACAGGCGTGAGCCACCACGCCCAGCCAAAAGAAAATATTAACTACTAACTTTGAAGACTCCTAGACATCTATTCCCATTTCTATCCCCTTTTCCTTCAGACATAACAATTATCCTGAGATTTATGTTTATAATTCTCTTGCTTTTCTTTATAGTTTCAGCTACTTACTCCAAAACTATGTTGTTTATGGATGTTTTTGAGTTTTATATAACTATTTCATATATCATTCTGTGACTCGCTTTTTTGTCAACATTATGTTCCTGAGATTAAGTAGTGTAGCTATAATCCATTCATTTTTATGGTACAGTATTCCATTGCTTGACTATATTACAGTTTTTAAAATCCATTCTCAGTTGATAGAAATGTGAGTTGCTTCAAAGTTTGAATTTATAGTTCTATTACGAACATTCTTGTACATGTTTACTGATGGACATGCAGAGGCTGTTCTAGGGCAAGGGTCATCAAACTTTCTTGTGCAAAGGGACATATAGGAAATATTTTAGGCTTTGCGGGCCATACAGTTTCTGTCACAACTACTCAACTCTGCCATTGTATCATGAAATCACAGCCATAGACAATATGTAAAAGAACGAGTGTGTTCTAGTGAAACTTTATGCCAAGGCAGGATCTAGCCTGTGGGCCATAGTTTGCTAAGCCCTGTTCTAGGATATATATGAAGAATATATTACTGAACACAGAGTACATATACCATGCAAATATTCTCAACTTTACTAGGCAATATGCAATATTTTCCAAAGGGGATTTTCCAATGTATACTCTTTACTAACATTTGAAATGCTCAGAATTTTAAGTTCAGGTGATTCTGGTAGATGTATATGCAGTAGAATCTCATTTTGGTTTTAATTTGCATTTCTCTGCTTACTAATAAGGTTAAGATTTTAAAGACTTGTTTATTGGCCCTTCCTCTTCTGTGAAATGCCTACTGAAACCCTTTGCTCAATTTCTTTGGGTTGTCTTTTTATTATTATAGGACTTTGTAAAAATATTTTGGATGTTTATTCTGTATCAACTATATGTGTTGAAAATATCCCAGTTTATAGCTTGTCTTTGTTTACAATAGGGATCTTTTAACAAATAGAAATTCTCTGTTTTAATGTCAGATTTATGAATTTTTTTCTCTATGGCTTGTACTTTCTTGCATTTTAAGAAATCCTTCTCTATATCAAAGTCATAAATTTAGCTTCATATATTATCTTCTTAAAGGTTTATAGTTTTGCCTTTCACAATTTTTTTTATAAAATCTCTTAGAATTCATCTCTGTAGTAAGTTAAAGGAGAGATACAATTTCTGTGTTATGTATGTGTGCATATACCAGTTGTCCCAGAATATGCAAAGACCAACTTTTTCACTTATCAGTAGTCATAAATTGGATTATTATATGTGTATGGGACATACAACACATATGTATGTGTCACATATGTTGGGAATTCATTATTCAATTATATTGGTCAATTTGTTCCCTGTGCTATTTCCATGCTGTAGCAGTTTTATAATAATTTTTGGGATATAACACAAAAATCTATTTGAGACTTTATTAATCCTCTCCATAATATAACTATTTTTCTATTTCTTGTATTGTTTTGGTCTTTATTATTTCCTTGCTTTCACTTTCCTTGGATTTATTCTGCCATTGTTTTCTCACATTTTTAAGCTGGATGCTAGATATTATCAATTTTTACACTTCTAATATAAACTGGTAAGGTTATAACTTTTCCTCGAGGTCCAACTTTAGCTGCATCCTACAGAATTTTATATACAGTCAGTCTCCAACTTACAATGGTTCTATGATTTTTTTAACTTTATGATGGTGTAAAAGCCATATGGATTCAGTAGAAACGTATTTCAAATATCCATACGACAATACTGTTTTTCACTTTTAGTTCAGTATTCAATAAATTAAGACATTCAGCACTTAATTATAAAATAGGGTTTGTGTTAGATGATTTCATCTAACTGGTAGGTAATATAAGTGTTCTGATCATGTTTAAAGTAGGTTATGCTAAGCTGTCATGCTTGGTAGGTTAGGTAAAAGCATTTTTGACTTAATGATATTTTCAACTTGTGATGGGTTTATTAGGGCATAACCCCATTGAGTCCAGGAGCATCAGTATATTAAGTAGTAATCTCATCATTCAGTTTTAAATACTTTTAAATTTCTACTATGATTTCTTTTAACCATAAATAATTTAGAATTATATTTCTTAACTATATAGGTCTTTCTAATTTTCCTTTGATGACATATATCAAACATAGCTACTTTTGTGGGCAGTGAAAGTACGGTATATAAAACTAGTCCTTTGAAAGTTTTCGAGATTTGCCCGATAGGCTAATACGTGTCTAAGTTTTCTAAATATTCAGTGTGTCTTTGATGAGAATTTGTCTTTTGCAGCTATTGTGTATAATAGTAACTGTTTTAAAAATACATAGCCATTAAATAAAGTTGTAATTTTTGTTGAAATCTATAATCTTACTGATTGTATCTCTTTTATCTATCATTTACTAAAAGAACTATGTATAATATCTCGCCATATCTGTAAGGTTATTTTTCCTTGTAGTTTCATTAATTTTTGGTTTATAGTGTGTATTTTTAGTAACTTAAGCTTGCAATTTTTATATCTTCATGGAAAATTGAACATTTCATCATGATGCAGTTAGTGATCACTTTATAATAATGCTCTAGTCTGTTTTATCTGACACTAATATCACAACACTAGCTTTCATTTGATTAGTATTTTCCAAATGTTTTTTCTGTTCTTCATTTTCAGTCTTTCTATATGCTTCCCTTAATATACTTCTTGAAAACAGATTTTAGTTACATTTTACTTATTTATCCAATCAGAGATGTACTGGCATATTTTTATTTATTTATTTATTTATTTATTTTGAGACAGAGTTTCACTCTTGTTGCCCAGGCTGGAGTGCAATGGCACAATCTTGGCTCACCACAACCTCTGCCTCCTGGGTTCAAGCAATTCTCCTGCCTCAGCCTCCCGAGTAGCTGGGATTACAGGAGTCCACCATCACGCCTAGCTAATTTTTGTATTTTTAGTAGAGACAGGGTTTCTCCATGTTGGTCAGGCTGGTCTTGAACTGCTGACCTCAGGTGATCCGCCCGCCTCAGCCTCCCAAAGTGCTGGGATTACAGGCATGAGCCACCGCGCCCGGCCATTTGTATTTATTTCTATGATTTTATTTTGTGATGTGATGTATATGTAACTTTAATGTTTCATTTCTTTCCTTTATTCTTTCTTCAGTTTGGTTCCCCCTCCCCAACCTTTTCTGCTACTCTTTGGGGTAATATGCATTCTATTTATATTATTTTAGTACTTTTGCAAAATATTTAACAGGACATACTTAAGTTATCAATGTGTGAACAAAACATTTTTCCTGCCCAGCAAAATAATGATGTTAGAATACTTTAGCACCAAGCATTGTTTCTACCAACCTACATGCTATCTTTGTGGTATAATCTGGTTATATATCTATATGTATGTGTGTGTGTAAGTGTATATATATATATACACACACACACTAATATATATTTTAAAAATACCACAGCAATAGCTTTTAAGTTGGTAGAAGTGATTAGTGTTGAAGTATGCCAATGTCATTGGCAGGAAATAAAAATACTATTTAGACTTTGATAACTTAAGTATATCCTGCTAAATTATATTGTAAACATAAGCACCAAAATAATGTACACACACATATGGAGACATTATTATGTTTTATGAGCTGAGTGTTTGATTACACACCAGTTTACTGCTTTCTTTGCTTACCTCTCCTTCTTGCATCACTTTTCTTCTACCTGAAGTGCATCTATCACAGTTTTCTTCAGTGAGGATCTATTGTTGAAAACTTCTGTCTTTATTTGTCTAAAAACTTCTAATTCTTGAAAGATATTTTTGCTGAATGTAGAATTATAAGTTGATAGTTTTGTATTTTCACCATTTTATGAAAATTTCCAAACATGTAGAAATTAAAAGAATTGTACAAAAATACCCATACATTCGCTATCTAAGTACTATAATGAATATCATGCTGTATTTGCTTTACCAAATAATTAGCCTTGTATCCAGCCCTGTATTCATCCATAAGGATGAATTGATCCATTTTTTGTTGTATTTCAAAGTTAGTTGTAGACATCGTATACTTTACCCCTAAATACTTTAGCATGCATACCACTAACTAAAGTTCAATATCTAGTTACAGCTTTTTAGGTAAAATGTACATACAGTAAAATTGTGTAATCTTAAATTTACCATTTGAAGAATTTTGACAGATTCAAATACTTGTGCAAACCAAAATCCTGTCAAAGTGAAGAAAAATACCATCACCCTAGAAAGTTCCTTCATGCTCCTTCCTAGTCATTTCCCACTCTATATCCAGAAACAACTGCCATTCTGATATTTTCCCATTGTAGATTAATTTTTGTCTCTTCTAGAACTTCGTATAATTGGGATTGAAATATGTGTTTTTTGTATGTAAGGCTTCTTTCACTCAGTATAATGTTTTAAAAATGTATCCATGTTGTATGTGTGGGTGTTTGTGGTATACTCAATAGTTCTTATTGCTGAGTTGTATTCCACTCTATGATTGTATCACAGTTTATTCATATTCTTGTTGAACTTTTGTGCTATTTCCAAGTTTTTGGCTATTATGAATAATAGTGTCATAAACATTCTTGGACATGTCTGTTTATGAACATCTGTTTTCATTTCTCTGGGGTAACACCTAGGAATGGAATTGTTCAGACACAGTGTATAGGTGTATGTTCAGTTTTATAAGAAACTGTCAAACCATACCCAAAGGGATTGCACCATTTTACACTCCCATTAACAAAGTATGAGAGTTTCAGTCTCCCTACCTCTTTGCCAACATTTGGTGCTGTCTTTCTGGCTATATATCTCATTACTGTCCCACAGTATTTTTAATTTACATTTTTCTAATGACTAATGATGTTGATCACTTTTTATGTACTTATTGGCAAAACATCTTTCTTTGTGAAGTATCTGGTCAAAATTTTTGCCCATCTTTAATTGGTTTGTTCATCTTTTTATTGTTGAGTTATAGAAGTTCTTTTTTTTTTTGAGACAGACTCTTGCTCTGTCACCCAGGCTGGAGTGCAATCTCGGCTCACTGCAACCTCTGCCTCCCGGGTTAAAGCAATTATCCTGTCTCAGCCTCCTGAGTAGCTGGGACTACAGGCGCATGCCACTATGCCCAGCTAATTTTTGTATTTTTAGTAGAGACGGGGTTTCACCATATTGGTCAGGCTGGTCTCGAACTCCTGACCTTAGGTGATCCACCCGCCGCAGCCTCCCAAAGTGCTGGGATTACAGGCGTGAGCCGCCGCGCCTGGCCGAGTTATAAATGTTCTTAGTCATATTTTTAACAGTGTCTTTTGATGAGTAAGAAAAACATTTTTGATAACATTTGTCAATTCTTTTTCTTTTGCAGTTTTGCTTTCTGTGACTTAACAAATTGTCTACTGCCAGGTTGGAAATATGTTTACATATTTATTCTTTCTAGAAGCCTTAGAGTTGTAGCTTTTTATATTAGTTCTAGGATTTATGTTAATTTTTGTTCATGGTGGCAGGTAGGGGTTGAAGTTCATTTATTTCTTTTTCTGTATGGATATCAAGTTGTTCTAGTGCCATTTATTGAAAATGCAAATGGTATTTTCAACAGTGGAGGTCTTTGGCACCTTTATTGAAAATTAAGTGACCACTGTACGAGTATTTTCTTGTATCAAATTACCACAAATTTAGTGACTTAAAACAACACAAATTTATTAGCTTTTAGTTCTGTAGGTCAAGAAGTTCAGACCTCACTGAACTAAATTTAAAGTGGCAGCAATGCTGCATTATTTTCTAGAGGCTCTAGGGAGAATCTGCTTCCTACTCATTTAGGTTAATAGGCAGAATTCAGTTTCTTGCATCTGTAAGTCCAATGTCTCCATTTGCTTGCTGGCTGTAAGCCAAGGGCCATTCCCAGCTTCAAGAGGCTGCCACATTCCTTGGCTCACGGCCCCCTTCCTCCATCTCAAAAGCCAGCAATAGAGGGTCAAGTCCTTCAAACATTGCATCTCTCTGATCCAGCTGGGAAAGTGTTGGGAAAAAGCTGAGGGTTAGGAGAAGCTGAGGCAGGGCTTGCATGTCTGACATAATGTAAAAGAGTCTTGGAACATGTCCGGGGTCCAGGGTCTAAAACCCCTTGTGGCCTTTGGAACACCAAGCTCTATGCTAAAGGGTGGAAGCCTACCATCATGCACCATAATCTAAGCCCAGGGCATAAAATCCCTTGTGGCTTGGATAGAATCCAGGGCTCATGGCTCTGGAATGTATCTAGACTTGCTGGCTCCTTGCTCCTTGCTCTCCCAGGATTGATTGTATCTTGAGTTAAAAGAATCTGCTCTCCATTATCTCAAGTAGAGCAAATGCTAAACCATCACAGCTGTAAATCATGTACTTAATGCAATGTGCCCTTTTGACCTCCACATTCTCACCACCTGTTTCTTTGTTGGATTACCAATAAATAGCATGGGCTCCCAGAGCTCGGGCCTTCGCAGCCTCTACGATTGTGATGGCCCCCTGGGTCCGGTCCCACTTTTCTCTCTCAAACTGTCTTTTTCTCAATCCTTTGACTCCGCCGGACTTTGTCACCCCCACGACCTGGTGTTGGGTCTGATCACCCCAACAGGAAAGATTCTTCATTTTCCCTTCTCTTCCTAATACTGTAATCCTAAATCCATTAGGGGCTGAGCAAGCTAGGCATACATGCCGGTGCAGTTACTTAGGCCTAAAGCACTGCACTGTAGCTTGAGCACAATGAGGAGGTATCTATCCAGGGAGAGTATGGCGGCAGTAATGGGATAGTGGCTTCTTCTAGGGGGGACTGATCAAATATGTTTCATATACATAAATACACACATAAAATATATATTTTACTACTATTATTATTTCCTCTGATAAAAATCTGCGTTCTTTGAAGAAATGATTGATTCCAGTGTTGGGCACAGCAAATACAAGATGAGCCTGGAACATCTTTTATATGTGTAAGTAAGGGGCGCTCAAAGAATGATAGGAACCTGTTAAAGGCCGCAAAACCCACACAGGAGGGGCTCCCACTTGCCAAATCTGGAGCAAACTGGTCATTAAAATAAGTAATAATAGATTACAAACCTCTGAATGAAATAGGAAATCACAAGTCTATACTGACATAAATTAATAAATTGAAAGTTTGATGAAGAATGGTGTGTTTACATAGTCTCAGAGTACCTCCCCATAAAATCTTTACTAATTACAAAGGAAAAAAAGAGTAATTTTACAGTAGAGAAGCCTGGCTGGTATATCTTAGTGATTAAGATGTAATGCTCTTTCATCAAGGAGTATTACCAGTAATAGGATAGAATGTCATCATGTGCCCCTGATAGGAGCATGCATCACTTTTGTGGCATTCTTTCTACAACTCGGAACCTTATCATGAGGAAACATCAGAGAAAACCAAATTGGAAGGAAATTCTTCAGACTGGCTTATAATAATAAAAAGTGTCAAGGTTATAAAAGGGCAAGACTGAGAAACTGTATCAGACTAAAGGAGATTAAAGAGACATGACATCTAAAGGCAATGCATGATTCTAAATTTGTTCCTTTCATGCTATCCAGTTAATGGCACAATTGGCAACACTTGAATCTGATATCGATGGTCATAACAAATAAATGTTAATTTCTTTATTTTGGTAATTGGATTGTGGTTATGTAGGTAGGGGCATGTCCTTTTTGTAGGAAATATGCAGCATTTTGAGGGATGTTGTGGGATCTTTAAGGAATTAGAGCGACTGATGGGGTTCAGGAGGATATGATATTTATTAATTATTTAACTGCACAGTCGGATTAACATCTAAAGGACTGAGCCCTGAACAAAGAGTTAAATTACCTTTTAGGCATTTCGTCGGGTGGGGGTAGGCGGGGGAGGGGGGAGATCTATGCAGGGGGAAGCATACTACAGAAGCGAGAAACAAAGGCACTTATGCAAGTGAGACATGCATTACATCATTTCTTACTTTTCAAGGAAAAACATGTTTTGCGACTTGAGTTTATCTGTCTAGTGACCTTGCAGCTGCACAGCTAGGGAAACCGGGTCTTCACAATGCCTGGGAAAGGGAGAGATAAAGCTCACTAGCCACAGAAAAACAGGCAGTTAATTTTTTAAAGGACTCCAGCTCTTTCTGTTTCTCAGGGGGAATTGGGTTTTCTCACATACAATTGAGTTTTTGCTTACACACTCTTTAATTTCTTTTAATTCCTGTTTCAGGGGTGATGTAGCATTAGGTCAACAATTTACTTTCAAATGGTTCAGTAACAAGAAAGTTCCTGGTGCTATACTTGCAACTTTCTGTAAGTTTGTGATTGGATGGATGGATGGATGGATAGATCGAAGAGTGAAGTATGCAGCTAGCTTAAAAATATCTTCTGAATTATACTTTTAATTTAGAAATAATGTTTAAAAATCCATATTGAAGCTCCATAGGATTTCGTCAGTCATGCTTGTACATATTGGTGCCTGCAAACAGTGTAGTTATTCTTGGCTTTTTGATAGACTTTAAGATTATTTCCCCACAAAGTTCCTCCAGATGATCTTAACTAACTGGAGATTCCTAGTCTGCCTTTCCTAGAGCTGCTAAGCAAGTGGGGTTTTTGATGGCTTATTTTTTCACCCATCCCCTACCTTGGCCATCTCAGGATTCTGCTGTCTCCCAGGAAGAAGAAATGATGAAGTCCTACGTGAGTTTTAAATGATGTATTTATTTTATTATCTTATTCTATAAGGCAGGAAAAGTAGATAACAATAATCTCAACAAAAGATGGAAAACCCTAAGTGGATCAAAATTAGGAAAACATAAGTGATTAAGGAGAAACTTTCAATTAGAAATATACAGAAATAAGTTCATTAAGAATTAAGCTTCAAATTTGAATCTGGCCTTCATAGGAAAAACAAATTAGGACATAAAACTAAAATTAACAAAATTCATTATATAGTTTGCACTGTCTTTCATAAAAAAGCCTATTAATTTCTCAGAGGAAAATAAAAGATTTTCATGGACACGAAGTAAAATACTTTGGCAAAGTTTTAAACTTGTGGTCCACAGCCCTCTCCATATCTTCTTTACTCTGGTCTCAAAAAATGAGATGTTCCTCCTCTTAAATATAATGTCTTTTCTGTTTTTCATCCCATCTTTCCTATGACTTCTAGAACCCTTCCCCACTAGTTAATACTTACACTTAAATATATTACACAGTTCTTTCTTTACTGCCTCATTCCTTTACTTACATGATTCTCCACATCTGAGGAGAAAACAAACACACAACTATTCTGTCCATGTGTCCAGTTAGTTACTTCTAACAGTGTAGAGGTTAAAAGCAAATATTTTAGAGGTTATAAGATGTAGATTTCAATTCTCATTCCACTACTTTCTGTGTGACATGCGCAAATTATAGTTACTGAAATTGTCAGTTCCTCAGTTTTATGACCTAAAAGTGAGGCTAAACACATAGATGAAAGTTTTTTGAGAATTAAAGAGTTGTTAAGTTGCTCAGAGCAATGATTGTCACCATTAAACGTTGAATTAACGTTTGCCTCATTTCTTCCTCAGAAACTCATGACCCAAGTCTTGGTGATTTCCGTCTCATCTTACGTGTATTGTTTCTGTAAGAAAGTCCTCAAAATATGGGATATGTGGATGCCTCAATTTCTTATTTCTATCCCAAATTAAGATATTTTCCCTTATTTTTACATTCCTTTGAAAATTAAGTTTTTTTAATTGGTTTTATGAGAGGCAAAGTTAAAATCTGCTCATCATGGCTCTTTTATAAAAAGACATCTTAAATATTTTCCTTGGCTTCATCATATTGTTTTCTCATGATGCTAATTATAATTATCACTTAAAAACAATTTTCCACTTATGAATTCTTTTCTTTGCTTGTTTCTTAACTGGTACTTGTCCCCAAAACCTGCTTGATATCCTGTTCCGCATAGCATCAGTGAATTATCACACCACACTGCAATGGCTATAATGGTTTCAGTCATCATTGTACACTGATAAATATCAAATTACTCATTTGCAATACAATCCCTACTTGAGCTCCTGAAGAGCATATATAACAGTCTGATGGATATCTTTACCCAGTTACTCTATAGAAGACATGAATTTTACATGTCCAAAATTTTATTCTTCTCTTACTTTTACCACCTTCTGGTAAAAGTGCAGGACACGTGCAAACAGGGAAAGGGGCAAATCCAAAGTAGAGCCAGTGTGACCACACGTGGCACTGGTGTATTCAAGAGCAGATGCTGTGAATGTGTGTCACAGAGGGCATACGGGGCGATGGCGAAACAAACAATGGTGTCCAGGCATGTTCCGGAGGAAGGGGGGCACAGGTGACCTTTCCATCGATGCCAACGAAAATCATAGAACACCTGGGAACCAGGAGGGGGCCTGTGCGTGAGTCCAAGCCACAATTTGAAATGCCTGCTGGAGGAGCAAAGAGGTTCCTGCAAAGTTCACCCCACCCTCAACCCTCCACCGCCCAGGTAGCCCTGACGCAACCTCCCCTGCACCCAGCCCCAGCCCAGTCCCGTTGGTTCCCTGACATTCATTACAGCCAAAAGATTCAGGGAGGCAGTCCACCCCGGAGCGGAGGAGAGGATGTCCCTCAAGAATGAGACAGGAAGTGCAGAGAAAATGCGACAGCGCCTGTCCTAGAAGACAAGGCCAGTCACGGTCGCCTACCGCTCATTCTAGGCAATCCCCCCCACACATGAGGTGAAACGTGGAGACCAAGGTAGCTTCCCTGTCTGAGACACGTATGGGAGCCAAGAGCTCCAGGATCATCAAACCTACCCAATCAAGCAGAAACAGGTTTGGAGAGAGAAACAATCAGAACATGGATCTCCATGAAGTTTCTCCCTGATGGACTGGGAAGTGATCTTTGTTGAAGACATTCAGCCAGACCAAGAAGCATCTAGGCCCCTCAGAAACAGAAGAGACAGAGCAAGAGGGAGGCCAGAGCAGAGGCCAGAGCCCAGGCAGGATACAGCACAGTGCCACCGCCACGGGCTGAGGGGAGGAGTGCCAAACGGGTGACTTGTCCAAAGAGGCCAGCATTCCAGTGACAGGGATCCTTGCCGTGTCCCCATCCCAGCTTCTTCTTTAAGATTGTATCGTGGTGTGGCTTCGTTTCTCAGAGAAGAGACGCGAGGAGATACAACCATCTCCTTTGAGGTCGGTCTACTTCCCTCCTTTAGGACAATGAGCTCCTGGGAGGCTTTTGTCCTTACCTGGAGTGTGGTCATCTTGATTCTAGAGAATAGACCACTCAGGATGGGGATGAGACTTCAGTTGCTCTGGGACCGACGCATCTCCTGAGGTGGTGGAGGCCTTCAAAAACCCGAAGTGCAACCGCCGCGAAAACGAGACAACCAGCCACGTGACCCAGGCAGACGCAGAAAAAGGCTCGCCAACGACAGGCGGACATACAAGAAATCCCTTTTTGGCGCAGGGGGCATATACGTCCCAACACACACACGCTCATGGGCACACACACATACAGACAGAGGGAGAGAGAGAAACAGGAAGTGAGAGACAGAGAAAAGAGAATGGGACACAGACAGACACACATACACATACGCACACACACACAGAGATAGAGTGAGAGAGAGAGAGAGAGAAAGAGACAGAGACAGAGCAGTGGCATAGAAACAGAAATGCCAGGCAACCCCTGAGGCTGCGGGGTTCTGCTCTCCGCAAGAACGACCCTCAGGTGAGAGGGCGGCCCACGAGCACACAGGCAGACCTGTCCTCGAGATCACGGCGGGCACGACTTTTGCGGAGACTCACCCTAACACGTCCGGGCAGGCCTGAGCCTGGGATGCCGCGCCGCTTCCCCCAGACTCCGCCTGTGGTTTCGTCATCCTCGACAGCTCTGTGCGACTCGTGGCATCCGGAGACGTTCCTGTCGACCCCGTGGAGAGGTCAGGCCGGAGCCTCGGAGCCCCGACAGCCAAGCACTGCCACGGAGGGCTCCTGCTTTGCCAAGCCTCAGGGACTGGTTTCTAAGACAACGGTGAGAATCCGCTCGCGCCTCGCGCATGCGCATTGGCGGGGTTGACTCGCGCTCCGCTCCTAGAAGTCAGGCTGCGGCCCCTTGAAACAATGGCGGCGGCGCGGCTGCGCTAAGGCAGGGAAGCTCCTGCTGCAGCCGCGGCGGCGGCTGGATCCGGGGTCCAGTAGAGGGCGGCGTGGGAGAGGGGGCCGCGGGCGTCCCAGGGCCAAACCCCCAGGAGTCCTGTCTTCAGGGCCTCCTTGAGTCGACTTCCACCGGTGGAGGGGGAGCTTCAGGGCGCCTGCTGGGCTCTCAGGACTCCTCTTCAGATCCGATTTTGGATCCCACTGGGTGAGCAGGGATGGGCTCAGGCGGGAGGCATGTGGTGAGGCAGGCAGGGCCTCGCTGCAGCACAGGATGATCTCTTGGGCCTCAAGGCGTGGTATCAGCTGAAAATTCGCTGACCCACGAGCCCTCTGCCTCCCTTCTCCCTTGGAGGAGCTGTGGGCTGCCCCGATTCGCAAAGCCGTGGGGCTGCTGCAAGCCAACACCACTTTCCAGGAGACGTGGAAACAGGGATAGGGCGAGTCCGAGGTAGAGCCAATGAGACCACACGTGGCACTGGCTTCCCTAAGAGCAGATTGGGTGAGTGTGCATTACCGAGGCCATATGGGGTGATTGCGAGACGAACAATGGTGTCTGGGCATGTGCCCGGTGGATGCGGGGGGACACAGATGACCTCCCAGTCAACGCCAAGGAAAAGCATAGCGCCTCTGAGAACCAGGAATGGGCCCGTGCCTGAATCCAAGCCAGATTTTGGGATGCCTGCTCTAGGAGCGGAGAGGTTTCTGCATAGTTCACCCCACCCTCACCCCTCCACAGCCTAGGTAGCCCTGAGGCAACCTCCCCTGCACCCAGCCCCAGCCCTTGCCCTTTGGATCCCTGACATTTGTGAGAGCTGAAAGATTCAGTTCTGGGAGGCAGTCCATCCAGAAGCAGAGGGGAGGATGTCTCTCAATAATAAGACAGGAAGTGCAGAGGAAATGCCGCACGGCCTTTCCTAGACGCCAAGGCCAGCCATGATCGCCTACCGCTCATTCTAGGCAATCCACCCAGCCATGAGGTGAAACTTGGAGACCAAGGGAGCTTCCCTGTCTGAAACAGGTATGGAAGCCCAGAGTTCCAGGATAGTCAAACCGGCCGAATCAACCAGAAACAGGTTTGGAGAGAGAAACAATTATGACACGGATCTCCACGAATTTTCTCCCTGATGGACTGGGAAGTGTTCTTTGTTGAAGACATTGAGCCAGACCAAGAAGCATCTAGGCCCCTCAGAAACAGGAGAGACAGAGCAAGAGGGAGGACAGAGCAGAGGCCAGATCCCAGGCAAGACACAGCACAGTGTCACCGACAGGGTTAAGGGAAGGAGTGTCAAATGGGTGACTTGTCCAGAGAGGCCAGCATTCCAGTGACAGCAGGTATTGTTGTCATCTCCGGTTCCTGGCTTCCTCTTTAAGACTGTATCGTGGTGTGGCTTCATTTCTCAGAGAAAAGCCGCGAGGAGATACAACCATCTCCTTTGACATCGGTCTGCTCCCCTCCTGCAGGAGAATGAGCTCCTATGAGGCTTTGGTCCTTGGCTGAAGTGTGGTCATCTTGATTCTAGAAAAGCCGCTCAGGATGGGGATGAGATTCCAGTTGCTCCGGGACCGACGCATCTCCTCATGTGGTCGAGGCCTTCACAATCCCAAAGTGGAACCACCACGAAAACGATTGACAACCGGCCACATGACCCAGGCAGAGACCAAAAAAAAGGCTCACCAAAAACAGGTTGACATGCAAGAAATCGCTTTTTGGCGCACAGGGCACATTGATCCCAACACACACACCCACACTGGCACACACACACACAGAGAAAGAGAGAGAGAGAAACAGACAGAGAGTGAGAGACAGAGAGATAAGAGAGAATGGGAGACACACACACAGACATACAGCAGTGGCACAGAAACACACAGCCCCAGGCAACCCCTGAGGCTTTGGGGTTCTGCTCTCCACGAGATCGACACTGGGATGAGACAGGAGCCTATGGACACACAGGCAGACCTGTCCTCAAGATCATGGCCTGCACAAGTTTTGGGGAGGCTCACCCGATCCCCGTCCGGGCAGGCCTGAGGCTTGGATGCCGCACTGCTTCCCCTGGACTCTGCCTGTGGTTTTGTCACCCTGGTCAGTCCTTGGAGACTCCTGGCATCCGGAGACCTTCCTGTCGCCCCCGTGGAGAGGTCAGGCCAGAGCCTCAAAGCCCCGACACCCAAGCACTGCCATGGAGGGCTCCTGCTTTGCCAAGCCTCAGGGAGTGGTTACTCAGGCAACCGTGGGACTCACTGTGATGGGAGAATTGGCTGGCGCTTCGCGCATGCGCATTGGCTAGGCCGACTCGCGCTCCGCTGCTGGAAGTCAGGCTGAAGCCCCTTTAAGCAATGGCGGCAGCGCAGAGGCAGGGGCCTTTGGCTGCAACCCTGGCGGTGGCTGGATCCCCGGTCCGGTAGGCGGCGACGTGGGAGAGAGGGCTGTAGGCACCCCAGGGCCGCACTCCCGGAGTCCTGTCCTCAGGACCTCCTTGAGCCAACTCCTACCGGTGGAGGAGGAGCTTCAGGGCGCCTGCTCGGGTCTTTGGATTCCTCCTCAGATCTGATTTTGAATCCCACCAGGTGAGCAGGGATGGGTTCACCTTATCTGTTGAGGTGGGAAGGGCCTCACTGGGGCACAGAAAGATCCCATGGGCCTCAAGGCGTGGTGTCAGCTGAAAATTCACTGACCCATGAGCCCTCTGCCTCCCTCCTCCCTTGGAGGACCAGTGGCCTGTCCTGCTTCCCAAAGCCCTGGGGCTCCTGCGAGAAGACACCGCTTTCCAGGACAAGTGCAAACAGGGACAGGGGCGAGTCCAAGGTGGAGCCAATGCAACCACACGTGTCACTGGCGTCCCCAAGAGAAGATGGGGTGAGTGTGTGTCACCGAGCCCATATGGGGCTATGCCAAGATGAAGAAAGGTGTCCAGGCATGTGCCTGGTGGAAGGGGGGCACAGGTGACCTCCCTGTCAACGCCACATAAAAGCATAGCCCACCTGGGAACCAGGAGAGAACCTGTGTGTGAGTCCAAGCCACATTTTGGGATGCCTGTCAGAGGAGCGAAGAGGTTTCTGCAAAGTTCACCCCATCCCCACCCCTCCAACGCCTAGGTAGCCCTGACACAGCCTCCCCTGTACCCAGCCCCAGTCCCGTCCCTTCGGCTCCCTGCCACACAGAAAGAGAAAGAGAGAGAGAGAGAGAGACAGAGAGTGAGAGACAGAGAGAGAAGAGAGAATGGGAGACACACTCACAGATACACAGCAGTGGAACGGAAACACACCACCCCAGGCAACCCCTGAGGCTGCGGGGTTCTGCTTTTCAAAAGAACAACCATCGGTTTAGAGAGTAGTCCACGGGCACACAGGCAGACGCTTCCTCGAGATGATGTGGGGCACGACTTTTGGGGAGACTCACCCAAACACCATCCGGGCAGGCCTCGGGCTGGAATTCCGCGCTGCTTTTCCCAGACTCCGCCTGCTGTTTCTTCATCCTGTTTGCCCCTCCGTGTCTCCTGGAATCCTGAAACAGTTTTGTTGACCTTCTGGAGATGTCAGCCTGGCGCCTCAACACTGACGCACTGCCACGGACGGCTCCTGCTTTGTCAAGGTTGATGGAGTCGTCCTCAGGCAACCATTGGGGTCACTGTGACAGGAGTAGCGGTGTCGCCTCATGCATCCGCATTGCCTAAGCCGACTCGTGCTTTGCCCTTGGAAGTCAGGCTGTAGCCCCTTTAAACGGTTTCGGCTCTGCGTGGACGGGGGCTCCTGTGGCAGTCGCTGTGGTGGCTGGAGTGTTGATGGAGTAGCGGGCGTTGTTGGAGAGGGGACTTCGGGGCCGGACCCCCAGGACCCCTGTCCTCAGGGCCTTTTTGAGCCGACTTTTACCGGTGGAGGAGGAGCTTCAGGTCGCCGGCTGGGGTTTCAGGACTCTCAGGCTGCAGTGCATTGGTGTGATCATAACTCACTGCAGCCTCAATCTCCCAGGATTAAGCGATTTTTTTGCCTCAGCCTCCCACATAGCTGGGACTACAGGCATGTGCCACCTCACTGAACTACTTTTCTTCAGAAACATTTTTGTATGAATGGGGACTTACTATGTTGCCTCGCTCATCTCCAACTCCTGGACTCAAGCCATCCTCCTGCCTTGGCCTCCCCAAGTGCTAAGATTACAGATGTAAGCTTCCACATGCAGCTGAATTCTTGTATCTTAAATCCCTACCTCCCAAAATAAGCAGATATTAGTCCCACTTATTTTATAACTTTTTGCTCTTTATGTCTCTTTTTGTTCCTGGACACAGGGAGTAGCAACCCACTCTCCACTAAATTTCAAATCATTAGGGGCATTATGCTATGTCCCAGGAGTGGCTGAGGCTTCAAGGACCTGCTGCTCTAACTTAGGCTTGCTGAGGAGTACAATTCATCTTGTGTTTCTGTGTTGTATAACAATCTTCCTGAGCTCCTCTAAGTCAGTCCATCCTGCTACAACTGAGAAGAATCAAGAAACTCTCCAAGAAAATGTTTATCAACCTGCCTGTTGTCAAGGACAAGACAGGTCTGTTGACCATGGCAGGCATGGCAGCGCATGACAGTGAGCACCCTCCACCGTGTTTGCTATTCACTGCATGTTCCACCTGAAATTTCCCATCTGCTCAGTGAGTCTTAACAGTGTGGTAAAAAGGACTCACTCTCAAAGACCAAGGCTGACGCTCTCTGAATACAATGCCTTGACCTAGTTACTGTCACTGTGGTTTTGTCTTCATAGACTAAAAGATACAATAAAAATTTGTTCGGTGGAGCCAAGATGGCTGAATAGGAACAGCTCCAGTCTAGAGCTCCCAGCATGAGTGATGCAGAAGACGGGTGATTTCTGCATTTCCAACTGAGATACCAGGCTCATCTCACTGGGGAATGTCAGAAAGTGGGTGCAGGACAGTAGGTGCAGCACACCCAGCATGAGCTGAAGCAGGGCAAGGCATCACCTCACCCAGGAAGCGCAAGGGGTCAGGGAATTCCCTTTCCTAGTCAAAGAAAAGGGTGACAGACGGCACCTGGAAAATCAGATCACTCCACCCTAATACTGAGCTTTTCCAACGGCCTTAGCAAATGGCACACCAGGAGATTATATCCCATGCCTGGCTCAGAGGGTCCTATGCCCATGGAGCCTTGCTCATTGCTAGCACGGCAGTCTGAGATCAAACTGCAAGGGGGCGGCGAGGCTGGGGGAGGGGCGCCAGCCATTGCCAAGGCGTCAGTAGGTGAACAAAGCGGCTGGGAAGCTCCAACTGGGTGGAGCCCACCGCAGCTCAGGGAGGCCTGCTGCCTCTGTAGACTTCACCTCTGGACGCAGGGAATAGCCAAACAAAAGGCAGCAGAATCCTCTGCAGACTTAAATGTCCGTGTCTGACAGCTTTGAAGAGAGTAGTGGTTCTCCCAGCACGCAGCTGGAGATCTGAGAATGGACAGATTGCCTCCTCAAGTGGGTCCCTGACCCCCGAGAAGCCTAACTGGGAGGCACTCCCCAGTAGGGGCAGACTGACACCTCACACGGCCAGGTACTCCTCTGAGACAAAACTTTCAGAGGAACGATCAGGCAGCAACATCTGCTGCTCACCAATATCCGCTGTTCGGCAGCCTCCACTGCTGATACCCAGGCAAACAGGGTCTGGAGTGGACCTCCAGCAAAGTCCAACAGACCTGCAGCTGAGGGTCCTGACTGTTAGAAGGAAAACTAACAAACAGAAAGGACATCCACACCAAAACCCCATCGGTATGTCACCATCATCAAAGACCAAAGGTAGATAAAACCACAAAGATGGGGAAAAAACAGAGCAGAAAAACTGGAAACTCTAAAAATCAGAGTGCCTCTCCTCCTCCAAGGAACGCAGTTCCTCACCAGCAACGGAACAAAGCTGGATGGAAAATGACTTTGACGAGTTGAGAGAAGAAGGCTTCAGATGATCAAACTACTCTGAGCTAAAGGAGGAAGTTTGAACCCATGGCAAAGAGGTTAAAAACGTTGAAAAAAATTAGACTAATGGATAACTAGAATAACCAATGCAGAGAAGTCCTTAAAGGACCTGATGGAGCCAAAAGCCAAGGCACGAAAACTATGTGATGAATGCACAAGCCTCAGTAGCCGATTTGATCAACTGGAAGAAAGGGTATCACTGATGGAAGATCAAATGAATGAAATCAAGTGAGAAGAGAAGTTTAAAGAAAAAGGAATAAAAAGAAATGAACAAAGCCTCCAAGAAATATGGGACTATTTGAAAAGACCAAATCTACGTCTTATTGGTGTACCTGAAAGTGACAGGGAGAATAGAACCAAGCTGGAAAACACTCTGCAGGGTATTATCCAGGGGAACTTCCCCAATCTAGCAAGGCAGGCCAACATTCAAATTCAGGAAATACAGGGAACACCACAAAGATACTCCTCGAGAACAGCAACTCCAAGACACATAATTGTCAGATTCACCAAAGTTGAAATGAAGGAAAAAATGTTAAGGGCAGCCAGAGAGAAAGGTCGGGATACCCACAAAGGGAAGCCCATCAGACTAACAGCTGATCTCTTGGCAGAAACTCTACAAGCCAGAAGAGAGTGGGGGCCAATATTCAACATTCTTAAAGAAAAGAATTTCCAACCCAGAATTTCATATCCAGCCAAACTAAACTTCATAAGAGAAGGAGAAATAAAATCCTTTACAGACAAGCAAATGCTGAGAGATTTTGTCACCAGCAGGCCTGCCCTAAAAGAGCTCGTGAAGGAAGCACTAAATATGGAAAGGAGCAACCGGTACCAGCCACTGCAAAAACATGCCAAATTGTAAAGACCATTGAGGCTAGGAAGAGACTGCATCAACTAACGAGCAAAATAACCAGCTAACATCATAATGACAGGATCAAATTCACCCATAACAATATTAACCTTAAATGTAAATGGGCTAAATGCTCCAATTAAAAGACACAGACTGGCAAATTGGATAAAGAGTCAAGACCCATCAGTGTGCTGTATTCAGGAAACCCATCTCACGTGCAGAGACACACATAGGCTCAAAATAAAGGGATGGAGGAAGATCTACCAAGCAAATGGAAAACAAAAAAGGCAGGGGTTGCAATCCTAGTCTCTGATAAAACAGACTTTAAACCAACAAAGATCAAAAGAGACAAAGAAGGCCATTACATAATGGTAAAGGGATCAATTCAACAAGAAGAGCTAACTATCCTAAATATATATGCATCCAATACAGGAGCACCCAGATTCATAAAGCAAGTCCTTAGAGAGCTAGAAAGAGACTTAGACTCCCACACAATAATAATGGGAGACTTTAACACCCCACTGTCAACATGTTCTTTGAAACCAATGAGAACAAAAACACAACATATCAGAATCTCTGGGACACATTCAAAGCAGTGTGTGGAGGGAAATTTATAGCACTAAATGCCCACAAGAGAAAGCAGGAAAGATCCAAAACTGACACCCTAACATCACAATTAAAAGAACTAGAGAAGCAAGAGCAAACACATTCAAAAGCTAGCAGAAGGCAAGAAACACCTAAGATCAGAGCAGAACTGAAGGAAATAGAGACACAAAAAACCCTTCAAAAAATCAATGAATTCAGTAGCTGGTTTTTTGAAAAGATCAACAAAATTGATAGACTGCTAGCAAGACTAATAAAGAAGAAAAGAGAGAAGAATCAAATAGATGCAATAAAAAATGATAAAGGGGATGTCACCACCGATCCCACAGAAATACAAACTACCATCAGAGAATACTATAAGCACCTCTAAGCAAATAAACTGAAAATCTAGAAGAAACGGATAAATTCCTCAACACATACGCCCTCCCAAGACTAAACCAGGAAGACGTTGAATCTCTGAATAGACCAATAACAGGATCTGAAATTGAGGCAATAATTAATAGCTTAACAACCAAAAAAAGTCCAGGACCAGATGGATTCACAGCCAAATTCTACCAGAGGTACAAGGAGGAGCTGGTACCATTCCTTCTGAAACTATTCCAATAAATAGAAAAAGAGGGAATCCTCCCTAACTCATTTTATGAGGCCAGCATCATCCTGATACCAAAGCCTGGCAGAGACACAACAAAAAAGAGAATTTTAGACCAATATTCCTGATGAACATCGATGCAAAAATCCTCAATGAAATACTGGCAAACCAAATCCAGCAGCACATCAAAAAGCTTATCCACCATGATCAAGTGGGCTTCATCCCTGGCATGCAAGGCTGGTTCAACATATGCAAATCAATAAATGTAATCCAGCATATAAACAGAACCAATGACAAAAACCATATGATTATCTCAATAGATGCAGAAAAGGCCTTTGACAAAATTCAACAGCCCTTCATGCTAAAAACTCTCAATAAATTAGGTATTGATTGGACATATCTCAAAATAATAAGAGCTATCTATGACAAACCCACAACCCACAGCCAATATCATACTGAATGGACAAAAACTGGAAGCATTCCTTTGAAAGCTGGCACAAGACAGGGATGCCCTCTCTCACCACTCCTATTCAACATGGTGTTGGAAGTTCTAGCCAGGGCAATCAGGTAGGAGTAGGAAGTAAAGGGTATTCAATTAGGAAAAGAGGAAATCAAATTGTCCCTGTTTGCAGATGACATGACTGTGTATCTAGAAAACCCCATTGTCTCAGCCCAAAATCTCCTTAAGCTGATAAGCAACTACAGCAAAGTCTCAGGATAAAAAATCAATGTGCAAAAATCACAAGCATTCTTATATACCAATAACAGACAAACAGAGCCAAATCATGAGTGAACTCCCATTCACAATTCCTTCAAAGAGAATAAAATATCTAGGGATCCAACTTACAAGGGACATGAAGGACCTCTTCAAGGAGAACTACAAACCACTGCTCAATGAAATAAAAGAGGATACAAACAAATGGAAGAACATTACATGCTCATGGGTTGGAAGAATCAATATCATGAAAATGGCCATACTGCCCAAGGTAATTTATAGATTCAATGCCATCCCCATCAAGCCACCAATGACTTTTTTCACAGAATTGGAAAAAACTACTTTAAAGTTCATATGGAACCAAAAAAGAGCCCGCATTGCCAAGTCAATCCTAAGCCAAAAGAACAAAGCTGGAGGCATCATGCTACCTGACCTCAAACTATATTACAAGGCTACAGTAACCAAAACAGCATGGTACTGGTACCAAAACAGAGATATAGACCAATGGAACAGAAAAGAGCCCTCAGAAATAATGCCGCATATCTACAACCATCTGATCTTTGACAAACCTGACAAAAACAAGAAATGGGGAAAGGATTCCCTATTTAATAAATGGTGCTGGGAAAACTGGCTAGCCATATGTAGAAAGCTGAAACTGGATCCCTTCCTTGCACCTTATACAAAAATTAATTCAAGATGGATTGAAGACTTAAATGTTAGACCTAAAACCATAAAAACCCTAGAAGAAAATGTAGGCAATACCATTCAGGACATAGGCATGGGCAAGGACTTCATGTTAAAACACCAAAAGCAATGGCAACAAAAGCCAAAATTGACAAATGGGACCTAATTAAACTAAGGAGCTTCTGCACAGCAAAAGAAACTACCATCAGAGTGAACAGGCAACCTACAGAATGGGAGAAAATTTTCGCAACCTGCTCATCTGACAAAGGGCTAATATCCAGAATCTACAATGAACTCAAACAAATTTACAAGAAAAAAACAAACAACCTCATCAAAAAGTAGGTGAAGGATATGAACAGACACTTCTCAAAAGAAGACATTTATGCAGCCAAAAGACACATGAAAAAATGCTCATCATCACTGGCCATCAGAGAAATGCAAATCAAAACCACAATGAGATACAATCTCACACCAGTTAGAATGGCGGTCATTAATAAGTCAGGAAACAACAGGTGCTGGAGAGGATGTGGAGAAATAGGAACACTTTTACACTGTTGGTGGGACTGTAAACTAGTTCAACCATTGTGAAGTCAGTGTGGTGCTTCCTCAGGGATCTAGAACTAGAAATACCATTTGACCCAGCAATCCCATTACTGGGTATATACCCAAAGCATTAGAAATCATGCTGCTATAAAGACACATGCACACGTATGTTTATTGCAGCACTATTCACAATAGCAAAGATTTGGAACCAACCCAAATGTCCAACAATGATAGACTGGATTAAGAAAATGTGGCACATATACACCATGGAATACTATGCAGCCATAAAAAATGATGAGTTCATGTCCTTTGTAGGGACATGGATGAAGCTGGAAACTATCATTCTCAGCAAACTATCAGAAGGACAAAAAACCAAACACCACATGTTCTCATTCATAGGTGGGAATTGAACAATGAGAACACATGGACACAGGAAGGGGAACATCACACACTGGGGCCTGTTGTGGGGTGGGGGAGGGGGGAGGGATAGCATTAGGAGATATACCTAATGTTAAATGACAAGTTAATGGGTGCAGCACACCAACATGGCACATGTATACATATGTAACTAACCTGCACGTTGTGCACATGTATCCTAAAACTTAAAGTATATTAAAAAAAATTTTTAAATAAAAATTAAAAAATTAAAAAAAGAGTGTGACATTGTGGCCACCAATAGGAGTCCACTCTCATCTGAGGAATTCCTTAAGTCATTTGTGATGCTGGTGATGATAGCATGTAGCCATGCAAAATTTCACACTAGTATATTGATTTATAGTGTTCACTTTCCTCCAATATGAAACAATTTATTTCTTCTACACCTACCTGGCTCAGCAAGGCATTCTGTGGATTATCTTATTAGTAATTATAACATGCTTTCTGGCTATAGTGTACTTTAAAAATGCTGAGCAGTATTAGAACAGTTATAAATCAATATTTCTTTTTGGTTGTCTTATGCCTTCCTATCTTAGAGAAGCTTTAGAATCAATTCATTAAGAAAATAATCATGAATTAATGTGTGTCACATCAATTAATTTGTGCACAGGTTTAAGAAACAAATATTGTTTTCATCCTACTGATGCTTCTAAGTAATGCAGAAAATGAAATAAAATTATATTTAAAAAATTTTTTCCTATAATTGTCCTGTTGATGCACAAAATACTTAAATGCTTCTACATAGGTCTGCTCTTGCACCACAGAGCACTAAGGGAAAGTCCCCACAATAAAAGTGCCTTTCACCTGAGCTGCTACATGTGACAGTTAAGCAGCTAAAGGTTTTAAAAAAATCAAAGCTCCCCAAATGTTGTGTGTATGACAGCTGGTCCAACTTCACAGTCTGTACTTTCCCTCTCTAACAGCATGGAAAAATATAGAGATAACTAGCAAGTGATGCTCTAGTGTGCCAAGCCATCGATGAATCTGTGTGATTAAAAACCAGCATTTAACCATAACCCAGATACATTAAAAATCAATCCCACACTCATAGACTGTAATTCCAATTCGCTTCCAGATGGCAGTTACAATTGGAAAGGAAATACCTAGTTCACAGGAGGCATTAATACTTACGTTGCTGCAGAAACTGAACCCTTAAGAGAATGTATTCTGGACTTTCTGACCTGGACACTAACAAATAGTGAAAAACATGTACCTAAGAATACACTTGCAACAGAAATGTAAAAATCCAAAAGTAAGAGATATTACGAAGGATCAAATATAAAATGGCACACTGCTAGACAGGCAACAAAGAAAATTCTAGAAGAAAATGACGAGGCACTATGCCTTAGTGCGTTTGTGCTACTATATAACAAAATACACTAGACTGTGTAATTTATGAAGAACAGAAATGTATTTCTCAAAGTTCCATAGGCTGGAAGTCCAAGATCAAGGTGCCACTAGGATTGGTGTCTGGTGAGGGCCTGGTCTCTGCATCTAAGATAATGCCTTGTGCACTGTGTCTTCAGGAGGGGATGCACTGTGTCCTCACATGGCAGAAGGAGGAAGGGCAAAACAGGGGAAGCCCACTCCCTCCAGTCTTTGTGTAACCCATTGATGAAGACTCTCCCTTCATGACTGAATTACTTCCTAAAGGCCCTACTTCCTAATACTATGACATTGGTGATGAGTTTTAGGGAGACACATTCAGACCATAGCACCCTATATTCAATTTCTTAAAAATTATTTTGTTGTTTTGCTTTTCTGTTTTTCAAATGGCTTAAAGTGCACAAAATTGGATAAATCATAATCGTTGGCTCATAGCATACATTGGCTCCTATTTCATCCTTGCCTATATTCAATTTCTTAAAAGTTAGCACCCTATATTCAATTTCTTAAAAATTATTTTGTTTTGCTTTTCTGTTTTTCAAATGGCCTAAAGTGCACAAAATTGGATAAATCATAATCCTTGGCTCATAGCATACCTTGGCTCCTATTTCATCCTTGCCTATATTCAATTTCTTAAAAATTAGCACCTTATATTCAATTTCTTAAAAATTATTTTGTTGTTTTGCTTTTCTGTTTTTCAAATGGCTTAAAGTGCACAAAATTGGATCAATCATAATCCTTGGCTCACAGCATACCTTGGCTCCTATTTCATCCTTGCCTGTGCCTTGGCCTGTATGTAAATGTATTTGAATGTATTTGAACAACATGGTAATCACTTGTGAACCCACCACACAACCCAAGAACTAGGTTCTGATCCTAACATCTGCTCTTCCTCTGTCTTTTTTTCCTGATTCACACCTTTCAGCCCCAGCGGTAACTACTACCCTGAATTTATATTTAGGATTCCATTCCTTTAAAAAAATTGTTTTATTGCATATATATGATTGCCATAAATAACATATTATTCAGTTTTTAAGGGTATAATTTATTTACCCATTCTCCTATTAATGTACCCATTCTAGTATTAATGAACTTTTGGCTTATTTCCAGATTTTTGCTATTATGAATGGCATTACATGAGCATTTATTTTCTTTTTTTACTACTTCGGGTACACATGGGCAAGAGTTTCTCCAGGGCCTTTGGTAGAGGAATTACTGTGCCATAACATATGAGAATGCTCAACTTTATAAGATAATCCTATTGTTTTCCAAAGTGGTTGTTCTAATTTAAACTCTCACCTCCTGTATTAGTTTGAGATGATCTTGTTGATCCAGTCTCTCCATATTTGGTGATATGGTTTGGCTGTGTCCCCACCCAAATCTCAGCTTGAATTCTATCTCCCAGAATTCCCATATGTTGTGGGAGGGACCCAGGGTGAGGTAGTTGAATCATGGGGGCCAGTCTTTCCTGTGCTATTCTCATGATAGTGAATAAGTCTCATGAGATCTGATGGGTTTATCAGGGGTTTCTGCCTTGGCTTCCTCCTCATTTTCTCTTGCCACTGCCATGTAAGAAGTGCCTTTCACCTACAGTTATGCATCAACATCTTTTATGTACAAATGCTGGAAAATCTTAATCTCCAGAGACAAGGCCATGGAAAAGGTTTTAGATATGCTACATATTAGTCAGCAAACATTTATTAAACTGTCCATGGGCCAACCACTGTTTTAGGCCTGTGGGACAGAAAGATCAATAAATACAAGGCCTTTGGCTGGAGAAACTCACTGTTCTTGGCCTGGAATGAACAATCAACAAATCATTGCAATTCTATGTGATGTGCATTACAGTAGCATTATAATGATCTTTTCTTTTTCATGCTTTTCCCCAAATGACAATGGCTCAAGAAAACGTAAATGGAGGTTACAGAGATCCAACATCTAAAACAATCCTTCTATACTGCCTCTCCAGGCTCCTCTACAAAGATGCAAATAGTCCAAGAAAGACAATGCCTTTAACAAATCCACTCTTACTTGAAGTCAGCCTGAGGTCATAGGATGCAACTTTCCTTAGATAATTTTGCCCCATCCTTCATAAACCTTCAAATCTAGTCTGTGAAATACTTCAAAGACAAAACAAAACAAATAACAAAACGTTTACCTGTTATTCACATTTTTAATAACACCTGTTGACTTCATCACTTTATTCTTTTC
This sequence comes from Homo sapiens, assembly GCF_000001405.40. Taxonomy (NCBI): domain Eukaryota; kingdom Metazoa; phylum Chordata; class Mammalia; order Primates; family Hominidae; genus Homo; species Homo sapiens. The sequence continues at coordinate 37,045,311 of NC_000019.10, read as the reverse complement.
CCAATATCAGTGTAGAAATAACAAACTGGCTTTGAAAATAGTATATTGTTAACATCATCAAACATCAAAGGCATCAGGCTTTGAAAATATATAACTTTGGAACTACAGAATTTATCTAAATAAGACATTGAAAAGGCAAACTTTTAAAATATCCTAATTTAATAGAAAATTGTTCAAAATATGGTGAAGCAAACAGAAAAAACTTAGCAAGCAGTATCATGAAAAGAAACCTACAAGGTTATTGTAGCATTGATTATAATGCATAGTAGCAGTCTATTCTCAGAGCTTTAGATGCCTATTTACCTGATGCACTGGCACCAATGCCCCCATTTTGGTGTGCCATCTTCCCTTCACCACTTGGGACAACACAGATAATAAAATCAGCTCCAAAAGCTTACATATGGTGGATCCCTTCACACCAGTTCACAGTACAAAGTAACCCCTTGCTTGTAGAAAACATTATTATTATCATTATTATTTTTTGAGATGGAGTTTTGCTCTTGTAGTTTGGCTGGAGTGCAATGGTGCGATCTCGGCTCATTGCAAACTCTGCCTCACTGCCTCAGCCTTCCAAGCAGCACCATGCCCGGCTAATCTTTTGTATTTTTAGTAGAGATGGGGTTTCACCATGTTGGCCAGGCTGGTCTCGAACTCCTGACCTCAGGTGATCCGCTCACCTCAGCCTTCCAAAGTCCTGGGATTACAGGCATGAGCCACCGCACCCGGCCTGGAAAACATTATTAAATAGCAAACAGTAGCAGTGTGCTTGGGGGTTTTAGGATTAATTATTTTCAAATCTCTAGAAAAGCTCAGGGCATTACCTTAGGCTATAATCCCAGAGCAGAGTCTCATCTGTTACTGGGGGGCTGGTCTAAGGGTCCTTCCAGCTCTCAGATTAATGGTTGCCCAGGTTGATCTGCTCCCTGCCACCCACCGATCCTCGGTTTTGTTTGTTTTTACAAAGATAATGTCTCACTATGTTGCCCAGGCTGGTCTTGAACTCCTGGCCTCAAGTGATCCTCCTGCCTTGGCCTCCCAAATTGCTGGAGTTCCTGATGTAAGCCACTGTGCTCAGCCCATCCTTGGCTGTTAAAATGTGGAGGTAAATAGTAGATGCCAAGTTTATCTCCAGGTCAGAAGTGGCAGATGCCCCAGGGCAGAATCATGATCCTAACCAGGCCTCCCACTGCATGAAGACCTTATTTTCTGAAGCTTAAACCTGGACAAAGGTCTGACCAGTAGCACTATGTTCATGAATATCAGGTCAAAAATTTAAAACTGGGACTATCCAGAAGAACCTGGTAGCTGCATGTGCAGTCCGCAGTCCAATGGTCAGCTACAAAAACAGGCTACTTGTACTTTCTCTTTGTCATGGAGTCTTTGATGTAAAAATTGATGACACTTTCTAGCTTCTGGTGTGCTTCCCTTCCTTGTTCATTTTCCATAAGTAGCTTCCTCCATCCCTCCTCCCACCAACAAGCCACAGTCAATTCAGGACATTTTAACCATGAAAATGAGTCTCCATAAGAGCAATTTAGAGGCCAGGCATGGTGGCTCATGCCTGTAATCCCAGCACTTCAGGAGGTTGAGGCCAGCGGATCACCTGAGGTCAGGAGTTCTAGACCAGACTGACCAACATGGTGAAACCCTGTCTCTACTAAACATACAAAATTAGCTGGGCATGGTGACAGGGCCTGTAGTCCCAGCTACTTGGAAGGCTGAGGCAATGAGCTGAGATTATGCCTGGGCAAGAAGAGCAAAACTCCATCTAAAAAAAATAAATAAATAAATAAGGAATTTAAAAATTAACATAGAGGAAAGAATAAAGGGGCCAGCCCCTTAAAAATCCCCGAAACCTGTTTAACAGGAATTTAGGTTATAATATAAATGTGTTGAGGATACTTTTTGCCTTTGTTGTTGAAGGACTCCAGTGAGATAGTGCTGATGATATTGCTGTACTTGGAATGGACTGGTCCTTTCATTTCCTCGATTTGTCCCTTTATTCTTTTGAGTGAAGCCATAACTCATGTTGTTACACTTTGCAGATACTGTGTTTTTCACACATTGAAGGTTTTGGCAACCATGTGTGGAGCGTCTATCTGTGCCACGTTTCTATCATCATGTGCTCAGTTTGTGACTCTGTCACATTTTGGTAATTCTTACAATACTTCAAACTTTTCGATTACTATTACTCTGTTATGGTGATCTGTGATAGGTGGTCTTTGAGGTAACTGTTGTAACTATTTTGGGAGGCCATGAATCAGGTCCCTATACGATGGCAAAGTTAATTGATAAAAATTGTATGTGTTCTGACTGCTCCCCTGGCCAGCCATTTCTCTCTCTCTCTCCTTGGCTCTCTCTCTTCCTTGAGACTCAAAAATATTAAAATTATGTCAATGAATAATCCTCAAATGGCCTCTTAGTGTTCAAATTAAAGGAAGACACATGTCTTTCACTTTCACTCAACACCAAGAAACGATTAGGCTTAATGAGGAAGGCCATGTTGAAAACCTAGGCTGAAAGCTATACTTCTTGTGCCAAAGTTAGCCAAGTTGTAAGTGCAAAGAAAAAGTTCTCAAAGGAAATTAAAAGTGCTACTCCAGCAAAAACATGCATAATAAAAAAACAAAGCCCTAATTACTACGGATAGTGCCTAGGGGAGTACTCCATGCCCTCTGGGCACACAATAGATATTATCTGATGAATTGGAAAAGAGCAAACCAGAAGTGGCTTTATTTTCCCCCTTGGACTCCCTTGGACTAATTTGAGTCTTGTTTGGAAATTACTGAGTAGGTTCATAAGGTGCATGACAGAAATAAGCTTTATAGTGGTTTACTTACATTTAGTTCTGGAAGTTTACCTTTGCCTTAGTTTTGGAAATAAATTCTAGTTTGTAGTTCTCAAGTTCTCATTTGTGATGAACACATTAAAGACTATATGAAAAAATTGCCTTCAGGATGATTCTTACTTGTAAGTCTTACTCCTACTTCTATATGCTGAAAATTGGCCCTGGAGGGCCAGGCGCAGTGGCTCACGCCTGTAATCCCAGCACTTTGGGAGGCTGAGGCAGGTGGATCACAAGGTCAGGAGTTCAAGACCAGCCTGGCCAAGATGGTGAAACCCTGTCTCTATTAAAAATACAAAAATTAGCCAGGCATGATGGTGGGCACCTGTAGTCCCAGTTACTCCAGAAGCTGAGGGAGAGAATTGCTTGAACTGGGGAGGCGGAAGTTGCAGTGAGCCAAGATCACGCCACAGCACTCCAGCCTGGGCAACAGAGCGAGACTTCGTCTCCATTAAAAAGAAAAACAGAAAATAAAAGAAAAAAGAAAATAGACGCTGGAGAGAATACTACAAAGTCTTGAGTTACCTGGAAAAGTGATCAGGTTAATAAATGTATATTGACAGTTGAATTTAGCAAAGAAATAGAGATAATCATGATTATACCTTCATTTTTACAGAAAGAAATGCTGTAAAAAGTGTATGTGTCTACAGGAGTAATAATGGGTTCTAAAGAGTATTTTTTATATTTTTTAAAGGAAAATAATGAGCATGAATGAACTCTTCAATATAAGCTATAAAGTAATAGCTGGTTGTGAATTTAAATGGTACCAGCTAGCACCTCTATGTTTTAAGGATCTTCCAATGTTTCTAGAATAAGCGCTTATTTTCAAGGATTTATTACAGATATAAAATCGCTTCCCCTGGCAAAAGCTGCTATGAAAAGCATCATCTTGAGAAGACAGATTGCTTTTCCTCCCAATTACAAAATCTAAGTATTTTGGCCCTTCATTTCGGAGGAGTGCAAAAGTTGGAAGTAAGAAGTTTTAAGTACTTCCAGTGCTCAAAAAATGCAATCACTGTATTATATATAAGTTTATAGGCTGATCACTCATAATAATTGACTGTAAGGCTTTTATTACGAAAACAGCAGAAAGATTAAAGCAAAATTGGGTATATAAATTATGTAACATGTTGTTGGGATTTTTTTTTTTTTTTTTGAGATAGTGTTTCACTCCGTCGCCCAGGCTGGAGTGCAGTGGCATGATCTCAGCTCACTGCAACCTCCGCCTCCTGGATTCAAGCGATTCTCCTGCCTCAGGAGAATTTCCAGGAGTGTGCCACTATGCCTAACTAATTTTTTATTTTTAGTAGAGATGGGGTTTCGCCATGTTGGCCAGGCTGGTCTTGAACTCCTGACCTCAGGTGACCCTCCCACCTCGGCCTCCCAAAGTACTGGGATTACAGGTGTGAGCCACCATGCCCGGCTGGGATTTTTTTTTAATGTGCAGAAGATGAAAGCTACTTGGAAGGAGTGCCTATAATTTTCCAGTAAGCCATAAATTAAGTCTGCATCATAAAGCTGAGTAGTTTTAGCTTAGGAGGAGGGTGGGAAGTTTGGGGGGCTGTGAAGATTTGGGGGACATTGAGAGAGAACTTTATAAGCTTCCTTCTCTTTAATAAACACTTGTCTTACATCTTCCTGTCATTAAAGGCAGCTGTTTCTAGAATTTTAATCACTTAAGTACACCCACAAAACAATAGTATGGAGATCTTCATTTCCCTGCAACTTTAATTTGTCCAGTTATACCTCAGTGTTGTAACAGTACTGTGATACCTGGCACAGTGCTTTGATCTTATGATAACCTCTTTATTGACCTGAAGGAGACCCAAGAGTCCTTTCTCTTTTTGAGTTTGAATCATAGCCTTTATGTGGTATCTTGTTTTATGTCCTTGTTCCTAATGTAAAAGGTGCTTAACTGCTTCTTGGTTCTATTGGGTAGCATTGGGATAAGATTTTAACTGGTATTCTTCAATTGCTTTTACAATAAACCAATTCTATAATATTAAAAAAAGAAAACAAAGCCTTATTGCTGGTATGGAGAAAGTTTAAGTGGTCTGGATAGAAGACCAAGTCAACCACGACATTCCCTTAAGCCAAAGCCTAATACATAGCAAGGCCCTAATTATCTTCCATTTTATGAAGGCCGAGAGAGATGAGGACGCTACAGAAGAAAAGTCTGAAGTTAGCATAGGTTGGTTCACGATGTTTAAGGAAGGAAGCCATCTCTATGATATAATAGTGCAAGATGAAGCTGCAAGTTCTGTTGTAGAAGCTGCAGCAAGTTATCCAGAAGATCTGGCTAAGATCATTGATGAAGGTGGCTATACTGAACAATGGATTGTCAATGTAGATGAAACAGCCTTCTATTGGAAGAAAATGCCATCCAGGACTTTGGATAGAGAGGATAAGTCCATGCCTGGCTTCAGAGCTTCAAAGGGGCCAGCCACGGTGGCTCATGCCTGTAATCCCAGCACTCTGGGAGGCTGAGGTGGGAAAATTGCTTGAGCTTAGAAGTTTGAGACCAGCCTGGGCAACATGGTGAAACCCTGTCTCTACAAACAACAACAACAAACAAACAAACAAAAAAACAAATCAAAAAGTAGCTATGTATTGTGGTGCATGCCTCTGGTACAAGCAACTCAGGAGGCTGAGGTGGGAGGATCACTTGAGCCAAGGAGGTCAAGTCTGCAGTTGCCCAAGATCACACCACTGCAATCCAGTCTGGGCAACAGAGTGAGACCGTATCTCACAAAAAAAAAAAAAAAGAAAGAAACATTCAAAGGACAGGCTGACTCTCTTGTTAAAAGCCAGTGCTGATTTGTGATTCCATAAATCCTAGGGCATCTCTTAAGAATTATACTAAATCTACTTTGCCCATGCTCTATAAGTGGAACAACACTTGGATGATATCACAGCTGTTTACTGCATGTGTTGCTGAGTATTTTAATCCCACTGTTGAGACCTACTGCTCAGAAAAAAAGATTCCTTTCAAATACGTCAGCTTATTGACAACATACCTGGTCACCCAAGAGCTCTAACGGAGATGTACAGGGAAATGAATGCTGTTTTCATGCCTGCCAACACAACATCTATTCTGTATCCCATGGATTGGGTGTCATTTTGATTTTCAAGTCTTATTATTTGAGAAATATATTTTATAAGCCTGTTGCTGCCATAGATCATGATTCCTTTGATGGATCTCAGCAAAGTAAATTGGAAAACTTCTGGAAAGGATTCACTATTGTAGATGCCATTAAGAACATTCATGATTCTTGAGATGAGGTAAAAGTAGCAGCATTAATAGGAGTTTGGAAGAAGTTGATTCCAACCCTCATAAATGACTTTGAGGGGTTCAAGACCTTAGCAGAGGAAGTAACCACAGTTGTGGTGGAGATAACAAGAGAAAGAGAATTACAAGTGGAGCCTGAAGATGTGAGTGAATTGCTGCAATCTTTTTTCTTTTCTTTTCTTTTTTTTTTTGAGACAGAGTTTCATTGTTGTTGTCCAGGCTGGAGTGCAATGGTGCGTTCTCGACTCACTGCAACCTCCGCCTCCTGGGTTCAAGCGATTCTCCTGCCTCAGACGCCCGAGGAGCTGGTATTATAGGCATGCACTGCCATTCCGGCTAATGTTGTATTTTTAGTAGAGACGGGGCTTCTCCATGTGTTGTATTTTTAGTAGAGACGGGGTTTCTCCATGTAGGTGAGGCTGGTCTCGAACTCCCAAGCTCAGATCATCCTCCTGCCTTGGCCTCCCAAAGTGCTGGGATTACAGGCCTGAGCCACCGCGCCCTGCCAAATAGCTGCAATCTTAATGGATGAGGAGTTGCTTATTATGAATGAGCAAAGAAGTGGTTTCTTGAGATGGAATCTACTCCTGGTGAAGATGCTGTCAACATTGTTGAAAGAACAACAAAGGACTTACAATATTCCATAAACTTAGTTGATAGAGCAGGGTTTGAGAGGACTGATTCCAATTCTGATAAAAATTCTACCGTGGGTAAGATGCTATCAAGCTGCACAGCATGCTACAGTGAAATCTTTGGTGAAAGGAAGAGTCAATCAATGCAGCAAACTACATTGTCATCTTATTTTAAGGAATTGCCACACCCACTCCAGCCTTCAGCAACCACCACCCCAATAAGTCAGTAGCCATCAACACTGAAGCAAGACCATGCACCAGCAAAATGATTACGACTTGATGAAGGACCAGATGATGGTTAGCATTTTTTGGCAATCAAGTATTTTCAAAGTAAGGTATGTACATTATATTTTAAACATAACGCTATTGCATACTTAATTGACTACAATAGTGTAAACACAACTTTTTTTTTTTTTGAGACGGAGTCTCGCTCTGTCACCCAGGTTGGAGTGCAGTGGCATGATCTCGGCTCACTGAAACCTCTGCCTCCGGGGTTCAAACAATGCCATCATTTTGGCTTTTCTTTCTCACCTGGCTCACTCTCCCCACTTCTCACTCTTGCTTCTTGGGATCACTTCCCAAATAAACCACCCACACCCAGGTCCTTACTCCAGCTCTTCTTTTAGGGGTACAGGCATACCTTGGAGATATTACAGGTTTGGTTCTAGGTCACCACAACAAGGCGAATATCGCAATAGAGCTAGTCACACGACATTTTTTGCTTTCCTGTGCATATAAATGTTATGTTGCTGGGCATGATAGCTCACGTCTGTAATCCCAGCACTTTGGGAGGCCAAGGTGGACGGATCACCTGAGGCCTGCTATTGAGGCATGCTATTGAGGCTGCTGCCATGGACTTCTTTTCTGCCAGAACCTTCTGAGAGTCTCCGGAAAGTCTTCCCGAACTGTCCACCTGAAACAGGAGCCTGGAGCATTTGCCCACCTGTCCCACACTGGTTGAGATCTTCCCCTGAGGCTGTTAACCTGCAAGTGTTTCTGGGCTGTGTGTTTGTGCTCAGCCAAAATCCTATAATCTCCAAAATAATGGAGATGCCCTGGGGCAGAAAGTGTAGCTTGAGTTTACTGGCAGCACAGGGGAAGCCTGCGCTTCCATGGAACTCCCCATGGTGGCTGAGACTGAGTGAAAGATGCGCTGAGAAGACATGACGCAGGCGCCATTGCACTGAGCAATCGTAGCCATCCATCTCGGCAAGAGGACCCCTGCCCTGAATCCTGCGCTTGAGAAGGTGCCTCTCTGGCCCTCCACTGACTGTACCCCGGCCCACCCAGAGCTCTCACGTTCTCTTCTAGGCCATACTCTGGGCACTCAGACACCTGGCCAAATGTGCCTGAGCCTGCATGGCCTCTCCCCTGGGTTTATTTCAAAGCGCAAACTGCTTGTCCAAATGGTGCCCAAGACTCTGCTGTCTGAAGGGGTGAGAAATGTGGATGGAGCTTGCATGGGGCCTAGGGAGTCCCCCACACGGGGGTACGCAAGGCTTCTCAAGTGAGGACAGGGCTACCTACGATGAAAGGGAAAAGTTTGGCCTGGGGCTGAGGATTGGCTCTCCTTCTGCTACCACATTCTCGTGCAGAGCACCAAAGAATCTGAGAATTCTACACTCAACTTTGACCTTGTGGGTTATTATGGCGGTATATTTATCAAAGTAGATGAATAGAACATATTTAGCTATTTGTTAGCTTCATTTGTAACTCATAATTATTTCGACATAATGCAAATGTGGGCTGGAATTCATGTTCTGATTTTGTGTGGCCTTGAGCTAAGGAAAAGGGACCCAGGGAAATGAGCTCTATATGCTTGGATGGCTTCATGGAATCCCTGACTTCATTAGCTTCTGTGAAGACTCAAGATTGTTACTGAAATCCACTTTGTATTATCTTTAAAAACCAAGGGTTATTATTTAGGTCAGCAATTAGAAGGCACTAGACTCAAAATATCTATGAACCAAAGGATACGAATGACCAAAAGCAGGAGGATTATTACCTGAAGGGGTGGAGGGCTGGATCTCAGGATATGACCTGTGAGATCCTTCCTGCTGGCTCAGTGCTGAATGAACGGGGGGCAGGAGAGCACCAGGAACAACACATATCTGGGACAGGAGGGAATTTGGGGAGGAAGGCAAAGAGAAATAGGCCCTTTTTGTTTTTATTGATACATGACAATTATACATATTTCTAGGGTACATGTGATATTTTGATACATGCATACAATATGTAGTGATCAAATCAGGATAATTTGCATATCCATAACCTCAAACATTTATCAATTGTTTGTGTTGGGAACATTCCAAATCTTTCTTCTAACCATTTTGAAATACATGGTAAGTTATTGTTAACGATCGTCATGCTACTGTGCTATTGAACACTAGAAGTTCTTTTCTTTCCATCTAACTGTATTTTTGTGCCCATTAACCACTTCTGGGAAGGGTAAGGGAGTGGGTGGATGAAAAGGGCCCTTGTTAAGGCAAAGATAATCTTACCAGAAGGGAAGAAATTTTAGGAGGAAGAATAAAATGGTGAACCATGGGCTTAGAGTGGGGACTGCAGAAATTAAATGGCAAAGAGAAAAAACCAACTTAGCAATGTGAAAATACATCTCAGTGTCATTCCTTTCACAGGTCCAATTTCTGATATTCTTTTGAGAAGCCAGATATGAAGTAGGAATCTTTCTTTGAGTCATATATTTTTATGATTATGATTATTGAATGATAGCTAACAATTATTAAGGGCAATTATTGAGCTTTGACAAGCTCTTGTCAAAGGCCCTTACATATGTTTTCTCCACTTCTAATTGTTAGATATTCTTAATATTCCCATTTTGTAGATGAAGGATGCACAGGCTTAAACCCTATGTGGAGGAAGTAACCTGACCATGGCCCAACAGCAAACAAATGATGGGGCCCACATGCAAATCCAGGCAGAACCCTTCTATTATATGAAGTTCAATGTTTTCTTGTTTTCATCTTGTTATGAAAACACCTATTTACAAATGGGTTTTGAAGCTACCATACACGCAGACTTTTTGTGGCCAGGCGTGGTGGCCAACGCCTGTAATCCCAGCATTTTGGGAGGGCAAGATGGGCAGATTGCCTGAGCTCAGGAGTTCAAGACTAGCCTGGGCAACATAGGAAGATCCCATCTCAATTTTTAAAATGGAAAAAAAATATAAACTTGAGCATATTAAAATTTTAAAGAGTTTATTTGAGCAAACAGAGATTCATGGATCAGGCAGCCCCAAACTGAAAGTGGTTGGAGGATCCACTGGAGGCATTTGCAGGGAAGGCTTTTATAGGGTGGATGTAGAAGTAGAGTAGATAAATTATTTGATTGGCGAAAATTTGGGCAGTTGCATTATTTGAACTATCCTGGTGGAAGGCCACTCATTACACAGCTAATATTCAGCTGGCCACTTGTGATGGGTGAAGCTTGTTTCATTTTGTCTATGTAGGAACCCAGCCATGGGAACTATCGCAGCCTAATGGTCTCCCATTAAGTTATTTTACACCTTCTCTCTGTATCAGGGTAAGCGAGGGTCTTCCTCACCAGGGTTCTTACCACCCTATTTCCCTCAGCAAAGTGAAACTGTCCCTTTTGCCTCTGTAGGCAATCTTCTGAACAAGGCTTTCCTAATATTCTTATCTCATCTTATTTTATCTTATCCTCTTCTCTGTACCTTGTTTACATGCTTCTAGAACACTTGTGTGTCTTGCACCCATCCCCTGCATTATTTAGGCAATCCTAAAAGAAAGCTTCTAGGATGGATTGGTAGAGAACTGCTGGCATATTGAGCCCACTCTCTTTGTATCTGGAACTTTCATAATTACTTTAGTTCTCCATGCCAATTTTGCAATTATCTTTGTTCTCCACTTCAAAATACATTTACCTCTAACAGAATCTGAGCACATAAAAGGGACCTTGTCCAGTGGTACATATGAGGCAGGAGAGACATGATATATTTATAACTGTAAACTAAAAGCTGTCTGACACCAAAAGTGTGGGCAACAAAAGAAAAAAATAAGCAAATTGGACTTCATCAAAATTTAAAACTTTTGTGCAATCAAAGGACAACCTGCAGAATGGACGAAAATATTTCAAATAATATATTTGATAAGTGATCGATATCCAGAATATATAAAGAATTCCTACAACTCAACAATAAACAACCTAACTAAAAAATAGGCAAAGGACTTACATAGACATTTTCCCAAAGAAGATATACAACTGGCCATCAAGCACATGAAAGATGCTCAACATCACTGATTACTAAGGAAATGCAAATCAAAACCACAATAAGATACCACTTCATACCCATTAGGATGTCAATCATCAAAAAAACAGGAAAAAATAAGTGTTGGTGAGGATGTAGCCAAATCAGAACCCTTGTGCCTTTCCAGTGGATTCTGCAACGGTATAGTCATGGTGGAAAAGAGTGCAGTGGTTCCTAAATTAAAAAAAAAAAAAATGGAACATAGGCTGGGCGCATGGCTCATGCCTGCAATCCCAGCACTTTAGCATGCTGAGGCAGGCAGATCACGAGGTCAGGAGTTCAAGATCAGCCTGAACAACATGGTGAAACACCGTCTCTACCAAAAATACAAAAATTAGCCAGGCGTGGTGCTGTGTGCCTGTAATCCCAGCTACTCAGGAGGCTGAGGCAGCAGAATCGCTTGAACCTGGGAGGCGGAGGTGTCAGTGAGCTGAGATCATGCCACTGAACTCCAGCCTGGGCGATAGAGTGAGACTCTGTCTCAAAAATAAATAAATAAATAAAAATGGAACATAGAATTACTGTATGAGTCAGCAAGTCCACTTCTGGGTTTAAACCCATAAGAATTGAAAGCAGGGACTTCAACAGATATTTGCAAATTCATGTGTATAGCAACATCATTCATGATAGCCAAAAGGTGGAAGCATTCATTGACAGAGGAATGGATAAACAAAATGTGGTACAGACATACAGTGGAATATTATTTAGCCTTAAAAAGGGACATTCTGATGCATGCTACAACATGGATGAACCTTGACATAAGACTAAGTGAAAGAAGCTGGATACAAAAAACTAATACTGCATGATTCCACTTATATGAGGTATCGAGCATGTCATATTCATAGAAACCAAAAGTAGAATGATGGTTCCCAGGTACTGGGAGGAGAGAGTAATGAAGGGCTATTGTTTAAAGGGTACAGAGTTTCAGTTTGGGAAACTGAAAAGGAAAAAGCTCTAGAGATGATGGAAAGTGTGACGGTTGTACAATCGTGTGATTGTATTTAGTGACACTGAACTATGCACTTAAAATGGTTAAAATGGCAAATGTTATGCTATGTATATTTTGCCACAATAAAAATTAAAGCTTTTTCAAAATTAAAAGCTTTAGAAAGATTAATTAAAAGTAACCAAATCTATTTTAAAATTACAGCTAAAATGAAGTCTCCCTCAATCCCAATAACTATGTGCCAAAAGTGCTACTTCTGCTCTGATCTTTCTACCTACTGTGAATATCCATATGTGACATTTTGGCTAGTTCATAAAATAAACTTGAATGAGCATTAATTTTTTCTAATTCTCTTCCTATATCCACCAGCTACATTCTACATCCTACAACTTGCCGACCACACCTGATACAGATGAATCATTTTTCTGCTCCCTCTTTCAATTTCCTCTAGTATCTGTGATTTATATACCACCTCCTGCTGCTCTAGGTCCAATCTCTGTGCAGTTTTATGTCTTGGTATTGGTAACTCTTGATCTGGGCAAGCAGTGGTGCTATCTCCACTCACTGCAAACTCTGCCTCCTGGGTTCAAGCAATTCTCCTGCCTCAGCCTCCCAAGTAGCTGGGATTACAGGCACGTGCCACCACTCCTGGCAAATTGTTGTATTTTTAGTAGAGACGGGGTTTAACCTTGTTGGTAAGGCTTGTCTCGAACTCCTGACCTCTGGTGATCCACCAGCCTTGGCCTCCCAAACTGTGGGATTACTGGCGTTAGCCACGGCACCCAGCCTTTTTTTTTTTTTTTTCTTAAAGACCGAGTCTCACTCTGCTGCGCAGGCTGGAGTGCAGAGCGCGATCTTGGCTCACTGCAACCTCCACCTCCCAGGTTCAAGTGATTCTCATGCCTCAGCCTCCGAAGTACCTGGGATTACAGGTGCGCACAACCACGCCTGGCTAATTTTAGTTTTTTGGGTTTTTTTTTTTTAACAGAGTCTTGCTCTGTCACCAGGTTGGAGTGCAGTGGCGCAATCTCGGCTCACTGCAACCTCTGCCTTCAAGTGGTTTTCCTGCCTCAGCCTCCCAGTAGCTGGGACTACAGGCACATGCCACCACGCCAGGCTAATTGTATTTTTAGTAAAGATAGGGTTTCACCATGTTTGCCAGGATGGTCTCAATCTTCTGACCCCGTGATCTGCCTGCCTTGGCCTCCCAAAGCATTGGGATTACAGGCGTTAGCCACCGCACGGTCTAATTTTTGTATTTTTAGTAGAGATGGGGTTTCACCATGTTGGCCCGGCTGGTCTGGAACTCCTGAGGCTGACCTCAAGTGATCTGCCTGCCTCGGCCTTCCAAAGTGCTGGGATCATAGGTGTAAGCCACCACGCCTGGCTGGTGTACCGTTTTAATAGAATGCAGAAACAAAGCTAAGTGTGAATCTTAAATACTTAATATTGAGTAAAAGAAGCCAGATGCAGTAGGATACAAACTATTACTCCAATTATGTAAGAGAAAAACCGGGCAAAATCAGACTTTAGGCACATAAAAAATACATAATAAAGCCAGGTTTTGGGGTCAGGAGTTTGAGACTAGCCTGGCCAACATGCAAAACCCTGTCTCTACTAAAAATACAAAAATTATCCAGGTGTGGTGGCACGTGGCCTGTACCTGTAATCCCAGCTACTCGGGAGGCTGAGGCAAGAGAATCACTTGAACCCAGGAGGCGGAGGTTGCCGTGAGCCGAGATCATGCCACTACACTCCAGCCTGGGCGACAGAGCGAGACTCCGTGTCCAAAAAAATAAAGAAAAGAAAATGCATAATAAAATTACAAAGAGAAGCAAGGAGAGGATGGCAGATATCCACAGGTAATGTGGATATCTGTATATCTGTTACTAATAAGGGGAAGGAAGACTTTAGGATCAGTTAGGGGCATACAGAGGACTTCTTGGTGTTGGTTGTGCTCTATTTCTTCACCTGGATAGGTATCACACAGATGTTTATTTAATAACCAATGTATCCACATCTTTGTTTGCAAATTTCACAATAAGAATGAAATAGAGCAAAGGAGGGTGAATGGAAAGAGATTTCTCCATTCATCAAATTATGAAGTCATGTTTTTCCTCAGGTTCTTCTCTAAGCTCAGTCTGAAATGGTGAAAGCAGCCAAGCATGGTGGCTCACGCCTGTAATCTCAGCACTTTGGGAGGCCAAGGTGGGTGGATCACCTGAGGTCAGGAGTTGAGACCAGCCTGGCCAACATGGCAAAACCCCGTTTCTACTAAAAATACAAAAATTAGCCGGGCGTGGTGGGGGGGCACCTATAATCCCAGCTACTTGGGAGGCTACAGTGAGCCAAGATCATGCCACTTCACTCAAAAGAGTGAAACTCAGTCTCAAAACACAGCAAAATAAAACAACAACAACGAAAGAAAACAGGAAAAATCCTCAATATGACTTAGAGGACTTATTAAACTAGGGTGCAGCCACTCATACTGTGTCTTGCTTTGTAGCTCAAGAAAACGATGACCCTCCCTAGGTACTGATTTAGAGTGACATTTCTGTGAAAATACAGAAATACTTATATATGCATGTAACACATAGATGTATTTGAAATTGTATGTGAGTATGATATATACATACATATTTGTGTGTGTATGGCACCTGCATACTTGTATATGAAAATAACTTCTGTGTTCAGCCCTAAAAAAGAACAAGATCTTTCCATTTGCCACAACATGGATGAGCCTGGAGGGCATTATACCAAGTGAAGTTAGCCAACAACAGAAAGAAAAATATTGCATGACCTTACTTACATGTGGAATCTGAAAATAATTTTCACATATAAAGAAATAGAAGGCCGGATGCAGTGGGTCACGCCTGTAATCCTAGCATTTTGGGAGACCAAGGTGGGAGGATCAGGAGGTCAGAAGCTCAAGACCAGCCTGGCTAACACGGTGAAACCCCGTCTCTGCTAAAAATACAAAAAATTAGCCTGGTGTGTTGGCACACGCCTGTAATCACAGCTACTCGGGAGGCTGAGGTAGGAGAATTGCTTGAACCCGGGAGGCGGAGGTTGCAGTGAGCAGAGATCACGCCACTGCATTCCAGCCTGGGCGACAGAGCGAGACTCCCTCTCAAACAACAACAACAACAACAACAACAAAAACAGAGAACCACAGTGATTACCAGTGAGAAAGGAAGGGAGGAAATGAGGACACGTGGGTCAGAGATACAAAGTAGCAGATACGTAGGATGAACAATCCTATACATCTTTTATACAACATGAGGAGTATAGGTAATAAAATTGTACTGTATATGGGATTCATGCTAAATGAGTAGATTTTAGCTTCCCTTGCCACACCAAAAAATGTGGGTACCTGTGAGATGATAGATATTTTAATTGGCTTCACTATAGTAACTCTTTGACTATGTATATATATATCCTATAACATTATATTGTGTACCTTAAATATACACAATAAAACTTCATTTAAAAAAAGAAAAAAATTGGCCAGGCGCGTGGCTCATGCCGGTAATCCCAGCACTTTGGGAGGCCAAGGCGGGTGGATCACGACATCAGGCCTGGCCAACATGATGAAACCCCGTCTCTACTAAAGATACAAAAAATTAGCCAGGTGTGGTGGCACATGCCTGTAATCCCAGCTACTTGAATCTGGGAGGCTGAGGCTGCAGAGAGCTGAGATCGTGCCATTGCACTCCAGCCTGGGTGACAGGCCGAGACTTTGATTCAAAAAAAAAAAGTAAAAGAAAAAAAAGAAAAAGAAAAAGAAAAAAAATTAAAGGATTCAAAACAAAATTAAAATATTGACTCTCAAGTGAGCTACTGAATGACTGGAGTGCATGAGAGAAAAGGTTACTTAACATTTTTATACCTATTGAATTGAATTTTATGTATGCATTATAAATGTAAATGTGCAATAATGCAGATAACTGAAATGCGGGAATGCTTTGATTAGGACTTTGCATTTCCCATTTCCTCAACTTCCTCATGACTCTAGATGCATTTGAATAGAAATACAAAATTTAAGGAGACACAGGACTTCTGATCGCCCTTTCTTCTTATTTTGTGTCTCTGGCTGTAGTTTACCATATGTGTCCATATGGCTAATGAGCAAAATATTTTTCAGTTGGATACCTGTGACCAAGCATTGCAAGTTAAAGATATTTCTGAATCTTGGACCCTCTTAGTTACAGTGAAGCCCGGCCATGCATAATAAAGCAGAGAGGAATGTAAAAGGTTGCTGCATCGATAATCAATTTCTGGTGAGCAATAATTATAGGTAATGTAAAATGAGACAATTATTGCTTTTCATCATATCTTGAAAGAACTCCTACAGTCGATGATTTGAACAAAACACCTAAGTTCACTCTCCTCTTTTCTATTATGAAAAGATATTATCCAGTAGAAGTTCAAGAGCAAAATCCGAAGGCAGCTTATCTGACCTGGCCACATAGCCTTGCCACTTATTCAACATAACTTTCTACACACTAACCTCTCCAGACCTCAGATCTTCAGCTCTCTGAAATACAAACATAGTAGTATCTACCTCTAGAACTGCAGCTGAACTGAGCATTTTAGGGAAGGAACAAACACACACATGATATATATAGTCAGATTATGAACCCAGTGTGGCCCAGAATACAGAAATTTCTCAGTAATAGAGATCCTCAAGAGAAAAATCAGATGTAGCCTATCTCAGTGGCCTTTCAAGTGGCAAATAAACACTGAAAGTCCATAATGAGAAAGACATGGGCAGGCAGTGACATCATCCATTCAGTGTAGACTCTCAACATCTCTGACAGTCATTCCCTGTTGTACCCCAACCTGTTTATATATTGGGCTTATATGACCTTTCAGTCAAAACATACATAAATCTCAAGCCTCAGTCAGAAATATTTATGGACAACCAGGTATTATTCTGTTTCCAATCAAAACTCAGGTAGACCACATTTTATGTGACAGGAGAAAGCACAGTTGATGCCCAGGTAACCCTGAGATCATCCCTGACTGCAGCTTCCTATCATCACAGCAAGCTCTTTCCCCGCAGTCCATCATCTGTATCTGCCCTTTGCTATATAGGTAGCAAAAATAAACATCTGAAAAGATGCTCAACACCATATGTCACTAGGGAATTCAAATTAAAACAAAGATGAGATACCACTACACATCTGTTAGACTGGCTCAAATCCAAACGCTGACACCACCAAATGCTGGTGAGGATACGGCGCAACAGGAACTCTCATTGATTGCTGCTGGGAATGCAAAATGGTACAGTCACTGTGGAAGGCAGTTTTGCAAATTCCTGCAAAACTAAACATATGATTACCCTATGATCTGGCAATTGCATTCTTTGTTACATACCCAAATAAGTTGAAAACTTAGATCCACTCAAATCCTGCACATGAATGATTACAGCAGCTTATACATAACCAACAAAGATTGGAAGTAACCAAGATATCCTACAATAGGGAAATGCATAAACTAACTCTGAAACAATCATACAATGGAATATTCTTCAGGAATAAAAAGAAATGAACCACCAAGGCATGGAAAGACATGGAGGAATCTTAAACATGTATTTCTAAGTGAAAGAAGCCAATGTGAAAAGGCCACATAGTGTATAGTTCCAATTATATAAAATACTAGAAAAAGGCAAAACTAGGCAGATGGTATTATAAAAAGTTCAGTGGTTGCCAGAGGCTTGAGCAGAGGGAAGGATGAATAGGTGGAGCACAGAGGATTTTTAGGGCAATGAAACTTTTCTCTGTGACCCTTTAATGGTGGATATATGTCCTCATGCATTTGTCAAAGTCCATAAATGGTAGAACACAAAGAGTGAATCTTAATATAAGCCATGAACTTAATAATATTAATATTGGCTCATCAAGCATACAAATATACCACACTAACAAGATGATAATAGAGGAAGTGTGTGTACTATGGTGTGAGGGGGATATTAGAGCTCAATTTGCCTTCTGCTCTGTTTTTCTGTACACCTACAACTGTTCTAAAAATTAAGTCAATTATTTATTTATCTTTTGGAGAAAGGGTCTCGTTCTGTCACTCAGGCTGGAGTGCAGTGGTGCAATCACAGCTCACTGCCCAGCCTGCAGAATCAATTAATTTTAAAAATGTTTTAAACTCTTGAAAAAGGAATTATTCTAAGGGTGAAAAATAAAATGAAAGAGGATTGATTGGTAAATTCCAAATGTTGAATATTAAATAATTTGGATTAATTTTAAATTCCAAAAAGTGAAACTTTAAAAAACATTTTTGAAATTTCCTAATCTGAAGTCATTGCATGTTCAATAAATTCAAGAGCCAATTTCAGAGATCGTAGGTTTTGGCTTTCTTTGTTGACTATTTGTATTTGTGAACGGCTAATTTTTATTTTGTTCCTTTCTTCTTAGGGTATTGACTAATATTTTATTAAGCCAGAGAGACAGTAAATTAGAATTATTATCTGTTTGTCCATTTTATCTGTTATAAATATTTCCTCCAAATTCACTTATCTAAAGTTTTTGGTTTTTTTAGCCAGGCGTGGTGGCTCACGCCTGTAATCCCAGCACTTTGGGAGGCTGAGGCAGGAGGATCACTTGAAGTCAGGAGTTCGAGACCAGCCTGGCCAACATGGCAAAACCCCATACCTACTAAACATACAAAAATCAGCTGGGCTACCAGGCCCGGTGGCTCACAACTGTAATCCCAGCACTTTGGGAGGCCGAGGTGGGCAGATCACCTGAAGTCGGGAGTTTGAGACCAGCCTGACCAACATGGAGAAACCCCATCTCTACTGAAAATACAAAACTAGCAGGGTGTGGTGGCACATGCCTGTAATCCCAGCTACTTGGGAAGTTAAGGCAGGAGAATCGCTTGAACCCAGGAGGCGGAGGTGCAGTGAGCCCAGATCACCCCATTGCACTCCAGCCTGGGCAACAAGAGTGAAACTCCCTCTCAAAAAAAAAAAAAAGAGCCGGGCATGGTGGCACATGCCTGTAGTCCCAGCTACTCGGGAGGCTGAGGCAGGAGAATCACTTGAGCCCAGGAGGCGGAGGTTGCAGTGAGCTGAGATGGTGCCACTGCACTCCAGCCTGGGATGTGTCACCCCCCAACCCCACCCCCGCCAGCTAATTTTGTATTTTAGTAGAGATGGGGTTTCTCCATGTTGATCAGGCTGCTCTTGAACTCCCGACCTCAGGTCATCCGCCCGCCTCTGCCTCCCAAAGTGCTGGATTACAGGCATGAGCCACTACACCCGGCCTTATGCCATTATTAATAAGATTGATGTTAAATTATATAATCGATGGGTAAATAGTATCAAGGATGAATTACTCAGTAAAGAAGACAGGCTTAGGCCAGGTGTGGTGGTTCAGATTTGTAATCCCAACACTTTGGAAGGCTGAGGCAGGAGGATTGCTGAGCCCAGGAGGTCGAGGCTGCAGTGAGCAGTGTTCACACCACTGTACTCCAACCTAGGCAACAGAGCGAGACCTTGTCTCTTAAAAAAAAAAAAAAAAAAAAAAGACAGGTTTAAAAATCTATGCATAAATTAAGTGGTATCCTGGTAAAATTAAGGAGACAGGCTGTCTTCTCAGCCTCTAAGAAAGTGATACTGAGCTCTGCATTGTGAGATGTCAACATCTTGGTGCCTCTGTTTCCCCATCTCACTACACATGACAGGTCTGAAGATGAATCAAGATAATCCATAGAAACAAGTACATGATAGGTAGTGTAATAATGTATCATCACAGAAGATAAAAAAGACCACCTGTCCATTAGTCTGCTATTATAAAAGGAACTTAATTCTGTTGCTACCTGGTTGTCTTAATGTCTGTGCTTTGTAGGTTTCTCTTTCTTATAATTCCAATTTTACAAATTTCAAGGCTCACCTTTGAGAAAACATCAATCTTACTTAAAAAAAACAACAACAGTTAACTTTAAAAAAACAAGATTTTCAGACAGGTAAGAAGAAAATACCCCTTTCCTTACTCCTCAGATGTTACAGAAAACAAGGAAAACACCCTTCAGCCTCATATACATGTTCAATGAACAAGAGATGATGCTGAGAAAACCTATGAATGTAAAGAGTGTGGGGAAGCTTTTAGGACTAGCCGCCAACTTTCTGTACATCATAGATTTCATTCTGGTGAGAAACCCTATAAATGTTTGGAATGTGACAAGGCCTTTAGTGTGTATGGATGACTTAGTCAACATCAATATTCACACTGGTGAGAAACCCTTTTAATGTAACAAATGTGAGATGTCCTTTAGGCTCAACTCAGGCCTTAAAGCACATCAGAGTATTCATACTGGAGAGAAGCCCTATGAATGTGAGAAGTGTGGGAAGGCCTTTAGTGTGTTTGGGCAATTTGCTCAATATCAGAGTACTCATAGTGGTAAGAAGCCCTTTACGGCAGGGTGTGGTGGCTCATGCCTGTCATCCCAGCACTTTGCAAGGCCAAAGGCAGAGGATAGCTTGAACTCAGGAGTTCGAGAACAGCCTGGGCAACATAGTGAGACCCCATCTCTATTTAAAAAAATTAAGGCCAGGCGTGGTGGCTCACGCCTGTCATTCCAGCACTTTGGGAGGCCAAGGTGGGTGGATCACCTGAGGTCAGGAGTTCGAGACCAGCCTAGCCAACATAGTGAAACCCCGTCTCTACTAAAAATACAAAAAATTAGCCAGGTGTGGTGACGGCACCTTTAATCCCAGCTACTCGAGAGGCTGAGGCAGGAGAATCTCTTGAACCTGGGAGGTGGCGGTTGCAGTGAGCTGAGATTGCACCACTGCACCCCAGCCTGGGTAACAGAATGAGACTCTGTCTCAAAAAAACAAACAAACAAAAAAATCCCTTTGTGAACCCAAAATGTCTGAGATGGGTCTCAGTCAATTTAGAAAGTTGATTTTGCCAAGGTTAAGGATGCCCTGTGACCCAGCCTCAGGAGGTCCTGACAACATGTGCCCAACCAAAGTGGCTCGGGTACAGCTTGCTTTACACATTTTAGAGAGGCATGAGATCAATCAATACATGCCAGAGTTACACTAGTTCAATCTGGAAGGGTGGGACAACTAGAAGGAGGTGCCTCCAGGTCATAGGTAGATTTTAAAATTTTCCGATGGGCATTCGGTGGAAAGAGTTATCAGTAGGTTATGTCTGGGTTATAAAAGGGGTTGTGGAGACCTAGGTTTTATTCTGCAGATGAAGCCTCCAAGTAGCAGGCTTGAGAGAGGATACAAATGTTTCTTATCAGACTTAAGGTCTGTGTTGATGTTCATGCTGGAGGGGTATCATGAGGCATATGAAAACCCCTCTTCCATCATGGCCTGATCTAGATTTTCAGGTAACTCTGGAATGCCCTTGGCCAAGAGGAGGGACCCATATATATGTATATGTATATATGTACAGTGTGTCAATGTATTTATACCACTGAGAAACAATTTGGATAAAGACTACACGGGAAGGCTTTTAGATATGGTTAAGCTCTTATTAGGTATCAATTTGTTTGTACCGGTGTGAACTTTTCAAAATGTCAGTAATGTGTCATTTTTTAGCTCTGAACCCAAATGTTACTCAGATTCAGATAGTTTATAATGTATTTTTATAACAACACAAGAAAACCTCTTTTGGGCTGGGCACAGTGGCTCACGCCTGTAATCCCAGCACTTTGGGAGGCCAAGAGGGGTGGATCACCTGAGGTCAGTAGTTGGAGACCAGCCTGGCCAACACGGCAAAACCCTGTCCCTACTAAAAATACAAATATTAGCTGGGCATGGTGACGTGCACCTGTAATCCCAGCTACCCAGGAGGCTGAGGCAAGAGAATCCCTGGAACCCAGGAGGCAGAGGCTGCAGTGAGCCAAGATTGCGCCACTGCACTCCAGCACGGGCGACAGAGCAAGACTCCATCTCAAAAAGAAAAAAAAAGAAAGAAAAGAAAACCTTTTCTGGCATTCTTCTATTTTTGCATTATCGAACCATTCGTAATAGAGGAAAATTGAGAGGATATAGGAAAGCATTGCATTGCTCTTTATACTTTGTATGTAAAAGTCTTCCAGCACCAATTACTGTTAAATTGATGAAAAGTCATCAAACAGAGCTGTGTGATGTGGAAAAGGCTTTAGACATTCTACAGATCTTTTTTTTTTCTTTTTCTTTGAGACGGAGTCTCGCTCTGTCACCCAGGCTGGAGTGCTGTGGTGCAATCTCGGCTCACTGCAACCTCTGCCTCCTGGGTTTAAGTGATTCTCCTGCCTTAGTCTCCTAGGTAGCTGAGATTACAGGTGTGCACCACCATGCCTGGCTAATTTTTGTATTTTTTTAGTAGAGATTGGGTTTCGCCATGTTGGTCAGGCTTGTCTCGAACGCCTGACCTTGTGATCCGCTTGCTTCGGCCTCCCAAAGTGCTGGGATTACAGGCGTGAGCCACCGCGCCTGCCCCCATGCTACATATCTTAATGATCGTCATCAGCGTTCAACTCCTTACAGCCAATATGATATTGGGGATAATACTTATCCCCTCTGGGCATCATATGTAAATGGCGATAGTAGTACCTACAGTATATTGCTGTATTACATGAGTTAATACATGAAAAAAACATGGAACACTATCTAGAATGTACTGTTATGTTCAATAAATATTAGCTTCCATTTGTGATATCATTATGGGTGCTATTTTTTGTTAATTTTTTTCATTTCTGTGGAATTGTTAGTGGATTTTGATGAGATAAAATTCAGAAGAATGACAGAATTCAGAAGCATTTCATGTAATTACTCATCCCTTTTTGAATTTGAATTCATTCTGGATAAACTCAAGCAAGTAAAAACCATGAGAGGGTCTCATTCGAATGTCAAGGTGAATCACACACTTAATCCTGGAATGAAATTCAGATGTACAAATTTTTAAAATGTCAAAAGTGTGAAAATAATAATTTATATTCCTTTTGCACAATTCAAAATGCATTAGAAATTAACCAAATATTATCTAGTTTGCAATTTTTACACTTTTATTATACATTTAATTATATATTTAAGTTTAAATATATAGAAAAGTTTTTAAAATTGCAGCAAATAAAATATATATTAATATATTGCCACATTAGATTTTTTTGCCCCTATACATTTGATATATAATTTGACAGTGTTATGGATGATATAATTTTCTACATCTAAATACATGAGTCCATCTCCCCAAAAACAATTTCCTGTTTACTCAAAGTGTCATATAATCACACATAAGAAAATTAGTAATAATTTCCTATTCCAAAATTGAATCCAAATTCAGATTTTTTCAATTTTCTCAGTAATGTACAACTATTCATTTTTTCTTTTCTTTTTTTTTTTTTTTTTTTTTTTTTTTGAGACAGACTGTCGCTCTGTTGCTCAGGCTGGAGTTTAGTGGCACGATCTCGGCTCACCACAACCTTCACCTCCTGGGTTCAAGCGATTCTCCTGCCTCAGCCTCCCGAGTAGCTGGGACTACAGGTGTACGCCACCATGCCATGCTAATTTTTGTATTTTTAGTAGAGATGGGGTTTCACCATGTTGGTCAGGCTTGTCTCCAACTCCTGACCTCGTGATCCCCATGCCTTGGCCTCCCAAAGTGCTGAGATTACAGGTGTGAGCCACTGCTCCTGGCCTACAACTACTCATTTTCAAAGTGGTAACCAGCTTATGCATTTGATTGGGAAACTCTGACCAGTAACCAAATGCAACTTTTTAAATATTTCGGCCCAGTGTGGTGGTTCATGCCTATAATCAAAGCACTTTGGGATGCTGAGGCAGGCGGATCACCTGAGATCAAGAGTTAGAGACCAGCCTGACCAACATGGAGACACCCCATCTCTACTAAAAATACAAAATTAGCTGGGTGTGGTGGCATATGCCTGTAATCCTAGCTATTTGGAAGGCTGAGGCAGAAGAATCACTTGAGCCCAGGAGGCAGAAGTTGCGGTGAGCAGAGATAGCACCATTGCACTCCAGCCTGGGCAACAAGAGTGAAACTTCGTTTCAAAAAAAATAAAAAATAAAAAATGTTTCATTGCAAGATTAGCACACTCATTGTCTACTTTTTGTCTATGGCTGCTTTCTTCCTATTATAATAGAGTTGAATAGTCAGTACAGAGACTCTGTGGAACAGGAAAGCACTCTTGACCTTTTCAGAAAGAGTTTCTCAACTCCTGGTTTACACGTCTTTTGCTCATGATTTTGGCTGGGTTATTTTCCTCCTAATTTTTAAAAATTGTGAAATACACATAAAATTTGGTGTCATAACCATTTAAAGCATACACTTCTGTTCAGAGTTATTAAGGACATTCATATTGTTGAACAAACACCACCACCATTTATTTCCAGAACTCTTCATTTTGCAAAACTGAAACTCTATACCTATTAAACAATGACTCCCCATTCCCCCAACCCCTGCCAACCACCATTCTACTATCTGTTTCTATAATGTTGACTGTTGTAAGTACCTCATATAAGTGGAATAATACAGTGTTTATTTTATAACAGGCTTATTTCCTTAGTATAATATTCTTAACATCCATGTTGCAGCATATGTCAGAATTTCCTTCTATTTAAAGGCTGAATAATGTGCACTGTGTGTATTTACTGCATTTTACTTATGTATCTATTGACTAAGGGACACTTGGGGTGCCTCTACTTTAGCTATTGTGCATAATGCTGCTATGAACATGGTGTAAGGATTAAAGAAAGAAGAAACAAACACGAAAAGCAGCTTGACCGTCAAAGACAGGTTTATTTGGGAAAATAAACCTGAGAGGGGCTTCTGGCCGATTTAGGCCAGGCATGTTCTCTCTTACAGAATAAGGATATTTAAGGGTTTAGGGAGTGAGAGCTTATTGCAAGTTTGGAATATTTTTGGGTAGAGGAGAGTTTTGTTGTGGGGCTGCAATGTTTCTGTTCAGAGGGAGGTTTATCTCGGGGTTGGAATGTTTCTGGTCAGAAGTGTCATTTGTCCTTTATGGTCATGCTGACATTAGCCATTATGTTGTGTTTTTGGGCTGGATTTAGGCAGTTTTTAATCAAGGGAAACTTTTTTTTTTTTTTTTTTTTTTGAGACGGAGTCTCACTCTGTCGCCCAGGCTGGAGTGCAGTGGCGCCATCTGGGCTCACTGCAAGCTCCGCCTCCCGGGTTCAAACGATTCTTCTGCCTCAGCCTCCCGAGTAGCTGGGACTACAGGCGCCCGCCACTGTGCCCGGCTCATTTTTTGTATTTTTAGTAGAGACGGGGTTTCACCGGGTTAGCCAGGATGTTCTCGATCTCCTGACCTTATGATCCGCCCTCCTCAGCCTCCCAAAGTGCTGAGATTACAGGCGTGAGCCACCACGCTCGGCCAAGGGGAATTTAAAATGGCGGTGTTTGTCCAAGATGGCGATGCTCCTGCTCTGTCACGTGGGTGTACAAATATCTCTTTGAAACTGCTTTCAGTTTCCCAGAGTGTCTACCTAGATGTGGAATTGCTGGATCATATGGTAATTCTATTTTTAATTTTTTTTTTTTTGTGACAGATGAGTCTTTCTCTGTCCCCCAATTGGGAGTGCAGTGGTCAAATCTTGGCTCACTGCAAACTCTGCCTTCTGGGTTCAAGTGATTTTCCTGTCTCAGCCCTCTGGGATTACAGGCACATGCCACTGCGCCTGGCTAATTTTTGTATTGTTAGTAGAGATGGGGTTTCACCATGTTGGCCAGGCTGGTCTTGAACTCCTGACTTCAAGTGATCCGCCCATCTCAGCCTCCCCAAGTGTTGGGATTACAGGCTTGAGCCACCACGCCTGGCCTCCATTTTCAATTTTTTAAGGAATTGCCATGCTGTTTTTCACAGTGGCTGTACCTTTTTCTATTCCCTGCAATAGTGCCTCAGGGTTCCCATTTCTCTATATCATTACCAACAGCTCTTATTTTCTGTTTTTTAACGGCAGCCTTTCTAATGGAGATAAAGTAGTATCTCCTTATAGATTTGATTAGCATTTCCCTAATAATTAGTGTGGTGAGTATCTTTTTACATGCTTATTGGCCATCTGTATGTCTTTGGAGAAATAATTTTTGTATTTTTAGTAGAGACGTGAAGTCTCTGAAGTCTGTGGCAGATTTTTGGACCCTTTTAATTGTTGGATTTTACAGATTATATATTTAGCATCTTAATCCCTTATCAGGTTTATGATTGTAAATATTTTCTTTCATTCTGTGGGTTTCCCTTTAAATCTACTGATGTCTTTTGATTCACACTTCTTTTTTACTTTTCATGAATTTCAACTTGTCTGTTTTTTCTTTTGATGCCTGTACATTTGGTATCCTCCAAAAAAAATTACCAAATGCAGTGCTATGAAAGCATTTGATCTCACAATTAGTTTATGGATCCATTTTAAGCTAATTTTGTATATGGCATTAAGAGTTCAACTTTGGCTGGGCACAGTGACTTGTGCCTGTAATCCCAGCATTTTGGGAGGCTGAGGTGGGTGGGTCACTTGAGGCCAGGAGTTCGAGACCAGCCTGGCCAACATGGTGAAACCCCGCCTCTACTAAAAATATAAAAAAATTCACTGGGCATGGTGGTGCACACCTATAATCCCAGCTACTCAGGAGGCTGAGGCAGGAGAATTACTTAAACCCAGGAGGCAGAAGTTGCAGTGAGCTAAGATCATGCCACTGCACTCTAGCCTGGGCGACACAGATTCTGTCTCAAAAAAACAAACAAACAAAAAATAAAAATAGTTCAACTTTATTCTTTTTTATGTAGATACCCAGTTTTCCTAGCACAGTTCAGAACCCTGTCATATCCCCATTGACTGATCTTGGCACCCTTGTTGATAAGCATCTGGCTATATATGCATTGATTAATATTGGACTCTTTGATTACTCTCATTTTGCAGTAAGTTCTGAAATCAGAAAGTGTGATTTTTCCAGCTTTATTCCTAGTTTTTAGGGTTGTTTTGCCTACTTGGAATCCCACGAGGTTTCATATGAATTTCAGGATAGATTTTTCCGTTTATACAAAAAATGTCATTAGAATTTCAGAAGGATTACATGAAATCTGTAGATGGCTTTAGATAGTATTGACATATTAACAATATTAAATTTCCCAATCCATGAACATGGGGATGCCTTTCAGTTTATGTCTTTAATTTTTTTTCAGGAATGATATGTAGTTTTCATTGGACAAGTCTTTCAATTTGTTGGTTAACTTTGAAGAAGTTTATTCTTTTTGATGCTATTGTGAATGGCATGGTTTTCTCTTTTTTTTGTGTTCTTCAGTGTAATTGTATAGAAATGAAACTTTTTTTTGTCTGTGTGTTGACCATCCTGGCACTCTGCTGAATTCATTTTATTAGTTGTTTTTTGTTTATGGAGTCTTTTGGGTTTTTTACACATTAGATCATATCATCTGCAAACACAGAAAATTCATTTCATTGTCTTCAATTTGGATGCCGGTTGTTGTTTTTTTTGCCACATTTCTGTAGCTAGTACTTTTAGTACTCTGCTGAATGAACATGGTGACAGCAGGCCTTCTTCCTTTGTTCCTGATCTTGGAGAAAAAGCTTTCAGTCTTTCACCGAGTGTGCTGTCCACTGTGGGTTTTTCACATAAAACTTTTATTATGTTGACGTAGTTTCCTTCAATTCCTAATTTGTTGCATGACTTTTTAAAAAATCATGAATGGTTTTTGAAATTGGTTGAAACTTTTTGCGTGAATTGAGATAATCAAGTGGGGTTTTTCCTTCACTCTTAATGTGATATATTACACGTTAGGATTTCAAATATTTAACCATTGTTTCATTCCAAGAATAAATTCTACTTGGTCATGGTGTATAACCCTGGTTATACAAAAGGATTGTATGTATGCCACTGTATCTGCAAAAGCAGGTTTTCCTTCTATACTCATGCCACTCTCAGTACTTCTCATACCACTTGTGTGGGGCTTTTCCTTGTGCACACCAATTGGGCATCCTGCACTTCAATTCTGACACTAATCAGATTTAGAGTCAGATCCCACAGGCCAGGGGCTCAGTCCCACAAGACTACTCTCACTTCAGACACCAATCACAAGTCCAGATGTCACCTGTACGTCTTACTGAATGACTGAATCAGAAGTTCCCATGATCCTCTCCATTAGTTGCATCATTTGCTAGAATGGCTACAGATCTGTGGAAAACACTTAGGTTTACTAGTTTATTATACAATAAAGGAAACAGATGGTGATGATGTTAGCAAGATGGTGAAATATGTGGTCACCTGCTCATATCCCCCCACAATAGTAAGAATTCTGCACTTATCCATTGGCAAAAGTCTCTCTCTGGGAGCCTTGGGATTCATGTAGGAGGTTATGAAACCCTTGTGGATCCCAAGACCTAAGAGGGTTGTTTTGAAAGCAGTGACCCATATCTAGGTTGTAGACCCAGCAGTCATCTTGCTTCAGACTTGGAAACAACCCAAGTCCCATAGAGCCTGGCTACTAACCTGTTTGGCCTTGGCCCTACTACCAAAATCATCCTCCGAGGGGTCCCAGTAGCGTCATGCAAACTAGTGCCTCAGCAAACATGCCTGTCTGGCTGCCAGAAGCTCCTGCTTCTCCTCAGCACTGCTGTCCAGTAGCAACGGGAACGAGGACAAAGGCAAGCTGAAAGTGGAGCCAAGGTGGCCACACCTGGAACTGGCAATCCATGGGGACAGATAAGGTTGAGAGTGTGTCTCAAAGGCCATATGGGGTGAATCCAAGCCTCAGAAGGATGTCCGGGCATGCTCCCAATGGGCAATGAGGATCCCCAAGAAAGGGAAGGACAAGCAAAGCACAACTGGGACCACAGGAGGGGCCTGTGCTAGAGTCCAAGCCCCGTTCAGGGATTCCAGCCAGAGGAGCCAAGAGGTGCAAAGTGCAAAACACCCCAAACCCCACACCGGATCACTACTCACCACCTGGCCTGCACCCAGTCAACTGCCAGTCCCTTTTGCTCTGTGAAATTCCTAACAGCCAATGGTTCCGTGCTGAGAGGCAGTTCCAGTCAGGAATAGAGAAATGGGAGATCACTCAACAATAAGAAAGGATGTGCAGAGGAAATGAAACACAGCCTAGATTAGAAGGCAAAGGCCAGCCATGGCTGACTACCTCTCATCCTATGGGAATCATGCAGTCATCTGACGGAATAGGAGGACCAAAAGTTTCCCTGTTGGTGGGAGCTACGAGCACCCACGGTTCAAGAATTATCACAGCTACCCAGTCATTAGGAAATGTGGGTGTTGAGGAGGAAACACTCATGACATGGATCTTCAGAAAGGTCATCCTCAACTAACTGGGAAAAGTTTGTTGTAGAGAATGTAGAGCCAGACCAAGGAAACCCTAGGCCCATGAGAAACATGGAAGGCAGGAAAAGAGAGGACAGAGAAGAGGCCAGAGCCCGCGCAGGATCAATCCATCCCACTCGCATGTGGCTCCGGGAATGAGGGCCCAACCTGGAAGCTGGCCAGAAAGGCCACAGTTTGCAGTCCAAATATTCTCCTCACATTCATGTCTTCTTCCACCAGCACCAGGCCATGGTGTGGACAGGTTATGCAGTGAAGAGGAAGGGGAGAATGAGTTGGAACCAGCTTCTTTGACATCTATCTGCACCTGTCCTGCTGGTGTAGTTGTGGGACCTCCTCCCCACCTCATCAGACTGTATCCTCACCCCTGTCTCACCTTATTTCTACACACATCATTTCTTTTTGACCCGGAATGGAACTGAAAGAAGATTGAGTGCCCATCTGACATCCTTAAGCTCCTGCCCTGCCAGCAACGGAATTTGAAGTGGGCTCAAGGGGATCCTGAGGACAGGACAGCTAGGGTCCAGCCCTGGATGTGCCACAGGACTATGGGCCCCTAGGAGGCGTCTGTTCTTGGGTGTGTTGTGCTCATCTTCTTTCTAGAAGAGTGGCTCCCCGGGGTGGGGAGATGATTTGGACCCCTGTGGGTTGGAGCCAGCCCCCCACTTCTCCGAGGCTTCAGGAACTACAAGCAAAACAAAGGACGTGGGGCCCCGCAGCCCAAGCGGAGCCACAGAGTGAGGAGCATCAGAAGGTAGGTGGACTTGAGAGAAACCGCGCTCCAGCGCACGAGTCACATTTGTTTCACAAGAAACCACACACACACAGAAAGAAACACACACAGAGACATCCAGCACTCGCACAGAAACACACAGCCAGGCAGCTCCTGAGGCTGCGTGGTTCTGCTCTCTGCCAGGAAGCCCCTCCGGGGAGAGAGCAGCCCTCGGGCACATAGGCAGGCCGTATGTCCAAATCCCGGGGGGACGACTTTCAAGGAGATTCACCCCTAAACTATCTAGGCAGGCCTGATACATCATAGGGATCCTTAGGGATCCTGTGGTGCATTCTTGGGGCCCTGCTTGACGTTTCTTCAGCCTAGTTCGGCCCTGCCAGTCTCCAAGGATTGTGGGATCACCGTGCTGATCCCTCAGAGAGGAGAGACATCAGCCCAACTCTACACACTGCCACAGAGGGCTCCTGATCTGCCAAGCCTCTGGGACCCGTGCCCAGGCAATGGTGGTGGTCCCTGGGAGGCCAGCCCTGGCTCAGAGCTTGCCCTGGTGCCTCGCGTTTGGTGCATGCGCATTGTCGTGGTCGGCTCGCGCGCGCTGCAATGTCAGGGCTGTCAGGCGGCAGCCCCAGGAAAATGCTAGAGATGGACCGGCGGCGGCTTGGGGGAGGAGGCTGCTTGCGACAAGCAGCGCAGGACCCTAAGAGTCCTGACCTCAGGGCCTCCTTAAGCCGACTTCGTGTTCGGATCCCGGTGGAGGAGGAGGCGCTTCAGACCGTGAGGTGGGCACTCGGGACTGCTCTTCTGCTCCGATTCCGGATTGGAAGGTATGGGCAGAAATCGGGTCCCATGGGGCTGGTTATTCAGTCTGGTGAGGTGTGAAGGGGGTCGCTGGGGCACAGTAACAGCTGAGATCCCAGGGGAGGGAGTCAGCTGAAAATTCCCTGTTTCATGAGCTCACTGCCTCCCTTCGACCTGGGCCTCCCAGGGCACCGTCCTGGTCTCAAAGCTCAGGGAATCCTGCTGCTCAGCACTGCTGTCCTAAAAAGGCAGGAACGATTTTCCGTTTTGGCTGGGTGAAGGAAAGACAGCTTGAGAAGTACCTACTCAATGGAGGGGTGGGGGTGAAGGGTACTTTGCAGAAACCTCTCGCCTCCTCCAGTAGGCCTCCCTGAATGGGCTTGTTCTCCGGCACAGGCCCTCTCCTGGTTCCCAGGTGTGATTTGCTTTTCCTTGGCTTTCTTCCGAAGGTCCCCATAGCCCCCTGAGCGCATGCCAGGACATCACTGTCAGTCTCCACATCACCCCAAACGACCTTGGAGATACACGCTCACTACATCTGCTCATAGGGGACGCCAGTGCCACGTGTGGTCGCATTTGCTCCACCTCAAACTCACCCCTGGCCCTGTTGGCACTGGTCCCAGAAAGCAGTGTCAGGATACAGGAGTCCCTGGATTTTGGAAACCAGAGAAGGCCATTGCTCCGTCCAAGGAGAAGGGAGGCAGTGGGCTGATGAGTCAATGAACTTTAAGCTGACACCATGGCTTGAGGTCCGTGGGACCGTTCTGTGCCCCAGAGAGGCCCTCCCCGCCTCACCAGATTGTAACCCCATTCCTGCTCAATGGGTGGGATCCAAAATCAGATCCAAATGGGAGTCCGGAGATTCCATCTGTCCCCTGAAGCTGGGATCCCGCGCTGCTTCTCCGTGACTCTGCATGAGGTTTTTTCATCCTGGTCGGTGACCTCCTCAAATCCGGGCATCCAGAGACAATCATGTCAACCACGTTGAGAGGTCAGGCAAAAGCTTTGACACGGATGCACTGCCACGGAGTGATTGTGATCGGCAAGCCTCAGGGACCCATTCCCCAGACGATGGAGGGGATCATTAAGACGTGAGAACCTGCACACGCCACGAGCATGCACATTGGCAAGGCCGACAGGCGCCTGGCTCCTGTAATCCCGTCAGTGGCCCCTTTAAAAAATAGTGAGCGGGGGCTGCTGTGGACGAAGTGACAGGCAGTGAGAGGCGAGTAAGGTGCATTAGCCAGGTCTACATGGGCCCGGCTCCTAAACATCAGGCTGCGACCCCTTTAAAAAATGTGCTTAAGTGTGGGGTGGTCGTCTTGATCTTGGACAAGAGGCCTATCAGGATGGGGAGGAGAATTCAACTCCTGCGGGACCCACGATGCTCCCCATGTTGCCGAGGCTTTCACAAAATGCAAAGTGGAACGGCAGGGAAAACTGACAATGGGCCGCAAGACCCAGTAAAAGACGCAAAAAGAGGCTCAACAAAGACAGGCTTACAAGAAAGAAACAGCACTCCGGTGCACAAGACATTTTCGTCCCAACACACACACACGCAAACGGGCGCACAGACAAAGAAAGTAAGAAAGAGACAGAAACAGAGACAGAGATGGAAGAGAGAATGGGAGACACACACACACACACACACACACACACACACACACACACACACACAGAGACATATAGCAGTGGCACAGAAGCACACCCCCCCAGGCAACCCCTGAGGCTGCGGGGCTCTGCTCTCCAGAAGAACGACTCTCGGGTGAGAGAGCAGCCCACGGGCACACAGGCAGACCTGTCCTCGAGGTCACGGGGGTGCACGACTTTCTGGGAGACTCACTCGAACGCCGTCCCGGCAGGCCTGAAGCTGGGATGCCGAGCTGCTTCCCCCAGACTCCGCCTGTGGCTTCATCATCCTGGTCGGACCTCCACCACTCTTGGCATCCGCAGACCATCCTGTTGACACCCTGGAGAGGTCAGGCCGGAGCCTCAGGGCCCCGACACCCAAGCACTGCAATGTAGGGCTCCTGCTTTGCCAAGCCTCAGGGACTGGTTTCTTAGGCAACCATGGGAATCACTGTGACGAGAATCTGTTCGCGCCTCACGCATGCGCATTAGCTAGGCCGACTCGCGCTCCGCTCCTGGAAGTCAGGCTGCGGCCCCTTTAAATAATGGCGGCGGCGCGGCGGTAGGAGGGCACCTGGATCCAAGGTCGAGGAGCGGGCTTCGTTGAGAGAGGCGACTGCGGGCGCCCCAGGGCTGGACCACCAGGAGTCCTGTCCTCAAGACCTCCTTGTGCCGACTTCTACCGGTGGAGGAGGAGCTTCAGGGCGCCTGCTAGGGTCTCAGGACTCCTCTTCAGATTTTGGATCTCACCAAGTAAGCAGGGATGAGCTCACCTCATCTGTGAGGCGGGCAGGGCCTCGCTGGGGCACAGAAAGATCCATGAGCCTCAAGGCGTGGTGTCGGCTGAAAATTCACTGACACATGAGCCCTCTGCCTCCCTCGCCCCTGGGAGGAGCAGTGGCCTGTTCCGCTTCCAAAGCCCTGGGGCTCCTGCAAGAAGACACCGCTTTCTAGTACACGTGCAAACAGGAACAGGGGCGAGTCCAAGGTGGAGCCAATGCGACCACACGTGGCACTGGCGTCCCCCAGAACAGATGGGGTGAGTGTGTGTCACCAAGGCCATATGGGGCGATGGCGAGACGAACAATGGTGTCCAGGTATGTGCCTGGTGGAAGGGGGGCACAGGTGACCTCCCCAACAACGTCAAGGAAAAGCAAAGCACACCTGGGAACCAGGAGAGGGCCTGTGCGTGAATCCAAGCCACATTTTGCTACACCTGCTGGAGGAGCGGAGAGGTTTCTGCAAAGTTCACTTCACCCCCACCTCTCCAATGCCTAGGTAGCCCCGACACAACCTCCCATGCACCCAGCCCCAGCCCAATCCCTTTGGCTCCCTGACATTCATGGCAGCCAAAAGATTCAGTTCTGGGAGGCAGTCCACCCAGGAGCTCAGAAGAGGATGTCCCTCAAGAATGAAACATGAAGTGAAGAGGAAACGCGACACCGCCTTTCCTAGAAGCCAAGGCCAGCCACGCAGCCATCCCATGAAACATGGAGACCAAGGGAGCTTCCCTGTCTGAGACAGGTATGGATGCCCAGAGCTCCAGGATCATCAAACCTGCCCAATCCACCAGAAACGGGTTTGGAGAGAGAAACAATCATGACACGGATCACCACTTTCTCCCTGTTGGACTGGGAAGTGATCTTTGTTGAAGACATTGAACCAGAACAAGAAGCATCTAGGCCCCTCAGAAACAGGGCAGACAGAGCAAGAGGGAGGATAGAGCAGAGGCGAGAGCCCAGGCAGGATACAGCACAGTGCCACCGCCACAGGCTGAGGGGAGGAGTGCCAAACAGGTGACTTGTCCAGAGAGGCCAGGGGTTTTTGCCATGTCCCATTCCCAGCTTCTTGAAGATTGTGTCGTGGTGTGGCTTCATTTTTCAGAGAAGAGCCGTGAGGAGATAGAACCATCTTCTTTGACGTTTGTCTGCTCCCCTCCTGCAGGACAGTGAGCTCCTGTGAGGCTTTTGTCCTTGGCTGGAGTGTGGTCGTCTTGATCCTAGAAAAGAGGCCGCTCAGGATGGAGATGAAATTTCAGTTCCTCCAGGACCGACGCCTCTCCTCACGTCGTCGAGGCCTTTAGAAACCCAAAGTGGAACTGCCGCGAAACCGATTGACAACCGGCAACATGTCCCAGGCAGAGACGCAGCAAGAGGCGCACCAAAGACAGGCCGATATGCAAGAAATCGCTTTTTGATGCACAGGGCACATTCATTCAACACACACACGCACACCGGCACACACACTCACAGACAGAGAGAGAGAAACAGAGTGACAGAGAGAGAAGAGAGAATGGGAGACACACACACACAGACATAGAGCAGTGGCACAGAAACACATAGCCCCAGGCAACCCCTGAGGCTGCGGGGTTCTGCTC
Organism: Homo sapiens; assembly: GCF_000001405.40. Classification (NCBI taxonomy): domain Eukaryota; kingdom Metazoa; phylum Chordata; class Mammalia; order Primates; family Hominidae; genus Homo; species Homo sapiens. Next base: position 37,010,438 of record NC_000019.10, on the reverse strand, counting down.
TTTGCGAGAACGATTCTCAAGTGAGAGAGCAGCCCACGGGCACACAAGCAGACATGTCGTCGAGATCACGGGGGGCATGACTTTTGGGGAGACTCACTTGAACACCGTCCCGGCAGTTGAGGCTGGGATGCCGCACTGCTTCTGCCATTTTCCGCCAATGGTTTCCTCATGCTGGTCCGCCCTCCGCGACTCCTGGCATCCAGAGACCGTCCTTTCGACCCCATGGAGAGGTCAGGCCGGAGTCTCGGAGCCCGGACACCCAAGCACTGCCACGGAGGGCTCCTGCTTTGCCAAGCCTCAGGGACTGGTTTCTCAGGCAACTGTGGGAATCACTGTGACGGGATAATCCTCTCGCGCCTCGGGCATGCGCATTGCCTAGGCCGACTCGTGCTCTGCTCCTGGAACTCAGGCTGAGGCCCCCTCGAACAATGGCGGCGGCAGTAGGGGCTCCTGCTGCAGCGCGGTGGTGGCTGAATCCGGGATCAAGTAGGGGGCGGCGAGGGAGTGGGGGCTGCGGGCGCCCTAGGGCCGGACTCGCAGGAGTCCTGTCCTCAGGGCCTCCTTGAGCCAACTTCTACCAGTGGAAGAGGAGGTTCAGGGCGCCTGCTGGGGTCTCAGTACTCCTCTTCAGATCCGATTTTGGATCCCACCAGGTGACCAGGGATGGGCTCACCTCATCTGGTGAGGCAGGCAGGGCCTCGCTGGGGCACAGAAAGATCCCATGGGCCTGAAGGCATGGTGTCAGCTGAAAATTCACTGAAACATGAGCCCTCTGCCTCCCTCCTCCCTGGGAGGTGCAGTGGCCTGCCCCGCTTGCCAAAGTCCTGGGGCTGCTGTGTGCCGCCACCGCTTTCCAGGAGACATGCAAACAAGAACAGGGGTGAGTCCGAGGTGGAGCCAATGTGACCAAACGTGGCACTGGCGTCCCCCAGAGCAGATGGGGTGAGTGTGTGTCACCGAGGCCATATGGGGCGATGGCGAGACGAACACTGGTGTCCAGGCATGTGCCCGGTGGAAGGGGGGCACAGGTGACCTCCCCAACAATGCCAAGGAAAAGCAAAGCACAGCTGGGAACCAGAAGAGGCCCTGTGCGTAAGTCCAAGCCACATTTTGGGGAGCCTGCTGGAGGAGCGGAGAGGTTTCTGTAAAGATCACTCCACCTCCATCCCTCCACCGCCTAGGTAGCCCTAACGCAACCTCCCATGCACCCAGCCCCAGCCCAGTCCCTTTGGCTCCCTGACATTATTGGCTGCCAAAAGATTCAGTTCTGGGAGGCAGTCCACCCAGGAGCAGAGGAAGCAGATGTCCCTTAAGAATGAGACAGGAAATGCAGAGGAAATGTGACACCGCCTCTCTTGAAGCCAAGGCCAGCCACGGTCGCCTACCATTCATTGTAGGGAAACTACGCAGCCATCAGGTGAAACATGGAGACCAAGGGAGCTTCCCTGTCTGAGACAGGTATGGATGCCCAGAGCTCCAGGATCTTCACACGTGCCCAATCCACCAGAAACAAGTTTGCAGAGGGAAACAATCATGACATGGATCTCCTTGAAGTTTCTCCCTGATGGACTGGAAAGTGTTCTTTGTTGAAGACATTGAGGCAGACCAAGAAGCATCTGCACCCCTCAGAAACGGGAGACACAGCAAGAGGGAGGACAGAGCAGAGGCCAGAGCCCAGGCAGGATACAGCACAGTGCCACCGCAACGGGCACCCGGGGAGGAGTGCCAAACGGGTGACTTGTCCAGAAAGGCCAGTGTTCCAGTGACAGGGATCCTTGCCATGTCCTGTTCCCGGCTTCTTCTTTAAGCCTGTGTCGTGGTGTGGCTTCATTTGTCAGAGAAGAGTCTCGCGGACTTAAAACCATCTTTGACGTCGGTCTGCTCCCCTCCCTCAGGACAATGAGCTCTTCTGATGCTTTTGTCCTTGGCTGAGGTGTGGTCTTGATCCTAGAAAAGCTGCCACTCAGGCTGGGGATGAGATTTCAATTCCTCTGGGTCCGAAGCATCTCCACATGACCCAGGCAGAGATGCAGAAAGAGGCTCACCAAAGACAGGCCGACATGCAAGAAATTGCCCTTTGGCGCACAGGGCACATTCGTGACAACACACTCACACGGACACACACACAGAGAAAGAAACAGAGGGAGAGAGAGAGAGAAGAAAGTGAGACACACACACACTACACACACACACAGCAGTGGTACACAAACATCCCCCCCCGCCCGCCCCAGGCAACTCCTGAGGCTGCGGGGTTCTGCTCTCTGTGAGAACGACCCTCGGGTGAGAGAGTAGCCTACAGGCACACAGGCAGACCTGTCCTCGAATTGACAGGGGCACGACTTTTGGGGAGACTCACCCGCACACCGTCCGGGCAGGCCTGAGGCAGGGACGCCGTACTGCTTCCCCTAGACTCCGCCTGTGGTTTCTTCATCCTGCTCTGCCCTCTGCGACTCCTGGCATTCGGAGAACGTCCTGTCGTTCTGTCGACCTCCTGGAGAGGTGAGGCCGGAGCCTCGGAGCCTCGACACCGACGCACTGCCGCGGAGGGCTCCTGCTTTCCCAAGCCTCAGGGACTGGTTTCTTAGGCAACCGTGGGGGTCATTGTGAACGGGGAAACAGCCGGCGCCTCGCGCATGCGCATTGGCTTGTCCGTCCAGCGCTCTGCTCCCGGAAGTCAGGCAGAGGCTTCTTTAAACAACGGTGGCGGCGCGGCGGCCTCGGGGTTGGGGGAGGGGGTGCACTTGCTGCAGTCACGGCGGTGGCTACAGCGGGAGTCCAGTAGGAGGGCGCTGTGGAAGAGAGGGCTACGGGTGCCCCAGAGCGGGACCCCCAGGAGTCCTGTCCTCACGACCTCCTTGAGTCGACTTCTACCGGTGGAGAAGGAGCTTCAAGGCGCAGGCTTGGGTCTCCGCCGGGGGTTAAAGCAACTCCATCTTGGATGCTAATCTACCATGTTGACTCTTGATTAGCCCCAGTTCCAGGAACACCTTAAATGTACTTTTATGTACTTACCTTAAATTCTCCCCCTTAGGTCAAACAACCTTGATGTTTGCTCACGAACCATACTTATTATAGTCCCGCCCTTAGGCAAATTCCCTATGGTATATAAAGCCAGGAACTTTGGGGTAATTGTGCAGGGATCCACCATCTTGCAGCTGCATGCGACATGACTTCTGTTCCTAGTTTTTATTAAATGGTTCTGAGATGCTGGGTGTGGTGGCTCACACCTGTCATCCCAGCACTTTGGGAGGCCGAGGTGGGCGGATCACCTGAGAGCAGGAGTTGGAGACCAGCCTGGCCAACATGGTGAAAACCCATTGAAGGGGTGGGTTGCCCCTCCACACCTGTGGGTATTTCTTGTAAGGTGGAACGAGAGACTTGGAAAAGAAAAAGACACAAAGTATAGAGAAAGAAATAAGGGGACCCGGGGAACCAGCGTTCAGCATATGGAGGATCCCGCCAGCCTCTGAGTTCCCTTAGTATTTATTGATCATTATTGGGTGTTTCTCTGAGAGGGGGATGTGTCAGGGTCACAAGACAATAGTGGGGAGAGGGTCAGCAGACAAACACGTGAACAAAGGTCTTTGCATCATAGACAAGGTAAAGAATCAAGTGCTATGCTTTTAGATATGCATACACATAAACATCTCAATGCTTTACAAAGCAGTACTGCTGCCCGCATGTCCCACCTCCAGCCTTAAGGCGGTTTTTCCCTATCTGAGTAGATGGAACGTACAATCCGGTTTTATACCAAGACATTCCATTGCCCAGGGACAGGCAGGAGACAGATGCCTTCCTCTTGTCTCAACTGCAAGAGGCATTCCTTCCTCTTATACTAATTCTCCTCAGCACAGACCCTTTACGGGTGTCAGGCTGGGGGACGGTCAGGTCTTTCCCTTCCCACGAGGCCATATTTCAGACTATCACATGGGGAGAAACCTTGGACAATACCTGGCTTTCCTAGGCAGAGGTCCCTGCGGCCTTCTGTAGTGTGTTGTGTCTCTGGGTACTTGAGATTAGGGAGTGGTGATGACTCTTAACGAGCATGCTGCCTTCAAGTATTTGTTTAACAAAGCACATCCTGCACAGCCCTTAATCCATTTAACCCTGAGTTTGACACAGCACGTTTCAGAGAGCACGGGGTTGGGGGTAAGGTCATAGATTAACAGAATCTCAAGGCAAAAGAATTTTTCTTAGTACAGAACAAAATGGAGTCTCCTATGTCTACTTCTTTCTACACAGACACAGTAACAATCTGATCTCTCTTGCTTTTCCCCACAACCCATCTCTACTAAAAATTCAAAAATATAGCCAGGTGGCACACGCCTATAATCCCAGCGACTCGAGAGGCTGAATTCAGCAGGAGAATTGCTTAACCGAGATGGCACCACTGCACTCCAGCCTGGGCGATAGAGTGAGACTATCTCAAACAAACAAACAACAACAACAAAAAAACCCAAACCAAACAAAAAAATGTTTCCAAGAAACTAGATTTTTCAGCCTCTTCCTTTGGCCCCTCAGCTTCCTCGGCCTTTGGGGTTTGCTTAGAACTGCTCACTGTGGAAGTTTGCAGCATCCAGGCCCTCAACCACTAGGTGATGAGCAGTGGGTAGTAGTAGCCCTGACACTTTTCCTTGAACAGTACCGTAGTGGATCTAAGCCTCTCTGCTTACAACTTTTTTCTAGGTTGTAAAGCCCACAAGCTTTCTTGGCTCTACTGAACATTCTTCAAATTACAAAAATCCTTTATTAAATCCTGAGTGCTTAAAATATATAGTTTTTTAAATTTACAACTGTTTTTCTCTAATAAAGGGACTTCAGTGAATAAATTGTATAAAACTGCAACACAGGCCGGGCGCGGTGTCTCATGCCTGTAATCCCAGCACTTTGGGAGGCCAAGGTGGGCGGATCACGAGGTCAGGAGATTGAGACCATCGTGGCTAACACAGTGAAACCCCGTCTGTACTAAAAATACAAAAAAATTAGCCGGGCGTGGTGGCGGACGCGTGTAGTCCCAGCTACTCGGGAGGCTGAGGCAGGAGAATGGCGTAAACCCGGGAGGTGGAGCTTGCAGTGAGCCAAGATGGCGCCACTGCACTCAGCCTAGGTGACAGAGTGAGATGAGACTCCGTCTCAAAAAATAAATAAATAAATAAGAAGGCAACACAGCAGATAAAAGAATTAGATCAGTATTTTTCAATGGTTTTGGATCCCACATATTGTTAATGAAATTGCAGAAAGATGTATCACCATTTGTGTTACTTAGAAGCACATAATAGTATGTATCATGTCCTTGTACATTGGATACGTGCTGGTTTTACAGATATTAGTGCACTAAGTTATTGCTGTGCAGACACAGGGCAAAGAGCAGGACTGGAAAGAGAAAAAGAGAAGACTACACTTTTTTTTCTGAAATGATTTATTTCTTTTATAAATTTTTAATCAAAACAATAAAACAACATGCTTAATTATTAGGTGGTAGTTACACAGGGGCTATTGTTTCTGTGTATTATTTGTATTTAGTAAAGGTTTAAAGGCATAAAATAGAAGAAAATTTGGAAAAATATTTGGGGTGAATGAGACAATTCAGGAACAAATACAGAAAACTATATTATCATATAGCAAAAAGCTATTTAAAATAGAGATAAGCAAACTATAGCTCACAGGCCAAATGTGGCCTTCTGATTATTTTTTGTAAATAAAGTTTTATTGGAACACAACAATGTCCATTTGCTTATAGGTAGAATTTCTCAACCTCAGAACTACTGACATTCTGGATGAGACTTTTTTTGGGGGGTGGGGGCAGTTGTACTATGCATTGTAGGACGCTTAGCAGGATCCCTGGCCTCTGCTCACCAGACGCCAGCAGCACCCACCCTTCATACTGAAAACCAAAAATGACTCTGGACATTGCCAAATGCCTACTGGGGTGTAGGTATGAGAAACGAAATGGCCCCTGTTTGAGAACACCTGGCTTATGTATTAAGCGCTTCCACACTACAAAGACAGAGTAGAGACTGTATGGCTTACAAAGCCTTGCATGTTTACTATCTGGCTCTTCACAGAAAAATATGTTAACTCTGTTTGCCATAAACGATGGCAAAAGATGCAGGCTAAACTGCAGAGCATATGACAATACAATCTCCTTAGCAAAGTTTCCACAGATTGCTTTAAAAACTACTCCAATGTAAACAAAAGGAAGAGATAAAAATAAGCAATCCACAGAAACAGAACTCGAATGACCCTTAGACATGGTAGATGCTCAATCTCACTGGCAGTTAAGAAAATGCAGGCCAGGCCCGGTGGCTCACGCTTGTAATCCCAGCACTTTGGGAGGCTGAGGCGGGTGGATCACGAGGTCAAGAGATTGAGACCATCCTGGCCAACATGGTGAAACTCCTGTCTCTACTAAAAATACAAAAATTAGCTGGGTGTGGTGGTGGGCACCTGTAGTCTCAGCTACTCAGGAGGCTGAGGCAGGAGAATCGCTCCAACCAGGGAGGCAGAGGTTGCAGTGAGCTGAGATTGCACCACTGCAATCCAGCCTGCCGAGAGTGAGACTCTGTCTCAAAAAAAAAAAGAAAAGAAAAGAAAATTGAAGGCACTTTTTCTTTTCCTTCACCCAACATAAAAAAAAGTTCAGTCCTGGTTGAATTTGTCAGGAAATGGACATAAATTCCCATTAAGATTAATGATTTCAGACAATAATAAGGCATTAATGAATATATTTTAAATCCACTATGTTGTAGGCAAGGAATTCAACTGGTAGGACTCCACCTACTTTATTGATATAAAAGTACAACATGCAACAATATATGTACAACAAAACTGTTTGGTGTATAATTATTGGTAAAATAATTTGAATTTTTTGTTTCTTGAGACAGGTCTCACCCTGTCACCCAGGCTGGTGTGCAGTGGTGCAATCTTGGCTCACTGCAGCCTGAACCTCCTGGGCCCAAGCTATTCTCCACCCTGAACCTCCCAAGTAGCTGAGACTACAGGTGCTCACCACCACACTTGACTTTTTTTTTTTTTTTTTTTTTACTTTTTATAGAGACAGGGTTTCACCATGTTGCCCAGGCTGATCTCAAATTCCTGGGCTCAAGCCATCCACCTGGCTCAGCCTCCCAAAGTGCTGGGATTGCAGGCATGAGCACCATGCCTGGCCCCAATCTGAACTTTCATTAGTGGAAAAATGGGCTGCATATGGTTTGTCTATAGAATAGTCCTTTATCTGCAGGGTACATGTTCCACGATCCCCAGTAGATGCCTGAAACTGTATAGAGTACTGTACCCTACATATACTATGCTTTTTTCCTATTCATAGATACCTATGATAAAACTTATAAGTTAACTAATAGCCAATAATAGAACAATTAAAACAATATACTGTAAAACCAGGGATAAGGGGGAACTACTCCATTATGTAAGAATTTCAAGCTAGTTTGATCTACAGGTATTAATTTGAAGGATGTCCCTGGTATGTTACCAAGTGAGGAGAGGAGATGACACTTCAATGTGTATGCACGATGTCATTCAAACTACTCTCCCCAACCTGAAACCTCCTATGGTACCAAAACAAATCTAGCTGTGGGTATGCTTCTTTAGTGTGGGCAAAGCATGGAAGCATACACATCAGGTTTTTGTTTTTTTTTTTTTTTTTTTTTTTTCCCTGAGAGAGTCTTGCCCTGGCGCCCAGGCTGGAATGCAGTGGTGCGATCTCAGCTCACTACAACCTCTGTCTCCTGGGTTCAAGCTAGTCTCGTGCCTCAGCCTCCTGACTAACTGGGATTGCAGGCACGTGCTATCTCGCCTGGCTAGTTTTTGTATTTTTAGTAGAGAAGGGGTTTCATCATGTTGACCAAGCTGGTCTCGAACTCCCGACCTCAAGTGATCCGCCTGCCTCAGCCTCCCAAAGTGCTGGGATTACAGGCATGAGCCACCGCACCCGGCCGACTTTACTTTTTTTTATAGCTGACTTATTTTGGATGCTGTCCTTTTCCAACTTTGGTAAAAGGGTAATGATAGCCTCACAGCCATGACTTTTGTATCTTGAAGAGGTAGAAGACTGTAAGATAATCTAGTACTAGAGAAATTATGTGGTATAGCTCTTTAATCAGTTTCTTCCTGGTTCTTATTCAGGAAAATAATACTTTTCTAGGATTTCACATATACTATAAAAAGCTGAATATAAACATACACTATAAAATGCTGAATGTAAATTATGTTTTTCATATACTTTACTAAATCAAAGTTGAATATATATTTCAACTATATATAAGAAAATGCTTTTCTACAATGTCAGATGTACTATAAAAAGCTGAATATAAACTTTACGAAAGTTGAATGTGTGTATATATAAAAATGTCTTTAAAAATAACTTTCCAGGCCTCAGATATATTGTAAAAAGTGGAGTATAAACTTACAACATATGCAGGTGGGCACGGTGGCTCACGCCTATAATCCTAGCACTTTGGGAGTCTGAGGCGGGCTGATGACTTGAGGCCAGGAGCTCAAGATCTGCCTGGGCAACGTGGTGAAACCCTGTCTCTACCAAAAATAGAAAAAAATTAGCTGGGCGTGATGGTAGGCGCCTGTAGTCTCAGCTACTCAGGAGGCTGAGGAACAAGAATCGCTTGAACCTGGGAGGTGGAGGTTGCAGTGAGTCGAGATTGTGCCACTGCACTCCAGTCTGGGCGACAGGGCAAGACTCTGTCTCAAATAAATAAATAAATAAAAATAAAAATAAACTTACAACATACTCCTGCAGTTTCTTATTTCGCACCAAGTCCAGGGAAAGGGCAGTTCTTCATTGTTTCATCATATCAACAATGTTGGCTGGGAGTGGTGGCTCATGCTTGTAATCCCAGCATGAGGCTAAGGCGGGCAGATCATGAGGTCAGAAGTTAGAGACCAGCCTGGTCAACATAGTGAAACCTCATCTCTACTAAAAATATAAAAATTAGCTGGGCATGGTGGCGCACGCCTGTAGTCCCAGTTACTTGGGAGGCCGAGGCAGGAGAATCGTTTGAACCCGGGAGGTGGAGGTTGCAGTGAGCTGAGATCCCATCACTGCAATACAGCCTGGGTGACAGAGTAAGACTCCGTCTGAAAAACAAAAACAAAACAAAACAAAACAAAACAAAAATGTCAAGGACACACATAATTCCAACCTATTCTGTGCCAGTCTCAGACTCTTGATTCTCTGCTTGCAAAATGGCCACAATTCCAGGTATCACGCTGACATACAGACATGCATCTTGTATTGAAGAAGACCATTTTCTCCCATTTTGTTAGGAAACAAAATTTAACTGAAGCCCATTTGCAGACTTTTGCACAGATCTTCCGTATCCAGGGCTATTATATGTGTGACCAGATGCAGGGCAAGCTAGGAGATCAAATATCTGGCATTTACAGATTCAGAAGAGCAGCAGGCAATCCTGCCAAAAGGAGAGTGGTTAACACCAATGAACAGGCAACTATGCTTGAGTTTCTTCTTCATAGGGTGCAATGCTTTTCATTTCAAAGTTTTGTGTTTTGTTTTTGCCTTCCATTAATTTTCCTAGAGCTTTTCTACATCCAAGGGTTGAATGCTTATTCATTCACTCTCTCACTCCTTGGATCATTCACACATTCCTATGATCAAATATTTACTGAGAACCTGCTAGGAACAGGAGCACACAGGGTGAAGTCGGAATGAATCCTAGTCCTTAACTGGCCCTGTTTTCTATACATATTAAAATAATTTTCCTGAGACTATAGCTTTGTTCACACCCTATAAATTTCCATATGTAGTGTTCCCTTTGTCATTCATTCCTAATAAGGCCTGCCTTGACATCTTTTTTTTTTTTTCTGAGACAGAGTCTTGCTCTGTCACCCAGGCTGGAGTGCAGTGGCGCGATCTCAGCTCACTGCAACCTCTGCCTCCCCGGTTCAGCCGATTCTTCTGCCTCAGCCTCCCGAGTAGCTGGGATTACAGTCGCCCACCACAGGCCTGGCTAATTTTTTGTATTTTTAGTAGAGATGAGGTTTCACCTTGTTAGCCAGGATGGTCTCAATCTCCTGACCTCATGATCCACCCACCTCGGCTTCCCAAAGTGCTAGGATTACAGGCGTAAGCCACCGCGCCCAGCCGAGACGGAGTCTCACTCTGTCGCCTAGGATGGAGTGCAGTGGTGCGATCTTGGCTCACTACAACCTCCCACTCCGGGTTCAAGCTGTTCTCCTGCCTCAGCCTCCTGACTACTGGGACTACAGGCGTGAGCCACCACGCCCAGCTAAGTTTTGTATTTTTAGTAAAGACGGGGTTTCACCATGTTGGCAAGGATGGTTTTGATCTCCTGACCTCATGATCCACCCGCCTTGGCCTCCCAAAGTGTTGGGAATACAGGCGTGAGCCACCTCACCAGGCCGATATCCTTTTTAATATAAAAATTATTTATACAGGTAGCTTTAAAATTTTCTAGTGGAGAAATACATTTTGGCTAGGGCTGTATTATTTTTTTAATTCTGCAACCTCCGCCTCTTGGGTTCAAGTGATTCTCCTGCCTCAGCCTCCCAAGTAGCTGGGACTACAGATGCACGCCATCGTGCCTGGCTTATTTTTTGTATTTTTAGTAGAGATGGGGTTTCGCCACATTGGCCAGGCTGGTCTCGAACTCCTGGCCTCAAGTGATCTGCCCGCCTCGGCCTCCTAAATTCCTGGGATTACAGGCTTGAGCTACTGTGCCCAGCCTTTTGAAAAGTTTTGATAAATATCTAAATCTTCCGCCTGACTTCACAGCAACCCACTTTTATTCTACTGGGTTTCTTCACATTATTTGCCTAGTAAGGCAAAAGGGTGAGCTATAAATAAAGGCTTCACAGTATTAAATTTTTCTCCAGAAGGAATTACCTAACCTTCAATAAAGAAAAAGAGATGATGCAATATGTTCCTATAGTCACTGCAAATATAAGTCCTTCCTCTCATGTCTAATAATGCATGATTAAGAAAATAACAAAGAAAAACAATAAACGCCTTCATTTAGCACACTTTCAATACTAGACAGACACTGCTTTAAATAATATAAATGTATTTAACCCCCACAATGCAGCTAAGAAATATGGTGCTAACAGTACTATTTTATAAATGAGAAAATGTAGATGTAGTTAATAAATTCACCCTAAAAGAAATGAGTAATAATGATAAGGGTGAGTAAAAACTAAACATTGGTTAAATTCTTCCCCACATTGATTCAGCTCCAGTTAATTTTAGAGAATTAGCTCGTGAATATTTAACAAGATTTATGTGGGATGAAAGAATCTGCTGCATTTTAAATACTACTCTAGCCTTCCTCAAGTATTGTCAGATGAATACTTTGTTAGCTAAAGCAAATTGGTGTCCCATATATATGGCATTTACATTTTCTTTCTTTTTTTTTTTTTTTTGGAGATGGAGTTTCACTCTTGTTGCCCAAGCTGGAGTGCAATGGCACGATCTCAGCTCACTGCAACCTCCGCCTCCCGGGTTCAAGAGATTCTCATGCCTCAGCCTCCCAAGTTGCTGGTATTACAGCTGTGCGCCACCATGCCTGGCTAATTCTGTATTTTTAGTAGAGACAGGGTTTCACCATGTTGGTCAAGCTGGTCTCAAACTCCTGGCCTCAAGTGATCCACCCGCCTCAGCTTCCCAAAGTGCTGTGATTACAGGCGTGAGGCACCGTGCCCGGCCCCGTTTTTTTGTGTTTTTTTTTTGTTTTTTTTTTTTGAGACAAGAGTCTCGCTCTGTCACCCAGGCTGCTGTGCAATGGCATGATCTTGGCTCACTGCAACCTCTGTCTCCTGGGCTTAAGCAATTCTCCTACCTCAGCCTCCCAAGTAGCTGGGATTACAGGCATGCACCACCACACCTGGCTAATTTTTTAAATATTTTTTGTAGAGACAGTGTTTCACCATGTTGCCCATGTTGGTCTCAAACTCCAGGACTCAAGCAATCCACTCACCTCGGCCTCCCAAAGTTCTGGGATTACAGGTGTGAGCCACTGCGCCCAGCGTGTGTGTGTGTGTGTGTGTGTGTGTATAATAATAATTTTTTTTTTTTTTGAGATGGAGTCTTGCTCTGTCGCCAGGCTGGAATGCAGTGGGTCAGTCTTAGCTCACTGCAACCTCTGCCTCCCAGGTTCAAGTGATTCCCCTGCCTCAGCCTCCCAAGTAGCTGGGATTACACACGCGCACCACCATGCCCAGCTAATTTTTTGCATTTTAATACAGACGGGGTTTCACCATGTTGGCCAGGATGGTCTCTATCTCCTGACCTTGTGATCCACCCACCTCAGCCTCCCAAAGTTCTGGGATTACAGGCGGGAGCCACCGGGCCCGGCCTGCATTTATATTTTGAATCATCTGATTTCCCCTAAGGGCTAATGACTCTGCTGCTGATAAAGGTCTGAATGATTAACTCCTCTCAGCATATTCACTGCCCTCCTCTCCCCCATTTGAATTCCCTGAGGTTGACTTCGTTCTGAGCCACCAAAAAGGCCTCCCTACTTTCTTTACATTCATGGAGGTCTTCAATTTTTCACCAGTTGTATCATGATGTGTAATAAATTCTGAAACATAAATAAATCCCTGCTAATTCCTAACATTTATAAGGTGTCTCACACTTAGAATCATAAGTTTTTTTTTCCAAATCAGTATGAACTTTCTCATGTCAATCAAATTCTGAGCCATCCCTCATTTCTTCATTCACTCCTCTGTCCTGAATGAATTCTTTGATGTTGACTAAGGTGTGAGGCCCGAATGAAGGCCTTTCCACACTGCTGACATTCATATGGTTTCTCACCAGTATGAATTTTCTGGTGTCAACTAAGTTCTGAGCCACCACCAAAGGGCTTCCCACACTCCTTACACTCGTAGGGTTTCTCACCAGTGTGACTTCTCTCATGATGTGTGAGTTCTGACCTTCGAATGAAAGCCTTCCCACATTCCTTACACTTATGGGGTCTCTCCCCAGTGTGAACTTTTTGATGTCGAACAAGTTCTGTGCTACAAGTAAAGGCCTTTTCACATTCCTTACACTCATAGGGTTTTTCACCAGTATGAGCTCTCTGATGTCGGGTAAGTTCTGAGCCACGACGAAAGGACTTCCCACATTCCTTACACTTACAGGGTTTCTCCCCAGTATGGACACTCTGATGTCGAATAAGATGTGAATCAGAGATAAAGGCTTTCCCACATTCCTTACATTCATGGGGTTTCTCACCAGTATGAATTCTTTGATGTAGACTCAGCTGTGAGGCACAACTGTACACCTTTCCACACTCCCTGCATTCATAGCGTCTTTCACCAGTATGGATTATCTGATGAAGGCTCAGCTGTGTGTCATAACGAAAAGCCTTTCCACATTCCTTACATTTATGGGGTTTCTCACCCGTATGGATTCTTTGATGTCGAAAAAGGTGTGAGGGACGGGTAAAGGCCTTCCCACACGCCTTACTTTCATAGTATTTCTCATCAGTATGGATCCTCTGATGTAGATTAAGCTGTGCAGTGGATGGAAAGGCTTTCCCACACTCCCTACACTTATAGGGTTTCTCACCAAGATGCATCCTCTGATGCTGACTAATTTGTGAGCTGGAACGAAAGGCTTTCCCACATTCCTTACATTTATGAGGTTTCTCTCCAGTATTAATGCTCTGAGGTTGAGTAATTCCAGAATCATGATTAAAGGCACATTTGTTATTTTCACTATGTTTTTTGCTTTCATGAAGCGTCTGATGCTTAATCAAGTCTGATCCACTATTAAAGATTTTCCTACATTCTCCACATTCAGGTTCTTTTTCCTTATTATGAATTATTTCATGTTGAATAGGACATGACTGGTACCTAAAAGCATTCTTACATTTCCTGCATTCACAGGATTTCTCTCCAGTATGAAGCCACTGATATTCTCTATGGGCTGTGCACTGCATGGAAGTAAATGGTATTACAGCTGGTCTGAAATGTCCCTCCTGATGACCCTGTTGTCTCTCCACCTGGCATCTGATTTCTCTGATAACTCTGGCCTTCTCCTGTTGTGGTGATCTAATTTCATAAATGTTTTCCTTTGGAGATAAATTCTTGGTTTCTCTTCCAAACTCCCAATCTGCAAAATAATAAGAAAGAAAATAGGAGGTATTTTCACATTGCAGGACAAAGAAAAGTCCTGAAAGTAGAAATGACAAAATAAAAATAGTTAATAAGCAATTCTTTACACTGCAATTACAAAAAAAAAGGGAAGTGAAAAATGAGAAAACGAGGAGCTTTTGGGCTCAAGCGATCTGCCCACCTTAGCCTCCCAAAGTGTTGGGATTACAGGTGTGAGCCGCTGCACCCAGCCACATCTCTGATACATTTAAAGACCCTTGTGATTACACTGGGCCCACTTGGATAACCTAAGATCCTCTCCCTAATTGAAGTTGAGCAGATTTGCAACCTGAATTCCCCCTTACCATGTAAGAGTAACACGTTCACAAGTTTCAGAGATTCGGATATAGACATCTTTGAGGGGGTTATTATCCTGCCAATATTGGCTTATAATGTATAAATATGTAATTTGTATGACAATAATAGTACAAAGAAGAGAGGTGGGAACAGAAGTATTTTGGAGCAAAGTATTTATGTAAGATTAAAGTTAAGCTAGTATTAATCCAAACTAGATTGTTTTAAGTTGAAATGCTAATTATAATCTTGAAGGCGACCACTAAGAAAATAATTTCAAAGACTACTGTATACGAAACAATATAGGAACAAAAATGGTACTCTAGAAAATATTCATGTAATATAACAGAAGGTAGTAATGGAAGAATAGAGGAATAAAACAATAACAACACAAATAGAAAACAAATACCACAATACCAATTGTAAATCCTACCCCATCAGTGTATTAAATGTAAACATATTAAACACTACAGAGTTTGTTAAGCACTACAAGAAGAGGTTGGCAGGATGGATTAAAAAAAAGTGATCCAAGTATATGCAATCTACCAGAGACACACTGTTTTTTGCTTGTTTGTTTGTTTTTGAGACACAGTCTCACTCTGGCACCCAGGCTGGAGTGCAATGACGTGATCTCAGCTCATTGCAACCTCCACTCACTGGGTTCAAGTGATTCTCATGCCTCAGCCTCCTGAGTAGCTGTGACTACAGGCACGGGCCACCATGCTTGGCTAATTTTTTGTATTTTTAATAGATACAGGGTTTCGCCATGTTGGCCAGACTGGTCTCAAACACCTGACCTCAATTGATCTGCCCACCTCGGCCTTCCAAAGTGCTGGGATTACAAGTGTAAGTCACCATGCCCAGCCCCCGAGACAAACTTTAGATTCAAGGACACAAATAGTTGAAATGAAAGAATGGAAAAAGATATACCATGCAAAGAGTAACCAAAAATGAGGTAAAATAGCATTACTAATACCAGACAAAATAAACTTTAAGACAAAAATTGTAACCAGTGAGAAAAAAGGATATTTTGGCCGGGCGCGGTGGGTCACGCTTGTAATCCCAGAACTTTGGGAGGCTGAGGCCGGCAGATCTCGAGGTCAGGAGTTCAAGACCAGCCTGGCCAACACAGTGAAACAAAAATTAGCTGGGTGTGGTGGCGGGCACCTGTAATCCTAGCTACTCGGGAGGCTGAGGCAGGAGAATCACATCAACCTGGGAGGTGGAGGTTGCAGTGAGCAGAGATTGTGCTACTGCACTCCAGCCTGGGCAACAACACTAGACTCCATCTCAGAAAAAAACAACAACAACACACAAATCAGAAAAAAGGATATTTTATAATGATAAGAGAATATAATGATAGTCAGAAAACTGTAACAGTTGTAAGTACATATACACCTAATAACACAGGCCCAAAATATGTAACACAAGAATTAAAGAGAGCCACAAACAATTGAACAAATTGAAGACTTCAATACTTTACTTTCAATAATGGATAGAATAGCTAGGCAGAAGATCAACAAGGAAACAGATTGCTTGAAAAACACTATAAACCAATTAAACCTAAGAAAACATTTGTAGAACATTCCACTCAACAACAGGAGAATACACATTTTTCTCAAGCATGTATGGAACATTTTTCAGGTTAGACCATATATTAAGCCATAAAACAGCCCTCAATAAATGTAAGAGGATTGAAATCACACAAAATATGTTTTGCAACTACAATGGAATGAACTTAGATATCAACAGCAGAAGGAAATCTGGGAAATTCACAAACGTGAAAATTAAATAACATACTCCTAAATAACCAACGTGTTAAAGAAATCATGAAGAAAATTAAAAAATATTTTGAGATAAATGAAAAGTCAACATACCAAAACTTATGAAATGCAGCTAAAGCAGGGCTTAAAGGGAAATTTACAGCTAAAAACACCTATATTAAAAAAAAAAAGAAAAAAAAACAGAGATATCTCAAATCAACAATCTAACTGTATATCTTAAGGAACCAGATAATAAAGAATAAACAAAAACATAAAGCTTCCAGAAGGAGGGAAATAATAAAAGATCACAGCAGCAATGAACAAAATAGAGAATAGAAAAACAACAGAGAAAATCAATGAGACCAAAAGTTGGTCTTTGGAAAAGATCAACAGAATTGGCAAATCTTTGGCTAGATTGACCAACAAAAAAAGAGAGAAGTCTCAAAATACTAACATCAGGAATGAAATAGGAGATATCACCACTGACCTTATAGAAATAAAAAGGGTTATAAGGAACTCCTACGAATAACTATATGCCAATAAGTTAGATAACTTAGACAAAATGGACAAATTCCTAAAAAGACCCAAAACTACCAAAATTGACTCAAGAGGAAATAGAATACCTGAATAGACCTATACCAAATAAAGAGACTGAATTAGAGCAAAAAAATCTTCCCATAAAGAAAAGCCGAGGAGCAAATGGCCTCACTTACCCAACATTAAAGAAAACTTAATATAAATCCTCCATGAACACTTCAAAAAGACAGAAGACGAAGAAACATTTTCTAATTCTGAGGCCTGTATTACCCTGATACCAACCAGACAAAGCAAAGATATCACAAGAAAACTACAGACCAGTATCTTCAACAAAAAAGACCAAACCAGATCCAACAGCATAAAGGATTATATACCACATCCAGGTAAAATTTATCCTACAAATGCAAGGTAGGTTCAACATCCAAAAGTTATCAATGTAATCAAACATATTCATACAACAAAGGACATAAACTACAGATGTCTTAATAGATGCAGAAAAAGTAATGGTAAAAAGTATTCTAAAATCCTTTCATGACAAAAATACTCAACAAACGAAGAAAAGAAGGGAACCTATATACAAATGTTCATAGCAGCTTTAGTCATACAAAATAGCCTAAAAGTAGAAACAACCCAAATGTCTACCAACTGATGAATGAGCAGAATGGTAATATCTATACCATGGAATACTATTTGGCAATATAAAAGAATGAGGCACTGGTATATGTTACACTATGGATGAACTTTGAAAACATTCTGGTAAGTGAAAAAAGCCAGTCATAAATTATATGTTGTGTGATATCATTAATATAAAATGTCCAGAACAGGCACATCTATGTAGACAGAAAGTGATCAGTAGTTGCTTAGGGCTGGATTTGGGGAGTGACTGCTAATGGGTATGGCGTTTCATTTTGAGTGATACAAATGTTCTACAATTAGACTGTTGTGATGGTTGTGAACTGACTAAAAATTACTGAACTTTAAATGGATGAATTTTATGATATCTCAATAAAACTGTTTTAAAAAGTCAGGACAAAACTGGACCCAAAATGCAAGTAAAATGGTTGTCACAGGGAAAGAAAGAGGGTACTTCCTCTCTGAAATGAGGGGGGAGGTATTATAGGAGGTGAGCAAGAGAGCCTAGTAAATGGAGCTGAAACATGCTTTACTTTCTTTTTTTTTCAAGATGGAGTCTCGCTTTGTCACCCAGGCTGAAGTGCAGTGGCGCGATCTTGGCTCACTGCAACCTCTGCCTCCTGGGATCAAGCAATTCTCCTGCTTCAGCCTCCCAAGTAGCTGGGACTACAGGCACCTGCCACCATGCCCAGCTAATTTTTGTATTTTTAGTAGAGATGGGGTTTCACCATGTTGGCCAGGTTGGTCTTGAACTCCTGACCTCGTAATCCGCCTGCCTTGGCCTCCTTTTTTTTTTTTTTTTTTTTGAGACGGAGTCTTGCTCTGTTGCCCAGGCTGGAGTGTAGTGGTACAATCTTGGCTCACTGCAACCTCTGCCTCCCAGGTTCAAGTGATTCTCCTGCCTCAGCCTCCTGAGTAGGTGGGATTACAGGCACGCACCACCAGGCCTGGCTAATTTTTTTGTATTTTTAGTAGAGACGGGGTTTCACCATGTTGGTCAGGCTGGTCTCGAACTCCTGACCTTGTGATCTGCCCGCCTCAGCCTCCCAAACTGCTGGGATTACAACATCCTTACTTTCTTCCCCAGATCTCAAGCCTTTTTAGGCAGCTTTCCTACCAAAATCCCTGAAGTGCTGCCTTCTCACAGATGAGCTAAGTGACCACCTGCTATGGCCTCCCCATTCCAGTTCATCGTCACTCACCTGGACACCATTCTTTTGTCTCCTTCCTCTTAACCATCCAGGGCTCTTTCTTCTGCTCCAATAAGGAGATCACATTTGGCTTAGTATCAGAAAGCCCTGCTCAAAAACAAAGGGAACAAGGTTTTGTTGTGGGTGTCAGAATTAAAAATCAGTCCCTAATTACCAAGAAAGAGGAGCAGGTAGATTAAGGGTCAGAAGAAGGAGTGAGGGTCAGAGCACCACAATAAATCAACATTAATTCCT
The DNA here is from genome assembly GCF_000001405.40 of Homo sapiens. Lineage (NCBI taxonomy): Eukaryota > Metazoa > Chordata > Mammalia > Primates > Hominidae > Homo > Homo sapiens. The sequence continues at coordinate 36,991,603 of NC_000019.10, read as the reverse complement.
TTCTTGTCTAATTAGAAAAAAAGTTTGCAATATGTGATTCCACTTAACCATTCATTTCCACTTCATCAAATCACAGCTCCAAGAAGGGAGGTATGAAAATAATGAAGATAAAGGTGCCTGCTGGAACAGCCAATTTCCAACTTCACAAGAGACAAACCATTCTTTTGGTGAGCAAGAAACATTAACTCATCCAGGTACTTGAAAAGCACTTGGGACAAACTCAGAAAAAAGAACATAAGAATTCCAGAAGGCCAATTGTGTGTTTGGCGGGGCAGGGGGTGTACGGAGGGGCAGATAAAGTTACCCAGTAAGACCAGGTTGCCGTAATTTTCCAACATTACATCTCGGTACAAATCCTTCTGAGCAGAGTGCAAGCATTCCCACTCCTTTTGAGAGAAGTAAATGACCACATCTTTGAACTTCAAGCCCTGAAACCAAAAATAAATACACCATTTGTGAAATTCATGGACAAAATCTTTAAGACAACATAAAAGAAAATGGAGAAAGCAATTCAATAGGGAAGTTCCATTAGGAAAACAGGCCATACTGGCTCCTTCAACATGGAGGGGTCGGTGTGGAAACAGGGGTGATCAGAGTGAAGTGCCCACATGGTTCTTGGGCATGCTTACTCCTGCAAAGGTAGCCTCTGGGCACTTCCATTATCTACCCAGGTCAGAGAATAAACTAAGTCCATGTAAGTGGTGTTTCCCAATTAAATGAAACTGTACGTGCAAGTACACGGAACACCCTATGTTAAGCACACAAACTTCTCATTGCCTCTTCCTCTTTCCCATTCAATAAATTAAATCCTGAATCAGTTTTCTACATCACCAAAAATTCTTAAATAGACAGCAATTTTACTGGCTGCATGATTCCTCATATAATATATACAATGTTCTTGTTTTGAGGAAGTAGGTTGGAGAAGTTTTCTAAAGGTTCTTTTGCAGTTATAATAGTCATTCATTATTTTTCAACAATTTTTTGTTTTTGAGACAGAGTCTCACTTGGGTGCCCAGGCTGGAGTACAGTGGCACCATCTCCGCTCACTGCTACCTCTGTCTCCCAGGTTCAAGCGATTCTCCTGCCTCACCCTCCTGAGTAGCTGGGACCACAGGCATGGGCCACCACATCTGGCTAATTTTTGTATTTTTAGTACAGACAGAGTTTCCCCATGATGGCCAGGCTGGTCTTGAACTCCTGGCCTCAAGTGATCTACCCGCCTTGGCCTCCCAAAGTGCTGGGATTACAGGCATGAGCCACCGTGCCTGGTCATTTCTCAACAATTTATACATCTGGCTAAATTGTTCCTGTTACCACAAATGACCCCAACCATACTCTCCTTGTTCCTTAGCTACCAGAACTGATGGAGAAAGATCCAGACTCACAACGATGTCACACGAGGTGCGCACATACTACACAAGTTCAAAATGGACACACTTTATCCATCTGGCACAGACTCCTTGGGAATACACTGTAACTCCATACAATCTACATATCTCAGGATATCCCCAGTCCTAAAATCCTCAGACAGCTAGAGATACTGGCTGATACTGAGACTGCAACACAATAAATCAACATCAATTCCTTTCTTGTCTAATTAGAAAACTCAAGTTTGCAATATGTGATTCCACTTAACCATTCATTTCCACTTCATCAAATCACAGCTCCAAGAAGGGAGGTATGAAAGTTTCCAGCAAGGATTGGTTTTCCTACTCCATCAGTACTCTCGGTGGAAGAACATGCATCTAAAAAATGCTAATCCTGGTATAGTGGCTCACTCTTGTCATCCCAACACTTTGGGAGGCCAAGGTGGGAGGATTGCTTGAGCCCAGGAGTTCAAGACCAACACAGTGAGATCCCGTTTCTACAAAAAAATCCAAAATTAGCCGGACAAGGTGGCATGTACCTGCAGTCCCAGCTACTTGGGAGGCTGAGGCAGGAGGAGCTCTTTGAGCCCCAGAGGTTGAGGCTGAAGTGACCCATGATTGTGCCACTGCACTCCATCCTGGGTGACCAAGCAAGATGTTGTCTCAAAGAAACTTATAAATGCTAAGAGGTTTGCTGATAAATACCTAAACACTTCTTGGAGAACAGAGGGGCCCTTAAGAGACAGCAGCCTTGGCCAGGCATGGTGGCTCACACCTGTAAATCCCAGCACTTTGAGAGGCCGAGGTGGGTGGATCACCTGAGGTCAGGAGTTTGAGACCAGCCTGGTCAAGATGGTGAAACCCTGTCTCTACTAAAAATACAAAAATTAGCCGGGCATGGTGGCACGTGCCTGTAATCCCAGCTACTAGGGGGGCTAAGGCAGGAGGATCGCTTGAACCTGGGAGGCAGAGGTTGCAGTGAGCCAAGATCATGCCACTGTAGTCTAGCCTAGGCAACAGAGGGAGACTCTGTCTCAATCAATCAATCAATAAAAGAGATAGCAGTCTTTGATAGCATTACTGACTGGAATGGGAAGAACTGGGGAACAAGTCCCTGGGGAAGCCAAGAAGTTTTAGGAAAAAGAAATCTGTTCAATCTGTTCAAATCTTCTAAAGCAAAAAGAAGGCGTTCAGAAGCAGAGAGCAGAACAGTAGTTACCAGAGACGGGGTGGGGGTACAAAACGCGAGAGGTTGGTCAGTGGGTACAAAGTTACAATCAGGAGGAATACATTCTGGTGCTCTATTGCACAGTAGGGTGACTATGGTTTAACAATAAAATATTGTATATTACAAAATAGCTAGAAGAGAGGCTTTTGAATGTTCTTACCACAAAGAAATGATAAATGCATGAGGTGATAGATACACTAACTACCCTGACTGGCTCATTATACCACATAGATATGTACTGAAACATCAAATTGTACCCCATAAATATGACCCCAAAGTGCTAGGATTACAATGTGTCTGATATGGTTTGGATCTGTGTCCCCACTCAAGTCTCATGTGGATTTCTAATCCCTGATGTTGGAGGGAGGGCCTGGCGGGAGGTGACTGGAACACAGGGGTGAATACTTCATGAATGGCTTAGTACCACCCCCTTGTTGCTGTTCTCATGATAGTAAGTTCTGACGAGATCTGGCTGTTTAAAAGTGTCCCGCACCTTCCCTGCTTCCTTCTGCTCTGGCCAGGTGAAGTGCTGGCTTCTCCTTTGCCTTCTACCAGGATGGTAAGTTTCCTGAGCACCCCCAGAAGCGGAGCAGATGCCAGCATCATGCTTCCTGAACAGCCTGTGGAGCTGGAGCTGTGAGCCAATTAAACCTCTTTTCTTTATAAAATCCCCAGTCTCAGGTATTTCTTTATAGCATGCGAGAAGGGACTAATACATTGTTAATTAAAATAAAAAACAGAAAAGAAAGCATTCAGGCCAAGTGTGATGGCTCATGCCTGTGATCCTAGCACTTTGGGAGGTGGAGGTGGGAGGATCGCTTGGGTCCAGGAGTTTAAGACCAGCCTGGGCAACATAGCAGGACCCCATCTCTACAAAAATAAAAATAAAAAATTTAAAAATGAAAGAATGCATTCAATGAAGGAGAGGAGACATACTAACACATAGATAATAGCTTTTACAACTACAAAATTTATACCCTAGGTTTCTCCTAGAGAAAGCCTGAGAAAGCAAAAAAGGAAGAAAAAGCAAGTCATGGGGATTTGACTGATATTTTTGGATAAGAGAATTTTGTTGACAAAATTCATCAGACTGACCTCAAGGTCCCCAAAGGCCTGAGAATGAATCCCTTCACCCCATCCCTGCTTTTGGTACCCCAACACACACACACACACACACACACACACAGAGTCTGTGTTTTCTTTCTCTCTGAGATTTGAGAAAGAATGAACAAACCTTTGTCTTTCTTGAATCCCAGGGAATCCAACTATAGAATAACAGACTCAGAAGAAACAACTTCCCCACTGTCAGGAGCTGATCAGAGCCCAGGGCCTGGGCTCCCTTTTGTACAACCTGGATATCACTGAGACCCTCAGCCATGGAAGGCACCCCAAAGACTTGAAGGCACCCCAAAGACTTGAGGGAGCCCTCAAGGCCCAGGAGCACAGGATACCTGGGCAGGCCCAGCTCTGGACAAAGATTTCTACAACAGAGGGTTCCAGCCTCCCTCAAGCCTAATAGAGATAGAGGAATAAATTCTGGTGTTCTATGCACCAGCCACTTCCTGGGCTTTGTTCGTATATCCCAGAACTGGGGCCTTTGGAACTAAAACTAAAACCTCATTCTGCAAAGACTCTCCAGAATGACCAGCACTGAGCCAGACAACCCACAGGATCAGCAGGCTCTCAGCAGCCTCAGCAGGGCTCAATTACCCAGATACACAATGCATGAAACCACAGTTCCAGGAATCCTCACGGCCAGTACATCCTGGTTCCAAACCGAGATTACCCATGGCCTTCCTGCCTGACATTCTCTCCTGCTACTACCCCTAACCTTACTGCTGTACACTGCACACTGCACACTGCATCTCAAGGACAATCATTGTTCTTTAAGCACTTTAAGTTCCTGGTGCCTTACATATATTAATCCTCATGAGAAGGTCATGAATCCTAACTGAAAGGAAACTTTAGCTTGGAGAAGAGAAGTCATTTACTCAAATCTGCAGTTACAGTGGCAATGCTGGGTTCTGAATCTACTGAGAAATAACCAAGTCTGCAGCTGGTTGCCTTCTAACTTCTGGCTCTTGTAGATGCAACCTGGGAATTTCCTGATCCTTTGAAAGAACCCTCAGCTGGCCCCTGCACTTAGGGGAGCGGAAAATGCTAGGTCTGCTGTGTTTGTCACTGCAGATCACAGCAGTCTATGAAGGGAGATCAAAGGCGGAAGGGAATGGGAAGAGAGGAGCAGCTGTGTCAACAAAATTCTCTTATCCGAAAATACGAATCAAATCCCCATGACTCTGGCTCTACGTGGGCACCAGGGTCGCAGATAACTCTTACCTAGCATGCATTTCCTCTTAAAAAGCTCAGTCACGGAGGGGGGAAAAAAAGAAAATCAATCATAGGACACCAGGCTCTGTGGGGGACTAGTTACTACAACCAAATCACCAGCTGAAAAATAAGAGATTGAATATCAAAAATATTTTAGAATTCAAGGATGAGCTGACAGAGAAGTAAAGTAATCTTCAGCAGATAAAACTATGTCAAAATGGGAACAGAGAGGGGTAAGCTGAGCCACTGAGGCTTATTTTGCCCAGGGAATGTCTATGGAGCCCAGAAGACCATAAGCTTTGACATTCATGATATTAAGGAGCAGGTGGAGAGAAGATCAAGCCTATAGCTGGCCAAGTTGGGGGGTCTAATTAATTCCATACTACAAAGACCTGGGACCTCTAGAACCACGCCCTTAGAGTAAGGGAAAACCAGATGTGGCATTCCCATTCCTAGGGTCCGCTAGGAAAACTGCCTGACTGGAACCTTGGCAGATGGCAGAAGGGAAACATTTTCCTCTGAGGAACTGTAACTACAAGCCAGCCCTCACACAGGCCTGCAGTTCACATAACAATACTAAGGTGGATCTAAAAAACTTGCCATGTGTTTACTTTATGGTGGTCCTGGTTTGGCAGGGCTCCTGGTAGAAGCAAACACAGATCTGCCCTAGAGGAACAACCTTCAATCAGGCCTCAAGAATCTATGGGGTAGAATTCCAAGGAAAATAACCTATGAGTCAAAAATAAAGCAGCACCACACTGTGAATGAACTAAATGTCACTGAACTATGCACTTGAAAATGGTTAACTATATATTATGTGAATTTTGCCTAAACAAAAAATCAAATTTAAAAAAAAATGGCCAGGTGTAGAGGCTCATGCCTGTAATCCCAGAACTTTGGGAGGCCAAAGTGGGCGGATCACTTGAGGTCAGGGGTTCGAGACCAGCCTGGTCAATCTGGGGAAACCCCATCTCTACTTAAAATGCAAAAATTAGCCGGGCATGGTGGTGCGCACCTGTAGTCCCAGATACTTGGGAGAATGAGAAACAAGAATCGCTTGAACCTGGGAGGTGGAGGCTGCAGTGAGCCAAGATCGCATTACTGCACTCCAGCCTGGGTGACACAGTGAGACTGTGTCTTAAAAACAAAACAAAACAAAACAAAACAAACAAACAAACAAAAACATGCAAAGAGGCATAATTCCATGAACAAAGAGTCAGGAAAATCAGTCATGCAATTGTTTCAACTTTTCATTATGTTTTGAAAATTTCCCTAATAAAATGTTGAGGGGCAGGAGGAATCACCTCTGTAAAAGATTCATATATTATACAGATAATGCCAAAAATTATAAAACAAGCATATTACATGTTTTTAAAATGGAAGCAATGTAATAAGAAAACTTCACAAAGATGACAGTAGATTTCAAAAAAAGGAAAAGAAATAAAAATATAAAATAAAAAACATACTTAAATCATACAATGGCTGGAATAAATCTCTCTGAAGAGAAAAATTACTGGACTGCAAGGTATAAAAAGAGATTATGCAGAATGCAATTCAAAAAGACAAATGAGCAGATGTACAGAAGAGAGATTAAGAAGATAATGTGAGATGGCTTAATAGATATTTAACTGAAGTTCTAGAAGGAGAAAAGAGAAAGAATTAAGAAAATGGCAGTATTGGAAGACAGGACAGCTAAGAAATTTTCAGAATTGGCATTATTCAGATTCAGGAAGCCCAATAAGTCTTAAACAGAATAAATAAAAATAAATCCATGCCTAGACAATCACACCAAAACTGCAGAGCACTAAATACAAAGAGAATACGTGAAAAGCAATTTGAGATTAAAGATAGATTATCTACAGAAAAAAAAAAGTCTGATTGACAGATGACTATTTAATAACAAAAATGTAAACCAGAAGACAGCGGAATATCCCAGTGTGAGGGTAAAACACCTTTCACAAATGAGGGCAAATAAAGATGTTAAAAAAAAAACAAACACCAAAATCAGAGAGAAATTTACTATTTAATTCCATCTAAAGGAAAGTGATCCCAGATGGAGAGCTTGACATGTAAGAAAGAATGGTGAACCAAGAAAGTCGTAAATACATGGATAATCTAAGATAACACTCAATACATAAAATAAAAATTTCTTATGGGTTAAAAAAAGAAGAAAAATACCTGACAATAATGTAAGTTGTTTGATTAGTTAGAATATATCCTACTTCCTTATTTACCAAGAATATAATAATATTTTTTAGTTTTAGACACTAGTAAGTTAAGAAAGTATATTGAAATTTTCAAGGTAACCACTAAATAAACACAAATAGCTTATAACTTTCAAACTCATAGAAGGGAAAATGAAATGAAGATAATGAAATACAGAAAAGGTAGAATTAAAAGCACAAAAATGATACCTTCAATTATATTAGTAATTACAAGCACTGTAAATGACTAAATACTCTCGTTAAAGAACAAAGCTGGTCGCCAGGTGCGGTGGCTCATGCCTGTAATCCCAGCACTTTGGGAGGCCGAGGTGGGGGGATCATGAGGTCAGGAGATCGAGACCATCCTGGCTAACACGGTGAAACCCCCTCTCTACTAAAAATACAAAAAAATTGGCCAGGCGTGGCGGCATGCACCTGTAATCCCAGCTACTCGGGAGGCTGAGGCAGGAGAACTGCTTGAACCCAGGAAGTGGAGGTTGCAGTGAGCCGGGATCGCACCACTGCACTCCAGCCTGGGCGACAGAGCGAGACTCTGTCTCAACAAAAAAAAAAAAAAAAAAAAGGACAAAGTTGGTCAAAGTTGTCAAAAACCAAAGCCCAGCTCTACGCTGGTTATTAGAGACACATCCAAAACATAAATATTCAGAAAGATGACAGTTAGAAAAGGATAATTTTATGCTTACCTAATAAATAATAAATACATATTATATATACATACACATATGCATAAATGAAATAGAAACTCTAATAGACGAACCCTAATCACAGTGGCAGATTTTAACAAAACACTAGAAATAACTGATAGATACAACAGACAAAAAGTCAGTAAAAACAGAATATTTAGATACTAAATTAAGCTTGATCTAATGGCTGCATATAGAACAATGCACTCAATTCAAATAACATTCTTCTCAATCATATATGGAAGATTTTGAAAAACTGACCACCCTGGACCTTAACAAAAGAGAAAAACATTTTGCATGAATGAATACATACTAAGAAAACGATGCACATTAACACGACTGCCTTATGGGCGGGGGGAGGATGCGGGTAGTAAATGGCATAGAAGACAGGGAATAAACAAATAATCTGAAGAGTGGCCTTGCTCACACCATTGATAACATGAGTACTCCCAGATCCTACCATGGGAAAAAGAAAAGGAAAACTGATATATTTTATGAGGCTAGACCAGAGGTCAGCAAACTTTTTTTGTCAAGGGCCAAATAGTAAGTATCTTAGGCTCTGTGGGACATACCATCTCTGCTGCAACTCCTCAACTCTGCCATGCAGCACAGAAGCAGCCATAGATGTTACATAAATGGATGAATGTGGTTATGTTCCAATAAAGCTTTATTCATGAACACTAAAATTTGAATTTCATATAATTTCCATGTGTCATAAAATATAATTCTTTTGATTATTTCCCCCAACCATTTAAAAATGTAGAAAACAATCTTGGTTCACAGGCCAAGGCCACAGTTCTCCTGGGATAGAGTAACTTGTATAAAGACATTATGAAGAATTGAAATTACTGGCCAGTCTTACACATGCCACAGATTTAAAATTCTAAGCAAGTTATTAGCAAACTGAATCCAGTAATATGTAAAAATTCATCACACATCATGGCTAAGTTAGGTTTTTCCCAATAAAGGTGTACATGATACTGGAAATAAATTAAAATTATTAGGCACGTTAACAGATTAAAGAGAAAACACTTAGGATCATTTCTTTTCTTTTCTTTTTCTTTTTGAGATGGAATTTTGCTCTTGTCACCCAGGCTGGAGTGCAATGGCGCGATCCTGGCTCACTGAAACCTCTGCCTCCCAGGTTCAAGCGATTCTCCTGCCTCAGCCTTCCAAATAGCTAGGATTACAGGCACCTGCCACCTCGCTCGGCTAATTTTTTGTTGTTGTATTTTTAGTAGAGATGGGGTTTCACCATGTTGGCCAGGCTGGTCTCGAATTCCTGATCTCAGGTGATCTGCTCGACTAAGCCTCCCAAAGTGCTGGGATTACAAGCATGAGCCACCACACCTGACCAATCAATTCAATGGATGCAGAAAAGGCATTTTAAAAATGCAATATTCCTTCATGATAAAAACTCAAGAGCGAATTAGCAATAAAAAGCAACGTCCCTAACCTGATAAAGGACACCTACAAAAAAAACAAGTGCAAACATAAGTAAAAGTGAAGTATCTAAAACTGTGAATAAGACAGGGTGCCCATATTCACCATTCAAAACTGTTCTGGGAGGTGGAGCCAGTGCAGCAAGATAAGAATTAAAATAAAGGTTAAAAAAGAAGAAAAGAAATCAATACTAATAGACAAAGACAATTATTTACAACCAAAAAGTATCTTTATTCATCAATGATATGATCAAGTTGGATGACCCCACATCCAAAAGAATCTACAAGACGTCAGAATAAATAAGAGTTAAGCAAGGTGGGGGGATATAAAATCAATATCTCAAAATCAACTGCAATAATCTGTCATAGGAGTTTTAAGAAAAAAAAAAATCAATGGCAAGTCTATATACCAGAAACAATGAGAAAATTATATTTTATTTTATTTACTTTTTTTTTTGAGACTGGGTCTTGCTCTGTCACCCAGGCTGGAGTGTAGTGGCATAATCATAGCTCACCGCAGCCTCATCCTCCTGGGCTTGAGTGATTCTCCTACCTCAGCCTACCAAGTAGCTGGGACTACAGGCATGCACCATCATGCCTGGCTAATTTTTTATTTATAGTAGAGATGGGGTCTCACTATGTTGCCCAGGCTGGTCTCAAACTGCTGGGCTTAAGTGATTCGCCTGCCTCGGTCTCCTTACGTGTTGGGGTTACAGGCGTGAGTCACAGCACCCAGTCTATATTCTAAAGTTAATGTCATCTAAGAAAAACACAAAATATAAAAATACCTGGAAATAAAATTAACAAAAGATGTGTAAGACTCTAATTATAAAATATTTATTGAAAACCATTCCACAAGACTCAAGTAAGCAGAGTTATTTAGAGGCAGAGGAAGACTCAATACCGTAAAAATGTCAACTTTCCCCAAATTGATCGAAGGTTTAATGCATTATAAATCATTATCCCAACTGGATTTCTACAGAAATTGATAAGCCAATTCTAAAATGTATATGAAGCCAAAACCTAGGAACAGCTAAGACCTTTCTAGAGAACAGGACCATAGTAGAGGCATGTGACTTACCAAATATCAGACATTACTAGAAAGCAGTCTTTAGGCAGTATGGTTTAAATAGACAAACGGACGGACAGATTAGAAAGGAGAGCCCAGAATAGACAAACATATACATAGGGAAACTTAATTTATGACAGAACTGCCACTGAAGTACATAGAAAGGAGGACTGTGTAGTAAGGAATGTGGCCTCCAAAAAGAGGTCTGGCCTTTGTCCCAGCTCTTGGGAAGCAACCTCTAAACATTTTGAATTTCCTGAGTGATAGGAATGTCTTTGTTATTTATGGTGAGCCCCTAAGACCACGTCTGTTAGTTTATGCTCATGAGATGACTAGGGCTTGGGGCTGGCCACACCTACTTCTACCATGTAATCGGTCTTGGGACTTTGAGCCGTGTGGTATCAGCTTGACTTTCAGGCAAGGAGGGAGGACAGATGCTGGAAACTGAGTTCGTGCACATGGAAAATGATTCAATCAATGATGCCTATGTAATGAAGCTTCAGTAAAAACTGGGCACTGAAGCTTGAGTGAGCTTCTCTGGTTGACAATACTCTGGGTGTACTGCCAAACATCAATACTGGGAGGGTAATACAACCCAATGTATCCTTTCCCTGTTATAAATATGACTGTGAATATAACAGCTTTCATTGAGTTCTGTGAGGCTTTCTACTGAATTATTATACCTAAGGGTGGTGGTGGTGGAAATACCTGAATTTGTAGCTAGCTGGTCTAAAGTGAGAGTGGTCATGGGAACCTCTTAAGTTGTAGCTGGTGTCTGAGTGACGGCATCTTGTAGGGACTGTTCCCTCAGACCTTGCAGTTTGCCTAATCCTTTACAATGGCCTTTTCAATAAATGATGTTTCAGATATTATCCAAATGGAAATACCACACCCTACAATTAATTCCAAGTGAATTGAAGACTTAAACATTAAAGGCAAAATAATATCATTTATAGAAAATAGGGATAATATCTTTACTCTTAGGAGAGGAGAGATTTCATACACAAGATGTAAATAAATTAAAGAAAACAGCATTAAATTTGAAGGCATTAAAATTGAGAATATCTACCATCATTTAAAGGTTAAAGTAAGAAAGCATGCACAGCACATATAACCGGCAAGGACGACAATCCACAATATTTAAGAAATGCATACAAAGCATTAAAAGGAACAAAAACTCTGGAAATATAAAAATCAATAGAAAAATTAGAAATGACATAAAATTGTACTTCAGAAAAGAGAAAACATGAATGCCAATGAGCATGAAAGTTGCGGGGGTGGGGGGCTCAACCTCATTTAGTACCAAAATATGCAAATTTGAAATCAAAATAATACATATCAACTCATACCCAAGTGCGTAAAAATTTAAAATTTAATAATACCAAGTGTTGGTGAGGATACGAAGTAAAAGGAATAGTAAATGAGTATAATAAACACTTTAGAAAACAACTGGGCAATGTTGAGTAAGGCTGAAAATGCATATAACCTATGAGCTAGCAATTCCTTTTTTAGTTACATACAGAAATTCTTGCACAGGATACAAAAAGAGGAGTTCAAGAATGTTCACTGGAGTAATGTACACAATATAAATGAAAAAATGTATTCTTACAATGGATGGCTATACAGTAGGATAAGTTTGCAATGTGAATGGATCTCTTGAACACTCGTTGGAGGACAAGTAATAGAGTTGCAGAAAAATCCAAACAGTATGATTTCTTGACATCAAATTAGAACAGGAAAATAAACACATATGGTTAAGACTGTAAAGAAAAACAAGGAAATGCCAAACACAAGATTCGGAATAACAGATACCTCTGACAGCTAAAGAAGGGGATTTAGATTGGGAAGATCAAAGCACACATGGGATTTCTAACATTAGCATTCTACCTCTTAACATGGGTGTTCAGTCCCCCTTAATATATTACACATGTTCTACTATTCAATATTTAATAAAAAGCAGTTTTAAAAAGACAGTTAAAGGCCAGGTGCGGTGGTTCACACCTGTAATCCCAGCACTTTGGGAGGCCAAGGCAGGCGGATCACCTGAGGTCGGGAGTTTGAGACCAGCCTGACCAACATGGAGAAACCCCGTCTCTATAAAAAACACTAAATTAGCTGGGTGTGGTGACACATGCCTGTAATCCCAGCTACTCGGGAGGCTGAGGCAGGAGAATCACTTCAACTCGGGAGGCAGAGGTTGCGGTGAGCTGAGATCGCGCCATTGCACTCCAGCCTGGGCAACAAGGGCAAAACTCCATCTCAAAAAAAAAAAAAAAAAAGATAGTTACAATATAGTATGAAAACGACTATAAGAGATACAGCAATTGAGACCAAGCGCAACCATGAGACTGACACAGGTTTCATAGATGCTGTTCTTGACTAGGTTCAGTAGAACCCAGAGAAAGGGGTGGTGAGGGATAAATGCCCTTCTTGTGTTTCTTGCACAATGGACGCATGAGATAGACTGTGCAATCTGGGAACTGCTAGTAGTTTAACACGACTAGTGTAAAGTCAGAGAGAGAGCAGAGAGACGAGGCTGAAAAGAAGGATCAATCCTGAGACATTTAAACTTGTTCTCACAGATGAAATAATTAACTGAGGGGTTTTTAAGCAGGATACGTTGCCTCCCATTAAAAGAAGAATCTTGCTATAGGAAATAAGAAAATAGTGACCTACTCAGATTGAGGGGTGTGGGGAAAGTTTCACGTAACGTGTGGAAGATTAACTGGGACTTAGAAAAGGAACAGAATTCCAACAAGCAGAAAACACACTGAACAGCACTCCAAGTAGAGAGAGCAGAAGATGGAGGTAAGAAGGGAGACCAATTGCACCCTGTGTTTCTGAGGAGCAGAAAGTTAACTGGGATAGCTGATGAGGGGTTCTGAGGGAGGAGTAGAGAGAAGTGATGTTGGAGAACTCCACAGGAATCAGGGCAGGAAATGTTTTGAATGACAGGTTATACCTGCCAGGACTAAACACATCATCTTTGCTCACCACTTTACTCCAACATTAGGCTTTGTGCTCTGCTAAATACAGAATATGCTTTTTAGTAAATATGCAATGAACGTGAAAGAGTTGGAGATTTATCCTGAAAGTACCAGGGATTCACTGAACAAAATTCAAAAGGTGACATTACTGGATTATCTTATTGGCAAAGAGTAAAAGTGGAGCCAGGGAGCCCAATCAGTTCAATGTAGTATCTACTCCCACAAGGCAAAAGACAGTGGAGTGAGGCCCTAGGGCATAAGCTCACAGAACAGGAAAAGAAAAGAAGCAATGAAATTGGGCACTTCACTGGATGTTGGGGAGACCAGAAGGTAGGAGCTGGGGGACCCCAGGTTGCCAGTGTAAGTGCAGGTGAATTTCCATTATCATCACATTCCCCAAACTGAAATTATGAGGAAGCCCATGGTCACAGAGCTAGCAAATGGCAGAAATGGGCTAAGATTCTACCCTTTCATCACAATGCACAGCCTCCCATTAGCAGGGACAAAGGGCAATTAATATTTTCAGGACAGAAGATACAGGGAGAAATAGACAATGAAGGGTTGAAGTGCAAGGGGAACTGAAGCTTCCTCCCCACCAGTGTGCAGGGCATGGACGGGGAGGGTGTGGTGATCTTCTGATAATCTTAGGAAGGTTTTGGCCTCTACAGTAATGGGAAGAGAAATTCAACAAATTCTTACAGAATTCTGAAGAAAAATCAAAGAGAAAGAAACTGATTAATTCAGAATAGAAAATATGTTTCTTTAGTCTTAGAGTGAAAGTAATTCTTGAGGACTGGCCAGAATTAATGAAGTAAGTGCTACATCCAGACATATCCAGGACAAAAAACAAAACAAAACAAAACAAAAAAACCTTAAATTTCACATCCTACAAATACCATGCCACTCTTTAAAATATATTACTCCAAAGTTGCATAAAAAATCTAAATAAACACTCCAAATTTGGAATTTTATAGCCAACATTCTCTGGTGAGATATCACAGGAGACACCTTAAAGACTAGATTGTTTGGATAAAAGACAGAAAGTATTTTAGGAAAATATAAAAGTAACTATTCTATTTTTGTGGTAAGAAAGACCATCTGGCACAGCAAAAAGGGAAAAATTTTAAGAAAAGAGTTGATTTATCTGAATACATTTATGAAAACTAAATGAATCTAAAAGCACACAAAATAGATTAACTGTGAAAAAATATTTCTAAAACAACGTATAAATGACAAAGAGAAAATATGCTGAACATATGAAATGTTGTTTAAAATAAATTAAAAAATAGCATTCTTTGACAAGTGGGCAAAGGAAGTCAGTAGGTGATGTAGAAACCCCAGCTCTACCCTTTCTTTTTTTTTCTTAGACGGAGTTTTGCTCTTGTTGCCCAGGCTGGAGTGCAATGGCGCAATCTTGGCTCACCACAACCTCTACCTCCCAGGTTCAGCCGATTCTCCTGCCTCAGCCTCCCGAGTAGCTGGGATTACAGGCATGCGCCACCACATCTGGCTAATTTTGTATTTTTAGTAGAGATGGGGTTTCTCCATGTTGGTCAGGCTGGTCTTGAACTCTCGACCTCAGGTGATCCGCCCGCCTTGGCCTCCCAAAGTGCTGGGATTACAGGCATGAGCCACCGCACCCGGCCAGCTCTACCATTTTTAACTGCGTAACTTTGAGGCGAGTGACTTGATTTCCTCAGTTGTCAACTTAGAATAATACTCTATTTCATTGAGTCTGAGATGTCACTGATAATAAGGCCCTTATAACTTTATATACTAGGAAAGAAAAAAAAATGCCATCAATGAAACTATGACTTGCCAAGAATTTTTGTAAACCCCATTTTGATTTCAGAGAGATTAAAATGTGAGAAAAAGTACATCAGAGAATTAATGAAATATAGTCATACCTGTCTAATAGGGTTGTTATGTGGATTAAACAAGATCACATCTGTAAAGAAAGTCCAACTATAAGTGGCTCAAAGTGCATGCTCAATAAGTTAGCTACTTCTGTTAGTAGTATGAACCCACTCTGAAAAAAAAAAATCACATGACTACACATATAAGCAGACAAAATAATCTGAAAACATTAATAGTGACCATCTGGATAGTGGGACCACGGATGGGGTGACTTAAACTTTCTTTGTGACTCCCTCAAATTTTGAAACTTTTGCAAAAATTGTATATCACTTTAATCATAAGAGGGCATTCAGGTTATTTCTATCTTGAAAAACTATCCGGAGATAAAGTGGACAGGTAGGCATTCCAGGTTATAAGAAATTGAGGCCAGGCGTGGTGGCTTACGCCTGTAATTCCAGCACTTTGGGAGGCCGAGGCAGGGAGATCACAAGGTCAGGAGTAGGAGACCAGCCTGACCAACATGGTGAAACCCCATCTCTACTAAAAACACAAAAACTAGCTGGGCATGGTGGCGCACGCCTGTAATCCCAGCTACTCAGGAGGTTGAGGCAGAAGAATTGCTTGAACCAGGGAGGCAGAGGTTGCAGCGAGCTCAGATCACGCTCAGATCACACCACTGCACTCCAGCCTGAGTGACAGAGCAAGACTCTGTCTCAAAAAAAAAAAAAAAAAAAAAGTCTTGGCGCGGTGGCTCACGCCTGCTGCCAGCACTTTGGGAGGCCAAGGCAGGCAGATCACAAAGTCAAGAGACTGCGACTATCCTGGCCAACATGGTGAAACCCTGTCTCTACTAAAAATAGAAAAATTAGCTGGGCGTGGTGGCATGCGCCTGTAGTCCCAGCTACTCGCAAGGCTGAGGCAGGAGAATCGCTTGAACCTGGGAGGCGGAGGTTGCAGTGAGCTGAGATAACACCACTGCACTCCTAACTGGCGACAGAGCAAGGCTCCATTGGGAGGCCTAGGCGGGCGGATCACGAGGTCAGGAGATCGAGACCATCCTGGCCAACACAGTGAAACCCCATCTCTACTAAAAATACAAAAAATTAGCCGGGCGTGGTGGCACGTGCCTGTAATCCCGGCTACTCAGGAGGCTGAGGCAGTAGAATCGCTTGAACCTGGGAGGCGGAGGTTGCAGTGAGCCGAGATTGTGCCATTGCACTCCAGCCTGGGCAACAGAGGAAACTCGGTCTCAAAAAAAAAAAAAAGAAAGAAAGAAAGAAATTGATAAGCGGGCCGTGCAAGATGGCTCTCGCCTGTAATCCCAGCACTTTGGGAGGCCGAGGCAGGTGGATTGCCTGAGTTAAGGAGTTCGAGATCAGCCTGGGCAAGATGGCAAAACCCCGTCTCTACTAAAAATACAAAAATTAGCTGGGCGTGGTGGTGTGTGCCTGTAATCTCGGCTACTCAGGAGGCTGAGGCAGAAGAATCACTAGAACCGAGGAGGCGGAGGTTGCAGTGAGCTGAGATCACACCACTGCACTCCAGCCTGGGCAACAGAACGAGACTCTGTCTCAAAAAAAAAAAAAAAAAATTGGTAAGCAAAAAGGCTATTGCATATGATCATGGAGGGGACAATGCAGAAATCAGTGAGACTGAAAAAGCTAATTCTGTTGTTCAATTTCCCTGCCAAATCACTGAGGCATGTTCTCTGTCAACACTGTTGTGAGCATGAATAAAATCCAGGGAAGTGGAAATTCTAGATCAGATGAGACAATGTTTGCAAAATAGACAGCCCTAGGCTGCTTTAGGAAAATGCTACATAAATGCAGTTTCCTCCCCTCTTCCCCTTTGTCCAAATCATGAATGTAAATATTTTAGATAAATTTCTGAAATAGGACACTGTCCTGAAAACCAGTAAGTCCTTTCCAAGAAAATGTCAAATGCAACTTACCTCCGCCATCACTTCAGACGCACAGCAGTTCTCTCCTCTTCTGGGTTCTTAAAGAAAGATGTGGAAAAACGTTAAGAAGCCATCCTGAATCCCTCCCTGAACCCCTTGGGAGGCCAAACTCCTGCCCCACCCCAGGCACTGAAAGGGAGACCAAAGAAGCTGCAACGCCACCGCTCTCTGTCATCCTCACAAAGAAATGCAGGTGACCTTAGGAGCCCAGAGAGAAGTCCTGGGAGAGCCCCCCAGACCGTAGCCCTCTTCCTCCATAACAGCCTAACTTGGGAAACTTTCAGGCCTAGCGTCTTACACTGAGCCCAAAAGTCTGTGGCGCCAAGACACAGCTTAAATGGACCCACCTGTCAGGGTCTCAAACTGCTGTCCTTTAGGCTGGGGGCACCTTTATGGGTCTAGATCCCTGGTGGCTACTGGGTGAAAGAACAGAGAAGTGGATATAGCAGGGACTTCCCAGCCCCAAACTCTAGAACCATTTCCACCCTCAACACACACCAGAGATAGACCCGATGGAGGGAAGGCCATTCACAGAGATTCACTACCTACTGACTAGTCTCAGTTGGGGTTTGCGTAGACGGCCAGGACCCATCCACAGGGCAGACCCCGCCCAGCGTATCCCCAGAATGTACAGCGAGGGTGTCCCGCCCCCTCCCAGGCCTCCCAAAGATGGGGTCGATGACCCGGCACACGCTCACACTTACATGCACAGCCACACAGAATACCGTGCAGACAGGACTCCCACCACAGCCCCGCAGGCACAGCGGGCACAGATCGCCAAGCACCTGTCGCTGGGCCCACAATCCAGGTCCGGGGAGAACTGCCCGGACTTTTAGTCCAGACAAGAGGACGCAGGGCCGCGATACCCTAGACCTCCTAACATTCCCAGACCGCTCCAGCGCCAGCCTCACACCACACCCACTCCCTGCCTGCGCGCGGCCCGACACTGCCCTCTGCCGAGCTGGGGGCCAGTGGCCCTGACACCCTTCTCCCATCCCGACTGCACCGCCCCGACACTCTCTTCCTTCCCCATCGCACAGCCCTGACCTCCCCTAGCGGTGAAGCGTGGGCATGCAGCCCGCACATCTCCGAGAGCCACCTGTCTTTTAAACTCCAGACGACCCCAGCTCCTCGCCGGGACGCCTCACCGCCCCCTTCGGCGTCCTAGCACTCAGGTCTGAACGAGTCCATCCCAACCCAGCGAGCTCCGCAGCCCGGGACGTTCCAGCCCTTTGCTTTCCAACACCCGCCAAGGAAAGGTGACTAGCCTTCTTCGGCCGGAAAAGGTTGGCCGCGGGGCCCCCTGGGAAATGTAGTCCAGAGGTGGGTGCGCCACCCGGGGCCTGGACCGCACCACGGTCACTGGCGCTCACAGTCATGTCCAGTTCCCCGCCTCCAGTGAAGCCGAGGCCAGACTGCCCAGCTGCACCCGAGCACCCTCCCAGGAACTGGGCAAACACACAGGCCCAGGCAGCAATAGTTGGCCGCTGACGGCTAGAAAAAGGCTGTGGGGCCGTGGAGGCTTCAGAAAAATGTAGCCGCAAACCCGGGAAGGGGCGGCCGGGCCCGCCGCCAGGGCTTCCAGAGTCCGCGAAGTTAACCCGGCTGCAGCCGCCCTCGCCCCAAACGGAGGGTCAGGGAGTGGGGTTTGTGTGTGTGCCCAAAGGCCTCTCACAAGTGCTGTAAAAAGCCAGGGAGCGGACCACCCAGGGTACCCTCCACAGGGAGCCGCGCTCTGGGGTGGATCAGGAGAGGGCGACTCCCGGCCACGCCACGAATTAGGAGTCGGCCCGGACCTGGGGCTTCACTGACCTGGGCCACAATCCCGATAAAGCCGGGTGGCTAAGTTTGGGCTGGGAATTCATGCCCCAGTCCAGGTCTTCTGGCATCTCAACATTTAAGTCACTAATTTCTGCTCGGGCCGGGCCACAGGCTGGCCTGGAGGGTGTCTGGGAAACGACCTGTCCTAGAGGTTTGGGGATGTGGCCTAGGAGAGACTGAAGGGGCGCAGTCACAGGCTCAGGATGCCGAAGGGACTGGAGAAGGATGAGGGATAGTTGGGTCTGCAGCGGAAATAACGGAAAACCAATATAGTGGGCTGCAACGTCATTATTTGAGGATTAAGTTGCAGAAGGATATTTAATGACAGAAGTATGTTCGAGAAATACTTTAGGACCTGGAAAAGTGCCACTAAAATAAACCAATTTTAGTAGCACTTTTGTGTTACTAAAAGTGCTACTAAAATAAAAGCACTTTTGTGTTACTAAAAGTGCTACTAAAATAAACCAATTTTTTAAAATAAATACTGTATTTAAAAATGTTATAGGCTGGGCACGGTGGCTCACACCTGTAATCCCAGCACTTTGGGAGGCCAAGGCGGGCGGATCACGAGGTCAAGAGATCAAGACCATCCTGGCCAACATGGTGAAACCCTGTCTCTACTAAAAATACAAAATTTACCTGGGTGTGGTGGCGCGCACCTGTAGTCCCAGCTACTCAGGAGGCTAAGAGAATACCTTGAATCTGGGAGGCGGAGGTTGCAGTGAGCCGAGACTGTACCACTGCACTCCAGCCTGGTGACAGTGAGACTTCATCTCAAAAAAAAAAAAAAGTTATAAATAGGTCAGGCGCAGTGGCTCGCGCCTGTAATCCTAGCACTTTGGGAGGCCGAGGCAGGCAGATCACAAGGTCAGGAGATCGAGACCATCCTGGCCAACATGGTGAAACCTCGTCTCTCCTAAAAATACAAAAATTAGCCTGGCGTGGTGGTGTGCACCTGTAGTCCCAGCTACTAAGGAGGTGCATTCCAGCCTGGCGATAGAGCGAGACTGCGTCTCAAAAAGAAAAAAAACAAAGTTATAAATAGCAGAAACATAGGCACTTGGGCAATAATATCTTTAAAGTTAATTGTTAACAGCAGTTAACTTCTAGGATGTGTAATTGTGACTTTTTTTCTTTTCAGTTAAAAAGTAGTCCCTTATATTTTTGGCCATTATCGTTTCTTTCTTGTGAAACATTACTTATAACATTTCATTAAAAAAAATTCTTAAGTATTTCTAGTTTACAAACTAGAAAACAAACTACTGGACCAAAATTTAAAAATCCACAGTTTAGTACTAAAAGATAAATGAAACACAAGACTGATATACAAGAGCAAAATAAAGCAAAAACATTAGAAATGCGAAAAAAAAAACATAAAGAGTTTAAGAGTTTTTTTTTTTCTTGAGACGGAGTTTTGCTCTTGTTGCCCAGGCTGGTGTGCAGTGATGCCGTCTCAGCTCACTGCAACCTCTGCCTCCCGGGTTCAAGTGATTCTCCTGCCTCAGCCTCCCAAGTAACTGGGATTACAGGTGCCCGCCTGTATTCTTTGTATTTTTAGTAGAGACGAGGTTTCATCACGTTGGCCAGGCTGGTTTCAAACTCTTGACCTCAGGTGATCCGCCCACCTCAGCCTCCCAAAGTGCTGGGATTACAGGAGTGAGCCACCGTGCCCAGGCCTGGGTTTAAAAGAATTTTGAGGCTGTTATGTACAACTCTATAACCATGGTAGAGGAAACTGTAGATTTTCTAATGAAATTTAAATCACTGATTTCTACTAAGAAGTAGAAAATCTGAACAGAATAATAACCATAATGAAATGCTTTATTTTATTTAAGATATTTTAAAGTATGTACAATTAAAAAGGTACCATACCCAGATGGTTATAGCTGAATTTTAGCTAATTTTTGAACTAATAATGATTATTCAATGTATTTATATCCAACTTATATATGCTCTCCAATGAATTTTTGTCTAAGTGGCATAAAATTTATTAAAGACATGGCCGGGCATGGTGGCTCATACCTGTAATCTCAGCAGTTTGGGAGGCTGAGGCAGGAGCATCACTTTGAGGCTAGGAGTTTGAGACCAGCCTCGGCAACATGGCAAAACCCCCTTTCTACAAAGATTAGCCGGATGTGGTGGCGCACACCTGTACTTCCAGCTACTGGGGAGGCTGAGGCTGGAGGATCACTTGTACCCGGAGGCAGAGGTTGCAGTGAGCCAAGATTGGGGCACTGCACTCCAGCCTGGGCGACAGAGCGAGACTGTCTCCAAAAGAAAGAAAAGAAAAGAAAAGAAATTCAATAAAGACAGGCCAAAAGAAAAGTATTAATTTCATTTGTGGTTATAGATGCAAAAGTTCCAAATAAAAGGCTGATTTCAATAATGTATAAAATTTATATAGTTATGTCAAAGGATTGGGAAAAAAGAAATTCATAAATTATGCCAATAAGACAAAGTGGTAGAATAATGCCCCAAGACGTTCAAATCCTAACCCCCAGAACCTGTGAATATATCTTACATGGCAAAAGAGGCTCTGCAGCAGATATGCTTCAACTAATAATCTTGAGATGGAGGCCAGGCATCGTGGCTCATGCTTGTAATCCAGCACTTTGGGAGGCCGAGGTGGGCGGATCACTTGAGGTAAGGAGTTTGAGATCAGCCTGGACAACGTGGTGAAACCCAGTCTCTACTAAAAATACAAAAATTAGCCAGGCATGATGGTGCATGCCTGTAGTCCTAGGTACTCGGGAGGCAGAGGTTGCAGTGAGCCAAGATCTCGCCACTGCACTCCAGCCTGGGCGGCAGAGTGAGACTTGATCTCAAAAAAAAAAAAAAAAAAAAAAAAAAAAAAATCTTGAGATGGGAAGATTATGCTGGATTACTGAGTAGGCCCAACAAGGGTCCTTAAAAGAGGAAGGCAGGAGGGTCAGAGTCAGAGAGGAAATCATGACAACGAAAGCGGGGATGTGCTTTGAAGACGGAGGAAAGTGCCATAAGCAAAAGAACGCAGGCAGCTTCTAGAAGCTGGAAAAGACAAGGAAATAGATTCTCCCCTAGAACCTAGAGAAAGAACACGGTTTTATGACACCTGGATTTTAGCCCACAGGACTCATTTCACACTTCTGACCTCAGTATCTAGATGAAGAAATCTTCCCTCAGCAGGAAGAGGTTGGGATGACCTGTCATTCATCAAAAAACTATATCCTTGATAAGCCTGTCCTTCCTTGCTTGAGATATTTTCTTTCGCTCTCTTTCAATTAGGATATAGAACTTTTGCATTCCTTCTCCTGAAACTTCCTCTCTTATGGTAACGAATCAGAGAACTGGTTCTTTAGTTCTGTTCCAGTGGGGTCTTTGGGTATGTCCCCAATAAGCTCAGTGCCTTCCCACTTCCTAGGCACATTTACTTCAGTTGTTTATTTTGGCAAGTTTCAAATCTCCAGAAGCATTGAAAGAATACTACAAAGAACTTGTATTGGGGCTGGGTGTGGTGGCTCACACCTGTAATCCCAGCACTTTGGGAGGCTGAGGTGGCTGGATCAGGAGGTCAGGAGATTGAGACCATCTTGGCTAATACCGTGAAAGCCCGTTTCTACTAAAAATACAAAAAATTAGACAGGCATGGTGGCACGTGCCTGTAATCCCACCTACTCAGGAGGCTGAGGCAGGAGAATCGCTTGAACCTAGGAGGCGGAGGTTGCAGTGAGCTGAGATTGTGCCACTGCACTCTTGCCTGGGGGACAGAGCAAGACTCTGAAAAGAAAAAAAAAAAGAACTCATTCATGCTTGTCCCTTAGATTCACAAATTGTCAACAATTTAACAATTTGCCACTTTTGATTCTCTCTCTACCATTTGAAAATAAATTCAAGAATCATTATACTTCAGTACTAAACATGTTTTTTTTTTTTTGAGGCAGTGAGCCAATTTGATCACTTGGCTAAGATGGTAATGGCCACATGTCTCCATTGTAGTTATTTTTCCCCTTTTTAATTGGTAAGTAACCTGAGGGATGATAACTTCAGACCATATGAATCTCCTCTTTTTTAACAATCATATGCATATATATATATATAGTTTTTTTTTTTTTTTGGAGACAGAGTCTTGCTCTGTTGCCAGGCTGGAGTGCAGTGGCGCAATCTCAGGTCACTGCAACCTCTGCCTCCTGGGTCCAAGCTGGGACTCCAGACACCCGCCACCACGCCCGGCTAATTTTTGTATTTTTAGTAGAGATGGGGTTTCACCATGTTGGCCAGGCTGGTCTTGATCTCCTGACTTCGTGATCTACCTGCCTCGGCCTCCCAAAGTGTTGGGATTACAGGTGTGAGCCACTGCACCTGGCCCATATGCATATTTAATATAAGGTATATGTTACATTTTCATGTAAATTAATATGTGTTACTCTCATATAAATTTGTATGTATTTTTCTCATATAAATATGAATCATGAAATTACATTTTATAAGTGGACTTTCTACCATGTATGGATATTATGGTGTACAGTTGACACACATATATACATATTATTCTTCAGTGTTGGATAACTGATCCATGTTATATGCTTTGTAGGACATCTTAGATATTTTATGGGATAATTTCAAATACAACCAAGTTTTTATTTTGTTCCTGGGTTTTCAATTTAGCCCACAAGAAACTACAACACCACT
This sequence comes from Homo sapiens, assembly GCF_000001405.40. Taxonomy (NCBI): domain Eukaryota; kingdom Metazoa; phylum Chordata; class Mammalia; order Primates; family Hominidae; genus Homo; species Homo sapiens. Next base: position 36,967,968 of record NC_000019.10, on the reverse strand, counting down.
GTTAAGAGATATGCATTTTCATGTTGTTGAGATTCTCCTTCATGCCCAGTGTTCTATTCCAAGCACTAATGGGGCAAAAACACCTATCTTGTAGAGAAAGATGAGATTCTTTACTGTGGACATTATGATCTGCCATGGAGACAGGACCATTGTGATGAAACAACTCATTATGCTTTTGGTTGATGGCAAACTGTCCTGCCTTATGAGACTTTAAGCAGTTGGGTATCATGGAAAGCTTAAGTGTGAAGGTCTTGGTGAATGATGATGGGCTTTTGCCAGAAATGGATGGATGAGAAGCTTTTTAAGCATCAGCAGCCAGCTTCTATGGTCAGTTTGTATCAGTCTGGATACAGTCAGGAAACAGAAACCACAAAGGAATTTTTTGCTTGTTTGTTTTGTTTTTTTTGAGAAGGAGTATTGCTCTGTTGCCTAGGCTGGAGTACAGGGGTGCTATCTCAGCTCACTGTAATATCTGCCTCTCGGGTTCAAGTGATTCTCGTGCCTCAGCCTCCCAAGTAGCTGGGATTACAGGCACCTGCCACCATGCCCAGCTAACTTTTGTATTTAAGTAGAGATGAGGTTTCACCATGTTGGCCAGGCTGGTCTTGAACTCCTGACCTCAGGTGATCCACCCACCTCAGCTTCCCAAAGTGTTGGGATTACAGGCATGAGCCACTGTGCCTGGCCAAAGGAATTTAAACAGAATTATAATATAAAGAATTATTAAGCAATGATAGGACAGAAACTATAGGGCCATGAGGAGGACTCTAAAAGGCCCTTTAGAGCTGAGGGAGAGTACCCAAAAGAAAACATACTTGGAAGGAGGTCTTTCCCAAGGGTGAGTTTCAAACCTCACTGAATGTGGTTGTAGCTCAGTGTGATGCTGGAGAAGTTTGCTACGTTGCCAGGTACTCAAAGAGAGTTGGAGTGGCACTGTAGGCCTTAGGCCTGAGATGCATGGTTTCCACATCAGGACAGCTACAGGAAATTACTCCCCATTGCACAAGCAAGCTACGGCTGATGGCCAGGATGCAGAGGAGTTTGGGTGCCACTGTGAGCATGAGGTCTGGAGCACACGGTCTCTCATGAGAAGGGCCTCAGCAAGGTAGTCTGCCAGGCCCAGGCCAGATATGCAAGATCTCCAAGAGACTGCATGCTCTGGAGCACAGCTGGCGCAGAGCATCGCTGAATATTCTCACATACACACCTCCCACTGATGGACCATGAAGCAAGAGCAAGGAAAAGCAAAATGCTGCAACCTGAGCCAGAAAGACCCCTTCTTCCTTCAATGTCCCTCTTCAATGTCCACACCCTCTACTGACAAAGCTTAATATCACACTCACTGTAAAGGAGAAATGCTTCAAGTTGTCCACTTTCACAGACTGGTGTTGAAAAGGTTAATTTGGAGCTGAGAGGCAATACACTGATAACTGACCTAGTCTAACCCTTTGGGTACTAAGTTTCTACACACTTTTTTATACAAAACTTGAGCTCCTTTACAACAATGAAACAACTCTATTTCTACCTAGCAAGGTACAGCTATCCAAATGAGAAGATGGACCAGGCATGATGGCTCACGCCTGTAATCCCAATACTTTGGGAGACTAAGGCAGGAGGATTGTTTGAGGCCAGGAGTTGGAGACCAGCCTGGGAAACAAAGCAAGACCCCATTTCTTTTTTTCTTTTTGAGACAGAGTCTCTGTTGCCTAGGCTGGAATGCAGTGGTGCAATCTCGGCTCACCGCAACCTCCACCTCCCCAGTTTAAGCGATTCTCGTGTCTCAGCCACCCGAGTAGTTGGGATTACAGGCATGGACAATCACTTCCAACTGATTTTTATATTTTTTAGTAGAGACAGGCTTTCACCATGTTGGCCAGGCTGGTCTTGAACTTCTGACCTCAGGTGATCTGCCTGAGGACCCACCACACGTGGCCTGATTTTTAAATATTAACCTTATATCCTGTAATCAGGCTGGGTGCTATGGCTCACGCCTGTAATCCCAGCACTTTGGGAGGCCGAGGCGGGCAGATCACCTGAGGTCAGGAGTTTGAGACCACCCTGGCCAACATGGTGAAACCTGTCTCTACTAAAAATACAAAAATTAGCTCAGTGTGGCCATGTGCACCTGTAATTCCAGCTAATTGGGAGGCTGAGGCAGGAGAATCGCTTGAACCAGGAGGCAGAGGTTGCAGTGAGCCGAGATCACGCCATTGCACTCCAGCCTGCATGACAGAGCAAGACTCTTAAAAAAAAAAAAAAAAAAAGTCCTTGATCACACACAAAACTGGGGGGATGCCATAATGGTGGAGAAAGCATGAAAGCATTCTGTAAGTCCATGGTTGTGATGCTGGCAGCAGCATTACGGGCAAGAAAAAAAATCTATTCCAGAATATCTGTCCATGCTTATAAGAATGAATCTCTGTCTCATCCATGACAGAACAGGCCCAGTGTATTCGGCCTTCTATAAGGTGGCTAGCTGGTTCCAAAAGGGAATGCTGCTATATCAGGGACTCAATGCTGGTCTCTGCTGTTGACAAAAATCAAGGGAAAAGACTGTGTTGGCTGATTATGTCCCTTTTAAATTAAGGAAGAAAATGCTTTCAAATACCCATTACCCCCAAATATTTTTGCTTGTATCTCACTGGCCATATTTATGATACATGGTTGTCCTCACATGGAAGGCAGACAGGCAAAGAGATAAAAGCATGCCCAACTTGTCCTTTTATAACAGCATGAATCCCACCCATGAGTGTGGAGCTCTCATGAGCTAATCACCTTGTAAAGGTTCCACCTCTTAATACTGTTATAATGGCAACTAAATTTCAACATGAATTTTGGAGGCGACAAATATTCAAACCATAGCAATAATCAAAGATTCCCAAGAAAGTGGGATAACATTTACATGCTTAATGAAAATTTCAAGCCCAGTTGTACAAGTCTTTGTATAGATACAAGTCCCTCTTATAGTACTTGCTTGTCCCCAAAGACTAGTGTCCCAACTAGGAGAGCGCAGAAGATCATTTTTATTTAGAGGTGATGCTCTTCCACCTCTAACACTGGAGGTATCAGTCACCTCAGGGGACATGGTTGTCATCTGCTACAAGCTCCACCACCTCTTGTATCGACTTTCACTTCATTATTTTATGTTTATTTATTTATAAGAGATAAGGTCTCATTCTGTTGCCAAGGCTGGAGTGGTGATCATGGCTCATTGCAGCCCCAACCTCCTGAGCTCAAGGATCCTCCCACCTCAGCCTCCCAAGTAGCTGGGACTACAAGTGTGTGTCACACCGTCCGCCAAATTTTTTAAAAATTTTTTGTAGACACAGGGTCTCACTATGTTGCCCAGGCTGGTCTCGAACTCCTGGGCTCAAGCTATCTTCCCACCCTGGCTTCCCAAAGTGCGAGGATTATAGGCATGAGCCACTATGCCTGGCTCACTTCATTATTTTGACTTAAAGATCAGATAGGCTCAGATGCCTCATAGTTCAGAGAACACTTAATGGGTTATTCTCTGCCTCCAGTACTTGTTTCTTTAAGAGATATTCAGAAACAGCAGAAATCAAGCTTGAGTTCTGGACACCAGGAGATCTTACAAAGTTACTGTCCACTATGTAACAAGAAAGTAATATTTCACAAAGGTTCAGAAGCGAATCTAACAAATGTTTATGTGACTTGGACCCTCCCTCCCTTCCTTCCTTCCTTCCTTCTCTTAGGAGATCTTACAAAGTTACTGTCCACTATGTAACAAGAAAGTAATATTTCACAAACGTTCATAAGCAAATCTAACAAATGTTTATGTGACTTGAATCCTTCCTTCCTTCCTTCCTTCCTGAGATCTTACAAAGTTACTGCCCACTATGTAACAAGAAAGTAATATTTCACAAAGGTTCAGAAGCAAATCTAACAAATGTTTATGTGACTTGAATCCATCCTCCCTTCCTTCCTTCCTCCCTCCCTCCCTCCCTCCGTCCCTCCCCCCACCCTTTCTTTCTTACTTTTTTTGACTGAGTCTCGCTTTGTTGCCAGGCTGGAGTGCAGTGGCACAATCTCGGCTCACTGCAACCTCCACCTCCCAGGTTCAAGCGATTCTTCTGCCTCAGCCTTCTGAGTAGCTGGGACTACAGGCGCATGCCACCATGGCCAGCTAATTTTTGTATTTTTAGTAGAAATGGGGTTTCACCATGTTGGCTAGGATGGTCTCAATCTCTTGACCTCGTGATACGCCTGCCTCAGCCTCCCAAAGTGCTGGGATTACAGCTGTGAGCCACTGTGCCCGGCCAACTTGGGCCTTTCTAATGCATGAAAAGATATTACCAATGTTAAAAAACAACTCTGAAATAGGGCACCAGTCATAGCATAGCCCTCTGCCAAATTCATTTAATAGAGACTGTATTGGGAGTATTTCATAAAACGCTGTTCATATTGCTGTCAGTTGTTAAATTTAGTTACAGGAGAAACAGCAGCTGGTTATATGTTAACACTAAAATGTCTTTAGGACATGGTCATTAATTATGCCCCAGGAGCAGCTGTTGAGGCTTTGCTTTGCCATTTGTTCTGGCACTCTGCCCAAAGCCTAGTGCTGCTGACATTCATCAGTGTTCGTACATAAAATTGCCACTGGGTTAATATTTCCATCATTTATCAAGCTAAGAAAAATGAAGCTACTGAGACTGAATTGACAGGTCTGAAATTAAGAATTTTCATAAAATTCGTATCTCCATATACTACCTAGCCAATCCAATCCTTGGTATTTATCCAAGAGAAATGAAAACATACATCTATACAAATAATTTTTACACAAATATTCATGGTAGCCTTATTCTTGATAGTCCCCAAACTGGAAACAACACAACTATTCATTAACAGGTGATTGTGGTACCATTATTTAGCAATGAAAACCTATTTAATAAAATTATGGATGAAAACTTCCAAAGCCTAACAAGAGATTCAGACATCCAGATACAGAAGGCTCACAATATGCAAGGAGATAAAATGCAAAAAGTTTTTCTCCATGGCACAATTATATTCACATTGTTTCAAGTCAAACAAAGATAAAGAGTGAATCCTTAGAAGAAAAAAAAAGCATCTAGTCACCTATAAAAGAAACCCCATAAGACTAATAGAGGATTTCTAAGCAGAAACCTTATAGGTCAAAAGAAAATGGGATGATATATTTAAAGTGCTAAAAGAAAAAAAGAAAACTAGCCAAGAATGCTACATCAAGCAAAATTATCCTTCATAAACAAAGGAGAAATAGACCTTTCTAGACAAGCAAATGCTAAGGAAATTTGTTACCACTAGACTGGCCTTACAAGAAAAGCTGAAGGCTGGGTGTGGTGGCTCACACCTGTTATCTCAGCACTATGGGAGGTCGAAGCGGGTGGATCACTTGAGGTCAGGAGTTTGAGAATAGCCTGGCCAACATGGTAAAAGACCGTCTCTACTAAAAATACAAAAATTAGCCACGTGTGGTGGAGCATGCCTCTAATCCCAGCTACTTGGGAGGCTGAGGCACGGGAATCACTTGAACCTGAGAGGTGGAGGTTGCAGTGATCCAAGATTACACCACTACATTCCAGCCTGGGTGGCAGAGTGAAACTGTGCCTCAGAAACGAAAAAAAAAAAAAAAGAAAGAAAAGCTCAAGGGGGTCTTAAACCTGGAAGCAAAAAAAAAAAAAAAAAAAAAAACACTGCAACACTTACCATCATGAAAATAAGGTAAACTATAAAACTCACTGGTAAAGCAAACACATAAAGAAGAAAGAGAAAGGACTCACATGGTACTACTACAGAAATCTACCAAGCCACAGTGACAATAAGAAAACAAATTAAAAAAAAAAAAAACATAAAACAACAAAAAAGCCTGGGCATGGTGGTTTAAATCTGTAATCCCAGCACTTTGGAGCCAGAGAGGGGAAGATCATTAGAGCCCAGGAGTTCAAGACTAGCCTGGGCAACACAGTGAAACTCCATCTCTATAAAAATAAAAAAAACATTACCCAGGCATGGTGGTGCATGGGGAGCTACTTGTGGGGCTCAGGTGGGAGGACTGCTTGAGCCCAGAAGTCTCAAAAAAAAAAAAAAACACCCTAACCAATTAACAATATGATAGAGACAAAGCTTCGTATGTGAATAATAACCTTTAGCCAGGTCAGTGGCTCACGCCTGTAATCCCAGCACTTTGGAAGGCTGAGGTGGGAGGATCACCTGAGGTCAGGAGTTTGAGACCAGCCTGGCCAATATGGCACAACCCTATCTCTACTAAAAGTATAAAAATAGCCAGGCGTGCCAGCGCATGCCTGTAATCCTAACTACTCAGGAGGCTGATGCAGAATAGCTTGAACTGAGGAGGCAGAGGTTGCAGTGAGCCAAGAACCCGCCATTGCACTCCAGCCTGGGCAACAGAGTGAGACTCCATCTCATAATAATAATAATAACTTTGAATATAAATGGATTAAATTTCCCACTTAAAAAATAGAGAATGGCTGAATGGATTTTTTTTTTAAAAAGATCCCCAAATATCCTACTTATAAAAAACTCACCTTACTGGTAATGACACATATAGACTGAAAGTAAAAGGATGGAAAAAGATATTCCATGAAAATGGAAACCAAAAGTGAGCAGGAGTAGCTATATTTCTAATAGATTAAAGAGTTTTTAAGTCAAAAAGAGTTAAAAAAAAAAAAAAAGACAAAGAAGGTCATTATATAACCATAAAGTGATTAAACCAGCAGTGGATATAACAATTCTAAATATATATGCAGCCAACACTGAAGTACCCAGATTCATAAAGCAAATATTACTAGATCTAAAGAGAGAGACTGCATTACAATAATAATGAGGGACTTCAACATCCCATTCTCAGCATTAGACAGTTTTAAAAAATCAGAGTTTTAAAAAATTAGATTTAAACTGGACTTTAGACCAAACACACCTAACAGATATTCACAGAACCTTTCACCCAACAGATGCAGACTATACATTATTTTCATCAGTACATGGAACATTCTCCATAATAGGCCATCGAGTAGGCCTCAAAACAAGTCTCAACAAATTTTTAAAAGCTGAAATCTTATCAAGTATCTTAGACCACAACGGAATAAAACTAGAGATTAACACCAAGAGGAACTTTGGAAACTATACCAATAAATGGAAATTAAATATCATATTCCCAAATAACCACTAAAGATCATAATTAAAATGAAAATTGAAAGAAAAAAAAATTTTTTTTTTTTTTGAGATGGAGTTTCACTCTTGTTGCCCAGGCTGGAGTGCAATGGCATGATCTCGGCTTACTGCAACCTCTGCCTCCCAGATTCAAGTGATTCTCCTGCCTCAGCCTCCCGAGTAGCTGGGATTACAGGCAAGTGCCACCACCCCAGCTAATTTTTGTATTTTTACATGGTGAGCCACCATGCCAGGCCAAAGGAAAGTTTCTTGAAACAACCGAAAATGAAAACACAACATTCCCAAACCTGTGAAATAAGGCAAAAGTAGTGTTAAGAGGGAAGCTTATAGCAATAAATGTAGAATGCAATCAAAAAAGTTAGCTGGGCACAGTGGCTCGTACCTGTAATCCCAACACTTTGGGAGGCCGAGGCGGGTGGATCACCTGAGGTCAGGAGTTCGAGACCAGCCTGGCCAACATGGTGAAACCCGATTTCTACTAAAAATACAAACATTAGCTGGGCATGGTGGTGAGCACCTGTAATCCCAGGTACTCGGGAGGCTGAGGCTGGAGAACCACTTGAACCCGGGAGGCAGAGGTTACAGTGAGCCAAGATTACACCATTGCACTCTAGCCTGGGCAACAGAGCGAGGAGACTCTGTCTCAAAAAAAAAAAAAAAAAAAAAAGTAGAACAATTACAAATTAACACTCTAACAATGTACCTCAAAGAACTAGAAAACAAGAAAAAGCCAAACCACAAATTAGCAAAATAAAAGAAATAATAAAGATCAGAGCAGAATTAAATGAAATGGAGACTAAAACAATATGAAGGATCCACAAAATGAAAAGTTGGTTATTCAAAAAGATAACCCAAATTGATAAACCACTAGCTAGACTAACCAAGAAGAGAGAATACCCAAATAAGCAAAATTGGAAATGAAGAAGGAGACATTACAACTGATACTACAGAAATACAAGAGAGTGTCAGAGACTTACGAGCAGCTATATACTGACAAACTAGAAAACCTAGGGAAAACAGATATATTCCTGAAAACATAAAACTTACCAAGACTGAATGACGAGGAAATATAAAATCTGAACAGACCACTAAGTAGTGAGATTAAATCAGTAATAAAAAGTGTCCCAACCAAGAAAAGCCCAGGGTCACTTGGAATCACAGCCAAATTATACCATACAAAGAAAAACTAATACCAATTCTCCTGAAACTATTTCAAAAAATAAAAGAGGAGAGAATTCTCCCCAGTTCATTCTACAAGGCCAGGATCATCCTATTACCAAAACCAGAGAAGGACACAACATAAAAAGAAAACTAAAGGCTGATATCTGACAAAGGTAGATGCAAAAATCCTCAAAAAAGCACTAACAAACCAAATCCAATAGCACAGCAAAATGATAATACACCACAATCAAGTGAGATTTGCACCAGGGATGCAAAGATGGGTCAATGTATGCAAATCAGTTAACATGATACATCACATCAGAATAAAGGACAAAAACCATATAATCATCTCAATAGATGCAGAAAAAGCATCTGATAAAATTCAACATGCTTTCACAATAAAAACTTCAACAAGCTAGGCACAGAAGGTACATACCTCAGAATAATAAAGGTTATATATAACAAACCCACAGCTAACACCATAGTGAATAGGGAAAATCTGAAAGCATTTCCACTAAGAATTGGAACAATGCCGACTTTCACCACTCCTATTCAACATAGTAATGGAAATCCTAGCCAGACCAATCAGGCAAGAGAAAGAAATAAAAGGTATCCAAATTGGAAAAGAGGAAGTCAAATTGTGCCTTTTTGTTGATGATATAATCCTATATCTAGGAAAATCTAAAGACTCCACCTGGCTGGGCGTGGTGGCTCACGCCTGTAATCTCAGCACTTTGGGAGGCCGAGGAGGTTCGATCACTTGAGGTCAGGAGTTTGAGACCAGTCTGGCCAACATGGCGAAACCCTGTCTCTACTAACAATACAAAAAAATTAGCTGGGCTTGGTGGTGCACGCCTGTAATCCCAGCTACTTGGGAGGCTGAGGCAAGAGAATTGCTTGAACCCGGGAGGTGGAGGTTGCAGTGAGCCAAGATTGTGCCACAGTACTCCAGCCTGGGCGAAAGAGAGACCCTGTCTCAAAAAAAAAAAAAAAAAAAAAAGAAAGAAAAAGAAAAAAGAAAAAAAGAAAGAATATTATGAACAAGAATAAAAGCGTATAAAGCATATTATGCCCACAAATTTGATAATCTACATGAAACAGACTAATTCCTTGAAAGACACAATCTGTCAAAACTCACCAAGAATAAACAGACAATCCAAACAGGCCTGTATCTATTAAATAAATGGAATCAATAACTATTAACCTTCCAAAATAGAAAGCATCAGGCCCAGATGGGTTTACTGATTAATGCTCCCAAACATATAAGAAAGTTTATCAATTCTCTACCCTCTCTTCTAGAAAAAGGAAATATTCCCTAACTCAGTCTATGAGGCCAGCATTATCCTAATACCAAAACCAGGAGAAACATATTACAAGAAAAGAAAACTACAGAACAATATCTCTCATGAATACAGATGCAAAAATACTCAATAAAATATTAGCAAATCAAATCCAATAATATATAAAAAGAATTATACACCACAATCAAGTGGGATTTATCCCAGAAATGCAAGATTGATTCAACCTTTGAAAATCTATTAATCTCATTCATAACATCAAGAGGCTAAAGAAGAAAAATCATATAATCATGTCAATAGATGCAGAAAAATCACTTGACAAAAATCCAACACCCAATCACAATAAAAACAGTCAGCAAACTTAGGAATAAAGGGAACTTCCTCAACTCAATAAGGCAATCTTTTGGGTCTCTTACAATCCTTCAAAATCTGAATCTTAAAAATTAGCTTTATATTTAATAGTAAAGAGACTTGAAATACTTTAAATCAAACCCACTCCAATCCACTGAATTATATACCATTGTTTCCCAGTACTTTCATGGCCTTTGAAAACCCTGTAAATCAATCTTGCTCTTCTTTTCCACCTGCCAATATTTGTTTCTATTTACCCACATATTTAACATTTTCCTTATCCATCTTCTTTGTTTCTCAAGTCCTCCATCTGAGACCACTTCTAGAGAGCTTGCCCATGCTTCCCTTTAGCCTCCTGTTTATACACCTCTTTAGCCCATGACATCAAGTTTTTGAAGAAACCACACCAAATGTCACAACAGCAGTTAAAGAACAGTTTGAGCCAGGCGTGTGGGCTTATGCCTGTAATCCCAGCACTCTGGGAGGCTGAGGCGGATCACCTGAGGTCAGGAGTTCAAGACCAGCCTGGCCAACATGGCCAAACCTCATCTTTACTAAAAATACAAAAGTTAGCCAGCCATGGTGGCAGGCGCCTGTAATCCCAGCTACTTGGGAGGCTGAGGCAGGGAGAATCGCTTAACCCGGGAGGCAGAGATTGCAGTGAGCCGAGATCGCGCCACTGCACTCCAGCCTGGGCGACAGAGCAGGACTCCATTTAAAAAAAAAAAAAAAAAAAAAAAAAAAAAAAGAACAGTCTGGAAATCCCTAGGGGGCCTTGAGATTGAAACTATTTTCATATTTTTCCTTCTTTTGATCTCATTTGCTCATGAGTAAGAATGGAGTTTCCCAGTCTTACATGACATGTGACTGAATGTAGAAGCAGATATGAGAACCCAGCTGTCTACTTTTAAGTAATTTAAAGTATTTGAAAGTTGTGTAACAATGACGCTCTTATTATGTTTTTTGGTTTTGGAAATAATTCTTTTTCATAAAATAATTTCATAAAAATTTATTGCTTGTATTAACATGTAATGAGTTTATTAGTTTCAAATGAATCAAAAATATTTTTTGGTTGGGTGCTGTGGCTAACACCTGTAATTTCAGCAATTTGGGAGACCAAGGTGGGCAGATCACTTGAGGCCAGGAGTTCAAGACCAGCCTAGCCAACATAGTGAAACCCCATCTCTACCAAAAATACAAAAAATTAGCTGAGCATGGTGGTGCACACCTGTAATCCCAGCTACTCAGAAGGCTGAGGCATGAGAATCGCTTGAGCCTGGGAGGCAGAGGTTTCAGTGAGCCAAGATTGCATCACATACTCCAGCCTGGGCAGCAGAGTGACACCCTGTCTCAAAAAAAAAAAAAAGTTTTTTTTAAATTTCAATTTGAGGACTACTGTTGCAAAATGTCTACTGTTTTAAGTCAGTTTCCCAGGAAAAGAGAATCTGAGATGGAAATCTATGATAGGGTTTATTGGGGAGATCTCTTGGGAACATCAGCAGTAAGGAAATGAATAAAGCAGAACTGGATGGAAAGAGAAATTAAACTGATGCAGTTGAAATTTGTTCCCTGGGGAGCTCTAGAGCTGGGATTGCTCTTCAGAGTTGCTCTAAACTGAGGCAACGTGGGCCAAGCTGCCTGAAGGGAGACAGTGTAACCTTGCATAAGGCAGCTCCTTTCGTCCAACAGCAATTCCTTAGAGGAATTTAGCTGTGAGTTGTCAGCAGCCAAGATTCTCAGAAGTTGGCAGCACAAGTGCCTCAGTCCTGAAGGTGGAATCTTGAAAAGTCTGAGGCATAGCTTACACTCGAGTTCCCACAGGGATCAGGATGACACCATCCATGGCAGGACTGTGCCTGCGATCACACCCTTGACTTACTTCTTTTTCTTATTCTGCTTCCTCCATTCTCTTACCCCTCTTACTGAAAGCACTTCCTTAATAAATCACTTGCATAGGAATCCTCATCTCAAAGCCTGCTTCTGGGAAACAGCTGAAAAGAAAGTCCATCACACATCTTGAGTCCATCCCCAACCTTTACTCTAAAATATTTCTCCCCAGCCTGCTGCATTTTTATCAAATGGTCCACCGGCCAGCCAGTTTCTTTCCATAAAAACATAGGAGTTATCCTTTATCTCTTTACTCCTCATCTTTCATATGAACTCATTATGTTGAATCACCTCCAAAATGTATCTGAAATCTATCAATTTCTACTGCTGTGTCTAGTCCAAGCCACTATTAGTATGTTTTATTCTGTGTGTTTTGAGGCCATTCACAGGAACTGAACCTCTTATGAAGTTTGAACTCTAGAATGGAAACTCTCTAGGCAGTAACTCATGTGTGTCCAGGAAAAGAAGAATTCACCATGATTTAATTAATGATTTTTTTCAAAGTCTGTCTCAGTCACTTATATCTATCTTATTATTTCTACCCCTTAGGACAGAAGGAAAAAATGAATTTACAGAGACCAGATCATCTGCTTGCTGACACAAGATCAGTAAAACGCCCTTTTAGACCTACTCTGAGGCACTTTACCTCACCTGATAGGTTCAGCCAGTCTTACTGGGGTGAGAGAGGCCAAAAGAGAAATCTAAGGTTGTCCTTATGGGCCTTAAGTGGAATTTTACATTTCTCTGTTGACTCTAAAGCTATGTAAAGAAAGGGGCAGAGGATTTAAGGCATATAAAGTACAGGCCAAAAACAAACAAACAAACAAACAAAAAACATTAAAAAGAAAATCACAGATAAAAACAACTGTTTAGACAAAAAAAAAAAGTCTCACAAATATTTATACAGGGTTACTTGTGTGGATACACGAAATGCGAAAACCATTTTTTAAAAAAAGGTTTACAGGCTGGGCATGGTGGCTCACAGACCAGCTTGACCTACGTAGTGAAACCCTGTCTCTATGAAAATACAAAAATTAGCCGGGCATGGTGGCGGGAGCTTGTAGCCCCAGCTACTCAGGAGGCTGAGGCAGGAGAATCACTTGAACCCAGGAGGCGCAGGTTGCAGTGAACCGAGATCATGCTGCTGCATTCCAGCCTGGGCAACAGAGGGAGACCCCCTCTCCAAAAAAAGAAAAAGGTTTACAGGCTGGTACAGTGGCTCACACCTGTAATCCCAGCACTTTGGGAGGCCAAGGTGGGTGGATCACCTGAGGTCAGGATTCGAGACCAGCCTGGCCAACATGGTGAAACCCCAGCTCCATTAAAAATACAAAAAAAAAAAAAATTAGCCAGGCATGGTGGCACGCACCTGTGGTCCCAGCTGCTTGGGAGGCTAAGGCAGGAGAATCACTTGAACCCGGAGGCAGAGGTTGCAGTGAGCCAAGATCACGCCATTGCTCTGCAGCCTGGGTGACAGAGCAAGACTTTGTCTCAAAAAAAAAAAAAAAGTTTACACATAAATATTGGGTATGCTAGCAAAACTGGATTTAGTATAAAACTTATTGAAGAAGGGACTACGAAATGATAATACTCATTTAGATATTTCAGTTTGGGTAAGTTGTCATTGTTTTCACTGAAGTCAGTCCCTGCTGTTGTTAAGTCACCATCAGTCTTCAAAAATACCTAATAACAATCAAAACTGATAGTCATGGTTGTACTTCACATCTTTAGTCTGAGATTTACTTTTGTGAAATCAACTTCAAACAAATGTAGTTAATGTTCAATCATAAAAGCTAAAGATCCCTTTTCACAAACACCCCCTATTTTTATCTCCTTTGTATTGTTTTTATTTTTTTGAGGCAGAGTCTTGCTGTGTCGCCCAGGCTGAAGTGCACTGGCGTGATCTTGGCTCACTGCAACCTCCGCCCCTCTAGGTTCAAGCAATTCTCCTGCCTCAGCCTCCTGAGTAGCTAGGATTACAGGCATGCACCACCACGCCCAGCTAATTTTTGTATTTTTAGTAGAGGTGGGCTTTCACCATATTGGCCAGGCTGGTCTCGAACTCCTGACCTCAAGTAATCGGCCCGCCTAGGCCTCCCAAAGTGCTGGGATTACAGGCGTGAGCCACCACACCCAGCCTATCTCCTTTTTATTTATTTTTTATTTTTTTGAGAAAGGGTCTTACTCTGTCACGCAGACTGGAGTGCAGTGGCACAATCTTGGCTCACTGCAACCTCTGCCTCCCGCATTCAAGCAATTCTCCTGCCTCAGCCTTCTGAGTAGTTGGGATTACAGGCACCCGCCCCATGCCTGGCTAATTTTTGTATTTTTAGTAGAGACGGGGTTTCATCCTGTTGACCAGACTGGTCTTGAATTCCTGACCTCAGGTGATCCACCCGCCTCGGCCTCCCAAAGCGCTGGGTTTACAGGCTTGAGCTACTGCGTCTGGCCCTATCTCCTTTTTAAAAAGGCATTAGCAGCTTTCTGTAATGTATATCAACTAATATTGTAGAGATGGCATAATAAAAACATCACCTCTGTAAGGGTTGGTTCATGTATTATTACAGAGAATGAGACTCTTCAAGAGGAACTCTACTATTAGTGCTCAGGGTCTAAGTTCACCACCATTTCCAACCAAAACCGGATGGGCTGTGTAAGTCAAGAGTTGTAAAAAGAATAAAATGGTCTCTAGATTAAAACCAACACACTTTTACACAATTGCTTATGGCCACCTCAGGAAATAAATGATTTCTCATTTCAAAATATTGTTATAATTAACAATGATATTAATGCCTATGCTGGTTGTATGGAAAATTACAGGGCAAGAAAACAAATATTGCAAAGTCACTTTCCCAGGAAAAATCTTAATCTCTCCACAATACTCTAAATATATTGGTAATTAGTTAGCTATGAACCTAATAAATTTGCTGTCTAATAATACTGGCTCCACTGAAAGGACAGGCACCGTGAGTAGTAGACATGATGCCCGGAGCTAGTAAATAAAAACACATTTCATTTGTTATACTGGCATCTGATTTTCAAATTTTTAATAATTAAATATTTACTTGAATCTAAGATATCATCAGTTGAAAGGAGTCCAATTTCAGAAATGTTAAAATATAAAAACACAGCATCATCAAGTTGCTAAAATGTGCTAATTTCACATTATATAATAAACAAGAATATTCTAATTACTAATTTTCTAGAGAGATTTTTCATAAAATAGTTGAGCATCTGATAGGGCATATGAATCCATTATAACATTTCCTTCTATGGGCACAGGCTTCCCTTGGCCTGTTGTGAGAAAGAACAAGAAAAACACTATTACAAGTAAACATTCATATTGTCATTGTGTATAATTAGCTTTTAAGATTTATTTTATATGCTACCAGTCTTTTTAAGGTATAAAAACTACAAGCAAAGCTAAAGTCTCCTTTTAATCAACAGCCTCAAATTCAATCTCCAGAGACAATGCTATCAATAATTGGGTGTGTATCCTTCTATTCTATTTTAAATAGTTTTACATACAATTTTCAATAATAGAAACAGTTGTTCTTTATAAATGATTTCATTCCAATTTACATAAATATTATTACACAATGTTTCATTTGTATTTTGATTTTTTTCATTCAACATTGTTTTAACTATCCATGTTACACAATATGGATCTGGTTCACTGCTTTTAAGTGCTGTATACTATTCTATCATTTGAATATATCATATTTTATTCATCCATTACCCCACTGATGAATATTTAGGTTGTTTTCAATGCAGATATATGTCTATATATTTCTTTTTTTTTAAGAGATGGGGTCTTGCTATGTTTCCCAGGCTGGTCTTGAACTCCTGACCTCAAGTTATCTTCTTCTATCAGCCTCCCAAGTAGCTGGGATTACAGGCATGTGCCACTGCATCTGGCTATACATACATACATATATTATATATATATTTCTTATGCATTATTTGTGAGTTTCTATAGGATGTATATATACCTAGAAGTGGAATTACAGAGTCCTTTTGTCTTGAAAAAAAAAAAAAAAAAGCTCCTTGGCCTCAACGTCATAGACAATATCATCTATTTTCTCCCAATGGTTTCACAGTTTGGCTTTTCAAATTCCAGTATTTAAATCCTTTAGAATGTTAATTTTTTGGCCAGGTGCAGTGGCTCAAGCCTGTAAACCCCAGCACTTTGGGAGGCCAAAGAGGGCGATCACTTTTGAAGTCAGGAGTTCAAGACTACCCTGGCCAACATGGTGAAACCCCGTCTCTACTAAAAATACAAAAAACAAAACAAAACAAAACAAAAAAACCCGGAAAGCAGAGGCTGCAGTGAGCTGAGATTGCACCACCGTACTCCAGCCTGGGCGACAGAGTGAGACGCTTGTCTCAAAAAAAAAAAAAAAAAAAAAAGAATATTGATTTTTTAGTATGTCGTAATGTTGTAATTTTATTTTCTCCAATACGGAGAGTCAAATATTCCCAGCAATTTTATTGACTAGGTCATCATTTCCCTACTAATTCATGATGTCAGGTCTAACATACACTGAGTTCACATATATTCATGAATCTGCTTCTGGATATTCTATTCTTTAAAATCTGCTCATTTACCTACTAATGTACTAATATCACACATTTTTAAATGACTATAACTTTATATCATACAGTGAGGGTGTTTCCTCTATTCTTTTCAAAATTGTCGCAGCAATTCATACACTTCTATTTCACATGAATTTTATAATCATTTTTGAAAGATCCTAGAAAATTCTTAGTTGATTTTGTTTGGAACTGCATTCAGTCTATAGATTTTCAGAATTGAGGTTTTTATAATACTGGGTTTTTCCATCTATGTATATGGTATTTCTTTCCATTTATTCCAGTCTTACACCTTTTAACAAAGTATTAAAATTTTTCCATAAAGATCCTGGCTTTTTTGAGCTTATGCCAAGATATTTTAAGTAAAACATGGGTTGAATTTAAGAGGCCTTCTTTCATTTAATATACTTGGTGTCTCTCACCTGTATGACCTCTCTTATGTATAGAAAGGGATGCTCTTTGAGAGAATGCTTTCCCACATTCATTACATTCAAAGGGTTTCTCACCAGTATGACTTCTCATATGTATAATAAGTAATGAGCACTGAGAAAAGGCTTTCCCACATTTATTACATTCATAGGGTTTCTCCCCTGTGTGACTTCTCACATGAAGAGTGAGGGATGAGATTCGAGAGAAGGCTTTACCACATTCATTACATTTGAATGGTTTCTCTCCAGTATGAATTTTTTCATGCTCAAGAAGATTTTGTCTCTGACTGAAAGCTTTCCCACATTGATTACAATGATAAGGTTTCTCTCCAGTATGAATTTTCTCATGTTCAGTGAGGTTTGATTTCTGACTAAAGGCTTTTCCACATACTGTACATGCATAGGGTTTCTCACCCGTATGAATTCTCTGGTGTCGAATGAGGTTTGACATCTGAATAAAAGCTTTCCCACATTCACTGCATTCATAAGGTTTCTCTCCAGTGTGAATTTTCTGATGTGTAATGAGATTTTCTTTCCTGCTGAAGGCTTTTCCACATTCCTTACATTCATAGGGTTTCTCAGCTGTATGATTTCGCATATGTACGGTTAGGGATGAACTCTGAGAGAAGGCTTTCCCACATTCACTACATACATAGGGTTTCTCACCAGTGTGACTTCTCATATGTATAATAAATACTGAGCATTGAGAGAAAGCTTTTCCACATTTATTACATTTATAGGGTTTCTCCCCTGTGTGACTTCTCATATGTAGCGTAACAGATGACATTCGAGAAAAAGCTCTACCACATTCATTACATGCATAAGGTTTCTCCCCAGTATGAATTTTCTCGTGCTCAATAAGATTTTGCTTCTGGCTGAAGGATTTCCCACATTCCTTACATTCATAGGGTTTCTCTCCAGTGTGAATTCGCTCATGTTCAATGAGATTTGATTTCTGACTGAAGGCTTTCCAACAATCCTTACATGCATAAGGTTTCTCCCCAGTATGAATTCTGTGGTGTCTAATAAGGTTTGACATCTGAATGAAAGCTTTTCCACATTCATTACACTTATACGGTTTTTCCCCAGTATGAATTTTCTGATGTGTAATAAGATTTTCCTTCCTACTGAAGGCTTTTCCACATTCTTTACATTCGTAAGGTTTCTCTCCAGCATGAATTCGCTCATGTCTAATGAGGTCAAATTTATGACTGAAGTCTTGTCCACACTGATTACACTTAAAGGGGGTTACAACATAGGATGCACAATGGTAAAATGGTTTCCCAAACTCATTACTCTGTTTCTCTCTTACACAGCCTTTCTCATATCTAAGTAAGTCTAAATTATGTTCCAAACCCTTATCAAGTGAGTCACAGTCATAGAAGCTTTGTCTTGAAGTAACAATGTCTGAACTCAGAGGAAATATTTTCGCAACTTTTTTACATTCAATGACTTTTTCCTTTATCAGAATTTTCTTGGAGATGGATGTGACTTTCCTCACAAGTGTTTCCTGTTGCTTCTTGATCTGTTCATCAACTTCCCAAACTTCTAAAATGGAGGACCAGAAATTATTACTTGTGAATTATTCTACCACTAGACTATTAATAACATATCAGAAATAGGCTAATGTGGGGTTTAATCTTTGATGTTGGCCTAGTCAACCAATACAAAAGAAAGCTAAGAGTAAATGTTCCTAGTTCCTAAGGTTTGAGAAGTTAACTACTACATAAAACATATGGAGACAAAAACTGACATCTGTAGGTCCAAGTAGCCTTGACTGATTTTTAAAGCGTCCACGTATAGTGCAGAAATCAGCAAAATGAATAGAATAATTAAAATGAAAGGGTGAACACAAAAATGACTGATAGGGAGTCAAACGGCTAGAGAACAAAATGAACATTTGTGACTAAACACACAGGCTTGAATGCATGTATTTTTCCTCCTTCCTAAAATGCCATTAAAATGATAGTGAAGGAATAAAGGGTTAAATCCATAAGAAAAAGGAGACGTGAGTGTAAAAAAAGATGAACAAGAGATTTTAACATAATACTGCAGGATGAGAAGCATTTAGGATAAACTGAATAGCAAAGCTACAAAGTATCATGAAGATGCAAATGACAATAAGCAACAAAGAGATTTGGCCAGAAATCACTGGAAAGGCTCAAGAATTGGAGAATCTAGGCGCTCAAAAGGTAGGGATAAACAAGCACAAGGCAAGGATGTTCCCTCGCATTACTGCTTTTTAACATTGTACTAGAAGTCCTACCTAATGCAATAACAAGAAAAGGAAATAAAAGCTATTCAGATTAGGAAGGAAAAACGAAACAACAACTGTCTTTGTTCACAGGTGATGTGATCATCTATGTAGGAAATCTGAAAAAAAAAAAAAAAAAAAAAAAAATCAACAACAAAAAACCCCTGCTGCAACTACTAAGTCAAAGGCTGACAAGTTTGCAGAGCAATAGGACCTCTCACTCATTGCTGGTGGGACTGCAAAATGGTACAGCCACTTTGGAAGACAGTCTGGCAGTTTCTTACAAAATTAGCCATACTATTACCATATTATTCAGCAATCATGCTTGGTATTTACCCCAATGAGTTGAAAACATATGTCCATACAAAAATCTGCACATGGATATTTACAGCAGCTTTATTCCTAATTGCCAACACTTGGAAGATGCCCTTTACTAGGTGAACGGATAAACTGTGCTACATCTAGACAATGAAATATTCATCAATGATAAAAACAGATGTGCTATCAAGTTATGAAAAGACATGGAGGAACCTTAAATGCATGTTGCTAAGTAAAAGAAACCCATTGGAAAAGGCCACCTACTATATGATTCCAAACTGGAAAAGGCAAAATGATGACTAGTAAAGGTATCAGTGGTTGCCAGAGCTTATGGGAGAGGAAGGAATAAACAGGAGGAAGAGAGAGGAGTTTTAGGACAGTGAAAGTATTCTGTAAGATACTATAATGGATCTGAGTCATTATACATTTACCAAAACCCATAGAATGTACAACACCAGGAGTGACCCTAATGTAAATTATGGACTTTGTGTAATAATAATGTGTATAATAATAACAGTAATGAAGGTTCATTGATGGTAACAAATATACCACTGTGGTGCAAGATGTTGACAGTGGGGAAGGCTGTGTGTGCCTGGGCAGTGGGTATCCATATACTTGGTACTTTTTCATGAGCTCTGTACACCACTCAGTTTTGTTGTGAACCTAAAACCAGCCTAAAAGATGAAGTTTATTAATTTAAAAAACCAGATGCAGTGGGCTGTACCTATATTCCCAGCTACTTGGAAGGGTTGCTAAAGCCCAGGAATTTGAGACTAGTCTGGGAAACATAGCAAGACCTCATCTCAAAAAAAAGTGGAGTGGGTAGGATAAGAGTGGGACTAAAAAGAAGAGGATTAAAGTCTGAGTAGGGAGCAGTTACACACCAAGGCAAGAGTTATGGATCTGCTTAAGTAACATGTATTCCAGTCTCCCACCATGCTTTTCCATCCCGTAAAGGCTGAGGCAGTTAAAACTACATTTCCTAGACATAACTGCATGTAGAGTTCCCATGTGATTTAGATTCACCATACACTCTAACATGAATGAGATCAACAATCCCTTTCTGTTATTTAGCCTCATGAATGCTGGCATGTACCTACACATAGGAGATAAAAAGATTAAAAGGAACAACAGATGCTGGCATTTGGGGCCCCACACAAAACTTCCAGGTTCAGCCAGGGCATGGTGGCTTACACCTGTAATCCCCGCACTTTGGGAGGCCGAGGCAGGTGGATCACGAGGTCGGGAGTTCAAGACCAGCCTGACCAACATGATGAAACCCCGTCTCTACTAAAAATACAAAAATTAGCTGGGCGTGGTGGTACGTGCCTGTAATCCCAGCTAGACAGGAGGCTGAGGCAGGAGAATTGCTTGAACCTGGGAGGCAGAGGTTGCAGTGAGCCGAGATCGTGCCGCTGCACTCCAGCCTGGGCAACAGAGTGAGACTCAGTCTCAAACAAACAAACAAACAAACAAACAAAAAATCTTCTAGGTTCTGATCCAACCATTCTACAGTATAGTCCACTAGTTAAAAAAAACACAGGCAGGGTGCAGTGGCTCAAGCCTGTAATCCCAGCACTTTGGGAGGCCAAGGTAGGCGGATCACCAGAGGTTGGGAGTTCAGCCTGACTAACATGGAGAAACCCCATCTCTACTAAAAATACAAAATTAGTTGGGTGTGGTGGAGCATGCCTATAATCCCAGCTACTTGGGAGGCTGAGGCAGGAGAATCGCGTGAACCTGGGAGGCGGAGGTTGTGGTGAGCCGAGATTGCAACTTTGCACTCCAGCCTGGGCAACAAGAGCGAAACTCCATCTCAAAAAAAAAAAAAAAAAAAAGGAAACAAAAAAAAAAACTAAAAAATTTCTTTTATCCTCTTTAAAATTTAGAATTTTGGAAGATGTTTAGAATTTCCCTTTTATCCCTTCATGCATCAAAATGAGGTAAACTAATAACAACGATGGATTCCTTATTTAAACAAAGAATTTTGAGGGTATCATTTAAATTAATAATACATAGAAAATAGAAAAATAAGGCAAGTAGTAATTCTAGGAGTGACAAAAAGTTATATAAGTATATTAATTAAGAGTCATTTCTTGCCTCATAGTAAACAATATGTCAACAATCATAACAAAGTAAGTGGTGAAATTGAATTAGCTAAAAATTGTGATGTATCTATATTCCAGAAGAAAAGGAAAGGAGAAGTGATTGTGGTAATGCTACTAAACCTCATCTTCTATTTATATCAAGTTGATAAAAACTGACAAATTACCAAACAGCAGCGGAAGTCCAGATTCCACCCTGTCCCTGAAACACCAATTCCTGCTTTGCCCTATAGATAACCATTTTTATTAGTTCTTGGATTATTATTATTGTTATCATTATTATTATTTTGAGACAGAGTCTCACTCTGTCGCCAGGCTGGAGTGCAGTGGCGCAATCTCGGCTCACTGCAACCTCCGCCTCCCGGGTTCAAGCGATTCCCCTGCCTCAGCCTCCCCAATAGCTGGAACTACAGGCGCACACCACCACGCCCGGCTAATTTTTTGCGTTTTTTTAGTTGAAACAGGGTTTCACCATGTTGGCCAGGATGGTCTTTATCTTCTGACCTCATGATCCGCCCGCCCCAGCCTTCCAAAGTGCTGGGATTACAGGTATGAGACACCACGCCCAGCCAGTTCTTGGATTATTCTTCCACTATTTAAAAAAACACACACACATACATACACACACACACACACACACACACATATAATCACACATTTCCTTATATATAGTACATATACACGCATATATCATATGTACAGTTGGCCCTTGAACAACATGGGGATGAGGTGCTAATCCTCCACATAATTGCAAATGTTTCTAACTTTTGACTCTCCCAAAACTTAACCAGTAATAGCCTACTGTTGACCAGAAGCCTTATTGAAAACATAGTTGATTAACACATATTTTGTATATGTATTATATGCTGCATTTTTACAATAAAATAACTTAGAGAAAATAAAATGTTATTACAATAATCATAAGGAAAATACATTTACTATTCATTAAGTGGAAGTGGATAATCCTAAACATCTTCATCCTCATTATCTTCACACTGAGTAGGCTGAGGAGGAGGTCGGTCTTGCTGTCTTGGGTGGCAGAGGTGTAAGAAAATCAGCATGTAAGTGGACTCGTGCAGTTTAAACCCATGTTGTCCGAGGGCCAATTGTATTTTTAATATATATTTTATACACACACACACACACACACACACACACACACACACACACACTTCTCTCTCTGTCTCTCTTCCCATCCATTTGCACATAAAAGAGAGTATATTCTAAACAATGTTCTCTACGCTGAGTTTTTTTCACTTACATGTACTGAAACCATGACTTCTCTGACTGTAACTTTAGAGTTCTGACAATAAAATCATGTACATATTTTACATATGAAAAAATAAAAATTAAATCAAAAAAGAAAAAAGCCAAAGCAATCCCTAAAAATAGAAAAAAATTGGAAACAAGCCTACTTATCAAATGAGGGTCATAATCACATAGAAAATTACTTCAAGTAACCTTAAACATAGTAGTTTGACTATATATCCCTATTAGAATATATTCTAAGGAAGAAAACTCAAAAGACATCTTAAATTACGTTTAGTTGTCTTTTTATTATTAGTAATATTAGCATTACTGTTAATTTGAAATTAATATATAAAGAAAGAAGATAGATTAATCAGTGTTACTCCTTAAGGGTCACTGGGCAATGTCTGGAAGGTCTACAGACATTTTTGGTTTCCACAACTGGGAAGATGATGGGGAGAAAGAGGGATGGCGCTACTGTTATCCAGTGAGTAGAAGCAGGCATGCTGCTAAACGTCCCCCAACACACAAGGCAGTCCCCCAGAGCAAAGAATTATCTGGCCCAAAATGTCAATAGTGTCAAGGGTGAGAAATATATATGAATTAAGGAAATAAACATGTAATGAGGAGCCAAGATTTTCAGCATAAAAGGTAAAAGGGCACTATACTTTTTAATTTTAATTGGATGTATCTAAAATTCATATATATTTTTCTTTTTCTTTTTTGTTTTTTTTTTGAGATGGAGTTTTGCTCTTGTTGTCCAGGCTGGAGTGCAATGGCATGATCTCGGCTCACCAAAACCTCCACCTCCCAGGTTCAAGCAATTCTCCTGCCTCAGCCTCCCGAGTAGCTGGAATTACAGGCATGCACCACCACGCCCAACTAATTTTGTATTTTTAGTAGAGACGGGGTTTCTCCATGTTGGTCAGGCTGGTCTCAAACTCCCAACCTCAGGTGATTCGCCTGCTTCAACCTCCCCAAGTGCTGGGATTACAGTCATGAGCCACCGTGACTGGCCTATTTTTTTCTTTTTAAAAGATGCATTTTTCCTAGCTCTGTCCACTTAAAAGCTATAGAACCAATAACTCAGTATTAAAGAGCAACCATAATCCTCAGACTGCAGTCTCCACAATATCATTTCCTGCTAAAAGAGGCAAAAGTTTTTAAAGAAATGGCTATTTCCATGTCTGGAGCGGGAAACTTACAAGATTAACTAAAGATCCCTCTTGCTCAAGATGAGACAATTTGAGTATTAATATATGGGCCTGGTGTGGTGGCTCATGACTGTAATCCCAGCACTTTGTGAGGCCAAAGCGGGCTGATCACTTGAGGCCAAGAGTTCGAGACCAGCCTGGCCAACATGGCGAAACCCAATCTCTACTTAAAAATACAAAAATTACAGGTGTGGTGGCGCACACCTTTAATCCCAGTACTCGGGAGGTGGAGGCACGAGACTCGCTTGAACCCGGGAGGCGGATGTTGCAGTGAGCTAAGATCACACCACTGCTCTCCAGCCTGGGCGACAGAGCAAGACTCTGTCTTCAATATTATAATAATAATAATATATGAAAAATATTTATATGCCTATAATATATTCTGATGCTCAAATTACATAAATTTATAATGATTTAACTTGACAAATTTTGGAAACCTCTAGGACACCAATCATTATTCTAAAAGCTTTTGAAGAGAAAGAGTATTTCTTTTTCCTGGCCTGAGAAACTGTATTTCAGTGCAATCAAATAGTTAATGAGAGAGTTTTTCTCTTTGGGAGAATTTCAGCTAATAAAAGTGAAAGACGCTCAATAAAATAATGGATCTAGGCTATGATGGTCAATAGGTGCTAAAACCCTTAAGTGAAAGGTTGACAGAGATCACTGAAATAGGAGGATTTGGCCTGACAATACATGAATCTACTGATCAATCTCAATTATGTCTGTAAGTGGGACAAACTGACATAAGATGCAATAGGATGTACACAGCATCACCTATGAGGTATACTTGCCAAAGATTTGAATCTGCATTGAATAAAGCCAGATTATAGGAAAAATGGGATAAAGAAGCATGTCAAACACCACCACAAGGAGGTCAAATGGCAAATCCAGAATAAGGTACATCTAGAGCAGGGGTTGGCAAACTATACCCACAGCCTGCTTTTGTATAGTCTGTGAACTAAGAATGTGCAGATTTTATTTGGATCCTGATTCAAATAAACCAACCATAAACAACATTCTTGACACAATGAAATATATAACAGAGACTAAGTAGAAGATGATAGTAAGAAATTATTACTAATGTTGTTAGGTGTGTTAGAAATATTGCAGGATTAAACAAATCTCTTGGCAATACATATGGTAGTATTTAAAAGAAAAGGTAAAGTAGTTCAGCAAAAAAACAAAACAAAACTGGAGTGGGGGTAAGAGAGAAACAGAGTAAACAAATCTAAGAAAATGTCGGTAACTGTTGAAGCTGAGTGATGAATACATGAGGATTCCTTATATTATCTCTCTATTCTTCTTTTTTTTTTTTTTTTTTTGAGACGGAGTCTGGTCCTGTCACCCAGGCTGGAGTGCAGTGGCGTGATCTCGGCTCACTGCAAGCTCTGCCTCCTGGGTTCACGCCATTCTCCTGTCTCAGCCTCCCGAGTAGCTGGGACTACAGGCACCCGCCACCACGCCTGGCTAGTTTTTTGTACTTTTAATAGAGATGGGGTTTCACCATGTTAGCCAGGATGGTCTCGATCTCCTGACCTCATAATCTGCCCACCTTGGCCTCCCAAAGTGCTAGGATTACAGGCGTGAGCTGCCGCGACCAGCTCCTTTATCTCTCTATTCTTATGTTTGAAAATGACTACAGAAACATTTACAGACTGGGTGCGGTGGTGCACGCCTGTAATCCCAGCACTTTGGGAGACCGAGGTGAGTCAGGAGTTCGAGACTAGCCTGACTAACATGGTGAAACCCCATCTCTACTAAATACAAAAAATTAGCCGGGCGTGGTGGTGTATGCCTGTGATCCCAGTTACTTGGCAGGCTGAGGCAGGAGAATCACTTGAACCCAGGAGGCAGAGCTGCAGTGAGCAAAGATCACGCCATTGCACTCCAGCCTGGGCAACAACAGCAAGACTCTGTCTCAAAAAAAAAAAAAAAAATTTACAGAGCAGTATAAACATTTGTTTCAAAATACGTAGGTCGACAACAAAAGAGATAGTTAAAAAAAGTCAAAAATAATTGACTAAAGGAGGTGAAATGTGAGGTCAGAGCACAGCACTGCTATAATCTGACATTTCTACTGGCTCTCTAAAACAAGTAATGTATAAGGTATACTTTGAAAAAACTAAAAATGCATATTAAAAGGGAAAGAAATGGCATGAGAAATAATAACAGCTACATTAGGTTAAGAGAAACAAATGATAACCCAAGTTCTCATTACTTTTGCCTAGATTAACTGTCATGATCCTGACAAGTCTATCTTTTGTGCAGTCTGCATACCACAGGCAAATTAATTTTCATAAAGTTCAAATTCCTTTATTTCTATCTAAACATACTTGAAGATTAGTCTGTCCAAACTAAATACGATCCAAAATTGGTAATAAATATGGAGAGAGCTCCAACTTTCCATCTAATTGTGATTCATTTTTATATGTGCTTAAAGAACAAGGCATATTAGAAATAGGAAGGTCTAATTTTATTGAATAAAAAGTATAAAGCTGATCAGGAGGCAAGCCATCTTTGATTCACCACAGTGTGTTAACAGCAGGTCCTATCATCTTATCCTATGTTTATTTCTCCACACTGAAACTGCCTTTATATCAAATTCCATTGTGTTTTGACTTTTTTCTTTCATACCATCACCCAAAATGATAACATTCCTACATCATTAGTTCTACAATGGTTTTCCACGCCCCTGGAGTTCCATCAGCTGTGGGTAACTTAAAATTCAGATAACTAGATGTGTTTTAACCTTCATATTCTGTTTATCTTATAAACCCCTGCTTATAATTGACCATTGTAACCTTGCTGCCACCATGCACAGGGCAAAACTATAGCTTCAGTGATTAAAGAGGGGAAAAAATAAACTAAATTGACAACAAAATTTTAAAAATAAAAGACAGCAAAAGAGAACATGAATGCTAGCAAAATTCAGAACTTTCTGACTCTACAATGGAAAACTCATCCTTGATTTCACTAATCTCTTACAATCTTCTCTCCTCTAATCAGGCCATGTTTCTAATTTTACCCCCCAAACAGACACGCTAATTTTACTTTCCAAACATTTTGTTATGTTTTCTAATTTTTAATAAGTCTAAATAAGCTATAGATCTTACAGGAAAATGGCTTCAATGCCAAGCTCTTATCAAAAAGAAAAAGAAAGCCTCAATCTTGTTACTCCTTCTACAGCCCTTCTCTTAAAACTTTCTAGGTGTTGTCTGGTTTACTCATTTACTAAATAGACACTTCACATGCAATTTAACATTCAACACTATCTCATGTGACTATGCCCTGTCTTTCTAACTCTAGCCTGATTTCTTCCACGTTTATTTTGAAATCTGTAGGTAAATATTTTAAAACAACCAAAAATAAGAAAAATCTTCCCAAATATAGCTCTACATCAATCATGACTCATTTATAGGAAGAATAAAAGTTTTCTTTCTCCAGGTGGACTAATAAACAAGTGTTAGACATCAAAATATGAAAACATGTAGAAGATAGTATATGTTTTCAGATTCCAACCACTCTGGTAGACGTGTAATAGAATGTTAGTTGAGAGATGGGCAAGACCAATGTAGGCTGGAAATATTGAGGACCATTTATTAGAAAATGATATTAAAGTTAAATAACTGCTAGAACTTAGGTAAGAGCACTCATAATTAATGGCAGAGATATGAAGAGTTTCAAAATTCTGGAGGCATTAAAGATACATATTCCAATGCTGTCATTTCTAGAGTTAAATACCTATTTAATAGCATGAACACAGATATAGCATGAAGGTACTCTGAGGAAAAAGAAGTCTATTGTAATTCAGAACTACTTTGGGTGATGTCCAGTGAGAGATGAGAAAGAAGTCATGTAAAAGATATTTCACAAGGGAAGAAGAAATAAACAATAAACCAGAACCAAGGAAGAATTTGAATCCTTTAGAGAAGCACAAAGAAGAAAGACATTTCCAAGAAGGGTGAAATGGATCAAATACAGCATAGAGGACTTCCTGTTTCAATATGGTAGAATTAAACATCTCTGTCTCCTCTTCACTCTGCAAACATGAAGAAGAAACAGAAAAAGAAAATATATCTTCTGGCCAGATGCAGTGGCTCTTGCCTGTAATCCCAGCACTTTGGGAGGCCGAGGTGGGCGGATCACGAGGTCAGGAATTCGAGACCAGCCTGGCCAACATGGTGAAACCCCGTCTCTACTAAAAGATACAAAAATTAGCCAGGCATGGTCACGCGTGCCTGTAGTCCCAGCTACTTGGGAGGCTGAGGCAGAAGAAT
Organism: Homo sapiens; assembly: GCF_000001405.40. Taxonomy (NCBI): domain Eukaryota; kingdom Metazoa; phylum Chordata; class Mammalia; order Primates; family Hominidae; genus Homo; species Homo sapiens. The sequence continues at coordinate 36,939,643 of NC_000019.10, read as the reverse complement.
CGCTTAAACCCAGGAGGCGGAGGTTGCAGTGAGCTGAGACTGCACCACTGCACTCCAGCCTGGATGACAGAGTGAGACTCCGTCTCAAAAAAAAAAAAAAAAAAAAAAAAAGAAAGAAAATACATCTTCAATGAACCTTAAAGATAGCTAAACTCCATCCCCAGAATAGGAGGAAAGAACAGAAAATAGACTGGATTAGGCAGGGAAGAAACCCAGAGATAGCAGTTCCTGTTTCTTATCTCCAACAAAAAGTACAGGGAACAGAGTTCTCTAAAACAGAGGCACCCCCTTGTGGGCAGAATGAATGAGTCATTTTTTTGCCAGATGTCTTGAAATTGTGGCAGGTACAGAATGGACTTCATCTGGCCCTGACAAATGGTACAAAGGCAGGGCTGAACAAAGAGATGCAAACAGCCAGTATTCTTATATAAGCAGTTTGTTAGCATAGGAAGATGGAAGAGACACTGAGTTCTAGAGGAAGTATGCAAATAATAATCTCTCTTTAACTTGGGAGAATGAAAGGGTAAACCAACTCTCAACACAAAACCTTGTATGATAAAGGAGGTCAGTGTGAGGTATAGAGACTTCTTACCAACTCAGAGTATTTTTCTGGACAGTCTTCAACACTATCCTTCTGTAAACAGTGGCTACAGCAGGAAATACCTTCATCGAAAGATGACAATGATAACCACAAAAGAAACGAGCATGAAATCTATATGACGACATTTCAAGGAACAAAAATCATGAATCCACAAGCTGAAAGGAAAAACTGATACTGATTGATCAATTCCAAGGCATAGCCTCATAAAGCCACTTAAGCTTTAAAGAAAAAGAAACCTATAGGCATCCTGGAAAATAAGTCACCTATGAGGGGAAATAATCAGGCTTCAGACTTCTCCAAGCAACATTTGAATCTAGGAAACAACAGAGAATTGTCTAAATCCCTCAGGTAACTGTCTGTAAAACTCTTTGGAAAAGAAAGTATGGTTCAAGAATTTTACACACAGCCAACTATCAACCAAATGTAAAGGTTAAAAAGATATTTTCCCATATGCAAAACCTCAGGGACTCTAGTTTCCATTAAATTATAAGCTCATAAAGACAGGATTTTGTTTGGTATACTGTTATATATCCATGCCCAGAAGAGTATTTCATCTTTGTTCTTACTACTATAAATGTAGTTTTCTTTCCTTAGTATCTTCTACTTGGTTGTTGAAGTATATATGAAAGCTATTGATTTTTCTTTGTTAATTTGATATCCTACCACCTCACTGAGTTCTGTTACTATTTGTTGTACTTTCTCAATTGGTTTGCTTGTGTTTTCTAGGGATACAATCTCATTATCTGTAAATAAGGATGGTTTTATAGCTTTCTTACCCATTATTATAGTGAAATGTATAAAAGCAACAATGGGAAAACTTGGAAAGCTCCATTTCTAAAGGACACAGAAGTAGATATGAAAATCTGAACAAAGACAGTGTGTGTTCTTAGACAGAAAACATTGGCATTAAAAGGATGTTAAATTTCTGAAAGTTAATTTATATATTTAGCACAATCCCAATAAAAATTCCAACAGGTTTTTCTCTGGAAATAGACAGTTTAGTCTAAAATTCATATGGTAAAATAAATAATCAAAAATAGCCAGGATAACTCCAAAAAAGAAGTGTATGCAACTGTGGAAAGGAAGGGACCATGTCCAGGATAAGAGGAAGATTTACTTTTGCACAAAAGGTATAATATTGGTATTATAGGTATAATATTGGTTACATTGGTTATATCTTTTCAACCAAGGATGGACCTCATGTAGTTTCAAAAAAATTAAAGGAATGGAAGGCAGGAATAAGCAGAAAGGAGATGCCATGGGATTTCTAAGCCAGAAACTTTTACATTTCTAAGCCATGGGATTGTGAGGGTTGTGAAGCACAATGGGAAGTGAAACTATTGTTAACCAAACACAAATCTAAGGCTTTTTAAAAAAGAAAGAAGGAAAGAAATGAAAAGAAACCTAAGTGTGAAACATGTTTTAAAATTACTACACAACCATGAAATACTGAATGCATAAGAAAATGAAACCATAAACATAAAGGAAAGAGAGTGCCCGAGGATCATAGAGAGAGGAACAATAATCCTGAAAGTGAAGCTGTGAATGAATTAGGGAAGGTTGGTATTATGAAATTGGATAGGGCTACTGGCCCTCTACAATTTAAAAGAGGAAAATATCTGCAAAATAGGAAGAATAATACCTAGAAATGTCACAGTAATCTAAAGCACTCCATCCCATTTGTCACTCTAGAAGAATAAGGCCTTTAAGAAAATCTTGGAAATTGTGAAATGATATCAACCCTTCACTGAACAACTCTCATGTGGCTTTCTCATTCAGAGCTGCTTTTCACTTATTCACCTGGACAGTGCCTCCCAAACATTTCTTCCTCCATCACCCAGGGCTCCTCTTCTTGCTCCAACTTGAATATCACATCCGGTTTGGTGACTTGACAGCCTATTACAAGAAATAGCAAAGGATGTGGATGTCAATGCTGGAGACAACCATTCAGATCTTAGGCTAAGTCCAAGCTTGAGGGCTTATAAAAGATGAGGATGAATGAACTTACACAATGACACAAAGTAATCAGCCTTTAACACTGAAGAGTGGAGCACATATAGTCACATGGAGAAAGGAAAGGCTAGATTCATCTGGCAAGTTACAGTCTTCACACATTTCAGAAATGGAAAAGAATTCTCTGTTAAATTGCAAGGCTACCAAGCCACCTTACCCACTGTGACTAGGTTGCTGTAGTTCTCCAGCATCACATCTCGATACAAGTTTCTTTGAGCAGGTTTCATTTGCTCCCACTCCTCCTGGGTAAGGTCAACAGCCACATCCTTAAATGTCACTGTTTCCTGTAAAAACATAATGCTAATTAATTTGAAGTCATCAAAATTAGGCATTGTGATCACAACATACAAGAACTTGTTTAGCTGGTACTCAGGGGTCAGAGGTAGGAGTACTAGAAGAAGAAGAGAGAAAGGTGCAGAAAAAACATTCAAAGAAATAATGGTTGGACATTTCCCAAATCTGACAAAAAACATTATACATTCAAGAAGCTCAATGAACTCCAGGTAAAATAAATGTAAGAGGCCCACAGTCAGATATACCATAGCAAAAATGTTGAAAACCAGAGATAAAGAGAGAATCTTCAGAGCAAATTTGGAATAGAGTAAGCAATGACACAAGATTTACTAGAACTTGAATCAACACAAACAAATGGTAAATAAGGTTAATATAATAAACATAATACATATTTGCTCTCTTTTCTCAGCTTCTTTAAGTGATGCAACATTATATGCAGTAGTAATTATAATAATGGGTTGAGTCTGTAACATATATAACAATAATAGTACAAAACAAGGGAAGAGGGAATAGAGCTACATAAGACCAACATTTCCATATCTTAATGGAACTTAGTATAAATCTGAAGTAGGTTCTGATAAGATACATAGTATCCAAGTCCTAGAGCAACCACTAAGAAAATATAGTGAAAAATCATTAAAGAAATTATAATTTTATACTGGAAAATATTTGCTTAGTGAAAAGAAAGCAGTAAAGGAGAAACAAAAAATGACATGAGACATATGGAAAACAAAAAGGAAAATGGCAGACATAGCCCAATAATTTTAGTGTTACCATTAACTCTGAATGGATTAAACAGGCCAAAAAAAAGGACAGATTGTCAGATTGGATAGAAAAACAGAATTCAACTACATGCTGTCTACAGGAAATACATTTTAGGTTCAAATATACAAATAGCTTGAAAATAAAGTGATGGAAAAAACACAGCATGCGAACAACCATAGAAAGCTAGAGTGGATATACTAATATCAGACAAAATAGAATTTAAAACAAAACTGTTACTAAAGGACATTTTATAATGATAAAAGGGTCAATCTGGCAGAAAGATATAACAATTATATATGCATCTAACAGTCTTAAAATACCTAAAGCAAAAATACAGAATTGAAGGCAGAAACTGGCAATTTAACAATAATTTTTGGAGACTCCAAACACTACTTTTTTTTTTTTTTTTTTGATACAGAGTCTCAGTCTGTCGCCTAGGCTGGAGTACAGTGGCACGATCTCGGCTCACTGCAACCTCTGCCGCCCAAGTTCAAGCAATTCTCCTGCCTCAGCCTCCTGAGTAGCTGGGATTACAGGCGCCTGCCACCGCACCCGGCTAATTTTTGTATTTTTAGTAGAGATGGGGTTTCACCATCTTGGCCAGGCTGGTCTTTAACTCCTGACCTCGTGATCCACCCGCCTCAGCCTCCCAAAGTGCTGGGATTACAGACGTGAGCCCCCGAACCCAGCCCAAACACCACTTTTAATAATGGATACAACTAGGCAGATTATAAGCAAGAAAATAGAAGACTCAAACACCATATACCAACCAGATCTAACAGACACCTATAGAACACACCACTCAACAGAATATACATTCTTCTCAAGTGTATAGAGCACTCTCCAAGATAGAAAATATGTTAGTCTATAAAAGAAGCCTCAATAGGCCCAGCTACACAGGAGGCTGAGGCAAGAGGATCACTTGAGCCCAGGAGGTTAAGGCTATAGTGAACTATAATTATGTTTGTGAACAGCTACTGAATTTCAGCCAGGGAAACACAGCCAGACCTGTCTCTTAAAAAAAAAAAAAGCCTCAATAAATTTTAAGAGAATTGTGTAAAGTATGTTCCTTGATCACAATGGGCAAAAATTAGAAATCACTAACAGAAAGAAATTTGTGAAATTCAAAAATATGTAAAAATTAAACAATATTCTGAAATAACCAATGGATCAACAAAATCACAATGGAAATTACAAAATACTTTGAGGTAAAAGAAAATGAGGGTGCAACATACCAAAACTTATGGAATGCCATTAAAGCAAGTTTTAGAGGGAAACCTATAGCTGTACACACTTTATTAAAAAAGAAGAAAGATTTCAAATCAATAAACTAACTTTCTACCTTAAAATACTAGAAGAGGGCTGGGCGTGCCCATAATCTGGCACTCTGGAAGGCCGAGGCAGGCGGATTGCTTGAGCCCAGGAGTTCAAGACCAGCCTGAGCAACATGGTAAAACCCCATCTCTACAAAAAATACAAAAACTTAGTAGGGCGTGGTGGTGTATGCCAGTAGTCTCGGCTACTGGGAGCTTAGGGGACCGGGCTGAAGTGGCAGGATCACCTGAGCCTGGGAGATCAAGGCTGCACTGAGCCATGATCATGCCACTGCACTTCAGCCTGGGTGACAGAGTGAGACTCTGCCTCAATTAAAAAAAAAAAAAAAAAAGATACTAGAAGAAGATGATCAAACTAAATCCAAAGTAACTAAAAGGAAATAAGCAAACATCAGAATGGAAATCAAAGAAATTTAGACTAGAAAAACATTAGAGAGAATCAATAAAACTAAAAATTGACAAAATGGACAAATATCACTGACAAGAAGACTCAAAATACAAAAATCAGGAATGAAAGAAGAAACATTACTACTAATCTTACAGAAATAAACAGGAATACAAAGAAATATTATGAATAAATATATGCCAACAAACTAGAGTAGATGAAATGAATGAATTTCTAGAAAGACACAAACTGATTAAACTGCAACAAAAAGAAAAGATGAAAAGACTTGTAACAAGAGACTGAATTACTAAAAAAAAAAAAAAAAAACAAAAAAACAAAACAAAAAAAAAAACCTACCCAAAAGAAAAACTCAGGCCTAGATGGCTTCACTGGTGAATTTTAACAAACAACAAAAAAATTAATACTAACTTATTTACAAACTCTTCCAAAACAAAGAGGATGAATAAAAGGAGGGGACACATCTTTTATGAGGCAAGTATTACCCTAATACTAAAACCTGACAAAGAACATACACACACACACACGCACCACCCCCCAAAAAAACACTAGAGCCCACTCTCTCTTATTAATAGAGAGGTAAAAATCCTCAATGCTAACAAACCTAATCCAACAACATATAAAAAGTATTATGGACCATAACCAAGTAGGATTTACCCCAGCAGAATGCAATATTAATTTAACATCTGATAATTAATGTAATACATCATACCAATATAATAAAGGTCAAAAACCATAAGATCATCTCCGTAAATGCAGAAAAAGTAGTCAACAAAATCCAACACCCTTTTATCATTGAAAACAAACAAACAACAACAACCAAAAAACCCAACATCCAACAAATTAGCAAATAAGCAAAAGAAGGGAACTTCCTCAACATGATATAGGGCAACTACAAAACCCCCACATCATAATAAATGGTGATAAAAAACTTCACCAGGGAAGAGAATAGTCTTTTCAACAAATGATGCTGGGACAACAACTGGACTGTCTGCATGCAAGGGAATGAAGGTGGATCATGCCGTATACAAAGGTTAACTCAAAATGGATCAAAGATCTAGCTGTAAGAGCTTAAAAAAAAAAAAAAAAGGTCTCAGAATACATAGTTGTAAATTATGACCTTCAATTGAATTAGGCAATGGTTTATTAGATATGACACCAAAAGCACAAGCAACAAAAGAAAATTAAATAAAAATGGACATCAGAACAACTAAAAATTTTTGTGCTTCTAAGGACATCATCAAGAAAGTGAAAAGACAACCCAGAGGATAGGATAAAATATTTCCAAATCATTTATCTGATGACACTTGAATATGTACAGACCTCTTAAAAGTTCAATAATCAAAAGACAAACCAATTAGAAGTGGGCAAAGGCTCTGAATAGACAATTCTTCAAAGAAGATATATTAATAAAAATGGCCAACAAACATAGGAAATGGTGTTCAACATCACAAGTTATACAGTACGTGTAAATCAAAATCTCATGAGCTTTACTTCACACCCACTAGGACAGCTATAACCAAAGGACAGATAAGAACAAGTGCTGATGGAGAAACTGGAATCCTCATACACAGCTGGTGGGAATGTAAACTAGCACAACTGCTATGGAAAACAGTAGGGCAATTCTGTTTTTTTTTTCTGGGGACGGAGTTTCGCTCTTGTTGCCCAGGCTGGAGTGCAATGGTGTGTGGTCTTGGGTCACTGCAACCTCTGCCTACCAGGTTCAAGTGATTCTCCTGCCTCAGCTTCCCAAGTAGCTAGGATTACAGGCATGTGCCACCAGGCACGGCTACTTGTTTTTTATTTTTAGTACAGACAGGGTTTCACCATGTTGGTCAGGTGGGTCTTGAACTCCTGACTTCAGGTGATCTGCCCATCTCAGCCTCCCAAAGTGTGGGATTACAGGCATGAGCCATTGCACTCGGCTAACAGTGGGGCAATTCTTTAAAAGGTTAAGCATAGAGTTGCCATATGATCTAGCAATTTCATTTCTATGTACAAACTTCAGAGAAGTGAAAACATATGACCACATAAAAACTTGTACATCAATGTTCTTATCAGCATTATTCATAATAGCCTAAAAGGGGAAATGAATCAAATTTCCATTAATCAATGAATAAAGAAAATGTGGTATATCCCTACAAGAGAATATTATTCAGAAATAAAAAGTACTCGTACAAGCTACAAAATGCATGAAACTTGAAAACATAATGCTAAGCGAAAGGCAACACAAAGGATAACAGTTTATCATATGACTCAATTTACATTAAATGTCCAAAATAGGCAAATCCATAGAGCTAGAAATCATTTATTCTTGCCTACATCAGAGCCTTAAGGGAAAACAGGAAGTGAAAGCTAACAGGTAAAGGGTTTCTTTTCAGGGTGATGAAAATGTTCTAACATTGATTATGGTGATGGTTGCACAACTCTGTGAATACACTAAAAACCACTCACTTGTATACTTTAAATGGGCTAATTTTATAGTATGTGACTTATATGTTAATAAAGTTTTTTTAAGTTATAAGACTATATTTCAATATGTTTAAAGTTTAAAAAATCTCAGTGAAGCTGGGAATAGTAGCTCACACCTATAATCGTAGCACTTTGGGAGGCTGAGGCAGGAGGACTGCTTGAGGCCAGGAGTTCGAGAACAGCCTTGGTAACATAGTGAGACTCCATCTCTACGAAAAATAAAAAATAAAAAAATTAGCCAGGCATGATGGCACATGCCTATCATCTAGCTACTCGGGAGGCTGAGGCGGGAGGATCACCTGAGCCAAGTTCATGCCACTGTACTCCAGCCTGGGCAACACAGCAAGTCCTGGTCTCAAAAACAAACTCAACAAAAAATAATTCCATTAGAAAATATTACTGTGATAAATTGATTATTCAGCGAGTCTTCACTTCCTGCCTGTACTAATGTCCCATCTACTAATGTGGGCCTTGTCTGAGCCCTTTGTTGGGGCAAAAGGAATGTCAGTAAACATGATGTGAGCAAAGGCCTGAAATTTGCTTACACCCTTTACCTTGGCTCATGTGCTCCAGTGAGACAGCAAATGAAGACCTTGGCCCAGGAAGCTGTGCCATTTCAGCTGAAACTCAGAATGAATATATGCAGAGCAGACACAAGCCCACTGTGGAGCCTAAGCCAAGGCCAGCTGATCTGCAGCCCAAAGCAGAGATGCCCACATAGTTAACCTGCAGACCCCAAGGATAAGAATGAACGCCTGTTTTCTATTCACAAAAGCAGCAGAAAGGCTGAACAGACATGTGACTGACACATTTCTGACTGAAAAAAAATGCTGAAATACTAAACTTTCAAAACGGAGCTGGGTTTAGATATTTTTTACCAGTTAATAGGCTGTGGTATCCAATGTCATGGGTTCAAACTCTGGCTTCAAAATTTACTAATTGTGTTACCTTGACAAATAGCCAAACTTGAGTCTCAGTTTCCTCATCTATAAAGTGGAATTCTCCTTAAAGGGTTGATGTGAAGACTAAATAACACAGTAAATGTGACTCAGAACAGAGCTTGACACAATAATCAACTGATGAATGTTTCAGAAATAGATAATCCCTCTGGAATATACACCACAACAAAGATAGGGGAAAACTACAAAAAGAGAAAACATTTTTTAAATTAGTGCTAACAAATCAGCACAAAAACATTTTCCCACCAACTCTAGTAACTTAGCATAAATCTCATATAAAAAGATTGCACCCCTGGCCAGGCGCGGTGGCTCATGCTTGTAATCCCAGCACTTTGGGAGGCCGAGGCGGGCGGATCACGAGGTCAGGAGATCGAGACCATCCTGGCTAACATGGTGAAACCCCATCTCTACTAAAGATACAAAAAATTAGCCGGGTGTGGTGGCGAGCGTCTGTAGTCCCAGCGACTCGGGAGGCTGAGGCAGGAGAATGGCGTGAACCTGGGAGGCGGAGCTTGCAGTCAGCCAAGATTGTGCCATTGCACTCCAGCCTGGGCGACAGAGCGAGACTCTGTCTCAAAAAAAAAAAAAAGAAATTGCATCCCTGACAAAAGCCATAAGTAACAAAATACCAAGAAGTAAAATATGCTTTAATTTTTGACTGTATAAAATGATGAGTCAGTCTTTACAATAGGGTCTATTTTCCCAAGATGTTGATTCTCTTCACATACAAATGTTAAGAAATTCAGTATTAATAGCAAGAAACATAGGGGTTCGAACCTTAAAAAACATAAATTCACAGTTCATGTCATTAAGTTTTATTCCTTCTCCTGTCAAACAGAACCAAAAAAAAAAAAAAACATGAACACGCTTCTGCCCCTGGCAAGAGGCAATAATATTTCCAATGTTCTTGCTGGTACCACAGCACCTTCCTCTCCTTCACTTTTTTTTTTCTTTGAAACTGGGTCTCGCTCTGTCACCTAAGCTGGAGCAGTGCCACAATCATAGCTCACTGAAGACTCACTGCTGAGCTCAAGCAATCCTCCTGCCTCAGCCTCCTGAGTAGCTGGGACTACACATGTGAGCCACCAAACCTAGCTAATTTTTTTTTTTTTTTTTTTGAGACGGAGTCTTGCTCTGTCGCCCAGGCTGGAGTGCAATGGTGCGATCTCGGCTCACTGCAACCTCTGCCTCCTGGGTACAAGTGATTCTCCTGCCTCAGCCTCCCAAGTAGCTGGGACTACAGGTGTGTACGACCACACCCGGCTAATTTTTTGTATTTTTAGTAGAAACGGGGTTTCACCATGTCAGCCAGAATGCTCTCGATCTTCTGACCTCATGATTCACCCGCCTCAGCCTCCCAAAGTGCTGGGATTACAGGCGTGAGCCACCACGCCTGGCCACACCCAGCTAATTTTTTAAAATTTTTTGTAAAGACTGGGTCTTGCTGTATTGATCCAGCTGGTCTCAAACTCCTGGCCTCAAGTGATCCTCCAGCTGTGGCCTCCTAAAATGCTGGGATTACAGGTGTGAGCCACCATGCCTCGCTTTCTTCACTTTTAAGATACATAATAGAATATAATTGTTTAAAATAACAAAGTTTACAGTGAGGGAATAAAGATAACTACAAGTCAGTTCTGGGTGTATATGTTGACTGGCAACTTTTTATAAAATTTTTTTTTCCCTAAAGTTATGTAAGCATTAAACAAATATTCTTCTTTTAAAAACTTAGAGCATGGCACATGACATTCTTTTATACTTTTCCTGGCCATTCTGCATGTTTTTATTTTTCAAATGTATTCTAGACTCGGCTCAAATAAACTTGTCTAATTCTAAGAAAAATAATTTAGAATTGTTATTGAGATTCTGATCAATCTATGTAGGTTAAAGACAATTTATATTAATTTAATAATGATGGCTCTTATCCAAAAAAGGGTATTTAAAAAATTTGTTCAAATCCTCTATCTCAGTAATAATTTGAAGGTTTCATTCTCCCATGTACACCACATACATTTTATTTTTTTCTTTCGGGTTTTTTTCTAGTCTGAGCATCATTCTTCCATTTCATTTTTGATGGTGTGGTTTATAGAGAAAAATGGTATTGATTTTTGTATATTAATTTTGTGTCCATATTTCAATCATTCTTGTGTTTCTCTTCTGTTGCCTAAAAACATAATTGTATCACTTAGATATCATAATTTTGAATGCACCATCCTGCTTTTTACTTCATTTCCCTCCCCTTACTTATGTCTAGGCATACAAAATCGTAGTAGTAGCACTGGCAAGCTGGTTGTGTTCCTGACTAGTAGGAAAGTGCCTAATTTTTACAAGTAAACATGGTACTAGCTTGTAGCTTATTATCTGCACATATATATGTGTTGTATGCGTGTGAATAATTTCTTAAAATATCATAAGAAAATGTTCTTTTACTTTTACTTTATAAATAGGTCCTTTTGAAATCACAGGTTCTGAGTTAAAAAAATTTTCAGCTCTATAGATCTGATTGTTTTTCTCTTGAATATAATAATTTATATTAATAGATTCCCTTAAATGGAAACATCTTTAATTGTGACAGAAAATATCTTTCGGGACAGGTGCAATGGCTCATGCCTGCAATCCTAGTACTTTGGGAGGCTGAGGCAGGTGGATCACTTGAGGTCAGAATCACTTGAGGTCAGCCTGGCCAACATGGCGAAACCCTATCTCTACTAAAAATGCAAAAACTTAGCCAGGCATGGTGGTGTACCCCTGTAATCCCAGCTGCTTGGGAGGCTGAGGCATGAGAATCACTTAAACCCGGGAGGTGGAGGTTGCAGTGAGCCAAGATCGTGTCACTGCACTCAAGCCTGGGCAACAAAGCAAGACTTCATCACCAAAAAAAAAAAAAAAAAAAAAAAAAAAATATATATATATATATAATATATATATATATATATATATATATACACACACACACACACATATATCTTTATATATATATATATTTATATATTTTTTATATATATGTATTTTTTGCTTAATTCTTCTCCAACTAGTTGTGCAATTCAATGGAAATCCCCAATAGGATTTCTTCCTAGAACTAGATAAACTAATTCTAAAATTCAAATGGAAGCCCAGAGGTCCCAAAGTAGCTGAAAAATTTTTGAAAAACTAAGAATAATGTGTGTGCATAAAGAAGTGGTGAAATCATTGCCCATATAAAGTAATTGTAATTAAACCAATGTAAAACACACACACACAAAGTACAGTACTGATATAAATGTAGACAAATAGATTACAGAAAAAGTAAAAGCCTAGAAACCATCATGTATGTATACAGTAAAGGTGGCATCACAAAGGAAAGATCTACTTAATAAACGGTGTTGGAACAACTGGTCTTCTACATGCAAAGATAATTCTACTAATAGAATTATCAGTAAATTCCTATCTCAAACCAATTACAATATTATAATCCAGTTGGATTAAAGACTAAATATGGAAAACAATGCTTTGAACAGAGATTATCTCTATGATCTAATATTAATTAGGAAAGATATCTTAGAAAAGATTAACATTGGCAACTCATGAGAAAAGACTACTAAATATTAATAGTTGCATATTTTGACTGAATTCTATTATGTATACATATTTATCATACACTAAATGTAACTATCCAAACTTCAATGTCTATACAACAAAAAATAAATAACATAAAAATGACAGATTGGGAGAAGGTAGCTGCATAAATCCTAAGTCCTAATACTGAAATAGACATTCTTAAAATATTCTAATTTCGAATACAGAAAAAACTATTATTACAAAATAGACAAACAATATGAATGGGTAATTGGCTTTTGTATTTCTTCACTCATAATGAGCCTCCATCTGTACAGTATCGTAGAGTGTGGGCCCTAGAGTCAGACTGTATGGATTTGAATCCTGGGTTTATGACACATTGATGCACGATGTTATGTAAGCTTAACCTCTGTGCTTCATTTCCCTTATCTTAAAAAATTTAAATAATATGTACTTCATAGACGTCTGATAATAATTACATGAAATAAGCTATGTAAAGCACAATACATCTGGCACATAGTAAGAACTCAATAAAGCTGTAACAGTTGGTTCTCCATATCTGTGGGTTCAATATCCATGGATTCAACCAATGGCAGACCAAAAATATTTGAGAAAAAAATAACAATGCCTATCATTTATGGGGTACTTGTTACATGTATTTAACCCTCCCAACATTCCTGTGGGATAAATACCATTATCATCCCCATTTATAGACTTACAGATGATGTAACTGAGTCACAAAAAGATTAAGAAACTTGTCCACAGTCATGCACTTCATAAGTCACTGAGCCAAGATTTAAACTCAAGCCTGTCGAGGGCCAGAGAGGTTTGCTAGGGCCACCGCGCCAACAGAAGTAACTGGATGAGCCATATGATCATATGGTCAAAAGAAGTATGTGTGTATATTTCATGATGTGAAAGACATAAGCTGAAGAAAAAGAGGCAGTTAAGCAGAAAACATTCAAAATATAGGTGTGTGAGTGACTTCAGAGGTGGAAACAAAAAGAATCAAGAGCAGAGAATACGTAATTTTGTAAGATGAGGATGAAGACTATATCTTCTGAGACCATAAAAAAGATGTGAAAAGCTATGGATATCAGAACTATAAGATTCTGCCATAGAATATTAGTATAATTTAGCTCAACTTGGATTAAAAACTCAATTGAAGAAAATATATACGTAGGATCATTTGAAAGATATGTGTTCCACTTACTCTTCCAGGTAATTTGAATTTTTGAAGTTTGGCCAAGACCAACTTCTAAAAGCTAAGCTAAAAATTGTAAGAATTAAGGAATTACAGTCGTCCCTAGGAAACCATGTAGAATTGGTTCCAGGACCCCCCACGGATACCAAAATCCACTGATGCTCAAGTCCCTTATATAAAATGGTGTAGGATTTGTACGTAACCAATGTACGTCCTCCCGTATACTTTAAATCGTCCCTAGATTACTTATAAAACCTAATATAATGTGATTTCTATGTAAATAGTTGTTACACTATGTTGTTTAGAAAACGACAAGAAAAAAGTCTGTACATGTTCAGTACAGATACAACCACCCATTTTTTTTTCAAGTATTTTTGATTTGCAGTTGGTTCAATCTATGGATGCAGAATCTACAGATACAGAAGTCCAACTATATTTTAGAGTTTCTTTTTGAACAAGGTGCCAGTTAAAAGCCTTTTACTTAAATAATTGTAAGTTTTTCCTCATAAATGGTGCAACTTATGGACTTACGGAATAAACTTAAGTGTCCCAGTTTGCTTTGACTGTCCAGATCATATTTAAATTTGAACTCAACTTTAATAATTCTGTATGTACCTGCTTCTGCATAGCCATATCTCAAATTTCCCCAGGTTCTGATTTTCTATCTGTATTTTTTCTCACTTTTATTTTCATCAATTTATTTTTTCCAACACATTGGTAGGTTACAAGAACCCACCGTAACTGCACTGCAAAATAATGCAGGAAACAAATAAATGCTTAAGACGTACAAGAGGCCTGGTTGTATCCTCTTCTTCCTCGGAAAGGGCAGACTCTTGAGAACACCAAGCTGAGGGAAGAGAAATGAAACAGATTTGCTTCAAAGTTTCAGACAAAGGAATATAGAAATCTTCAGTACCAGGTGGCTAGAAGACCCTCTACAGATGAATGATCCTTGAAGCAATAAGAAATGTTAACTGCCATCTAGCTATAGACACTGAAATGGACACAGATGGCTAATTTAATCATATGGGGTCTGATGGGGATTTATGGAGGGCTAAGTATGCAGTGCCCAATGAATCTATTGGCAATATTTTATCTCCCTAGAATCTTGCTGTTTTATTTCTAACAGGAAGTTTATCTTAAGTACATAATAATAGTTACCCCAAAAATTTAAAGATTGGGATGATCTTTAAAATTTTTTTTTCTTTTTTTTTTTGAGATGGAGTCTCACTCTGCCGTCCAGGCTGGAGTGCAGTGGCCTGATCTCTGCTTACTGCAACCTCTGCCTCCCAGGTTCAAGCGATTCTCCTGCCTCAGCCTCCCACGTAGCTGGGATTATAGGCATCCACCACCATGCCTGGCTAACTTTTTTGTATTTTTAGTAGAGAAGGGGTTTCACCATGTTGGCCAGGCTGGTTTCGAACTCCTGACCTCAAGGGATCCATTTGCCTCGGCCTCCCAAAGTGCTGGGATTACAGGCGTGACGCCGCGCCTGGCCTAAAATGTTATTTTTTAACCATAAAAAATTTAGGGCCAGGCGCGGTCGTCACGCCTGTAATCCCAGCACTTTGGGAGGCCAAGGCGGGCGGATCACGAGGTCAGGAGTTCGAGACCAGCTTGGCCAATATGGCGAAACCCTGTCTCTACTAAAAATACAAAAATTCGCTGGGCGTAGTGGCGTGCGCCTGTAGTCCCAGCTACTTGGGAGGCTGAGGCAGGAGAATCGCTTGAACCCGGAAAGTGCAGGTTGCAGTGAGCCGAGATCACACCACTGCACTCCAGCCTGGGCGACAGAGCGAGACTCTGTCTCCCCCTCAAAAAAAATAATTTAGAAAAAAACCTTCATCAGAGACTGGCTATAGGTAATGTGGAACATTGATAAGATAGGATGCAATACAGTCATGTTTCTAATGACATTTTTAAAAAACTTGATTTATTTTTTACCCTAAAAAATTCAGGGCCTTTTGGTTAAAAATAAAAGCCTGAATACCTGCATTTATTAATATTTCCACTCTCTCCCAAACCAATCATAATGTTAATAAAGGAAAAAAGGAGGCTAAAACTCATAAGGACAAAGAATATAGAAGATTTCCACAGATAAGAGCTGTCAACAAAATGTGGGAAGCTAAAGAGCAGACAAATGAGTGGTATCTAACTTAACCAGAGAAAGCTGAAGCTTAAGTGAAGGTGGGAGGAGGGTGGGGAAGCCATGACAAGACCCTAGAAAGGTTCAGGAATGGAGCTACTAATTACTTCTGTGGACTAGAGTTTGGGAGTAGGGCTGAAAAACATAAAACCGAATGTAAGATGTCATAAAAAGATGTTAAAACCACCTGATGTTTTCTTTCACCCAACATGGCATAGTCACATTTCCCTCACATTGGCAACAGAAAAAAATTAAAGATTATTTCTCTAGATAAACTGAATGAGACAAGCTCTGAATTTCAGGCATACCAGATGCAGATAAAGGTGGGGTTGAAGCAATGCAGAGAGAAAAGAATTAAAGTTCTCATATTGCAAGATGAGGTGTCCAACATGCTCACTTCCTTCGTCTCCCAAAAAGCAGGAGTTCTGGCTTGTACTTCTCAAGCAAAATCTAGGACTTCTTGCTGGGGAAACTGACTAGCCCAAAAGAAAATGCTTACAGATGCTGACATCTGGTCAACCTTCAACCTCCAAAAAATAATACCATATTAGAAAGAAGGGCAAGGAGAAGAGTGTGTTGGGGTGGAGATGAAACGGAAGGGGTTAGGTAGTGAAAGAGAGCTAAATCCTTAACTTCATTATCAAAAATCAACAGGAAATATCTAAAACTGAGAAATGAAGCATTAGCAGTGTAAGAATGTTATTTAGAAAAAAGGAGGTGAATACCAGAATATTGAGACAAAAATGTTCAAAGTGGTTGCCTTTCAGGAATGGGGACAGGGAACCAGGATGGATGGAATAGGAAGCTTTTGTTTATGTTATAGTACAGCATTTAAAGATATACTTAAACATACTCTTAAGAAATAAAAATTGCATTTCAAAATTTATTTTAAAAAATCAAATAGTCAAATGAATATGATTAAAAACAAATGTCTCCCCTGCCTAGTCAATTAACATACGTGACCTTTCTCAGTAGGAGTAATGAATTTCTTTTCACTGTCCCCAAATGTAGAGCCTTTCTCTCCTAAGCTCTGTCCACCTATGAGCCACCTCACCTTTCCTTTCCATCATGTGGCTCAAACGCTCCATTGTCACACAGCTATTGCTGATCACTGAAGATTGAGATGTCATTCAGACCCTGCCTGCTCTGGGCAGAAGGGTCAAGACAAGCTCCAGCAACTCCAGGGTCCACTCTCTTTCAGGACTCTCCAGCCTCTAAGGCAGGTCTCAGGTCAGGTCTCCTTCCATGATAAGACACCTGTTCCTCAGACTTCTATTTGCACTGCAGATGTGTTTTATCCTTGTGGAACCAGGACCTGTGGATTAGGATATAAATCTAATTTACCTGGTGCCTTCTCACTGGCTCCCTGTGATAACCAGCTTCCAAGATGGCCCCCAGTGACCACCGTCTTCTGGTATTCATGCCTTTGTAGATCCCTCCCACCATGAGTACCTTTGACCTGCATAACCAATAGGATATTGCAGAAATGATGGTGTGTGACTTCTAAGGTTAGGTTATAAAAGACATTAGGGCTTCTGTCTTGCACATTTGGATCATGGATGTTGAGGGAAGCCAGCTGCCATACCATGACAACACTCAACCAGCCCTAGGGAGAGGCCTCCTGTTGACAGCTAACACTAACTTGGAAGCCAGCTATCTTGGAAGTGAACCCTCCAGCCCCAGCCCAGCCTTCTGATGACTGCAGCCCGGCTGACAACTTGACTGCAACTTCATGAGATACCCAAGCCCAAATACGCAGTGAAGACACTTCCCACAGAAATTGTGAGATAATGTTTATTGTTGTTTAAGCCACTAGTTTTTGAGGTAATTTGTTACACACTAATAGATAATATAGCCTCAAACACTAATCTTCCTTATTTGTAATTCATACACTCTGGACACACTGACCAGAGGCATAAACCAAGTGATGTTTACCTATCTGTTCTTCAGATATCTTCTGTGTCTAAAGGTGTATGCTCGATGAGGTGACAGATGTAAACCTGAGTCAAAAAACACCCAGATTTGCAGCAACCCCAAATTTGGCATAAAAGAGAGTTTCATTCAAAGACCAGCTATTCCATTCCATTTCTGTATTATCTTGGCAACTGAATTAAGGGAGAATTGCAATTTAGAATTCCAAGATTCTTCATCTGAAATGACAATTATACTCATGTCACAATAATATTGGATGAATATACGAAATGACTATTAAAATATATTAATTTAGCAGCTGCTATGAGTCTTTATTAGGTAAAGGGTAAAAAAAAAATATATGTAACAAAATAGACTAATTTTTGCCCTGTATGATAGAACAAATAAAACAGAAAACATTCAGTTATAATAAGTTTTGAGAAGTGCTATGCTTGAGATATCCTCCTAATACCCCTCACACACTCACTTTTTTTCATGACAGTGATCACTTTCTTTCTTTTTTTTTTTTGGATGGAGTTTCGCTCTTGTTGCCCAGGCTGGAGTGCAATGGCACAATCTCAGTTCACTGCAACCTCCGCCTCCTGGGTTTAAGTGATTCTCCTGGCTTAGCCTCCTGAGTAGCTGGGATTACAGGCATGCGCCACCACGCCCGGCTAATTTTGTATTTTTAGTAGAGATGGGATTTCTCCATGTTGGTCAGGCTGTTCTTGAACTCCTGACCTCAGGTGATCTGCTGGCCTCAGCCTCTCAAAGTGCTGGGATTACAGGCATAAGCCACCATGCTTGGCCGACAGTGATCACTTTCTAACAAACTATTAATATATACAGTCACGCATCACTTTGCAACAGAGATATGCTCTGAGAAATGTGTCATTAGGCAATTTCATCATTGTGCAAATATAAGTGTACTTACACAAATGTGGATGGTATAGCCTACTACCCACCTATGCTATATGGTATAGCCTATTGCTCCTAGGCTACGAACCTGTATGGCATGTTACTGTACTGAATACTGTAGACAACTGCAATACAAAGGTAGGTGTTTGTATATCTAAACATACCTAAACACAGGAGAGAAATGGTAAAAATATAATATAAAAGATAAAAAATGGTACACTGGTAAAGGGCACTTACCATGAATGAAACTTGCAGAACTGGAAGTTGCTCTGAGTGAGTGGCGAGTGAACGCAAAGGCCTAGGACACTACTGTACACTACTGTAGACTTTATAAACACTGTACACTTAGGCTACACTAAATTTATAAAATTTTTATTTCTTCAAATTGTTGAATTAGCCTTAGCTTACTATAACTTTGTTACTTTATAAGCTTTTCATTTTTTTTTTTTTTTAGATGGAGTCTCACTCTGTCACCCAGGCTGGAGTAATGGCACCATCTTGGCTAACTGCAACCTAAGCCTCCTGGGTTCAAGTGATTCTCCTGCCTCAGCCTCCCAAGTAGCTGGGATTACAGGTGTCTGCCACCACACCCGGCTAATTTTTGTATTTTTAGTAGAGACGGGGTTTCACCATGTTGGTCAGCCTGGTCTCTAACTCTTGACCTCCTGTAATCCACCCGCCTCGGCCTCCCAAAGTGCTGGGATTATAGGGGTGAGCCACTGTGTCCAGCCAGCTTTTCAATTTTTTAAAACTTTTTGACTCTTGTAGTAGCACATAGCTTAAAATGCATTGTACAGCTGTACAAAAATATTTTTTCTTTATATCCTTATTCTATAAGCTATCTTCTTAAAAATTTTTTAACTTTTTAAACTTTCTTGTTAAAAATTAAGACACAAACACCCATTAGCCTAGGCCTACACAGTGTCCAGGATCATTGGTGCTGGCTTTCACCTCCACATCTGGCCCCACTGGAAGATCTTCAGGGACAATAACACACACAGAGCTATCACATTCTATGATAACAATGCCTTCTTCTGGAATACCTCCTGAAGGACCTGAGGCTGTTTTACAGTTAACTTTTTTTAAATAAATAGGCATATGCTCCAAAGTAATGATAAAAAGTATAGTATAGTAGGCACATGAACCAGTAACATATTTATTATCATTACCAAGTATTATGTACTGTACATAATTTTATGTTATACTTTTATATGACTGGCAGCAGAGTAGGTTTGTTTACAGCAGCATCACTGCAAACACATGAGTAATGGTATTGTGCTACAGTGTTATATTGGCTAGAAAGTCACTAGGTGACAGGAATTTTTCAGCTCCATTATAATCTTACAGCAGGGGTCCTCAACCCCTGGGCCACGTACCGGTACTGGTACAGTACTGGTTCCTGGTTAGGAACCAGGCCACACAGCAGGAAGTGAGCAGCAGGTGAGTGAGCATTACCGCCTGAGCTCCACCTTCTATCAGATTAGTGGTGGCATTACAGCCTTACAGGAGTGTGAACCCTCTTCTGAACTGTGCATGCGAGGGATATAGGTTGCTTGCTCCTTATAGGAATCTAATGCCTCATGATTTGAGGGACAACAGTTTCATCCTGAAACCATAACCCTCCCATCCCCCAGTCCCTGGAAAAATTGTCTTCCACAAAACCACTCCCTGGTGCCAAAAAGGCTGGGGACCACTGTCTTACAGGACCACTGTCATGTATGTATATAGTCCATACATATATGGCACATGACTATAATTTAGTTATATATACTGTCCACCCACCCCCCTCAACATAAACTCCATGAAAACAAGGACTTATTTTTGTCTGTTTTTGATATTCATAGTAGGTGCTCAAAAATATGCTGATAAAATGGTTCAGTCATTATCGAAAACACTATGACAATCAAAGATTAAAAACAGACATTACCACATGTATATATAAAAAACTGAAAGCAGGGACTCAGATAGTTGTATACCCATGTTTGTAGCAGTGTCACTTGCAATTGCCAAAAGGTAGAAGCAGCCCAAGTGTCCAATGATGAATAAATTGATAAACAAAATATTTATCCATATATGACATACTTATCATTCGGCCTTAAAAAAGGAGGAAATTCCAATACATGCTAACATGGATGAATCTTGAGGACGTTATGCTAAGTTAAATCAGGGTCACAAAAGCACAAACAACATATGATTCTGCTTATATGAAGTATTTAGAATAGTCAAATTCAGAGACAGAAAGTAGAATGGTAGATGCCATAGGCCGGGGGAAAGGGGGGTACAGAGTTATTGTTTGATAGGTACTGGGTTTCTGTTTTGCAAGAAGAAGAGTTCTCTGGCTGGATGGTGGTGACGGTACCATAACAATGTGAATGTACTTCATGCCACTGAACTGTACACTTATATATGGTTTAGATGGTAAATTCTATGTTGTGTATTTTACCACAATTAAATATACATGTGTGTATACATAGTTGGTCCTCCTTATCCACAGGTTCTGCATCCTCAGATTCAATCAGCCTCAGATAAAAAATACAGTTAGGCCTACTACAGTTGTGTCTGTACTGAACACGTACAGTACAGATTTTTTTCTCATTATTCCCTAAACAATAACGTGTAACAATGATTTACACAGCATTTACATTATATTAGGTATTACAAATAATCTAGAGATGATTTAATGTATAAAGAAGGATGTAGGGACTTGAGCATCTGTGGATTCTGGTATCCATGGGGGGTCTTGAAACCAACCCCTCCTGGATACGAACTGTATATAGAATAAATGAGCTACTACTACTAATTTGGGGATTTAAAACTAGAAGAGAATAGGCTGGGCATGGTGGCTTACGCCTGTAATCCCAGCACTTTGGGAGGCTGAGGTCGGCAAATCACGAGGTCAGGAGATCTACCATGGTGGCTAACATGGTGAAACCCTGTCTCTGCTAAAAATACAAAAAATCAGCCGGGCGTGGTGGCGCGTCTGTAGTCCCAGCTACTCGGGAGGCTGAGGCAGGAGAATCGCTTGAACTCGGGAGGCGGAGTTTGCAGTGAGCCGAGACCGTGCCACTGCACTCCAGCCTGGGTGACAGAGCGAGACTCCGTCTCAAAAAAACAAAACAAAACAACAACAACAACAAAAACTAGAAGAAAATAATATATGAGACAAGAATAACACAGAAATTGGTGGATATTTTGGAGTTCAAGTATTTTAAAGTCTTAAGGTTGAGTTTTGTTAAGCATGCATATTAAAAAAGGATAATAGCAGAAACCAACCTAGGGGAGAAAAAGGGATAAGGTGAATTTGCACAATAAAAAAAGATATATGTGCAACTATTATATGTCAATCAAAAATGTTTAAGGCGTAATAGAAAATAAAACATTTTTTATGAGCAATCATGATAAATGCCACTGAACTATACTCACCTATTAAAATAACAGTCAAACAAGATAAACGGATGTAAGCCCAGCAATATGCTCTTTACAAGACACAGATCTGAAACATAAAGACACAAGGGGGTTAGAAAATGAAATTCTTAAGAAATACAATAAAACTTGAAAAGCAATATTATCAGACAAAAGAGAACCCGGACTAAAAGGCATTCACCAGGATAAAGAGGTATGTTTCTTAAGGTGGTAGACTGGAATTTTAGTCCAATTCCTCACACCCTCTAATAGATTATTATTCATACTCTTTGCGAGGTAACTTTGCTCTCCAACTGTGGGCATAATTGATTTTAGGCTTAGCCATGTGACTTGCTCTGGTTGAGGCAATCTCTCTTGCGCTCTGGTGACCCATCAGGAGCAGAGCATGCCCTGGCAACAAATGTCCTTTTGGCCTGAGACCCTGAAAGAACACATGCGGCGCAGATCTTAACTCGTCACGCAGCCTATCCACTCAGCCAAGCCCCACCTAGATCAGCTGAACACAGTCAATGCGCAAGCCTGTGAACAGGAGAGTAAGGACTTGCTGTTGTATGGCATTGAGTTCAGGGGTGGTTTTTAGACATAATTATTATCATGGCAATAGCTAACTAACATACATAAAAGCAGCAAGTCATAAGATAATAATGAACCTGAAAAGTTCGCCAAGGAATAGTGGAAAATTACAAAGGGCCAAGGGCTACTAGGGTAAAAAAGACAGCAAAGAAGACTACAGAGGAGTGGCCAACAAGGAGGGAGGATCAGTAGAAAACAAATAAGTGTTTTTCAAGCCGTTACCAACTGTGCCAAATGCTACAGAAAAGCCAGCTCAAGACAAGAACTACTAGACATATTACAATCACGCACACTTCGCCACGTTCACACTCGCTACAGCCTTAATCATAATCACACACATATCACACATTTCATCATAATCCCGCGCAACCAAATATCACAATCACCCCATCAGATTATTCGTGCCGTCACACTCACACACACAACCACACACCCACACTAACTCCCATCACAGTTTTTTGTCCCATCAACTGCAACCACTCACCATTAGCGTACCCTGAGCACTCCCCACTGCCGCTACTCGGGACACTCTGGGCCTTAGAGGATCCGTGTCCCGTCAACCGCGAGTCCCTTGCTCGCCCCCTGCTGCGGGGACTCGGCAGCGTCACCTGCCGGAAACACCCGAATGTTCATCCCGCGCGCAGTTTCTGAGATGCTGGGTGAAGGCGACCCGCAGATAGGTCTGTGACAGACGCCTAAAGCGCCGAACCATCCCTCCGCGCCAGCGACGTTTCCGAGGACAACACCTCCCAGCAGGCCCCGCGGCCCCACTCAACTTCCGGCCAGAACACATCTGCTTTCCTGTGTGAGGGTGAGGCTTGGGCCGGGTTCCCCGGGAGGCTCATCTCCATTGCGCAGCGCTACGGCGACCCGCAACTCCGAGGCTCGGCTGGATGTTGAGAGTTGAGGGAGCAGCCGTTTCGGGTGGGCCCAGGCGAGGAGCTGACAGGAATCGGCGTGGGTCCCGCTCTGGACTACATTTCCCAGAGGGCCTGGTGGCCTGCCACTTTTCTCGCAGGAATTCGAACGTTTCGTCACTCCTGGCGGGACCCTTAGATCTGGGAGGTGAGATATTTTGGTCCCCAGGAGAACTGGCTCAGGTCTGCAAGTTCCCATCCGGGATGACTGGAAAGGGCTTAGGTGAGGATACCGAAGACCGATGGGGAGCTGGCGCCTTGGGCCCCTGCGGGCGGAGCGGCCTGAAAGGTGGAGGTTGTGTTTGGGAGGCCGAGGCAGGAGGATCACGAGGTCAAGAGATCGAGACCATCCTGGCCAACATGGTGAAACCCCATCTCTACTAAAAATACAAAAATTAGCTAGGCATGGTGGCGCGCGCCTGTAATCCCAGCTACTCGCAGGCTGAGGCAGGAGAATCACTTGAACCCGGGAGGCGGAGGTTGCAGTGAGCCGAGATCGCACCACTGCACTCCAGCCTGGCGACAGGGCAAGACTCTGTCCCCACCCCACCCCACCCCCCCAAAAAAAGAG
Source organism: Homo sapiens (assembly GCF_000001405.40). Lineage (NCBI taxonomy): Eukaryota > Metazoa > Chordata > Mammalia > Primates > Hominidae > Homo > Homo sapiens. The sequence continues at coordinate 36,915,587 of NC_000019.10, read as the reverse complement.
GGGAGGTTGTGAAATTGTCTGGGAGATAATAACACTGCGGCTTATGTGCGGATATGGGATACCTGTCACTGTGGGGGTTGTGGCTGTGTGTTCCCGTGGTGATGTGTGATTGTGACTCTGCGACAGTGTGGGGTGCCTACGATTGTGCAGCTGTAATTGTGTGTTTCCTATGGTGTGTATGTGATTGTAACTGTGTTGCCGTGTGTGGCTCCTTGTGGGCAGGTGAGACGTGCATGTCGCCTTAAGTGTGACTGTCCCTAAATGTATGTGGCATTCTGTGTATGAGTATGGGGTCCTGTCAACTATGCGATTGTGACTCCAGAACTCTGTCTCTAGGAAACCTCTCTGAGGTCTGGTCAGATTCCAACCCTGGACAGCAGTGAACACAACCTTTCCCCTGAGCCACTGGAATTGGACAGAATGCCCCATTCTCCTCTGATCTCCATTCCTCATGTGTGGTGGGTAATGGGGCTGGGGAAGAACTCTTACTTGACTAATCTGGGTACCAAGAAAAACCTGGTGTCTCACAGTTACTCTTCCCTCTCCCAATTTTACCTTTCTCCAGGTGTCACCCAGAAGAGGAGGAAAGAATGCATGATGAACTTCTACAAGCAGTATCCAAGGTGTGTTGGGGTTTCCTCTTTTTCTTCTGAAAATTCTTGCTTAAAGGAATGTCATTTAATTATAGGTCCCTATAATTTTCCCATCACAGAAAAGGATGGTTGCTCCACTTATGCTTGCTGAATTTTCTTCTCAAATATTTATTCTGATTTAAAAATAAAAGGATGATTAATTTAGAGATCTCAAAAACACAGCATTACCAAGAAAAAATAAAATTTAGCCACTCAGATAACTAGGGTTAATATTTTAATGTATTTTCATTATTTGTCAAAAACCAAATTTTATTTCATTTACCATTTGATGTTCTACATTTTTGCAAAAAGAAGTGTCAGAAATATTCTCCCATGTCATCAAATGGTCTTGGGAAATACATTTTTGATGTTTGCAAAAACTATGATATACAAATCAGACATGCCAGACTTTTAAATCCTCATTTGAATATATATCTGTACTTATACCCGCCCACCCCCACAGGTTTGAATTTGGGTTTCCGTGATTAATAATAAAATTGAACATATTCCATATGTTTATTGGTTTTTAGTCATCTTTTGTGACATGTCAGTTCAAATCTTTACTCATTTTTCTCTTGGAATAGCTCTTATTGATTCGTATGAGTTATTTATGTAATCTGGATCTCAGTCCTTTATTGATTGTTTTCCTACTATTTGGACTATTTCATCATTTCCTGTAAGATGATTTTATGATAAGTTCTAATTTTTAAAAAGCTGAGTTTATCAATATTTTTTCTTTATGGTTAGTGCTTTTTGTATCTTTTTAAATAAATCCTTCCCTGTCCCAAGGTCATGCAGATACTCTCCTATATTTATGCTTAAAGCCATAAGTTTCACTTTCATGTTTAGATATTTTATATAGTTGCAACTGGTTTTTGTATATGTTATGAGGTAAGAGTCAGATTCCCCCCTCCTTATTAATACCCAGTTTATCAATACCATATATTGGAAGGTCTATTGTGTTCTCATTGGTCTTCAAATATACCTAGTGTCTATATGTGCATGGGTATGTTTATGAACTCTTTATTCTCTTCCACTGATTTTTTATATTCCTGTGCCAGTATCATACAGTCTTGATTAGCTCGTCTCCCTTGATGGTAATCTGCCTTGTCTTCCTCTGACTGTTTTGTTTTTGGCTTTCTGTAATTTTAGTGTAAGATATATAAATGTGTTTTATTTGTCTGCTTGGGATTTGTAGAGTTTTAAAATTTATGGATGGATATCTATTATTAGTTCAGGAAAATCTTCAGTCATTATACCTTCAAAAAGCCCCCGTATCATTCTCTCCCCCTTTCCTTCTCAGGTTCTAACTAAACATATGTTAGAATTTCTTCTTCTTTTCTGTGTCTTATCTCTTTTTGGTTTTTAGAGTTGATACTTATAGCTGAAATCAAAGCAAACAAAAGAACCTTGCCTCATCTCAGGAGGGGGCAGTGGGCATGGCAGGCAATTACAGAGTTTTTGGATTCTTCCTCCAAGTAATAATAAAAATATCTTTATTCAGTTTGTGTTTCAACACTTCTAATCTTGGGGAACTCACTAAATTGTAAGGTTATCCATTCACCAGGTAATCATTTTATCTGAAAATTAGAGGATACATACTAGGATAGAGGACTCAGAATAGTGACAATGTTTTCTCAAGGTGTAAATTTGGAACTCTGAGTGGGCCTACTCTCAATTTTTAAATTGTATGTGTTTGGTACAGATGCAGAGAAAATCAGGATAAGAATAAGTCTAACTAAGTATTTTGTGTAAGGCCTTTCTATCTGAATTTCTTTTAAAGAGGACTGAGTCTTCCCTCTCCTGTGCCAAAGCCCAAATAGAATATCTGCTTCCCCTCTTGCATCAGTCTCTAGTTACACTTCTCATTTCTATAGAGAAGATTGTTGCCCAGTATTAACGGGAATAACTAGGGACATGTAGTATACTGTAGTAGACAATAAATTTTTATTTTTTTTGGGACAGAGTTTCACTCTTGTTTCCCAGGCTGGAGCACAATGGCATGATCTCGGCTCACCACAACCTCCACCTCCTGGGTTCAAGCGATTCTCCTGCCTCAGCCTCCCGAGTAGCTGGGATTACAGGCATGCGCCACTACGCCCGGCTAATTTTTGTATTTTTAGTAGAGACGGTGTTTCTCCATGCTGGTCAGGCTGGTCTTGAACTCCCAACCTCAGGTGATCTGCCCATCTCGGCCTCCCAAAGTGCTGGGATTACAGGCATGAGCCACTGTGCCCGGGGGACAATAAATTTTAAAAGAAATAAAATTTGTTTTCAGAACTTAATCTAATGTTTAATCAGGAAATATTTGAAACATCAAAATATTTGAAAATTAGAAGTAAAACAAGGATATACCACATTACCAATGTTATTTAACATTGTTTTATAGATATTAACCAAAACACTTACATAAGAAAAAAAATTAGGTTAAAAATTACAAAAGAGGGCATAAGATTATCGCTTTATAGATGATGTGACTGTGTAACTGAAAAACCAAATCTGCTTGTGATCAGCATTTTGAAATAAGCAGGATTCCATATGAAGCAAGCAAAAGAAAAACTTTTTCCTCATAATTTCTACTCTCAACCCTCTCTGTGGGTTAATTTTTTTGTTGCCCTGGATAAGAACTGGTATAGACTATAATTTTTATCACTCTTTGATGTCCTTTGATTGTTTTCAGTCAAAATCTAGTCTCATTTTACTAATTACAACCTCTAGTTCACTGTAATAATATGTGAGTTTCATTTAAAGCCTCTTCTCTGAGCTGAGAATTGCTTCAAGCTTGCAAAGTATGAAAAGGGACATAATTAAGCTTCTTGATTTCCTCGCCCTGAGCTTCTATTTCTCCTGCCTAAGTCAGTCTCTGGATCCTATGAGATTAGAGCAGGGGTAGGGAAGAGGAGGTAAGGAAAAGAAAAGTCTTTCTTGACTTGTTTTGGTGTTGATCTCTTTTGCCTTGATGGATGTTCAACACTCCTTTGTTAGGAGACACTATTAAGAGTCTCTCAGAGAAGCCCCTGCTGGAAACCTCTAATTGCATTTCCTGGGATATGCACAGCATGTCTTCTTGAAATGGCTACTTATGACATCTGTCATACACTTCTGCATTCTGTGATCCATTCCTTTGTTGAGGTCACTTTGTCCCTTTATTGGGTCCACATCTAGTCCAAAGAGGGAAATAGGTACTAATCTTTGTGCCCCCTAAGCTCCAGAGAATACAGCAAAAATTATTCCAAAGTATCTCATCATTCCACTTTGGACCCTGGAGTCTAAAGGGGCCCCCTTGCTTGTCCTAAGGTGAGGGAGAAGTACCCTCATTTCTCCTATCAATTGGGAATGTGTGTCCTTTTATAAACAAAATTTTTGGGACACTAACTGAGTGTCCTATAGTTTAACTGAATTCTGACACTACCCAGAGTTAACATAGACCCCATTGCTTAAGAGGCTCAGTCCCAGCTGGTCATGCCTATAATCCCAGGACTTTGGGAGGCCGAGATGGGAGGATCACTTGAGGTCAGGAGTTTGAGAACAGCCTGGACAACATGGTGAACCCACATCTCTACTAAAAATACAAAAATTAGCTGGATGTGGTGGTGTGTGCCTGTGGTCCCAGCTACTCAGGAGGCTGAGGCAGAAGCATTGCTTAAACCTGGGAGGCAGAGGTTGCAGGGAGCTGAGATCGCACCACTGCACTCCAGCCTGGGTGATGGAGTAGACTCAGTCTCAAAGAAAAAAAAAAAAGACTCAGTCCCACAAGACTGTACCTGCTTCAGACACCAGCCACAAGTCTAAGGCACTGCACTTCTGCCTAGCCAGCCAAAAATTTAGAGGTTCCCGTAACTCTCCTTCAGGTTCAATAATTCATTAGAATAACATATAGAACTCAGGAAAGCACTATACTTATGATGATAGTTTTACTTTTTTGTTGGTTTCTTTGTTTGTTGGTTTTGAGATGGCGTTTCACTCTGTTGTCCAGGCTGGAGTGCAACGGCACAATCTCGGCTCACTGCAACCTCCGCCTCCCGGGTTCAAGCAATTCTCCTGCCTTGGCCTTCTGAGTAGCTGGGATTACAGGCATGCGCCACGACACCTGGCTATTTTTTGTATTTTTAGTAAAGATGGGGTTTCTCCATGTTGGCTAGGCTGGTCACAAACTCCTGACCTCAGGTGATCCACCCCCCTTGGCTTCCCAAAGTGCTGGAATTACAGGCATGAGCTACCGCACCCGGCCTGATTATAGTTTTATTACAAAGGATACAACTAAGGAACAGCAAAATGGAAGAGATGCATAGGGCAAGGTATGGGGAAGGGCCTGCATATCTGGAAAAGGTCTTAAAAGTATTTTTGCCTAAGAAAATGTCTGAAATGAAAGATTCATTCAGTAGTATTTATATTGTGGAAATTTCTGCTACCATAAGGGTATAAAAGTTGAATTTGTTTATGTTAATAGGGAATAATTATGACAGTCTTATAAGAATTGTAATTTCCAAGAAACTTAAAGTATGCTGTTGTCTAAGTGATACTTTAAATTTATGTTTAACCCATTTCGCATTTTAAAAATTCAAGAAATGGGCCAGGCGTGGTGGCTCACGCCTGTCATCCCAGCACTTTGGGAGGCTGAGGCAGGTGGATCACTTGAGGTCAGGAGTTTGAGACCAGCCTGACCAGCATGGTGAAACCCTGTCTCTACTAAAAATACAAAAATTAGCTGGGTGTGGTGACCGGCGCCTGTAATCCCAGCTACTCGGGAGGCTGAAGGAGGAGAATCGCTTGAACCCGGGAGGTGGAGGTTGCAGTGAGCCGAGATTGTGCCACTGCACTCCAACCTGGGCAACAAGAGCGAAACTCCGTCTCAAAAAAAAAAAAAATTTTTCAAGAAATGTTAAAAGACATGAAAAATGGCAGGGCATTGTCCCACTAACCCAATCCTACTCCCCTTAGGTGGCTACTCTTTTTGCTGTTTCTCTTAGCATTTTTCCTATATTTCTAATTAATATTCCTATATTGCTATTTTTTGATACATATTTTCCAGTGATTTCTAGGCAGGTAACTATGGATTGAGATTTCCCATACCACAGTCTTCATTTTTTGTCCATGCAATAGAATTATATCACAATTTTTCTTTTCTTTCTTTCTTTTTTTTTTTTTTGAGACAGAGTCTCACTCTGTTGCCCAGGCTGGAGTGCAGTGGCGCAATCTTGGCTCACTGCAACCTCCGCCTCCCAGGTTCAAGTGATTCTCCTACCTCAGCCTCCCGAGTAGCTAGGATTACAGGCGTGCACCACCACGCCCAGCTAATTTTTGTATTTTAAGTAGACACGGGGTTTCATCATGTTGGCCAGGCTGGTCTCGAACTCCTGACCTGGTGATCCTCCTGCCTCGGCCTCCCAAAGTGCTGGGATTACAGGCATGAGCCACCATGCTCGGCTCATAATTTTTCTTTCAATCATTGCTATCCCTGTGATTAGGACCTTGCAGACATTGTTGCAGACATTAGGACCTTGCAGACAATGTGAGCCAAGTAAAACACCAGATTCTGGATTCTTTCTAATACAATTTGTATTTTTCTCAGAGGAAATTGCCTTGTTTCTTCTTTTGCCCGGTTTTATGTATGTGTCACTATTTTTTTCAAATTCTCTAACATTGCTGTCAGTTGCCTGTCAATATTTTCTACATGATGAAACATACTAGCTCCTTAGTTTTCTTTGGAGATGTCTTTCCTATAGTCCTCACTTCTTCTGTTCCTAGATGCTGTTCTCTCAGTCTGCTGCCGGATGATGTTCTAGGATTTGCCTTTTATAATTATACTGGCACTTTCATCACCATTTTCATGTTAGTTTTACAGTTTCTTAATATAGTACCTTTTCTTTTTCCTAATTTACTACCTAGTTTTGATGGAACATGTAGCCTAGTAGCTTCCTAAGAAAAGCCACATTGGAAGTACTTTTATCATTCCCTGCAGATTTAAAATTGTCTTGATTTAATCTTCATAGTGGCTTAGTAATCTGACTGGCTATAGAATTCTAGGTCAGAATTTATTTTCCTTTATAATATTAAAGGAATTGCTTGGTTTTTTCTTATTTCAAATGATGCTATTGAGAAGTCTATTGCCATTCTGATTTCTGAAAACTTATGTGATCTGTGTTTTCTTCTGGAAGCTTTTAGAAACTTTCATTTTTGTTTTCCCCTGATATTCTGAATTTTTACTCCATGTATTATAAGGTGTGTTTGAAAGCCCCTCCCATTTTCCCCTCTCTTGGGGCATAAAGGGAAAGCGGGGAGGGGGAAGAAACTCACTAATTGAGCTGAATGCATGCTATTTCATATCACTGGAAAAGTCCAGTCTATTTGTATATCCCTTTGTACACAGGACGTATATCTTCTGATATGATAGGATTCACCCCCTTTAATTTTGCTTACTCTGTCCTTTCTTGCCACCTCTACCGCCATCTTTTTCTTTTCTCCTTTCATTGTGAAAGCATGTTTGTTGTTTCAGGGGCCGGTGATGTTCAGGGATGTTTCCATAGACTTCTCTCAAGAGGAATGGGAATGCCTGGACGCTGATCAGATGAATTTATACAAAGAAGTGATGTTGGAGAATTTCAGCAACCTGGTTTCAGTGGGTAAGGATAACTATTCCCCAAAATTCAGAGTGTGCCCTTGGAAGTGTCTCCTTTCTCCATTGTGAATTATTTGCTTCATGTAACCAGCTGAATTTCTGCTCCCTGTTCCCTAAGGAATGGTTTGAGTTAAAATAGAATGGAAGAGTTGGAAGTGGGCAGCTCCAATGGGCTGTGGCTGAAGCTTCATCTTCTCCATCTTTCTCCGGTCCTTCTTGTAGTGGCATCTCTCCTTTGATCACTAAGGGACTGGATCTGATTTCTGGGGACCCCACAGCATAACCATGTCCCATGTCTTTTCTTGTGAACAGGACTTTCCAATTCTAAGCCAGCTGTGATCTCCTTATTGGAACAAGGAAAAGAGCCCTGGATGGTTGATAGAGAGCTGACTAGAGGCCTGTGTTCAGGTAAGTAAGAGATGATGGCTCAGGAGCAGGGCTATAAAGAGATATACTTCTGAGATGTTATCAGGAAGCTCCCTTTAAAGGCCTGAAGCCTCTTCCATATAAGCTATCCCACTTTTTTTTTTTTTCTCATACTTTTTCCCTAGTCCAATATAGCAAGTACCTCCCTGGCTACAATTATGCTATAATTATTCTAGTCACATTTTAGTTTCATTCCTTCCTATGATACGCTACGTTTAGATTTGTATAACAGTAGACATTCCCACCCTGAGAAATAGATGTAAGTGCATGTGTGTCTTTTTCTTTCCCTGTGCTTGTTTTCATTTTATCTACTTTCAGCTATTTAACATCTTTGACCAGTTTGTTCTGGATTTAAAAGCTCATTCTTTCATTTATCAAACATTTGATTATTTCTTACTTGAAAACAAAATTGAAGTATAACATACACACATAAAACTGCATGACTATGATTGCATAGTATGGTGAAATTGAGAATGGTGAAACCACTACTAGGACGATAAATAGAACATTACTAGCACCTCAGAACCCCTTCTCTGCCCCTTCCCAATCACCAGCCTCTTTTTCCTCTCTCAAAATAAATACCATCCTGACATTTGGCACCATGGATTCGTTTTGCCTATTTTTGAACTTTGTATAGACGCAATCACACAGTATTTAGTCTTTTGCCTTTGGCTTTTTTTGCTCAACATTATGTTTATGTGACATATCTATGGTGCTGCATATATCTGGTGTTAGTTCATTCTTATTGGCTATGTTATATTTCATTCTATGAATATATACATATATATATATATATACATTTTTTTTTTTTTTTTTTTTTTTTGAGATGGAGTCTTGCTCTGTTGCCCAGGCTGGAGTGCAGTGGTGTGATCTCAGCTCACTGCAACCTCTGCCTCCTGGGTTCAAGCGATTCTCCTGTCTCAGCCTCCCGAGTAGCTGGAACTACAGGCCTGCGCCACCACGCCCAGCTAATTTTTTGTATTTTTAGTAGAGACAGGGTTTCAACATGTTGGCCAGGCTGGTTTCAAACTGCTGACTTCAGGTGATCCACCCGCCTCAGCCTCCCAAAGTGCTGGGATTACAGGCGTAACCCACTGTGTCCTGCTTCATTCTATGAATATTTTTTAAATTATGCTTTATATATTATTAATTACTATAAGTGTCCTTCTGTTGACAGTTGGTTTGTTTGCAGTTTTTAGCTATTAAACATAATGCTGCTGTGAACGTTCCTGTGTATAACTTTTGGTAAATGTATGTACACATTTCTTTTAGGTATATACATAGGAGTGGAATTACTGAGCAATAGGATATGTGTGTGTTCAACTTTAGTAAATATACCAATTTTCCAAAGTAGTTATACCAATTTGCAGTTCTACTAGCAGTATGAAGGTTACTATTGCTCTGCATTCTTACATTCTTACCAGTTATTATTGCCAGGCCCTTTAATTTTAGTTATTCTGATGTGTGTGTTCTGTGACATGCCTGTTTAAGTTTCTTGGCTAAACTTAGTCGGTTGTCTATCTTTTTCCTGTTGGTTTCAAAGAATTCTTATTATATTCTATGTATCAGCCCTGTGTTTGGTTATACATGATGTAAATATCTCCCACCACTTTATACCTTGCCCTTTACTCTTTTAATAGTACCTTTTGATGAACAGAAGTTATTAATTTTAATGTGGTCACAGTTATCTTTTTCTTTATAGTGTTGCTTTTTTGTGTCCTGGATAGGAATCATTGCCTACCCCAAGGTCTTGAAGATATTTCCTATGTTATATTCTAGTAGCTTTATTGTTTTACTTTTTCCATTTAGATCTACTTTCCTGAAGTTGGTATTTGTATGTGTTGTGAGGTAGGGGTCAAATTTCATTTTTTTTCCATGTGAATATCCAGTTGACTTCTTAGTGTTTATTGAGATGACTGTCCTTTTCCCATTCTATAGAGATAGGACTATATCTATCTTTTCCCCAATAGAAATAGGACTACCTTTGTCATAAATCAGGTATTCCTATTTCTGTGAGTCTATCTCTGAATTCTGTTCCTTTGGCTTATTTGTCTATCCTTGTGCCAATACCACACTATATTAATACTGTAGCATGTAATAAATCTTATCTAGTAGAGCAAGTTCTCCTGCTGCTGCTTAGTCCTTTGCATTTTCATTGTAAATTTTAGTATTAGGCCGGGCGCAGTGGCTCACGCCTGTAATCCCAGCACTTTGGGAGGCCGAGGTGGGTGGATCACCTGGGGTCAGGAGTTCAAGACCAGCCTGGGCAACATGGTGAAACCCCATCTTTACTAAAAATACAAAAATTAGCCAGGTGTGGTGGCGGGCACCTGTAATCCCAGCTACTCAGGAGGCTGAGGCAGGAGAATCGCTTGAACCAGGGAGGCGGAGGTTGCAGTGAGCCGAGATCACACCATTGCACTCCAGCCTGGGGGACAAGAGCAAAACTTGGTCTCACAAAAGAAAAAAAAAAAAAATTTAGAATTAGCTTATATAGTCATTTGAAACTTAATCAAAATGCCAAGTTATTTTTTCATGAGAATATTAATATCAGTTTGTGGAGAATTAAGATTTTTAAATAGCAAGTCTTATAAAAATGTTTGACTTTTTAATTTTATACACTAGTCTGCTAGGTGCTGTACAGTTTAGAAAATGTGTAGGCTTATTAAGAAACTTGTTATCTAATGTAGGAGCTAGAACATTGCTGTAAATAATTTCTACAGGATAAGATTCATCAATGAGAAGATCAAATAGGACGCTCAGAAGAAAGTTGTAAAACAGTCAAAAAATATGGAAGTGGAAATTGATCCAAGTAGAAGTTAATGGTTGGAGCCCTAGAAGTAGATGTTGTTACCTATGGAGTTAGCGTTGGAAATAGAAGATCCATGTGTCCCTTGAGAAAGAATTCTAGATTTAACAAAGCTCTAGGAACCTAGGGAGGAGTTTGTGAATCTTCACTTTTTCCCAGCTATCAGTTGATCTTAGCTGCCTTCAAGTATTTTTATTTCTGTCTCTCCTACCACTTTTCCTCCCTACCAACTTGCTAATTCACCCCCTTCTTAATCTTACCTTAACCTTGTACCTTTGTACTTGAAAGGTGGTCTCTGTTTATTCCTTTTTCATTTTAAAATAATTAATTTTCATTAAAGTAATATATTTACAGAGTTTGAAATCACAGTGTTATAAAGCTTATATTGAAAAACAGCAGCCCAGACCAGGCGCGGTGGCTCACACCTGTAAACCCAGCACCTGGGAGGCCGAGGCGGGCAGATCACTTGAGGTCAGGAGTTCGAAACCAGCCTGGCCAACATGGCAAAACCCCGTCTCTACTAAAAATACAAAAATTAACCGGGCATAGTGGCAGGCGCCCGTAGTCCCAGCTACTTGGGAGGCCAAGGCAGGAGAATCGCTTGAACCCAGGAGGTGGAAGTTGCAGTGAGCTGAGATCATGCAACTGCACTCCAGCCTGGGCAACAGAGCAAGACTCCATCTCAAAAAAAGAGAAAAAAGAAAAACAGCAGCCTGCTTTTTCACATATACATTCCTACCATGACTGCCCCAGTCCCTCTCATCAAAGATAATACATTTTCAACTCTTACTTTCATTCTTCTGATACCTACCTTCAAATTTTGCATAGTATGTTTTGTCTTTCTGTGATACATCAAACTATAAAAGTATTTCTTGATGTCTTTTTCTGATAGTTGAGGGCTGGTCTCTCGTAATCACTGTATGTATCTTGCCTATAGCAATATATTCATAGTTTATATCCTGATTACACAAATGTTGTTATAACTTTCCTGTTACCTACTTAATGTGCATCCCCATTGGTGTTATGCCTTATGTTTATTTGTATTGTAGTTTGTACTTTCTATTTTCATATCTTTGCTTAATAATAGTCACTTAGGAGTGTTTTTACATATTCTTCCCAAGTTCAAATACTGGATTGAAAATAAACCCATCAAAACTGAGATGTCTTTTTTATGTATCAGTTTTACATTTTGGAACAATTGGTTTTTTTAAGACAAAACTATTGTTATTTTTTTTTTCGAGACAGTTTTACTCTTGTTGCCCAGGCTGGAGTGCAGTGGTGCAACCTCAGCTCACTGCAACCTCTGCTTCAGCCTCCCGAGTAGCTGGGATTAGAGGCACCTGCCACCATGCCCGGCTAATTTTTTTATTTTTAGTAGAGACGAGGTTTCCCCATGTTGGCCAGGATGGTCTCGAATTCCTGACTTCAGGTGTTCCACCCACCTTGGCCTCCCAAAGTGCTGGGATTACAGGTCTGAGCCGCCGTGCCCAACCTATAATTTCCTTGATAACAAAAGCATATCTATTACATTTCTGTTATGATTATTCCCAGATAGTCTCAACTACTCAAATTATAAAGAAAGATGTGGGAGGTAGGTAATTGAGAACTGTGATATATAAACATTTTAACAGACTCCTGACATGTGATACCACTCCCCCAATAGCCACCCACATTCCTTATAAGCCTTTATAAAAAGGACAGAAATGCCCTTTTGCACATTTGTGCCCTGCACATACTATAACTAAAATTACCCTTGACCCAAAAACAAAACAAAACAAAACCACATGTATTTATTTATATTACCCAAAGGTATAGCCATCCTCTAACATAAAAAACAAGGCATACATATTAAATAATAATGGCATATTTGTTAAAACTATTCTTAGAAATCAATGTTTTAATACCTTATGTTAGAAATCATCCAGGTTTTCGAGGATTATCTATTAATTTTTCTTACTTAATGTCCATTTTCTTGAAGTTGACTAAAAATCTTGACTACTGTATTTAAACTGACACACTACAGAGCAACACAGTTACTTTTTTTCTTCTTCTTCTTTTTTATTTTTGAGATGGAGATTCGCTCTGTCGCCCAGGCTGGAGTGCAATGGCGTGATCTCGGCTCACTACAACCTCCGCCTCCCGGGTTCAAGCGATTCTCCTGCCTCAGCTTCCCAAGTAGCTGGGATTACAGGCGTGCGCCACCATGTCCAGCTAATTTTTGTATTTTTAGTAGAGACGGGGTTTCACCATGTTGCCCAGGTTGGTCTCTAACTCCTCACCTCAAGTAATCCACCCGCCTTGGCCTCCCAAAGTGCTGGGATTATAGGCGTGAGCCACTGCACCCGGCCCAACAGTTACTTGGATGTCAAAAAGTCTGACAGAACTATAATTTGATTTGGTTTAACACATAATTGTATAGTTTTTATTATTTTATTTTATTTTATTTTATTTTATTTTGAGACAGAGTCTGGCTCTGTTGCCCAGGCTGGAGTGCAGTGGTGCATCTTGGCTCACTACAACCTCCACCACACCCGCCTCTCCCAGGCTTAAGTGACCCTCCCACCTCAGTCTCCCTAGTAGCTGGGACTACAGGTGCACGGCACCATGACCGGCTAATTTTTGTATTTTTTGTAGAGATGGGATTTTGCCATGTTACCCAGGCTGGTCTCGAACTCCTAAGCTAAAGTAATCCGCCTGCCTTTGCCTCCCAAAGTGCTGGGATTACAGGCGTGAGCCACAGCACCCGGCCTAGTTTTTATAATCTTAAAATTTACATTTTGCACTGATAAAATCAGGAGGAAGATGTATAGCTATTTTTAAACCAGAATTATTAAGCCAGTCTTTTTAAAAATTTCTGTTTTTGAGCTAGCAGTTCTTGTGAGGTTGTGGGGTTATTTTTGCGGGGTGCGGGGGGGTACTTGTTTTTTTTTTTCTTTTTTTTTTGCAATTTTATAACTATTTGATGTATTTGACAATCAGTGATTAGTTCTCATCCACATTGACTGTCTGTAGATTTTTGAAAGTGGTAACAGATACATAGATAACCAAAGTATAGAGTTTATTTGGTGAATCTTCATCCCCATTACGTATTCTGGACAACCGCACATGGATTCGTTATGGGACATTCCTTATTCCTTTGGCCCAGACAGCTTTGTTGAGCCTGGTATCAGTGCGCACATCTGGAGTTCCCATCTCCTTCATGGCAAATTTCTGAATCTCTTTGAGTGTCCGAGGGGCACGCTTCTTGAAGCCCACTCCATGGATGCGCTTGTGCATACTGATGGTGTATTCTCAGGTCACCACCTTGTGGATGGCAGAACGGCCCTTTTTCTTCTCACCACCCTTCTTTGTGGGAGCCATTCTGCCGGATCCAAGTTGGAAAGACTTGTTTATTTTTTAAGGCTAGCACATTCAAACTACTAGAAGTTTTCTGTGACTGTCTTTGCACTACAATCACACACTTGGATAGCCCACAAAGCTGAAAATATTTGCTATCTTATTCTTTATTTAAAAAGTTGCCCAACCCCTGCTCGCTATGAACCAGAGTAGCACTCCTTTAATTTTGTTGTTTTATTTTCAGCTTTATTAAGGTATAATTCACATACCATATAGTTCACCCACATAAAATGTACAATTCAGTGATTTTTAATGTAATAGAGTTGTATAACCATCACCATAATCAATTTTAGAACATTTTTATCACCTCAGAAAAATCCCTGTACACTCTAGCTGTTATTCCCACCCCCTCCAGCCCCAGGCAACCATGAGTTGATTTTCTCTATGGATTTGCCTATTCTGGACATTTCATATAAATGGAATTGTACAATATGTGGTCTTCTGCAAATTCCCTATTTCATAACTTAATGCTTTTCAGGGTTCATCCGTGTTGTAGCATGTATCAGCATTTCATTCCTTTTTATTGCCAAATACTATTCCATTTTATGGATATAGCACATTTATCCATTGATCAGTTGATGGACATTTGGGTTTCCTCTTTTGGGCTATTTTGATTAATGTTGTATGAACATGTCTATAAGTTTTTGTGTGGACATAAGCTTTCAGTTCTTTCAGGTTTCTACCTAGGAGTAGAATTGCTGGGTCATATCATAACTCTGTGTTTAGCCAGTTGAGGAACTGCTAGACTCTTTTCCAAATTGGCTGCACCATTTTACATGCCCACCAGCAGTGTATGATGGTTCCAGTTTCTCCACATCATTTGCTAACACTTGTTATCTTTTTTTTTTTTTTTTTTTTCTGAGACAGTCTCGCTCTGTTGCCCAGTCTGGAGTGCAATGGCACAATCTTGGCTTACTGCAACCTCCACCTCCTGGGTTCAAGCAATTCCCTTGCCTCAGCCTCCTGCGTAGCTGGGATTACATGCTCATGCCACCACACCCAGCTAATTTTTGTATTTTTAGTAGAGATGAGGTTTCAACATGTTGGCCAGGCTGGTCTTGAACTCCTGATTTCAAGTGATCCACCTGCCTCAGCCCTCCAAAGTGCTGGGATTACAGGAGTGAGCCACCACACTTGGCCTGGTTGTTTTTATTTATTTATTAATCTTTATTTTTAATTTTTTGGGTACATAGTAGGTATGTATATTTATGGGTTACATGAGATTTTGATACAGGCAGGCAATGCTTATATCAGGAGAAATGGGATATCTATCACCTGAAGCATTTATCCTTTGTGTTACAATCTTATTGTACTCTTAGTTTTTAGGGGAATTTTTTTTTTTTTTTTTAAGACAGAGTCTCACTCTGTCACCCAGGCTGAAGTGCAGTGCTGCAGTGCTGTGATCTCTGCTCACTGCAACTTCTGCCTCCCAGGTTCAAGTGATTCTCATGCCTCAGCCTCCCAAGTAGTTTGGACTACAGGCACATACCACCACGCCCAGCAAATTTGTGTGTGTGTGTGTGTGTGTGTGTGTGTGTGTGTGTGTGTGTGTGTGTGTGTTTAGTAGAGACAGAGTTTTACCATGTTGGCCAGGCTGGTCTTGAACTCCGGACCTCAAGTGATCCACCCACCTTGGCCTCCCAAAGTGCTGGGATTACAGACATGAGCCACCATGCCCAGCCTCTTTTAGTTATTTTTAAATGTTCAATTAAATTATTTTTGACTACAGTCACCCTGTTTTGCTAGCAAATACTAAGTGTTACTCATTCTTTCTATTTTTATATGTGTTTAAAAAAAAATTTTTATATGAACCTTTTTTTAAAAATTA
Source organism: Homo sapiens (assembly GCF_000001405.40). NCBI lineage: Eukaryota > Metazoa > Chordata > Mammalia > Primates > Hominidae > Homo > Homo sapiens. The sequence continues at coordinate 36,899,877 of NC_000019.10, read as the reverse complement.
TTGTATAAATTCTAGGTGTACAACATGATGTTTTGATACACATACATATTGAAATAATTACTATAGTTAAGCAGATCCTATCAAATAACTATAATCTTTTCTTCTTTCTTTTTTTTTTTGTTTAGGGTAAGAGTACTTAAAACCTACTTTCCTGACAAATTTCTAGTATACAATAGAGTATTACTAACTATAGTCCTCCTGCTATACATTAGATTTCTCATGAGCTTTTTTTTTAGTTTTTATCGATACAAATTATACATATTTATGGAGCACAAGCAATATATTGATACATTCATACAACGTATAAGGATCAAATCAAGGTATTTAGATACCCATCACTTTGAATATTTATCAATTGTTTTATACATACATATATATATATGTATTTTTTTTTCTTTTACTAATAGAATGTACCCAGTGTCATTTTTTGTGTATGTGAGAGAGTTTCACTGTCAGCCAGACTGGAGTGCAGTGGCCTGATCACAGCTCACCGCATCCTTGAACTCCCAGGCTCAAGTGATTCTACCACCTCAGCCTCCTAAGTAGCTAAGACTGCAGGTGCATGCCACTATACCTAGCTAATTTTAAAACTGTTTATAGAGATCGGGGGGGGTCTCCCTATGTTCCCCAGGCTGGTCTTGAACTCCTGGCCTCAAGTGATCCTCCTGACTTGGCCTCCCAATGTGCTGGGATTACAGTTATGAGCCGCTATGGCACTGCTATTAAGTTTTTTTGCTTCCTTGTTAATTCTGGATATTAGTCCCTTCTCAGGTGAAGAGTTTGCAAATATTTTCTCCCATTCTACAGGTCTCTTCACTCTGCTGATTGTTTCCTTTGCTGTGCAGAAGCATTTTAGTTCAATATAGTCCAATTTGTCTATTTTTTTGTTGTTGCCCCTTATTGAAAATATCTTTGAGGTCTTATCTAAAATATATTTGCCTATTCTTCTGAAGTGTTTCCCCTATGTTTTCCTGCAGTAGTTTTATAATTTGGGGTCTTATAGTTAAGTATTTAATTCATTTTGAGTTTATTTTTGTATATGGTGAGAGATACAGTCTAGTTTCATTCTTCACTATATGGATAACCAGTTTTCCCAGCACCATTTATTGAACAGCGTGTCCTTTTCCCTATGTCTGTTCTTGGCACCTTTGTCAACCATCAGTTGACTATAAATACATGGATTTATTTGTGGGTTCTCTCTTCTGTTCCATTGGTCTTTGGGTCTATTTTTATGACAGTACCATGCTGTTTTGGTTACGACAGCTTTGTAGTATATTTTGAAGTTTGATTCTTCCACTTTTGTTCTTTCGCTACAGATTGCATTGGCTATTTGGCATTTTTTATGGTTTCCTACAAATTTTAGGATTTTTTTTCCTGTTCATGTAAAAACTGACTGGCATTTCAGTCGGGATTGCATTGAATCTGTAGATTGCATTGAATCTGTAGATTGCTTTGGGAAGTATGTTCATTTTAACAATAGTTCTTCCAGTGCATAAGCATGCAAATATCTTTTTATTTGTTTGTTGTCTTCAATTTCTTTTGTCTGTGTTTTGTAGTTTTCCTTACAGAGGTCTTTCACTTCATGGTTAAATTTATTTCTAGGTTGTTTTTTGTAGCTATTATATTAATAAATGGGATTGTTTTCTTGATTTCTTTTTCAGCTAATTCATTATTGTGGATGTATAGAAATCCTTTTTTTTTCCCTTTTTGAGACAGAGTTTTGCTCTGTCTCCCAGGCTGGAGGAGTGCAATGGCATGATCTCAGCTCTCTGCAGCTTCCACCTCCTGGGTTCAAGCAGTTCTGCCTCAGCCTCCCACGTAGGTGGGACCACAGGTGCCTGCCACCACACCTGGCCAATTTTTGTATTTTTAGTCAAGACAAGGTTTCACCATGTTGGCCAGGCTGGTCTCAAACTCGTGACCTCAAGTGATCCACCCACCTCGGCCTTCCAAACTGCTGGGATTATAGGCGTGAGCCACCGTGCCCAGCGTACTACTTATTTTTGTATATTGATTTTGTATCTTGCAACTTTACTGATTTCATTGATCAGTTCCAAGAATTTCTGGTGGCATCTTTAGGTTTTTAAATATATGTAAGATCATGTCATCTGTAAAGGGACAGTGTGACTTTCTATTATCCAATCTGGATGCCTTTTATTTCTTTCTCTTGCCTGATTGCTCTGGATAGGACTTCCAGTACTATATTGAATAATAGTGGTGAATGTGGGCTTCTTTATCTTGTTCCAGTTCTTAGAGGAAAAGCTTTCGGCTTTTCCCCATTCAGTATGGTGTTAGCTGTACGTTTGTCATATATGGTCTTTATTATGTTATGTTTTTTAATGCCTAATCGTTGAGAGGTTTTTATAATGAAGAGACGTTGAAGTTTATCAGATGTTTCTCTGCATCTATTGAGCTGATCATATGGTTTTTATCCCTCATCCTGTTGATCTGATACATCATGTTTATTGATTTGCTTATGTTGAGCCATCCTTGCACTTTTCAGGAAAAATCTCACTTAATCGTTGTATATTATCTTGTTGTTGTATTATTGGATTTCATTTGCTAGTATTTCATTGAGGGGTTTTGTGTCTATGTTCATGAGGGATATCACCTCTTTTTGTTGTTGTTGTTGTGTCCTTCTCTGGTTTTGGTATCAGGGTAATGCTGGCCTTGTAGAATGGATTAGGAAGAATTAACTTCTCTTCCATTTTTTGGAATAGTTTGAGAAAAACTGAGGTTAGTTATTTGTAATTTTGGTAGGATTCAGCAGTAAAGCCCTTTAGTCTTGGGCTTTTTTTGTTGGGAGACATTTTACTATTGCTTCAATCTCATTACTCGTTATTGGTCTGCTCAGGTTCTTCTGCTCTGTTTCTTCCTGGTTCAGTCTTGGTAGGTTTTCATGTATCCAGGAATTTTTCTGTTTCCTCTAGGTTATCTGATTTGTTAGCATATAGTTGCCTGTAGTAGTCTTTGATGATCTTTAATTTCTTAATTGACCCAATGGGCATTCATGAGCAAGCACATTGTTTAAATTTCCATTTATTTGTGTGGTTTACAAAGTTTTTGTTATTGATTTCTAGTTTTATTCTAGTGTAGTCTGAGAAGATACTTGATATGATTTCAATTTTTAAAAATTAGTTATAACTTGTCTTATGGCCTAACGTATGGTCTCTTCCTGGAGGATGTTCCATGTGCTGATAGGAACAATGTGTATTCTGCAGCTGTTGGATAAAATGTTCAGTTAGTGTCTGGTAGGTCCATTTGGTCTAATATCCAGTTTAAATCCAAAGCTGTTGATTTTCTATCTAGATGAACTGTCTAATGCTGAGAGTGGGATGTTCAAATCCCGTACTATTATTTTATGGGAGTCTACCTTTTTTTGTTGTTGTTTTTTTGAGACAGAGTCTAGTTCCGTCGCCCAGGCTGGAGTGCAGTGGCACAATATTGGCTCACTGCAACCTCTGCCTCCCAGGTTCAAGCAATTCTCCTGCCTCAGCCTCCTGAGTAGCTCGGATTACAGGTGCATGCCACCACGCCCAGCTAATTTTTTTTTCTTTCTTTTTTTTTTTTTGACAGTCTTGCTCTGTCACCCAAGCTGGAGTGCAGTGGTGCGAACCCGGCTCACTTCAGGCTCCGTCTCCCAGGTTCACACCATTCTCCTGCCTCAGCCTCCCGAGTAGGTGGGACTACAGGTGCCTGCCACCATGCCTGGCTAATTTTTTGTATTTTTAGTAGAGACGAGGTTTCACCATGTTAGCCAGGATGGTCTCAATCTCCTGACCTCGTGATCTGCCTGCCTCAGCCTCCCAAAGTGCTGGGATTACAGGCATGAGCCACCGCGCCTGGCCACACCCAGCTAATTTTTGTATTTTTAGTAGAGACAGGGTTTCGTCATGTTGGGAAGGCTGGTCTCGAACTCCTGACCTCAAGTGATCCTCCCGCCTTGGCCTCCCAAAGTGTTGGGATTACAGGCATGAGCCACCATGCCCAGCCCTATCTCTCTTTTTAGATCTAATAATATTTGCTTATATATCTGGGTGCTGCAGTGTTGAGTGCCTATAAATTTAGAACTTTATATCCTCTGGCTGAATTGACCCATTTATCATTATATAATGACCTTCTTTGCTTCTTTTGCAGTTTTTTACTTAATGTCTGTTTTATTTAAGTATGGCTACTCTCACTTGCTTTTGGTTTGTTTGTGTGCAGTATTTTTTTTTCATCTCTTCACTTTCAGTCTATGATTTTATATATAAAGTGAGTTTCTCACAGCCAGTATATAGGTGAGTCATATTTATTTTATCCATTCAACCAGACTGTATCTTTTAAGTGGGGAATTTGACTGTTTACATTCAAGGTTATTATTAATAGGTGAGGATTTATTCCTAATCTGTTAATTTTTTATGGTTGTTTTATATCCTTTTTCTTTCCTCTTATCATTTGGTTTGGTGGTTTTATGTAATGGTTACATCTGAGTCCTTTCTCTTTCCATTTGTGTATCTGCTCTACCAGTGAGCTTCTTATTTTCATTTGTTTAATGATGGTAGATATGTCTTTTACTTCCAGATGTAGGACACCCTTTGCCATTTTTGATCGGGCCACCCTAGTTGTGATACATTTTCTCTGGGAAAAACTTTCTCCTTCATTTTTGAAGGATGGCTTTGCTAGGTACAGTATTCTTGGCTGACAGTGTTTTTTTAGCACTTTGAATATATCATCCCATTCTTTCCTGGCATGGAAGGTTTCTGCCAAGGTATCTGCTACTAGTTCTGATGAGGGTTCCCTTGTATGTGACTTGACGCCTGAGGGTTCCCTTATATGTGACTTGATGCCTTTCTCTTGCTTTTTTTAGAATTCTCTGTCTTTGACTTTTGACAGTTTGACTGTAATGGGCCTTGGAAAACCTTTTTGGATTGAATCTATTTGGGCATCATTGAGCCTTCTGTATCAGGATGTCTATATTGCTTACAAGACTTGGAAAGTTTTCAGTTATTTTGTTAAATAGGTTTTTATGCCTTTGCCCATCTCTTCTCCTAGAATACCCAAAATTTGAATATTTGGTTGCTTTATGATGTCCCATATGTCATCTAAGCTTTTTTCAGTTTTAAAAATTATTATTTTTTACTTTTTCTTCCTGGATTCTTTTAAAAAACCCTGTCCTCAAGTTCAGAAATTCTTTCTTCTGCTTGATCTAGTCTATTGTTGAAGCTCTCAATTGTGTTTTTTATTTCATTCATTGAAATTTGTCAGTTTCAGGACTTCTGTTTGGTTCTTTTTCATGATATCTATCTGCTGAATTTCTCATTCAGATCATGAATTGTTTTTTCTGATTCTTTTGGTTTTTATCCATGTTCTATTGTTTCCCACTGAGCTTCTTTAATATCATTATTTTGAATTCTTTTTCAGGCACTTGATAGATTTCTTGTTTGTTGGAATCTGTTGCTGGAGCATTATTGTATTACTTTGGAGATGTCATGGTTCCATGCTTTTTCGTGTTTCTTTTATCCTTACATTGATATCTGTGTATTTCTTGTTATGGTCATTTTTTCCAATTTTATGGATTTGTTTTCATAAGGAAAACCTTTTTCCTGTAGATGTATTTATAGTGTTGGTTGGGTAGGTTGCTTTGGCTTTGTTATAGGTGGATGCAGTGGTATAATCTCCATATGATTTCTCTGGCTGCAATCAGTGTCAGCAGTGTCTGTGAGTTCCTCAGTGGCTTAGGGCTTGGTTGTTAGTGGAAGCTGTGATGAGGCTTTTCTCATTGTTAGCAGGGCCAACAATGGTGATAGGATGAGGGGTATGCCAGGTAAAGGGGAGATCCATGTGGGAAGGCCCTGAGGGGCAGGGAGAACTTGAGGTGCTTGAAGGACTGGGGCTTCTTGAGCAAGTGGAAGTGGAGTATAACACAAGGTTGTAGAGGTAGGCAAGAGCCTCATTATTGGAGTCTTCTTGGTAATTACCAAGGAGTTTAGATTTTCAGGAGGGCAAAGTGAGACCAAATATCACACCAGGTGCTGAATGGATTAGAGGGTGCTAGAACATACTGGGGAAACCATTAGGAGATTCCTGTAGTGGTCTAGGAAAGAGGGGATTCAGTAATTAAATGAGGACAACTTTAAGAGATTTTTAGGGACTCACCCAGACTAAGTTTGGCCAATGATTGTGTGGAGGGAATACTTAAGATAGTCTAGCTGGCTTTATTTTGATGTCTTCAAGCCATTTTATTTGCCCAATATCTGTTTTTGCTATGACATTTTTTCATAATAATAGCTACCAATACTGAGTGCTTACTTTATATCAGATTATTTATATACGTTATTCCTCATCTTTTTAGCAATCATAAGTTAAGTGTCAGTCCCATTTTAATAAACAAGGAAAAGAGGGCTCAGAGGTTGCCTTAAAGCATAGAACTGGGGCTCACTGTTTATATGTTGACATGGAGTTCCATTCTTCTCATAGAGTACATTTCATCCTATCTTAACTCTCTTGTGTCTCAAACTTGAGCCACCTTCCTTCTCAATCACTGCTATGACTTGAATTATTCATTTCTTTCTCCCAAGGTCAACATCACAGAATTCCAGAGCAAATTATTTTCAGTGAGTTCCTAGCCCATATCATGCTGTATGCACAGAAGAGATGTACCTGTCTACTCTTCCCACCAGTTGTGTTCAGCATATTAGATTTGTCGGAGGCTGGTGATTTGCCAGTATACCATTGCACAGTCACTGAACTCCACCCGCCCCCGACATTTAAACCTTTCAACACATTTGTTATTCTTAACAGTCCTTTCATGTAGGTCTGACAGTTATCTACGAATTGCAAAACATACAGTATCATACTCTGTGCATGTGAGCATATGTTTATGAACGTGTATATAATTAGAATATCTCACGCATGGTGCATGCCCTGGAGCAGAAGCGGCATCCTGCTGGCCTGTCCTCCTCCATGGCCCTCCAGCTTAACCCCTGCCTGGGCATGCTGATGGCCTTGCAGTCGGAGCTCCACAAGCTGTACGACGAGGAGACACAGAGCTGGGTCTCAGGCAGCGCCTGTGGGGGATCTGGGGTGGGGGCAAAAAAAATTTTTTTTTTTTAATTAGAATCTCTCTATAATATGGAGGATGGTGCTGAACACTGTGTATTCACCAAGGCTTAAGGTGACTCTGGTTCAGACCAAAATTTGAGGATCATAGAGGTCATCTACTTTCTGAATCCACATCCTCAGCTTCTTTTATTACCTCTCCTAATGTCTGTGCTTTTCTTGTCAGTTTTACAGATTGCCTCTCCACCTTTGAAAACTGTGTAATTTCTCAGATATTCTTTTCAGTTTAATTCTCCCATTTCTTTTTTAGAAGTTTTAACTTGCCCAGAATAGGAAAATTTATTTGCCTTTGTATTTTCTTTCAGATCTGGAATCAATGTGTGAGACCAAAATATTATCTCTAAAGAAGAGACATTTCAGTCAAGTAATAATTACCCGTGAAGACATGTCTACTTTTATTCAGCCCACATTTCTTATTCCACCTCAAAAAACTATGAGTGAAGAGAAACCATGGGAATGTAAGATATGTGGAAAGACCTTTAATCAAAACTCACAATTTATCCAACATCAGAGAATTCATTTTGGTGAAAAACACTATGAATCTAAGGAGTATGGGAAGTCCTTTAGTCGTGGCTCACTCGTTACTCGACATCAGAGGATTCACACTGGTAAAAAACCCTATGAATGTAAGGAATGTGGCAAGGCTTTTAGTTGTAGTTCATATTTTTCTCAACATCAGAGGATTCACACTGGTGAGAAACCCTATGAATGTAAGGAATGTGGAAAAGCCTTTAAGTATTGCTCAAACCTTAATGATCATCAGAGAATTCACACTGGTGAGAAACCCTATGAATGTAAAGTATGTGGAAAAGCCTTTACTAAAAGTTCACAACTTTTTCTACATCTGAGAATTCATACTGGTGAGAAACCTTATGAATGTAAAGAATGTGGGAAAGCCTTTACTCAACACTCAAGGCTTATTCAGCATCAGAGAATGCATACTGGTGAGAAACCTTATGAATGTAAGCAGTGTGGGAAGGCCTTTAATAGTGCCTCAACACTTACTAACCATCACAGAATTCATGCTGGTGAGAAGCTCTATGAATGTGAAGAATGTAGAAAGGCCTTTATTCAGAGCTCAGAACTTATTCAACATCAGAGAATCCATACAGATGAAAAACCATATGAATGTAATGAATGTGGGAAGGCCTTTAATAAAGGCTCAAATCTTACTCGACATCAGAGAATTCACACTGGTGAGAAACCCTATGACTGTAAGGAATGTGGAAAGGCTTTTGGTAGTCGCTCTGACCTCATTCGCCATGAGGGAATTCATACTGGTTGAATGACAGTAAAGTAAGACCATTTTGTTAACCTTTATAATAATTTTTTTAAAACAGGTAAGGAGAACAAATTAGGATACATATTATCAAAGGTTCTCCTATGTATTCGTTTTTAAACGATACGATAACAAAGTACCAAGTACCAAAACCTTGGTGGCTTAAAACAAGAGAAATTTATTCTCTCATAGTTTAGAGCCTGGAAATCTAAACTCAAGGGTGCTGATCGTTTTGGTTCCTTCTGAGGACTCTGAGGATCTGTTCTATGCCTTTTTCCTAACCTCTGTTAACAGCTGGCAGTCCTTGGCATTCCATGGCTTTTACATACACCATTCCAATCTCTGCCTCCATCTTCACATTGCATTCTCGCTGTGTATCTCTGTGTATGTCTTTTATTTGGACACCAGTCAGGTTAGATTGGGGTTACCTGGTGACCTCATCTTAACTTGATTATATCTGCCAAGACCCTGTTTCCAAGTAAGGTCACATTTACCGGTACCAGGGGTTAGGACTTCAGCATATCTTTTTAGGGGATACAGTTCAACCCATAATACCCTGTTAGAATGATTTTGTCTAATATATTTGTAATTTCCTTTTATACATAAGTTGTTAGTCAAATTTATTTTATTTTATTTTATTTTGAGACAGAGTCTCGCTCTGTTGCCCAGGCTGGAGTGCAGTGGTGTGATCTCAGCTCACTGCAACCTCCAGCTCCTGAGTTCAAGCGATTCTTGTGCCTCAGCCTCTCAAGTAGTTGGGATTACAGGCATGCGCCACCATGCCCGGCTAATTTTTTTTTTTTTTTTTTTTGTATTTTTAGTAGCGACGGGGTTTCACCATGTTGGCCAGGCTGGTCTTGAACTCCTGACTTCAAGTGATCTGCCCGCCTCAGCCTCCCAAAGTGCTGGGATTACAGACGTGAGCCACCGTGATGGCCAAAACAGACTTTATACCAACAAAAATTAAAAAGGACAAAGAAGGTCATTTATAATGATAAAGGATAAATTCAACAAGAAGATAAAACAATCCTAAATATGTATGCACCCAACACTGCAACACCCAGATCCATAACACAGATACTACTAGACCTAAGAAAAGAGATAGACAGCAATACAACAATAGCAGGGGACTTCACCACTCCATTGACAGCACTAGACAGATCACTGGGACAGAAATCAACAAAGAAACTCTGGACTTAAATTGGACTCTACACCAAATGGACCCAACAGACATCTGAAGAACATTCTACCCAACAACCACAGAATATATACTCTTCTCTTCTGTGCATGGAACATTCTCAAAAATAGGTCATATACTGGACCACAAAGCAAGTATCAATAAATTTTAAAAAAACAAAATCATATCTAACATCTTCTCTGACCATAGTGGAATAAAACTAGATATCAATACCAAGAGGAACTCTCAAAACAGATACATGGAATTTAAACAGCTTGCTCCTGAATGATTTTTGGATCAATGATGAAACTAAGGTGGAAATTTAAAATTTTTTGAAATAAATGAAAATAGAGACAAAACACATGAAAACATCTGAGATACAGCAAAAGCAGTGCTAAGAGAGGATTTTATAGCATTAAATGCCTACACCAAAAAGATAGAAAAATCTCAAATGAATAGCCTAACGTCACATCTCAAGGAACTAGGAAAAAACAAAACAAACTCAACCCAAAGCTGGCAGAAGAAAAGCAATAACAAATATCAGAGCAGGCAAAAATGAGACTGAGAACAAAGGAATGCAAAAGATCAATAAAAGAAAAAGTTGGTTCTTTGCAAAGATAAAACTGACAGACCACTAGCTAGATTAACCAAGAAAAAAAGAAGATTCAAATAAATACAATCAGAAATGATAAGGTGATATTATAACTGATAACACAGACATATAAAATATCAGCAGAAACTATATGCACATATTAGAAAACCTAGAGGAAGTGGATAAATTCCTAGAAACACATAACCTTCCAAGATTGAACCAGGGAGAAATAGGAATCCTCAACAGACTACTGAGTATTGAAATTGAATCAGTAATAGAAAAAAATCTTGCAAAAACAAAAAGCCCAGGACCAGACAGATTCACAGCTGAATTCTACTAGACATGCAAGGAAGAACTAGTAACAGCACTATTGAAACTATTCCAAAAATTATAGGAGGGAATCCTCCCTAACTCATTCTACAAAGCCAGTATCATCCTGATACTGAAGCCAGGCAAGGATAAAACACACAAAAAAACTACAAGCCAATATCCCTGATGAAAATAGACACAAAAATCTTCAGCAAAATACTAGCAAACCAAATCAAACAGTACATAAAAAAGATAGTAACAGCACAGTCAAGTGGATTTTATTCCTGGGGTGTAAGGATGGCTCAACATATGCAACTCAATACATGATTCATCACATACACAGAATTAAAAATAAGCCAGGCACTCACACCTGTAATCCCAGCACTTTGCAAGGCCAAGGCGGGCAGATCACATGATGTCAAGAGTTTGAGACCAGTCTGGCTGACATGGCGAAACCCTGTCTCTACTAAAAATAGAAAAATTGGCTGGGCATGGTGGCAGGCACTGTAGTCCCAGCTACTTGGGAGGCTGAGGCAGGAGAATTACTTGAACCTGAGAAGCGGAGGTTGCAGTGAGCTGAGATAGTGCCATTGCACTCCAGCCTGGGCAACAGAGCAAATTGCTTGAATGTGGGAGGTGGAGGTTGCAGTGAGCCGAGATTATGCCATTGCACTCCAGCCGGGGGAGCAACAAAGCCAGACTCCATCTCAAAAAAAAACCAAAAAAAATCCTATTTAGTACAAGGTACATTATTTAGGTAATGAGTCCATTAAAAGCCAACACTTTCCCCACTACACTATATGTGTATGTAACACAACTGCCCTTGTAACTTCCTAAACCTATAATTAAGAAACAATAAAAGGCAAATTAAGAATGCTTTTTTAAAAGGTGGGGGCATTATGCTAATAAGTTACTGTGGATTTCAGAGTGCAGAGTAGAAAGATCACAAGAATTTAGTGTGGTAGGTGGGAACAGAAAATGGGTGTATAAATTTTATTGACGTGGGAGTACTGGATATTGTAGAGACAGATATCATCAGGGCAAGGAGATTAAAGATTTTTGCATTGACGGTTTGACACTATATTGTGGTAATAACACTGTATGTGTTGGGAGATAGAACAGGAAACATCTTCCCTGGAATATGTATACTATTAAATGTTTTATCAAACTTTTGATCAAACAAGACAGCACAATTTATAATTTCATTTCTATTTCTATGTTATGAGAAACTGATCATTTATTCAAATGTTTAACAGGCATGTTCATGTTACTATAAACTCTTCTGTTTCACCATCACGTTGTTGGTCATCTTTACTGATTACAAATTTCTTTACATATTTAAGAAATATATATATTTCTTTATATATTAAGGTTAGTGTTTGTCATATGTTGTTTCAGTAACTTTTCCTAATCTTTTGGCCTCTTTGGTATTTTTTAATAAGCAGAAATCTTTTTCACATGTAGTAAAATTTACAGTTTTTCCTGTACACATAACTATTATTTTTTCTAGATTAATATTTCTGCAGATTTGGAGTCATCCAAGAATTTAAATTGTACCTCAGGCAAAATCATGAGAATGACTTTAGGATCACTGTTACTGGCTCTAGAGTTCAGGAGACCCAATAAGTAGAGTGTGCCATTAGATGGAGTAAAATGTTGAAGAGGACCAAAATGATTCTGAGTCTCGAATCTTGACTTTTAGCCTAGCATGTCAGGAAACAGTGGTCTGGGCTCTACGTGTGTTCCTTTTGTAAAACATGGATCTAATATCATAGATGTAAATGACTCCATGTAATAACATTACTCAAATCATGATAAATCCGGCTCTGTGGATACACAGGAATGACTATTTATAAATAATTTGAATACTCAGCTTCATTCTCTATTGTAAAATATATAATTTGTTTTAGAACAGTTTTTAGATTTACAGAATAATTATAAAAGCAATAGAGAGAATTCCCATATACCCTACACCTAGTTTCCCCTACTACTAAAAACATCTTACATTATATGGTACATTTGTTACAATTAATTAACAAGTATTGGTACATTATTATTAGCTAAAGCTTACACTTTATTCCAAATGTTCTTAGGTTTTTAAGCTTTTCTTCCTTTTTCTGTTCCAGCATTCTAAGCAGGAGAACACATTGCATTTAGTCATCATTTCCCCTTAGGTTACTGTTGGCTGTGACAGTTTCTTCCTTGTTTTTTTTGTTGTTGTTGGTGGTGGTGGTGGTGGTGGTGGTGTTTTTTGAGATGGAGTTTTGCTCGTTGCTCAGGCTGGAGTGCAATGGTGCGGTCTCAGCTCACTGCAATCTCTGCAGTGAATCCCGGGTTCAAGTGGATCTCCTGCCTCAGCCTCCCGAGTAGCTGGGATTACAGGCACCCACCACCACCCCCAGCTAATTTTTTTTTTTTTTTTTTTTGAGACGGAGTCTCACTCTTTCGCCCAAGCTGGACTGCAGTGGCGCTATCCCGGCTCACTGCAAGCTCCGCCTCTTGGGTTCATGCCATTCTCCTGCCTCAGCCTCCCGAGTAGCTGGGATTACAGGCGCCCACCACCACGCCCGGCTAATTTTTTGTATTTTTTTTTTTTAGTAGAGACGGGGTTTCACCGTGTTAGCCAGGATGGTCTCGATCTCCTGACCTCGTGATCCGCCCGCCTCGGCCTCCCAAAGTGCTGGGATTACAGGCGTGAGCCACCGCGCCCGGCCCCCAGCTAATTTTTGTATTTTTAGTAGAGACGGGGCTTCACCATGTTGGCCAGGCTGGTCTCGAACTCCTGACCTCAGGTGATCCACCCTCCTCGGCCTCCCAAAGTGCTGGGATTATAGGCATGAGCCAGCGGGCCTGGCCCTCTTCCTCATTTTAAATGACCTTAACTATTTTGAGGAGGTCAGTATAGCGTAGAATGTTCCTCCGCTAAGATCTGACTGATGTTTTTCTCATGATTAGACTGAGGTTGTTTGCAGGAGGAAGATCACAGAGGTAAAGTGCCATTTTCCTCATAGATATCAAAGATTCATACTATCAGCATGATGACTTTTTGTTGGTCTTGATCACCTGAGTGAGGGAGTGTTTGTCAAGTTTCTCCAGTGTAAATTTAGTCTTTTCTCCCTTTTCCCATACAGTCATCTTTGGAAGTCACTATGCACAGCACGTACTTAAGGAGCGGGGTTATGCTCCACTTTCCTGAAGGCAGAATATCTACATAAATTATTTAGAATTCTGTACTGGAGATTTATCTCTTCTCCATTTATTTAGTTATTTATCTGATAATATAGTCATATCAGTATGAATGCATGGATATTTATTTTATACTTCGGGTTATAATCCAATACCACTTTATTTGTTGCTCAAATTTTCTTGGAGTGATATCATCTAAATCACTGTGGCTATGCTGTTGTGAACGCCCTGAAAGCTACACAAACAGACAAATTAGGTTATTATAAACATCTAAGTAACATAACCATGGTTAGGATCAGGATGGTATCAGGAAAGGTGATGAGAGGCGGGTAGAATTGGAATATAACTGGGGGGAAAGAATTTACTTTTCATTACATAACACTGGATTAACTTGGATATCCGTAGCAGTATTGATAATTAAACTTGACCCACTAAATCTCATACTGTACACCAAACTTCTCTCAGACTTCATTCTATGTGTCTCTTCCTGTGGCTAGTTGAAATATGTATCCTTTCACTATAATAAAGTTGTAATCATAGGCCAGGCACGGTGGCTCACACCTGTAATCCCAGGCAAGATGTGAGTGGTGAAATAAAGCCTCTAGGGGAAGAAAGAGAATACCTTCATAAGTTTGTAGGCATGAAACACACACACACACGCACACAAACATTTAAGACTCAAAGTTCTAACCATATATAGAAAAAGGTTGATAAACAGGAGTTCATTAAAATTAAAAACTCCAATTCATCAACCCATACCTTTAAGAGAGTGGAAATGCAAGCCACAAAGCAAAAGGCATTTGCAACATACATATCTAGCAAACAAATCAGATCCAAAATACACAAAGAATTCACACAAAGCAATAAGGAAAAGACACGATACGCATTTAAAACGGCCAAAGTCTTACCAACCCTGCATACAAGATATCAAAAAAGCTAGTAAGCAAGCATATGAAAAGGTATTCAACATTATTAGTCATTGGAAGTGAAAATGTAACTTTCTACATACTTATATAACTATATAATAGTTATATAATATTTCTATATATAATTCTAGTAACTAATACATTAGTATAGTCCCATTAGAATGACTATACAATACTAAGTGTGAAGAGGACATACAGCAAATGAAACCCTTACAGATTCTTTGTGGGAGTGTAAATTTGCACAATCACTTTGGAAAACTGACATTTACTAAATATAGCCTATCTCTGACTCAGCAATTCCATTCTGAAGTATACTGCCAATAGAAAAGAGTAAATATGTCTACATAAAGACATGTATAAGAAGGTTCCCAGAGTTGTAGAAACAATACAGATACCCATCAACGAAAGAATGAGTAAGTCAAAGTATATTCCTGTATAGTGATAAATTAACTTCACCCAAAGAGAGGTCTTGCCTTTACCTTGGGTACTGGGAGGCCCACTGGGGGTACTCTAGGCCTCTGGAATGTCCTGCCCAATAACAGTGTCTTGGTTTGGCTGGGTGCTTTGGATGGCCACCCGACAGTATAACATGATTTATGATGAGTGCTTTGAGGCATGCTATCTCAGTTTTGACTTCTGGGGAAATGGCAGACAAACAGTATTAGACAAACCAGCAAGAAGGGCAGAAAGACAAAGGTCAGCTATGTGGGCAGTATATTATCAAACCCCAAGAAAAACACTGGAAACCAAAGGCTAAGGTGAGCTTCCCTGGATTGCAACACTTATCAGTACACATTGTAGCTGGAAGGAGGTAATGCCATCCAGGACTCCATAGGGATAGGATGACCAGAAGACTCATCTTTGGACCCCTCTCAGACTTCATTCTATGTGTCTCTTCCTCTGGCTAGTTGTAATTTGTATCCTTTCACTATAATAAGGTTGTAATCATAGGCCAGGTGCGGTGGCTCATGCCTGTAATCCCAGCACTTTGGGAGGCTGAGGTGGGCAGATCACTTGTGGTCAGGAGTTCAAGACCAACATGGTGAAACCTCGTCTCTACTAAAAGTACAAAAATTTAGCTGGGCATGGTGGTGGGTGCCTGTAATCCCAGCTACTCACGAGGCTGAGGCAGGAGAATCGCTTGAACCCAGGAGGCGGAGGTTGCAGTGAGCCGAGATCGTGCCACTGCACTCCAGCCGGGGCAACAGGAGCAAGACTCTGTCTCAAAAAAAATAAAAATAAATAAGTTGTAATCATAGGTATAGTATTATCTTGAGTTCTGTGAATTATTATACTGAATTATCAAGGGTAGTCATGACAAGTCCCAAATTTGTAGTCAGCTGGTCTGAAGTATGGGTAGCCCTTGGAACCTCTGAACTTGTGCCTGGTGTCTGAAATGAGGGCAGTCTTGTGGAAACTATTCCTTCAGACTTCAGTTTCTCTAACTCAGTGCAATTCCCATAAAACACTACATAAATAAAAATGAATATTATGTCTGAGAGAGCCATCCTTATTGTTGCATGAAATAATGTTGAGCAAAAGAAACCAGACACAAAAAGGGTTCAGCGTACGATTCCATTTACATGAAGTGGAAAAACATGTAAGCTTATCTCTGGTTATGGAAATTAGGAGAGGGGCTATTTCTGGGCAATGGAATATTAATAGCAAAGCAGCACAAAGAAGCCTCCTTAGGCTGTAAATGTATATCAGTCTGGGCAGTGCTTACATAGGTGTACAATATTACTTCATCAAGTTTAACACTTAGAATTTATGCTATTGCCACCAGTATTTTATATACCTAAATAAAAATAATTCAAGTAGTGTAGAGAAGGCTACTGAACGTAGTGAGTGTGGAGTTCAAGGGAAACAAACCCACGGGGGTGAAATCACCAAGGAACAATTAAGTATAATTAGTAAATGTGTCAGAGGCTGAGTCTTAGAAAACTTCAATCTTTAGGGAACAGAGAGATGAAGAGAAACGATGCATTAAATGACCATGACGAGTAGCTACATAGGAAAGAGCAACAGAGTTTGAGAATTTTAGTTACTTTTCTGCTCTTTAATAGAAAAAGATATTTTAAAAGGTGATTTCATAGAAATTGAGTAAGCCTGCCTATAGATATATGGTGTTCTCCAATTAAAATACAAAAACAAATTGGGTTAAAAATAAAACACTAACTATATGGTGTTTATAAGGATATATACCTAGAACAAGCTGACACAACAGACCTAGTGCAGCTCTACTGGCCAAAGCAGAATTTTCAATATTAGAGAAATTGGAATTCAACATCACAGTGAAAAATACAGCAACCAAACATAAAAAGTAAAACCCCTATATTAACAGAAGACCTTGAAACAATATAGCTGGGCGTTTTGTGCCCACTTTTCAGAATTAAACAAAATAATCAGAGGATATTTAAATAATATAATCACGAAGCTTAATATAATTAAGTAGAACTTTGTGTTTTATAGAGAATATATATTATTTCACATCATATATCTATAAAATGTATTAAAAACCTAACGTATATTTGGCCACAAATAATAAATTAATGTTTTAACTTTTTAATGAAGTTTCACAGATCACACACATTATAAGTTCATATGCTAAATTTTTTTCACAGGTTTTTGAAAATTTAGAAACACACACAAACATACAGACACCTAGGTAACTAGTGAATCAAAGAGAAATCAAGATTAAAATAATAATTATCTAGAAGTTAATTTTTAAAAAACTATGGGGCCAGGTGCAGTGGCTCACGCCTGTAATCCCAGCACTTTGGGAGGCCGAGGCGGGCGGATCACGAGGTCAAGAGATCGAGACCATCCTGGCCAACATGGTAAAACCCCGTCTCTACTAAAAAATACAAAAATTAGCCAGGCGTGGTGGCGCATGCCTGTAGTCCCAGCTACTCAGGAGGCTGAGGCAGGAGAATCACTTGAACCTGGGAGGCGGAGGTTGCAGTGAGCCGAGATCACGCCACTGCACTCCAGCCTGGTGACAGAGCGAGACTCCATCTCAAGAAGAAAAAAAAACCATGGGCCCCAGATACAGCAATATTCAAAGGAAATCTTGTAGCCTTAAATGCTTCCAATTTAAAAGAGACTGAAAATATATTAACCAAGCACATGTACTCAACAGAAATACACACAAATAAAAAGAAAATAGTGAAATATATTTTTGAAATAGAAAAAGCAAACAAAAATAGTCAAAAGCATGAAGAAAACCCAGATAAGGTTTTTTTTAAAAAAAAAACAAGTAAAATGAATGGGACTCCTTCAAATCAATTTAGAGGAATAAAGTGGTTTAAAAATAAAACTATGAGTAGAAATACAAATATATATACAGAGACTGAAAACTGAAAGCCAATTCTGTTTGCCAATATCAACGAATTTGAAAATCTAAAGAAAAGGAACCATTAAAATCATTGATGAAGTAGTTTATCAGTTCTAAAATGCACTTTTTACCCCGCATTTTAATGTCTCTGAAAGTGGGTTTCAATATATATCTCCAACAGATTAATCTGCAGGACTTTAAAAATTAGTTTCATATTTAAAGTGATGTATTTTATATGTAGCATCTTAAGATTTCATGTTACTTTAGTCTGTTTTTAATGATTCCTATTCCATTCTTTTTAAAAATTAAAAAATCTAATTACCTCAAATTAAAAAGACATAAAATATACTAATGCTGATATATTTTCATCTTTTGCTCTTTCCAATGCAAAATGTGATTGAATGCCAGAATATTCACTCAAGGGACCTGACTGGGGGGTATAAAAGAGACTTTGGCTACAGGGTTTTTTTCCCCAGCCTTCCTAGATATAGTTTTTGCTTTATATCCCTTATATAATACCCATTTCTATGCCACTTTGAGTCAGTTCTGGTGATTAAAATCCTTTTACTAAAATGTTCAATTTTCAAAATAATTATTAAAAGGTTACATGTAATCGTAATAAACATAAGCTGAGTATCCCTCAAAATGCTTGGGACCAGAAGTGTTTTGGATTTTGGAATATTTGCATTATATTTACCAGGTGAGCATACTTAATCCAGAAGTCTGAAATTATCTTTGAGCATAATGTTGAGCTCAAAAAGTTTTGGAATTTGGAGCATTTCAGATATTGAATTTTCAAATTAAGCATGCTCAACCTGTAATCTGTAAAGTCTCTAGAGTAATGTCGCTTTTGCATTCATGTTCATATACCTTTATTTATGAGAACTGCTACTATTTTTGTTTTCAAAACATTAGGTTGTGATTGATCTAGCTTTTTTTATTCTAAAATTATTTTTCCCTCCCATTATCCTTAGGGTTTTTGTTGTAGTTATTCTTTCTCCAGCTTCTTGGGTTATATGCTTGGTTTCTTTATTTATAATTTCTTTAACATTCTAACAAATGAATGAATTTAGAGCTATAAAATTTCCTCTGTATATTACAGGTCCTCACAGGTTTTGCTATGTAATCTATTCAGTGCCACTTATTTAAAAAATAATGTATTTGATTTTAGTTAATTTACTCATTTATTTTTAGAGACAGGATCTTATTCTGTTTTCCAGGCTGGAGTGCAGTGGCACAATAATAGTGCACTGAGGCCTTGAATTCCTGGGCTCAACTGATCCTCCCACCTCAGCCTCTGGTAGCTGGAGGCCACCATGCCTGGCTCATTTTTAAAACTTTTATTGTAGAGATGGGGGCTTGCTATGTTACCCAGGCTGGTCTCAAACTCCAGGCTTCCAGCAATCCTCCTGCCTCAGCCTCCCAAAGTGCTGAGATTTCAGGCAAGAGTTACTGTGCCTGCCTGCATTTTATTTTTAAGCAAAGAATCATGCAGATGAGTACTGAATTAATATTTGGATTTCAATGGAGAAAACTGCTAGTTTTTTTACTTCTACCCTGGTACAAATTTTATAGTGTATTTGTCTTCTCACACTTTATAATCTTATTATTTTTTCTGTAGGACAATTTTTTATTTATTTATTTTTATTTTGTTCTGAGACAGAGCCTTGCTCTGTCACCCAGGTTGGAGTTCAGTGGTGCAATCTTGGTTCACTGCAACCTCCACAGGTTCAAGCAATCCTTATGCCTCAGACTCCCGAGTAGCTGGAACTACAGGCACACGCCACCATGCCTGGCTAATTTTTGTATTTTTAATAGAGATGGGGTTTCACCATGTTGGCTAGGCTCCTGGCCTCAAGTGATCCACCCACCTTGGCCTCCCAAAGTGCTGAAATTACAGGTGTGAGCCACTGTGCCTGGCAGCAAATATTCTTATTCAACAAGGAAAGAATGTCAATCAAATTTTCCCTACATTCATTTAAATGAATGTCTTTCTCCATTATGAGGTCTTTGTTGTTGAGTAAGGTATGGATCATGGCTAAAAGTTTTTCTAGAAATAATAAAGATGAAGCTTGAGAAGATAATAGTGATGGGTAACATTCACTAAGCATTTATTATGTGATAGGCACAATTATAGAATCCACACAATAAGGCTCTGAGGTATTGATTCTACCCACATTACCATAGGTATGTTACAGATGCATATAAAAGGATCTGGAAGAATAAGTAAATTGGTTAACATTGGAAAGGAACTGAGGCCAGGAATGCTGCTCAAAGGAAAGGCCGGCTTTATCTGTAATGTAAAAATCTTTTATATGCAAAAGCAATTGATACATTATCTCTGAAATGAACAATAAATAAATAAATCAGACACACTGAAAAGGGGCCATCAAGGTAAGTGTTTATAATGGCAAAATTTTTAATATTTGACAAAATTGGGGTTTGATAAAGACAGGTGAATACTATAAAGCCAATAAAATGGTAACAACATATTTACAGACAAAAAATATTAAGGGCTGGTTATAGTATAGCATAATCACACCTTGTTTCCAAAACAATGAGAGATAGTATTAAAGGATTTGCTCCAAAAGTTTGACAGTGATTATCTATGATTGGTAAGATTACAGGTAACCATATCCTTTTTTTCTTTTTATCTACATTATGATGAGGGAAAGCTGTTTTGCTAAAATGGAGAGTATAATTTTATAAAAGGAAAGTAAACAATCTTCTAAAACAAAAGGTACAGGTATTAAAGGATACTTAAAAGTAACAGTTATTGACCATAAACAGGATGAGACATAGATACATATATATAAATTTAAAAAACAAACACTGGGCCAGGCATGGTGGCTCATGCCTGTAATTCCAGCACGTTGGGAGGCCGAGGCAGATGGATCACGAGGTCAAGAGATCGAGACCATCCTGGCCAACGTGGTGAAACCCCATCTCTAATGAAAATACAAAAAATTAGCTGGGCGTGGTGGCGGGCGCCTGTAGTCCCAGCTACTGGGGAGCTGAGGCAGGAAAATCACTTGAACTCGGGAGGTGGAGGTTGCAGTGAACCGAGATTGCACCACTGCACTCCAGCCTGGTGACAGTGAGACTCCATCTCAAAAAAACAAAAACAAAAACAAAAACAAAAAAACACTGACCTGATATCCAAGCTTTATGTGAATAAAAATGTAACTTACCATCAAATAGTCAATAAAAAAAATATGAAAATGGACAAGGTTATTGAATAAATGGTGTTAGGATAATCAGGAAAGAAAAAAAGGATAAATTTAGACTTGCAATAAATAAAATAATTTTTCAATGAATCAGTAATTCTGTATAATACAAAAAAAAAAGACCATTGAAAAAATATAGTAGGATTAACCCAGAAATGAGTTTTCCAATGTTTAAAGTTGAGGCAAAATATAATAAATGATTTTTTTTTCATTTTTAACATTCACAAGTAAGAATTTTCCAAAAGTAATGAAGGAATGAATATAGATAAGGATCTTCAAATATTTATTTTATTTGGGGTGATTTTTTTCCTGTATAAATATTCTTAGACTGACTAACCTGTGAAGCATAAGTAAGGCATTTGTACCTTAGTTCTATTTGTAGAGATTTTCACCACTATGAATTTTCTTAAGTCATATGTTTAGAGTCCTTCCTTCAGCACATAATTTCAATTTATAGTTTCCAATTCGCAGAGTTTCTTACCATTATGACTTTTCTTATGTTGCTGAAACTCTGAATCCCTCCCATAAGCCTTCCCACAGTTCTTACATTCATAAAGTTTCTCACCTGTATGAATTCTCTGATGCTGAGTAAGGCTTGAGCCACTATAAAAAGCCTTCCCACACTCCTTACATTCATAGGGTTTCTCACCAGTGTGTATTCTCTGGTGCCGATTAAGAGCTGAACCACTACTAAAGGACTTTCCACATTCTTTACATTCATAGGGTCTTTCACCAGTATGGATTAGCTGGTGTTGGATAAGTTTTGAGCCACTACCAAAGGCCTTCCCACATTCCTTACATTCATAGGGTTTCTCACCAGTATGAATTCTGTGATGTTGAGTAAGGTCTGAACCACTACTAAAGGTCTTCCCACATTCCTTACATTCATAAGGTTTCTCTCCAGTATGCATTCTTTGATGCTGAATAAGTTTTGAACCACTTCTAAAGGCTTTCTCACACTCCTTACACTCATAGGGTTTCTCACCAGTGTGAATTCTCTGATGCTGAGTGAGATCTGAGCCACTATTAAAAGCCTTCCCACATTCCTTACATACATAAGGTTTCTCACCAGTATGAATTCTTTGATGTCGAGTAAGGGCTGATCCAAAACTAAAGGCCTTACCACATTCATTACATATATATGGTTTCTCACCGGTATGAATTCTCTGATGCCGAGTAAGAGCCGAACCACTGCTAAAGGCCATTCCACATGCTTTGCATTCATAAGGTTTCTCACCAGTATGAATCCGCCGATGTTGAGTAAGGTTTGAACCACTGCCAAAGGCTTTACCACAATCTATACATTCATAAGGTTTCTCACCTGTGTGAATTCTGTGATGCCGAATAAGGGCTGATTCAAAACTAAAGGACTTCCCACATTCCTTACACTCATAAGGCTTCTCACCACTGTGAATGATCTGATGTCGAATAAGGCCTGATCCAAAACTAAAGGCTTTCCCACATTCCTTACACTCATAGGGTTTCTCACCAGTATGAATTCTCTGATGGTGAGTAAGGTTTGAGCCACTACCAAAGGCCTTCCCACATTCTTTACATTCAAAAGGCTTCTCACCAGTATGAATTCTTTGATGGTAAGCAAGGTTTGCACCACTACCAAAGGCCTTGCCACATTCTTTGCATTCATAAGGTTTCTCACCAGTATGAATTCGCTGATGTCGAACAAGGACTGATACAAAACTAAAATCCTTCCCACATTCCTTACATTCAAGGAGTTTCTCATCAGTATGAATTCTCTGATGCTGGATACTGAAAGTGGGCATGTCTTCAGGAGTAAATATCATTTCACTGAAATGTCCTTCCTGAGATCCCTGTTTTCTCTCAAACTGGTTTTTACATTCCCAATCACCTCTGAAACTTGAACACTCAATGCTGTGTTTTGTAAGGTTTTCCATATCCTTTTTCAGAAATAATTTCTTGGTCTCAACTTTGATTCATAGTCTGAAAGAAAATATAAAAGCAAACATTCACTTTTTTGTGTTCTGGGAGAGATTAAACGTTTATAATAGATACGAAAGACTTAACTACAATTTAATTTTCATAAAAATTGAGTGGTTTATACAGTTCTCACATATGACTGGGCAATTTGAAAAACAGATTAGGGAAGCAGAGAAAATGAGTAAAAGTCAGACTAGAAAGTGGAGGAGGTTTTCAGGAAACAGATTATTTTTAAATAGTAGTTTAGATATTTATTTAAAATAGTAGTTTTAAATAGTAGTTTAGTTTAGTTTAAAAGTCCTGCAGACTTTGAAAGCTTGGTAATTATACAGATGTCCTGGCCCTGTCTTAATTTTTTAAGAGATGAATCTAGTGCTATAAACATTTATAAATGAGAGTAATTCTCATATTCATTTATCAGGGTTGTTGGGAGTACTACATTTTTCCTGGGGTGGGAAATCTGGGATGTTTCAGTAATAAACATAATTTGCATATAAACTGATGGAGACAGAAAAGAAAGATAATCCACAAAGAGCAGTTTCCCAATGAAAGACTAATGTGCTAAATGAGTATGGAATGAGCTATGGAGAGGGAAGATTCATCTGTGGTTAGAATGTGGTTTGTTTATGCCATTTAAGAAATAAGTTTGCCTCCAAATTCTATGATGATAACATTGAGAGAAGATGGAGCTCAGTAAGGGCTACAGCAGAGGAACAGAATCTGGTTTTAACATAAGAGGAAAGGGAAGACAAGACAGGAGGCAATGTGATACTACTAGAAGACTGCAAGAAAGATGAAGATATATAAATATCCTGAACCTCATCTTTGATGATTATGGAATGATTCTGATCACACCAAATCTACTTACATACTTGCATAAAGTAACTATGCAGTGCTTATTATTTTGGGAGACTTATTTGCCTCAAAAGTAGAGGCTAGGAAAGGGAATGGATTTAAAGATACTATCTAAGGCCCTGAGTGAATACCTCAAATCCCAAAAAGTGAAAACATTCGGCACCAATCTCTTTCTACAACTTACATAACAATCCTGTTTAGAGCAGGTCTAAATATGTCTTGAAATTGTTCTTTCAGTCTCCAACTGGCTAATCCAAATCAAAATTATCTTTTGCTTGGACACTAAACCAGCATTTCTTCTACCTGCCTGCATTTCCAGTTTTGCACCCTTAGCACCCAGAGTGATATTTAGCCTGGAACTGTTCTGCTCAAAATGAACTCGCTCTTAAAAGTTCCTCAGTGATCTGCCTGTCTCTTCAACCTAATATCCCTCCCTGCACCCCCCACCCAACAATAAGCTGTAGCTACTATGTAGTCTTCATAGTTCTTCAAATGCACAAAACTGTACCGACCCATCCCCATCATGGTTTCATCTGCCTGAAATGTCCCCCTATATCCACTGCCCCTACTCTTGGCCTTGCAAGTTTCTGGCAGTGGTTTAGGTCTCTGCTAAATGATGTATCTTTAAAATATTTCCTACATGTTCAGTCTGAATTATGCACACTCTACTATCATTTCTCAGAGCTCTTTTTTCCTCTTTTCTTTGTGTTTTGTTTTGATAATAGGTAATTTACGTATCCATTCCCTACAGTTAAATTTTTCATATTTGTTTGAATGCTTGTTTAACCTCTGTCTGCTACAATAGAGCCAAGCTTCATGAAGACAAAGATAATATCTATTAATTTAATCAACTTGAACTCTGGTACATGCAAAAAAAACCTAAATGCATTTATTGAATAATATAATAAATTATTTGCAAAATGTATTATCCTTACAAATAAACATCTAAAAACTAGATTTCTCTAGCCATACAACATAATTTCTCTGAAAAAGCTCAAGTGGATCACGTGCATTTATCCCCGTACGCTTTCCAAAACCTCACTAAAAGGAATGAAAAGGAATTTGTAAAACAGAACAAAACCACCACATAAAAGGAAATTAAAGAGGAAGCTGCAGCAACAAAACATTTTCAGCTTATTTATTTATTTATTTTGAGATGGAGTTTCGCTCTTGTTGCCTAAGCTGGAGTGCAATGGCATGATCTCAGATCGCTGCAACCTCCGCCTCCCGGGTTCAAGTGATTCTCCTGCCTCAGCCTCCTCAGTACCTGGGATTACAGGCATGTGCCACCACGCCTGGCTAATTTTGTATTTTTAGTAATACAGGGTTTCTCTATGTTGGTCAGGCTGGTCTTGAACTCCCGACCTCAGCCTCCCAAAGTGCTAGGATTACAGGCATGAGTCACCAGGCCTGGCACCCCACCCCCCTTTTTTTTTTTTTAGTGGAGTTTCACTCGTGTCACCCAGACTGGAGTGCAATGGCACAATCTCAGCTCACTGCAACCTCTGCCTCCCAGGTTCAAGTGGTCCTCCTGCCTCAGCCTCCCAAACAGCTGGGATTGCAGGTGCCCACCACCACACCTGGCTGATTTTTGTATTTTCAGTAGAGGTGGGGTTTCACCATATTGGCCAGGCTGGTCTCGAACTCTTGACCTCAAGTGATCCACCTGCCTTGGCCTCCCAAAGTGCTGGGATAACAGGCATGAGCCACCATGCCCAGCCAACATTTTAAGTTGAAAGTGTAAGATAAACAATGACCAATCAAAAAAGATATAATCTTAACTAAAAGTAAGGAAAGCCCACACATAGTTACACTTTTTGTGTATAAAAAAGTGTACGGTTTATGCTGCAGAACCCCAGAAAAACTTAAGAAGTGGAGGGAACTAAGTACCCATAAAAGTCTAACAATCAACATACAAAATATATAGCATACAGCTTCTTAGGGCCCACTCTAAATTACAAATAGATCACTACCTCATGAAGATATGTGCACTCACATGTTCAAAGCAGTATTATTCACAATAGCCAAGACATGAAAATAACCTATGTGCCCACTGATGGATGAACAGATGAAGAAATTGTGATATATATAAATGAATATTATTCACCATTGAAAAGAAAGAGATCCTGCCATTTGACAAAACAGACATGAAACTGGAGGACGTTATGCTACGTGAAATAAGGGAGACGAAGAGAAATACTGCATGATCTCACTTATATGTAGAATGTAAAAAAAAAAAAAAAGTACAGAAATAGCATACAGAATGGTAGTTACCAGGGACTGTCAGGGAGAAAATGGGGAGATGCAGGTCAAAGGATACAAAGTTTCAGACATGTAGAATGAATAAGTCTAGAGATCCAATGTACAACATGAGGACTATAGTTAATGACATTGTATTGTATTTGAGATTTTTGATGAGAGTAGATTTTTAGGTGCTCTTGCCACACACACACAAAAAGTGTAACTATGTGAGATGATGAACATGTTAATTTGCTTGACTACAGTCACCATTTCATAATATGTATCAAAACCTCATGTTGTATATCTTAAATATATACAAAAACAACAGAAACAAAAAATAGGCAAATATTAGATATTTGAGAAAAGCCTGTAAGATAAAAGACAGTAAACAAAGCAACCAAAGCAACTCAGAAGACAGACTATATAGGAGAACAAAGAAAACCTCAAAAGTCACAACGTATATTCTCATAAGGATATGAGAAGCTACTCCACATGATACAAGAATAGAATAATATGAAAGAAATATTAAGTGAAAAAAGTATTCATAGAAAATGAAAATATAAAGTTGGAATAAAAACAAATCATTCAAAAGTAAATAATAAAATATCTTTAAAACCCATACAAAAAAGATACAGAAATGGAAAATAGGAAAATATGGGAGATCAAGCAACAAAGTCCAACGTCTACTGAGAAGAAATCATTTTTAGAAGTTTGCTAAGAATCTACAAAGTGTGCTAGAAGAAACGGAGGAACCTGAAAATCACCATTTAAAAATCGTCAATAGGATAAAAGATTCAGGATCCTCAATGGATTCTAAAGCTGGATAATGAATTGTGCTGCGGAAAAGGATATTCACTTGATCTCACAGTATCACTCTACAGATTATTTATTAATTATAAAGGGAAAAATATATACCTGTTTAATAGAAAGATTTGGTACTCACCACCTTAATCTTAAGTGGTAAAACTTGATGCCTTAGTCTACTTGTGTTGCTATGAAGACATATCTAAGAGTGGGTAACTTATAAAGAAAAGAGGTTTATTTGGCTCACAGTTCTGCAGGCTGTACAAGATGCATGGCACCAACAGCTTCTTCTGATGAAGGTTTCAGGCTGCTTCCACTAGCAGAAGGTGAAGAGGAGCTGGGATGTGCAGAGATTATGTGGAGAGAGAGGAAGCAAAAGAGAGGGTCGAGAGAGGTGCTAGGTTCTTTTTAACAACCAGCTCTTTTGGGAAGTAATAAGAGCAAGAACTCACTCACCCACTGCCCCCCAGGGAGGGCATTAATCTGTTCATCAGGGATCCATCCCCATAACTGAAACACCTGCCATTAGGCCCCACCTCCAACAATGGGGGGAAAATTTCAACATAAGATTCGGAGGGGACAAACATCCATACAGCACTTGGCATCAACAGTAGTAGAGCAACCTGACAATATGTTCCTCCCAATGTAATACAATAAAAGATGTACCATCATACCACCTATGTGGTATGCTTGCCAAATATATTTAACCTGAATCTAAGCTTCCTATACATGAGAAAGCCATGAGACAAATAAAGGTTATGTGACATTCTATAAAATAATTGTCCTGGATTCTCAAAAAAATTCAATGTCATATAAAACAGGGCCGGGCATGGTGACTCATGCCTGTAATCCCAGCACTTTGGGAGGCCAAGTTGGGCAGATCACCTGAGGTCGGGAATTTGAGACCAGCCTGACCAACATGGAGAAACCCCGTCTCTACTAAAAATACAAAATTAGCCGGGTGCAGTGGCACATGCCTGTAATCCCAGCTACTAGGGAGGCTGAGGCAGGAGAATCGCTTGTACCCAGGAGGCGGAGGTTGTGGTAAGACAAGATCGTACCATTGCACTCCAGCCTGGGCAACAAGAGTGAAACTCCATCTCAAAAAAACCAAAAAAATTCAAAGTCATATAAAACAAAAAATGAGAGACTGCTCCAGATTAAAAGAGACTAAAGAGATCCAATGACCAAATCAATATATAAATCTTGACTGGATCCTAGATCAGGCAAACACATACCCAAGTAAAACAAACAAACAAACACAATAGCAGCTAAATAAAGAGAGCTTGAAGACTACTGGAGCTGTCTAAATATAAAATGCTTAAGAATATTATTAAGTCTATTTTAATTTCCTTAGGTTGGAGATATATCATTAATACTAAGGAGATATATGTTAAAATTATTAATGGTAAAATGTGAAGATGTCCCCAACATATTTTCAAATGACTCACAAAAAAAAGTGTATGTGTGTGTATTAATAAAGATAAAGGAAATGTGGCAAAATGGCAACAACTGAAGAATTTGGGTGATGGATGATAGAGTCTGAATGTTTGTGTCCTCCCAACCCCCAAATGAAATGTTGAACTTTAGTTATCAATGTAATGGGGTAAGGAGGTGGGGCCTTTGGGAGGTGATTAGGTCATGAGGGCAGAGCCCTCATGAATGTAATTAATGTCCTTAAAAAAGAGTACCCAGAGGACTGCCTTTCCCTTTTTACTATGTGAGGACAAAGAGAGAAGGTGCCAACTATGAAGCAGAAAGCAGGTCCTTACCAGACACTGAATCTGCCAACATCTTGATCATGTACTTTCCAGCCTCCACAACTGTGAGAAATAAGTTTCTTTTGTTTATAAGATAACTAGTTTATGGTACTTTGTTACAGTGGCCCAAACAGAGGAAGAAAATGGGTATTCAGAATTCACTGGAATAATCTTTTTTTCTCTATGTTTGAAATTTTTCAAAGAAAACAGAAAATACAGATTGTTCTAAAAAGTAGCATTAAGGGCAACTTCCCAGACCTGAAAGAAATGAGTCTCCATATTTAATGGGTCCACTTGGTATGTAGTATAAAAAAAAGATGATTTACATTTACATATATTTTTATTAGGTTCTAGGACACTGGGAACAAAGAAAATACCCTAAAAGGCTCCAATATGCAAAGACAGGGTATAAACCAAAGACCAGGAATGAAAATGGCTTTGGAGTTCTAAACAATACTATAAGACAGAGATCATAATTTTAAAATTCTGAGGAAAAATATTTTTAATGTAGAATTCCATGCCCTGCCAAAGAATCAATATAGTGGTTGAAAAATATACCAGAACTCACAAAATTTAATTCTCATTCATCCTTTCTCACATGCCACCAATATCAAGAAGAACCAAACCAAGAAACAGGAAGGCAAGGAATCCAAGAAACAAAGAACTCAACGCAGAAGGGCAGTGAATTTAAAAAGATAGAATTCTAGAGTAATAGTGGTACAAGCAGTCAGTAGAGAAAAAAAGGATCATAGAAGAGATGTCTCTAAACCCAAGAAACTGACAGAACATACTGGAAAAAGATTTATTTTCCAGTAGATTTTGAATATAAATTAGTGATAAATATATGGACAAAAAGGTAATAGTAATTAAATGGAAAACAAAGTTGCGTAAAAATATAAGCGTGATTCACAGCTCACTTATGAATAAAATCTGTTAAAAAGACGCAAGCCACAGAATGGGTGATGATATTTACAAAACATTTAACTGTCAAAGAACTAGCAGGTAAAATATAAGATCTTTCTCAAATCATTAATAAAAAACTAAATGGGCTGGGTGCAGTGGCTCAAGTCTGTAATCCCAGCACTTTGGGAGGCCAAGGTGGGCGGCTCACTTGAGGTCAGGAGTTCGAAACCAGCCTGGCCCACATGGTGAAACCCTGTCTCTATTAAAAATACAAAACAGTTAGTCAGGCATGGTGGCACACCAGGCGTGGTGGCATGTGCCTGTAATCCCAGCTACTTGGGATGCTGAGGCAGGAGAACTGCTTGAACCCAGGAGGTAGAGCTTGCAGTGAGCCGAGATCACGCTACTGCATTCCAGCCGGGGCGACAGAGCAAGACTCAGTCTCAAAAAAAAAAAAAAAGCTAAATGATCCAAGAGAAAAGAAACCACTAAATAAATAAGAAAACACTGCCATATTCACTCCTGGTCTTGTTTATGCCCTGTGTAATAATTTGTCAGGTCTTTGTCCTAGGGTTCCTAGCACAGAGCTAGACATGTCTTTGCTATGGATCACACCTGAGTTTATGCTAATGAGGTAACTCATGGTGGACCCGAGTAGCTTCAGAATTGGGGCAGTCATCAAAAATACTTTTAGCTAGCCAGTCTCTGAGGAAGAAAGTGGGGCTGGAGACTGAGTTCAGTCATGTGGCCAATGATTAATCAATCATGCCTACATAATGAAATTCCACCCCAAAGTTCAGTGGGGCTTCCTTACTGGTGAACATATCAATGTGTTTGGAGGGTGACACACCCTGCTTTCACCAGGAAAGGGCATAGAAACTGTGTATAGGTCCCTTTCAGACCTTGCTCTATGTGTCTCTTTACTGTGCTGTTCCTAATTTGTATCCTTATCTTTCATAATAAAACTATAATTTTAAGTGTAGTGCTTTCCTGAATTCTGTGAGTTGTAGTAAATTACTAAATGAAGGGGGGAGGGGGAGGGAGTCATGGGAACTTCCTGGAATTGTAGCTAGTTGGCCTAAAGTAAGGGCAGATTTACTGGGGACTGTATGCTAAAACCTATGGAGTCTGACACTAACTCTGGGCAGCTAGTACCAGAACTGAATTGCAGTACATCAGTTGGAGATTAAATAGATTAAAATCCCATGTTCATGGATTAGAAGACTTAACATGAAGATGGCAATACTCGCTAAAATAATCTGCAGATTCAATACAATCTCTATTAACACTTCAGTGGCCTTTGAAATGAAAAGCCAGGCGGGGCGGTAATCCCAGCAGTTTGGGAGGCTGAGGCGGGTGGATCACGAGGTCAGGAGTTTGAGACTAGCTTGGCCAACATGGTGAAACCCTGTCTCTACTAAAAGTAAAAAAATTAGCTGGGCGTGGTGGCACGCACCTGTAATCCCAGCTACTCGGGAGCCTGAGGCAGGAGAATTGTTAGAACCCAGGAAGCGGAGGTTGCAGTGAGCCGAGCTCCACCACTGCACTCCAGCCTGGGCAACAGAGCAAGACTCCATCTCAAAAAAAAAAAAAAAGCCACTCCTCATATCCATGTGGAACTGCAATGGGTACCCAAAATCATATGGAACTGTAATGTGTATTGAAAATGAAAAAGTAGGACTCACTTCTTCCAATTGTAAAACTTACTATTATAAAGCTACAGTAATCAAAAGGACTGGCCTAAGAACAGCCTTGTAAACTAATGGAATAAAACTGAAAATCCAGAAATAAACCCAAACATCTATGACTAATAGATTTCCCAGAAGGCCAGTTAAGTCCACTGAATGGAGAAAGAAATGTCTCTTCAAAAAATGGTATTGAGACAACTGGATAAACACATGCAAATATAAAATGTGAACTCAAGGCCGGGCGCGGTGGCTCACGCCTGTAATCCCAGCACTTTGGGAGGCCAAGGCGGGTGGATCACAAGGTCAGGAGTTTGAGACTAGCTTGGCCAATGTGGTAAAACCCTGTCTCTACTAAAAGTAAAAAAAATTAGCTGGGCGTGGTGGCACGCACCTGTAATCCCAGCTACTCGGGAGCCTGAGGCAGGAGAATTTTTGGAACGCAGGAAGCAGAGGTTGCAGTGAGCAGAGATTTCACCACTGCACTCTAGCCTGGGCGACACAGCAAGACTCTGACTCAAAAAAAAAAAAAAAAAAGCCACTCCTCATATCCATATGGAACTGCAATTGGTACCCAAAATCCATATGGAACTGCAATGTGTATTGAAAATGAAAAGGTAGGACTCTCTTCTTACAATTGTAAAACTTACTACTACAAAGCTACAGTAATCAATAGGACTGGCCTAAGAACAGACTTGTAAACTAATGGAATAAAACTGAAAATCCAGAAATAAACCCAAACATCTATGACTAATAGATTTCCCAGAAGGATAGTAAGTCCACTGAATGGAGAAAGAAATGTCTCTTCAACAAATGGTATTGGGACAACTGGATAAACACATGCAAATATAAAATGTGAGCTCAAGATGGATCAACAACCTAAACAGAAGTGCTAAATCATAAAATTCTTTCAAAAAAACAGAATTTCTAATTCTTCATGACCTCAGATTTGGCAATTAATTCTTAAATTTAACACCTAAAGCACAAGCAATGAAAGAAAAGAATACATCAATTTAAATTCATCCAAGTTAAAAGTTTGTGCTTCAATTGGGTACAGGGTATTTCTAGAGGCAGATGAAAAAGGTTTAAAACTAGAGAGAATCAATAGTTGCACAATATTGTGAATACAGCAAATACCACTGAATTTATACTAAATACCACTGAATTATACACTTTAAAATGGTTAAGTGTATCTCATGTGAATTTTGCCTAAAAGAACAAATCTTGGGGAAAAAATGAGAAAAGGAGATAAAAGATAATACAAATGAAAAGATGTTCTGTTTCATCAGTAGTCATGGTCATACAAATTAACACCATAATTAGATATTACTAAGTATACTAGGTAGGTAAAAAGTGTGACTATTCCAAATGTTGGTAAAGATGTGGGAAAAACGTGGCAAAGGCGGCGGCAAATATACACTGTTGGAAGTAGACCACTTTTTCATACAACCACTTTGAAAGAGTTTGGTTATCTAGGCTAACACATGCACATTCCCTATTACCCAGCAATTCCACTCCTAGGTAAAACATCCACTACAATGTTCATAACAGTTTTATTAAGAGTAAAATGCTGGAAACCACCAATTATCCACATAAAAAATATGTTGGACAAAATACACTGTGATATAGTCATAAAGGTTATTAAATAATAGTGGAGATAAACAAGATATATCTAAACTATTCAACATGGGCCAGGTGCGGCGGCTCACGCCTGTAATACTAGCACTTTGGAAGGCCGAGGCAAGTGGATCGCTTGAGGTCAGGAGTTTGAGACCAGCCTGGCCAACACAGTGAAACCCCGTCTCTACTAAAAAATACAAAAAATTAGCTAGGCTTGGTGGTGCACGCCTGTAATCCCAGCTACTTGGGAGGCTGAGGCAGGAGAATCACTTGAATCGGGAGGTGGAGGTTGCAGTGAGACGAGATTATGCCATTACACTCTAGCGTGGGCAACAGAGTGAGACTGTCTCAAAAAAGACAAAACAAAACAAAACTTAAAAGAACACATATATTATTATTCAATTTACATAAGTTTAAAAGCAGGCAAAGCTGTATAATATTCTTTAGGGAGTTATACAAAGTTGGCAAAAAATTATAATAGCAGAGAATGATTTTTACAAAATCTACTTAATAGTTACACTTCAGTGGAGAGCGAAAGAGATTAATTTGGTTTGGGCAGGCAGATGGCTTTGTGGTATTAGCAATGTTGTATTTTTCCAATCTTCATGGTGGTTATATGGGTATTATCACTTAACCTAAAAAGATTTTATGTATTTGAATATATAAAATATTTCAGGAAAAACCTCAAACTTTGAGGGGAAAAGAAGAAAAAAGAAACAGAAAGAACATTTTTCAGTTTATCTGATGAAAGTAGTCTAACAGCCATGATACCAAATAAGACAAAATACTAAATATGAAGAGAGAATAATTTTGGGCTAATATAATTTATGAACACACACACACACCCTAAATAAAACTCTAGCAAACTGAATAAAATAATTAAAAAAGCAAACTTTATGAATAAGTTGATTTTATCCAAGGAATACAAGGTTGCTTCAACACTGAAAAATCAGTTAATTAATTATATTAACAGAATAGAGAGAAAAATGCACAATTGTCTACAACAATCAGAGAATTTGATAAAACCCAACATCCAGTTACTGTAAGAAGAAACACAAAACTTGAACAAGCTATGAGTGGAAGGTAATTTCCTCATTCTGATGAACAGCACCTACAAAAACCAGGAAGGGACACGTCAAATATGTGCATGTCCGTAAAGGCTGTAGCAAATAAAACATGTAAGTACTAGAAAGCAAGAAACAAAAGTGATGTTTGCAGATCTTATGATTGCCTATATGGAAAAATTCAAAAGATATAATCATCTATCCATTTAAAAAAGTACTATACAAAAAGTAGCTGGGCGTGGTGGCACATATCTATAGTCCCAGCTACTCGGGAGACTGAGGCAGGAGAATCACGTGAACCTGGGAGGTGGAGGTTGCAGTGAGCCGAGATCGAACTACTACACTCCAGCATGTGTGACAGAGTGAGACTCTGTCTCTATCAATAAATAAATAAATAAAAATTTTGAAAAGTATTATATCCCTATCTCACAGCAAAGTCAGTCTTAGATAAATGACTTACATTTTAAAAAATTAACTTTAAAACTCTTAGAAGACTATGTGCTAGTTATCAATGTATTGCCCCTAAGTTCCAAATTCACCCTTTATTCACCATTTTTTCACTCTGCAAAAGCAGACCTGGGCTATAGAAATATTTTTCCTTGCCAGAACAATGTTAAGCTTTGCCAGTAGTGGATGTCTGAAAGACACTGCAGGAGGAAGGGGCGTTCCTTTCTGGTTCTGGCATGCTTGCTGGCAGGCGGCTCCAGAATCCAGGTCCACCTCCTGCAGCACATTCAGTTTCCCGAGCACCCAGTTCCTGCAGCATGGGTGACTTTACCAGGCTTCCTCAGTCAAGCAGCTTCTCTAGCTCCCGGCTCTTAAAGTACAAAGTGGCCAGCAGCACCCAGTAGCCTTGTCTGAAAGTTTTGTAGCAAATGCTTCTGGTAAGACAACCCAGTCTGCCACACAGGATGGATTCCTGGCAAATTCTAGAGCACAGATTTCCAGCAAGTTCCACAGCAGGAACAGGACATGGCTAAGGCAAGTGAGGCACTTATGGCACAAAACTTGAGGCTTTCACTCTCAGATGCCAACCCTGCACGTATAACCCTGACGATGACTGTCTTAAGAATGAGGAACCCAGGGTGCAAAATTTGAGGCATTCCGTCTCAGGGTCATCCAAGTGTAGTTACATCTGACGGTGAGTGCTTCTCACCGTCTCACTTGCCTCATCTTAGTCCCAGCCCTTTACCACAGCAATTACTGTCATTCAATGAGCCACGGATGTGCACTCTCCAACAAGGGCTGGATGTTAACCCTGGGAGGGCGTCTTCCTCGGACTCTCTACCATTAGTAGTGGCTGCTCTTATTATTTTTTTTTTAAATTTTTTAGAGACAAGGTCTCACTCTGTCACCCAGGCTGGAGTCACCCAGGTACCCAGGCACAATCATAGCTCACTGCAGCCTCAAACTCTTAGGCTGAAGCCATCCTCCCACCTCAGCCTCCCAAGTAGCTAGGAATACAGGCACATGCACCACACCTGGCTAATTGGCTGTTTTATTTTTCTTTTTGTAGAGACAGGATCTGGTCTGAAATTCCTGGCTTTAAGTTATCCTCCCACCTCAGCTTCCCCAAGTGTTGGGATTACAGATGTGAGGCATCATGCCCGATCAATGGCTGCTCTTTATGGCTGTAATTCCCATGGTTTTTAGAGTTTCCTTTACTTCTTACTGGTCAATCCTTTGTTACTCTAGTTCCACGATGGTTAATAATTTTTTATATTAAACTTTCCTAGTTCAAATTGCTGTGTTTTCTGTTCCTTGATTAGATATTGACTGCAACAGAATTGGTAACTGATGTCGTTCCAAGTGAAAGGCCTGTAAAGATGGAACTTTGGGATTAGTTTGGTCATGCCTTTTAGTATCTTTTTGCTAATCCTTTGGGATTGACTGCAGTGCAGAGTTCCATGCCAATGGGATTTGGGTTGGTAGAAATTAATGGCATGCAGTAATGTTACAATTAATTAGGCCATGGTTGATTGGAATGAAGTGTCAATTAAAGCACATGCC
Organism: Homo sapiens; assembly: GCF_000001405.40. Lineage (NCBI taxonomy): Eukaryota > Metazoa > Chordata > Mammalia > Primates > Hominidae > Homo > Homo sapiens. The sequence goes on along the minus strand of NC_000019.10, from coordinate 36,863,845 downwards.
TTGGGAGCTAAATAGTTGCTGTACTTGACCATTATGGCAGTAATGATATAAGGACTGCGGTGTGGGATGGATTAACTTATGTTAACTTAAATGCATAAAGAGAAGCTGATAAGCCCAGGTTTATTAACTCTCAGTTCAAGTCACAATCTGAGAATGAGAGCATTTCCATAAAAATCCTAAAAGAATCTCCCCTTTCTTGTAGCCAAAGGGCTGACATTGCTGAAAAACACAGAACTGCTCAGCTTGCTGAATTATGATGAATGTTGAATTCACAGTCTTGCCACATTTTTCATGTGAAAGAAGAATGGCAAAGAATAGGAACCTGAAATTTGGAGTTGGGACATACGGATGGGACCCAGATGAAACTGGCAATCTTGAACTCCTAAATCACTGTGGGGATCTCTCTTACTAGTGGAAATAACTTGCAATCCAGCATTTGAGAAACTAGTTTTCCTCTGGTTGAAAACCCTATGATAACATCATCTGGAGTAGTGCAAAGGGCATGCTCATTCTCTTTAAGATCCACCAGAAATGTTGTCTGTTAAGACAGTATTTAGGAATGAGCCTGGAACATCTTCTCATTCCAGGAAGTAAGGAAATGCTCAATCCTCATTATAGACCTATAATGAGGGTCCAATCTCAGCATAACCCAGAGAGACAAGTATATAGTATGACCCAGGAGGAAATAACTCACCGTATTAGTTTGCTAGGGCTGCCATAATAAAATACCACTGACTGGATGGTTTAAATAACAGAAATTTGTTTGTTCACAGTTATGGACATCAGTCCAAGATTATGCTGATTGCGGGTTTGGTTTCTTCTGAGGCCTCTCACCTTGGCTTGCAGATGGTCACTTTCTTGCTATGCACTCACATGGTCTTTCCTCTGTGTGTATCCTTGGCATCTCTCTGTGTGTCCAAATTTCCTCCCTTATAAAGATAGGAGTCAGGTCGAATGAGTACTCACCTTAATGGCCTCATTTTAACTGAATTAAAGGCCCTGTTTCCAAATACATTCACATTCTAAGGCGCTGGGGTTTAGGCTTTCAAGATATGAATTTTGGAAGGGACACAATTGAGCCCATTAACACGCACCAAAACAAGGGTTGTGGGAGCAGAGTGATGATGCTCTAACTTTACCTTTTTGCATAGTTTTAACTTTTTTTTTTTTTTTTTTTTTTTTGAGACTGGGTCTCACTCTGTCGCCCAGGTTGGAATGCAGTGGCATGATCTTGGCTCACTGCAACCTCTGCCTCCCAGGTTCAAGTGATTCTCCTGCTTCAGCTTCCCAAGTGGCTGGGCCTACAGGTGTGCACCACCACTCCTGGCTAATTTTTGTATTTTTTGGTAGAGACGGGGTTTCCCTGTGTTGCCCAGGCTGGTCTTGAACTCCCGGCCTCAAGTGATCCACCTGCCTCAGCCTCCCAAAGTGCTGGGATTACAGGTGTGAGCCACCACACCCAGCTAGTTTTAACTTTTGGTAGCATGCTAATATTTTTACATACTCATACAATCAAGTCACCAAGAACAGAGTAATAAAAAAGGCCAAACGGTAGGAACTAACAAACTTAAATGTATTTCAAATGAATAACAAAAGCAACTTTAATGGGGGAAAAAACCAAATCCAAGTAAATTAGAACACAATATTTTGATTACGTACTCCCAGTCCAAAGATAAAGAGAAGTTGGCCGGGTGCAGTGGCTCATGCCTGTAATCCCAGCACTTTGGGAGGCTGAGGCGGGCAGATCACCTGAGGTCGGGAATTTGAGACCAGCCTGACCAACATGGAGAAACCCCGTCTCTACTAAAAATACAAAAATTAGCCAGGTGTGGTGGTGGACACCTGTAATTCCAGCTACTCAGGAAGCTGAGGCAGAAGAATCACTGGAACAGGGAGGCAGAGGTTACAGTGAGCCGAGGTCATGCCACTGCACTGCAGCCTGGGTGACAGGGCAAGACACCATCTCAAGAAAAAAAAAAAAAAAAAGGCTGGGCATGGTGGCTCATGCCTATAATCCCAGCACTTTGGGAGGCTGAGGCTGGCGGATTGCAAGCTCAAGAGATCAAGACCATCCTGGCCAACATGCTGAAAACCAGTCTCTACTAAAAATACAAAAAATTTGCTGGGCGTGGTGGTGCACACCTGTAGTCCCAGCTACTTGGGAGGCTCAGGCAAGAGGATCACTTGAACCCAGGAGACAGAGGTTGCAGTGAGCGGAGATCACGCCACTGCACTTCAGCCTGGTGATAGAGCGAGACTCCGTCTCAAAAATAAATAAATAAATAAAAATAAAAAGATAAAGAGAACTATAAGCAAATACTGAACCCTACTTAGTATTCTTGATTTTTACCACAGTATAGGTTAGCATTCTCACATTCTGTATGTATAAATTCTAGACTTGAACAAATTCGTAAATCTAATGAGGATAATGGAAGCCAGGTTTCTTACTACTACAGAAGGAAGATATAAATATGGAACAGGTTGTGACAAGAATGAACACTGCAGTCCCATCACCTAGATATTGGTTTCCAAATATTCACATTGCAAGGAACCAGAGCTCTTTAGAGAAATGATTCATTCCAGGCTGGAGCTAAGACAGTATTTAGGAATGAGCCTGGAACATCTTATCATTCCAGGAAGTAAGGAAATGCTCAAAGAATCATGGAGACAAGTCAAAGGAACACAGAAGCCAGCCAGAATGGGTTCCTGCTGGCCAAATCTGGGACAACTTGAGTATAAAAATAAATAACAACAGATTATAACCCATTGAGGAAAGTAAACATCTATGAATTCATATTGACATAAACGAATAAGTGGGAGAGAAGGGAAAGCTCTTCTTTATAGTAGAATGCCAACCAATTAATACAGACAAAATAATGGCGATAGAAATCAAACAAAAAAAAAACCCTCCCATTATTACTATTACATCTTACTAATAACAGACCCAAGAATAATTATCAGTGGATGGATGTTAAACTAGTGGGGAAAAGTTTGGTGAGTAGTTATTTACACAGTTACAAAGTACATCTCCACAAATTATCTATTAATTACAAATAGACAACTGTCAATATTACAGTGGAGAAACATGGTAGATATCCCCTTAACAAATTATCAAAGTTAACATCTCCAGAAATGGAATAAATCAAAATCATGTATCTCCTGAGATGATGCAGCAAGAAGGATACAATATTACCTTTATGGTATTCCTGCCACAAAATTCATAGCCTGAATGTAAGCATGAAGAACCAGAAGACAAACCCAAATTAAGGGACTTTTTACAAAATAAATGGCTTCTCCTCTTCAAAAATTCCAAGATCATGAAAGACAAAGAGAGAGCAACTCTTCCAGATTAAAGAAGACTAGAGAGACATAATTAGTAAATTTAAAGTGTGATTTTAAAGTGGATCCTGGATAGATGAGGAGAAAGGGTAGGGTGGTTTGTTATAAAGAACATTACTGGGATGAATCAAAAATTTTAAATATGGATTAGAGTATCATATAAATGTTAAAATTTTAATAACTGTACTGTGGGTTATGTAAGAGAATAATCTTGTTGTTAGGAAATAAAGGGGCAAAATATCTGCAACTTAGCTGGACGCGGTGGCTCATGCCTGTAATCCCAGCACTTTGGGAGGCCAAGGCAGGCGGATCACGAGGTCAGGAGATTGAGACCATTCTGGCTAACACGGTGAAACCCCATCTCTACTAAAAATACAAAAAATTAGCCGGGTGTGGTGGCGTGCGCCTGTAGTTCCAGCTACTCGGGAGGCTGAGGCAGGAGAATGGAGTGTACCCAGGAGGCGGCACTTGCAGTGAGCCGAGATCACGCCCCTGCACTCCAGCCTGGGCGACCCAGCGAGACTGTCTCAAAAAAACAAACAAACAAACAAAAAAATCTGCAACTTAGTCTTAAATGGTACAGATAAAATGTGTGTAGGGTGTGTCTGTGTGTGTGTGTGTGTGTGTGCAGAGAGAGAGAGGGAGAGAGAGAAGAAAACAAGTTCATATGAGAATGATAACGCAAATAGGCAAAAGGTAACAACTGGTGAATCTGAGTGGTACACAGGAATACTTTATGCTATTCTTTTAACTTCTACAAGTTTCAAATTTAATAAAAATTTTAAAGTTAACAAAACATATTCCTAAATAATTCTTATGTTAAATATGAAACTAAATGGAAATACAAACAGCCTAGAAACGAGGTAAACAAGAGCAAGATACATATCAAAAACTGGACATCAAGAAATTACCAAATAAAAAGTAATTGATAGAATTAAATGCCTGTATAAAAATAATATAAAACAGATTTGAATTCAATGTCACAAAAAAAGAATCTCAAAATTAAAAAAAAAAACAAAAGAACTGGTGAAGATAAAAATAAAACATAAAAGTCTGGGTGTGGTGGCTCACGCCTGTAATCCCAGCACTTTGGGAGGCTGAGGCAGGAGGATCACTTGAGGTCAGGAGTTTGAGACCAGCCTGGCCAACACGGCAAAACCCCATCTCTACTAAAAATACAAATATTAGCTGGGTGTGGCGGTGCATGCCTGTAATCTCAGCTACTCAAGAGGCTGAGGCAGGAGAATCACTTGAACCTGGGGAGGCAGAGGCTGCAGTGAGCTGAGATCATGCCACTGCACTCCTATACTCCAGCCTGAGCAACTGTCAGGCTGTCAACAACAACAAAAAAAAAACCATAAAAAAGTTTAAGATTTACAAAACCCAAAGCTTTTGAAAGTTTTTTTTTTTTTTTAAAAAGAAGACTGCTGATTAAACGTGGTATGTGTATGTACCATATACTTTAGGTTTTCTCTCCCACAAGACACCACTAAGATGACCAGTGTATTTTCATACAATAAATTGCTAGGAAGTGCACAGATATGGCAGATATTGTTGATTGCCTCTGCCAAAACTACTCCTTCCGCTACTTCCTTGATACATGACTTTGATTTTTCTTCCAGTTACTGTGCTCAGCTCCATAAAACAAATCACGATTGTCTAACTCAGTGATTCTCATTCCTGAGTGTACATTAGAATCACTTGGGTAGCTTTTTATTTTTTATTTTGATTTTTATTTTTTGAGACAGCATCTTACTCTGTCGCCTAGGCTGGAGTGCAGTGGTGCAATCTTGGCTCCCTGCAACCTCCACCTCCCAGGTTCAAGGGGTCTCATGCCTCAGCCTCCCGAGTAGCTGGGACTACAGGTGCCCACCACCACACCCAGCTAATTTTTCTATTTTTGGTAGAGACGGGGTTTCACCATGTTGGCCAGGCTGGTCTCGAACTCCCGACCTCAGGTGATCCGCCGCCCGCCTTCCTCCTAAAGTGCTGGGATTACGGGCGTGAGCCACTGCACCCTGCCTCTTGGGTAGTTTTTTAAATATTCCAAAGTTTGAACCCACTCCGCATCAAATTAAATTTTAATGCTTTTCTATCAGCTTATATGCGCTGAAGTCACCAGTTCTCAATTGTGGCAGTGCATAGAGTCATCTGGTGACCTTTTAAAAATTGTGATTGGCTAGTCCAAGTGCAAGTGGTGTTTACAACTAATTGATCACAACCAGTTACAGATTTCTTTGTTCCTTCTCCATTCTCACTGCTTTGCTTGATTAGTCTTAAAACAATAATAAGAAAAATGGGCTTGATTAGTCTTAAAACAATAATGAGAAAAATGGCGATGCTCAGGCCATACCCCAGACCAATTAAATCAGAATTGCTGAGGGTGGGACCAGAGGTTAGTAACCAAGGTTAAGAATAGCTAGCTTAGGCCAGGCGCAGTGGCTCATGCCTGTAATCCCAGCACTTTGGGAGGCCTAGGTGGGCGGATCACCTGAGGTCAGGAGTTTGAGACCAGCCTGGACAACATGGTGAAACCCCATCTCCACTAAATATACAAAAAAAAATTAGCCAGGTGTTGTGCCAGGAGCCTGTAATCCCAGCTACTTGGGAGGCTGAGGCAGAATTGCTTGAACCCAGGAAGTGGAGGTTGCAGTGAGCCAAGATCGTGCCATTGCACTCCAGCCGGGGTGACAAGAGCAAAACCTAGTCTCAAGCAAACAAACAAAAAAAGAATAGCTTAAATGAAATGAAATCATTATTTGTTCTAAGTGCTATTTTGTACCTTATGCAGCTATAAGTGACCTAACTGGCAGTTAGAAAAGCAGATTCTGTTAGAGACAACTGAGTGTACTGTGAAGTGATCAAGCCAATATGAAATTATTTTGGAAGTATTTACTGACATTTAAGCAGTGGCTCACGCCTGTAATCCCAGCACTTTGGGAGGCTGAGGCGGGTGGATCACCTGGGGTCGGGAGTTCGGGACCAGCCTGACCAACATGGAGAAACCCCGTCTCTGCTAAAAATACAAAAAAATTAGCTGGGCGTGGTGGCGGGCGCCTGTAGTCCCAGCTACTCGGGAGGCTGAGGCAGGAGAATGGCGTGAACCCAGGAGGCGGAGCTTGCAGTGAGCCAAGATGGCGCCGCTGCACTCCAGCCTGGGCGACAGAGCAAGACTCCGTCTCAAAATAAATAAATAAATAAACAATTTTTATAAGAAAAATATATTCATTAATTATGTATATAATTATAATTTTACTGAAAAGGAAAAAAACAAGCACTAGCATTTGGCCAAAGTAGATGGTTATTTATAAAGCCAATAATTTGTAAGCAAACTATATTCAACAAAAAAGCCTTGGTGAAATAACTCTATGAGGCCATTACAATTCGTGATAAAGATAAATGTTAACATGGACAGCTGTTGATATGTATTTTGGCATAATAAACACAGGTTACACAGATCAATAGCTACACAACGATTGCATTAAAAAAAGAATTCTAAGTATTTGCTGTAACAATTTGATGGTAGTTATATCTAATTGATAGGATTACAGATGACCTTTGTTTTTTCTTTATCCTTCTATTTTCTAAATGTGTTGTAATAAGGAATTCTTTTTGTAATGAAAATAAAGAATACAGCAATCTTTTTTTTTTTTTTTTGAGACGGAGTCTCGTTCTGTCACCCAGGCTGGAGTGCAGTGGCACCATCTTGGCTCACTGCAGTCTCTGCCTCCCGGGTTCCAGCGATTCTCCTGCCTCCCAGGTAGCTGGAATTACAGGTACCTGCCACCATGCCCGGCTAATTTTTGTATTTTTAATAGAAATGGGGTTTCACCGTGTTGTCCAGGCTGGTCTCAAATTCCTGACCTCAGGTGATGCGCCTGCCTCGGCCTCCCAATGTGCTAGTATTACAGGCATGAGCCACTGGCCTGGCCAAATACAACAATCTTAAGAAGTGACACATCTGATCATGTATTCAAAGGTTTTTGAAAGAAAATCTAAACATGGTTCAGGCGGAAGCACAGAGACATAAATCAAAGAACTGAAAAAAAATTCAAATATATAATACGAATTACTTATAATATCACCAAGTAGGCAGTACAAAGTAAGAGAAAAGCAAATAAGTTATCACTGAATAAATAATATGGGAATAAGACCAGGTAAATGAGAAAAAATTGAATTTAGATCCCCAAATCAAAGCAAAACAAATTTAAAATGGATTGAAAAGTTATATATAAGAGAACGGAAAGTCACAATCCTGGTTCTAAATGATTTACAATGTAGGTAGGGAGCAAAACTTACATATAAGATATTTTGGGAAAAACCAAAGGCATTTAGTTAAATGCTTTCTACTGTAATTGATATAGAGGTCCCAAGAAAGAAAAGTAAAGAAGGGAAATAACATTTTCTCAACACCTGATGTGTATTAAGTGTTGTGCACATAAGTTATTTCAATCTTGACGACACTGACAGAAAATTATTATCTCTTCTTCACAGGTTAAACTCACAAGTGGTATGGGTGAAATCAGATGCCACATTTTTCTGATACTTAAGGTCACGCTCTTTATGTCGTATTACAGAGAGATAAGGCTAGTGTGGGTAAAATAATCTGAGATGACTTTTTTCCCAATGAAGACAATATGTGAACTAAAGAGTTGGTAAGAAAAGATGGCAAAGATGTAGAGGCAGAAATTACCTCACACAGCACAGTGGAGGTGATAGGTCGGGAAGAGAAAAGCGTAGTTAAAAAGAAACATGGGCCGGGTGCGGTGGCTCACGCCTGTAATCCCAACACTTTGTGAGGCCGAGGTGAGTGTATCACCTGAGGTCAGGAGTTCGAGACCAGCCTGACCAACAGGAAGGATCCCTGTCTCTACTAAAAATACAAAATTAGCCAGGCGTGGTGGCACATGCCTGTAATCCCAGCTACTCGGGAGGCTGAAGCAGGAGAATCACTTGAACAGGAGACAGAGGTTGTGATGAACCGAGATCACATCATTGCACTCCAGCCTGGGCAACAAGATCGAAACTCTGTTTAAAAAAAAAAAAAAAAAAAAAAAAAGGCCAGGCTCGGTGGCTCACGCCTGTAATCCCAGCACTTTGGGAGGCCGAGGCGGGCAGATCATGAGGTCAGGTTATCAAGACCATCCTGGCAACACCGTGAAACCCCGTCTCTACTAAAAATACAAAAAACAAAACATTAGCTGGGCGTGGTGGCGGGGGCCTGTAGTCCCAGCTACTTGGGAGGCTGAGGCAGGAGAATGGCGTGAACCCGGGAGGCGGAGCTTGCAGTGAGCTGAGATGGCGCCACTGCACTCCAACCTGGGTGACTGAGCGAGACTCCGTCTCAAAAAAAAAAGGCTGGGCGTGGTGGCTCACGCCTGTAATCCCAGCACTTTGGGAGGCTGAGGCAGGCGGATCACCAGGTCAGGAGATCGAGACCATCCTGGCTAACACAGTGAAACCCCGTCTCTACTAAAAATACAAAAAATTAGCTGGGCATGGTGGCGGGTGCGTGTAGTCTCAGCTACTTGGGAGGCTGAGGCAGGAGAATGGCAAACCCAGGAGGTGGAGCTTACAGTGACCCGAGATTGCACCACTGCACTCCAGCCTGGGCAACAGAGAGAGACTCCATCCAAAAAAAAAAAAAGAAAAGAAAAGAAAAAAAAGAAATCTGATAAGTGAGAAGAGTAAAAGATAACGAAAAAGCAGGCTTGATTGTACCAGATGTTACTAACATAAAAAATATTAGACAATAAATATCTACATTTACATCTAAATCTAATTTTCATATCCCCACTTCCAAAAACGTATTTGAGAAGGCCAAGAATAAAAGAAAATGTTAAAAATTATATTAGTACATAAAGAGCTGGAGAAGATAGGAGTGGGAGGATACCGTATATAAAGAACCTTACACCCATAGCTTTGTCTTTCCTCAGGCACTGTTACCAGTAACCTGCTTATTGGCTCAAAGTTCCAACCCTTTGTCTGGAGTCCAAGACTGATCTGAGGGAAAAGGCAAGCCATGTTTCTGCTCAACTCCAGGGTGAAGTTAGAGGTCTGAGGAAAGAATAAGGTGCATTTAAATGAAATTCAAGTTTTGGAAGACATCAGAAAGGGAATTTTCAATTCCTTTCTTGTACAACCTAGCTGTTCAAGTTACCATACATTTTAGTCTTTCTAATACAGCTGCTTTTTGAGGAGGAGGAAGAGGTGGAGGAGGGGGACAAGGACAGGCAGGAGGAGATAGGTGCTCAATAAAAAAAAAAAAAAACAAAACCCAGGCTAAAATTATCACTATGATTGATCATTATCTGAACTGCTCAGATTCCAGACAGTCAATGCCAAAGGAATACTCTGTACAACGAATTACGTGATTCCTACTTGTCTAGAACTATTTATAGGAGATAAACAAGACCTTGTTGAGAAACACTAAGACCTACATCCACTGAGAGGCTCATGTTATTAGAAGAGTCCCCCATTGTCTCTTGGCCTTTTGGCTCAGATCAAGTGTAGAAGAGTTTCCAAATTTCTACTCAAAAAATTATACGTACCATGCAATTTCATCAAAATTCCAAGAGATGTTTGGGTGGAACCAAGCTAATTCAACAATTGACACGAAAATACAAAGAAACACAAATAGCCAAGACACTCTTGAGGAAAAAGAAGGTAAGTGTACTTGCTCCAAATACAAAGTTACAGTGAGTAAGACAGTATGTTATTACTGCGAGGAGTGACAAATAGACCAGTGGAACAGAATCCAGAAATAGACATAGACATATATGTTCACTTGATTTTTTTACTAAAATGGCACTGCATATCAGTGCAGAAAATATGAACTTTCCAATAAATGATACTATAATAACTGGATACACACTCGGGAGAAAAATGAAATTCAATCCTACCCTATAAAAATTCCAGGTGGTGTAAAGACCTAAACATTAAAGCCTACCCTAGAAAGCTTTCGGCTTGGCCAGGTGCGGTGGCTTATGCCTGTAATCCCAGCACTTTGGAAGGCTGAGGTAGGCAGATCACCTAGTTCCAGGCCAGCCTGACCAACATGGAGAAACCCTGTCTCTACTAAAAATACAAAATTAGCCAGGTATGGTGGTGCATGCCTGTAATCCCAGCTACTTGGGAGGCTGAGGCAGGACAATCACTTGAACCCAAGAGGCGGAGGTTGTGGTGAGCCGAGATCATGCCATTGCACTCCAGCCTGGGCAATAAGAGCGAAACTTCGAGTCAAAAAAAAAAAAAAAAAAAAGAAAGAAAGAAAGCAAGCTTTTGGCTTTAAGACCAAAGAAAATCTTCATTATCTTGAGGTAGACAAAAATTTCTTAAACAAGACTAACCATAGGAAATGATTTTATTACAATGAAATCCAGAACTTCTATTTGTCAAAAGGCACCACATAGAGTGAAAAGTCAAACCAGAGCAGGTGAAAATACTTATCACACATACAACTGAAAAAAGATTAATTTACAGAAGATATATACACATATGTACAACTGCCGTAAATCAGAGAAAAACCCAATTAAAAATTGGTCAAATATTTGAACAACACCTTATAAAAGGGGACATTCAACTGCACTCCAGCCTGGGCAATAGAGACTCAGTCTCAAAAAAAAAAAACAAAAAAAACAAAAAAGGGGACATTCAAATGGCCAAGAATCAATGCTCAACTTTATTAGCAATAAAGGAAATTTAAATTAAATATAACATTAGACACCCACCAGATTGGCAAAAATTTAAGAGTTTTATGATGTCTAGCATGGATGTGGAGCTAAGAAAACTCTTGTAAACTGCTGGCATAAGTACAGTATCTTTAGAGAACAGTTTGGCAATGTTTGGTAAAACTGAAGATGTACAAACCCTACCTATTAGCACTTTTTTTTTTTTTTTTTGAGATGGAGTCTCACTCTGTCACCAGGCTGGAGGGCAGTGGCACAATCTTGGCTCACTGCAACCTCTGCCTCCCGGGTTCAAGCGATTCTCCTCAGCCTCCCAAGTAGCTGGGACTACAGGCGCGTGCCACCACGCCCAGCTAATTTTTGTGTTTTTAGTAGAGACGGGGTTTCCTCATGTTGGCCAGGATGATCTTGATCTCTTGACCTCGTGATCCGCCCGCCTTGGCCCCCCAAAGTGCTGGGATTACAGGCATGAGCCACTGCATCCAGCCACTATCAGCAATTTAATCACTAGGTATATATTCTAAAGAAATGCAAGCAAATGTGTACCAAAATATGCGCACAAAATGATCATAGTCACACTGCCTGTAGTAGCCAAAAATTACAAGACAAATGTCCATCAAGAGTAGAAGGATAAGGCCGGGCACAGCAGCTCACGCCTGTAATTCTGTCTCAAAAAAAAAAAAAAAAAAAGAAAGAAAGAAAAAAAAAAGAAAAAGAAAAATTAAAACCATCTGACAAATCAGTAAGGGAAAATCAGGTGTGGGAGGTGGGGTTTGAAGACACCACATTTTCTCAAAATGGAAACTCCAGGGATCAGGTCATCTCATAGGCAAGAATTTTCAAGAGAAGGAAAGCAACTATGTCCTGACAAAGAAAAAGGGATTTTTCTTAAACAAGAGGACAGGACAAGCTACCTTGCAGGTGCCTTGTGGATGTTCAACAGCCATTCTTTACTCCTGTTCGGAGGCCTCTATCCAAGCAGGGCAGGGCTGAGGAAGGAGAAAGCAGTCAGGAAACATCAGGTTCTTCTGAGAGGGAGTTGGTTTGACTATGTCAGAAGTTATCTTTGCTCAGCCCCTACTGCCCATCACCTACAGAGGAAGGTCAGAGAAGTCTAGGGCATCCTGCTTAATCCGGGCATCACAGACAACGGTAGGGTCAATGCCGTTCTGGGCAGAACCTGTCCCTGAGCTCACAGGGGTCTCCAATGGCTGAAGTCACAAAGACAAAGACTCCCCATACCTACATTGGCTATACGGACACATAGTCACACAAACTCACTCACACCGCAGGGACATAAACGTCACAGGCACCCCAAACCTAAACACAACACACAATCACACACTCATACACACCACGGGGGTAGACACGGACACAACCACAGAGTCCGTGGGCATCTCTCAAATTCCCAGTGACATACACCTTGGGGTCACAATGACAACAAATTCACACGCACCCTCCATCAACAATATCACCAACGCGCGCGCACACACACACACGGAAGCAGCCACAAACCTCAAAATTAAGGCATACTACACACAGTTCGGCAAATGGTAGTAAACACACACACACACACCCCAAGGGGACATACAGTCACAACCGCGGTCCAGGAACCTCACACTCGCAAACACAGTGCCCAACCCGGTCACAATTAAACTCTACTCACACCCGCACAAACATAAACAAAAAGTCCTCCTCCCCGCCCTCACAGTTCCATACACGGTCGCACAGACACACGCCCCCAGTCACAACCGTACACACTCCTCACAATCGCTCCTTAGCCTGTTCCCCACGCAGCCCACACAGGTCGGGAGTTCCTGTCGCGCCAGGCTCCGAGCCGCCTCACTTACGCCTGTTCGGATAGGGTCAGCTCCGTTCTACTAGAATCCACACAAGTCGACCCTAGCTATCTCACAAAGCCCCAAGGCCGCTTGCCCAAATCCGCGGGAAGATCCCGCCCACTCCTCAAGAGACAATCTAGTTATCGCGGGAGAGTGCCCTGGGCCTAGAGGCTTCTGGGAAGTGTAGTCCAGAAAGCGACAGGTTGCCGAAAGCTACAGCCCAGCCATCCCGATTCCCCTGGCGCGGACTCTGGCACCAACAAAACTATCTCTTTGAGGTGAGCTGCCCATCGGAGCCTTCCGGGAGTCTCACCTGACAAGGAGTCCCTAGACCAAGCTTTAGTCAGGCTCCTCTGAGCCCTTTTTGCTTGGCCAGGCCTCCTCCATAGCCTGCGAACAGCACTTCAGCAAGAATCCAGCTAAGCCAGTTTAGTAACAATCCCCCCACTCTTGATACTTAACTTCCTCTTAGTAATTTAGCATCCTTTAACTCCTTCACCCAGCCCGTTAGCTATAAATCTCCAGCTGCTGTTGTATTGGAAGTTGACTATTGCAATAGTCTTTAACCAAGTCCTTCTTGCCTGTTTAAGTCCTCTGGGGCAAGCTTTCTTTCACCCCGCCCAGCCTCAGAGGGCGGCTCCCGGGCTTCCGCCCCTCCTCGGGAGACATACTGGACCGCAGGGTCTCCTGGGAAACGTAGTCCAAGCCTCGCCGGGGATAGATGGGCCCAACTAAAGTGTGCTGCGTTCTCTGGGTCCTGAGGCGGCAGTCTGGCCGCAGTGACCAGACTAACTGTGCCCCGGAGGCTGCTTGGAATTCCACTTAACGCTGGAAGCACGCAGACGCTCTTGAGGCGGGCAGCTGCGTAGCGTGTGGAGGAGCCGGGAGAGCGCACCCCAATGTGGCACCTGAGCGTCTGGGACCGAACCAGCATGGGGAGTCGGAAGGGGACAAATCCGCGATCCCAGTCATGCATGTGAGACTGGGCAAAGGAAGGCTCGAGTGTGTGTGAGACCGCGGTGGGCCTGCTTGTGCTGGTGGGATGAGGGGTGTCTGGGTAGTTGAGTGAAAGAAACCGCGTGCGGGTCAGATTGGTGTGTGTGTGAGAGAAGTGAGGTCAAGATGTGTGCAGCTTTGGGCGTGGGGAGGTCATATTGAGTGTGTGGAGGTGGGGGGGGCAAGATCGTGTATGGATCTGTGTATGAGTGTGTGTAATCACCTGAATGTGGGTCACTGCGTGGGTAGCTGATACTATGACTGTGGAGGAATCTGAACCTCCAAGTCTCATTTTCTCTTTAAATTGTGATAACAAGGTTGTATCTTCCTGGTGCAGCAGTTTTAAAGGGGGGAAGCTCCATTACTGATATAATAAAATAGCATTTTTTATGTAAACATTTAACATTCAGACATTTCTTCTGAACTAGAGTACAAAATCAGTTATGAGTACTCCAAGTAGTTTAAAAAAGAAACCCGTCATAATAGATGCATATGGGGAAGATAAATAGTGAAAGGGGAACTTCCTTTTCACTATACTCTTGTTAAATTTTTAAAATCAATGTGAGGACTCATTTGAAAACAAATATAAAATTAAAAAACTGACAGAAAGGGGAGCTAGGAGGAAATCAATAATTTTTTAAGCTAGAAACTTTGGGAGGTGGTAGAGGTTGCCGAAATATGATGGCAGGAAGTGTATGACAACAGGAAATGCTGATGTAAAATATAATCCTGAAGCTTTTAACAATGGCAGGAAGGGCCGGGCATGGTGGTTCATGCCTGTGATCTCAGCACTTTGGAAGGCTGAGGCAGGAGGATCACTTGAGCTCAGGAGTTTGAGACCAGCCTGAACAGCATACTCTCTACAAACAAAACAAAACAAAAAAACCAAGCATGAGTGCGGTGGCTCACGCCTGTAATCCCAGCACTTTGGGAGACTGAAGTGGGTGGATCACTTGAGCCCAGGAGTTCAAGACCAGCCTGGCCAATATGGTGAAACCCCGTCTCTACTAAAAATACAAAATTAGCTGGGCGTGGTGGTGTGCACCTGTAATCCCAGCTACTTTGGAGGCTGACGCAGGAGAATGGCTTGAACCCGGCAGACAGAGGTTGCAGTGAACTGAGATCGCACCACTGCACTCCAGCCTGGATGACAGAGTGAGACTCCGTCTCAAAAAACCCCCAAAAAACAAGGGGACCTCCTCTTTCGGCTTTGGAGCCACCACCCCCCCAACCCCCATCTCTGTATGGGGGAACTTCTTCCTTCTGTCTTCTCCCTTCCTTCTTGCCTATTAAACTCTCCGCTCCTTAAAACAAAACAAAATACAACAAACAAACAAACAAAAAGACCCAAAAAACAAAAACAACAAAATTTGGACTATACAGGCAAGCGATCTATACCTAATGTGGCTCTGTTGCTCTAGTTCTCCAGCATCACATTCCTGTACAGCTCCATCTGAACATCTTTTAATTATGGCTAAGGCTCTTGGTTGAGTGAGGCAATCACATTTTTGTATGTTTACCCCACCAATGTCTCCTAAAAAACAGAAAAAAGAAAACGCCTGTGGGGTAGTCCGGGAAATAAGCTGTTTGAACTCAGCCCTTTGTGTTTCTATGAAGGCTTCATTATGTAGGCATGATTAATTAAATCAGCAGCGATTGGTGATGAGTTCAACCTTCAGCCCTTTTCCTTTTCCCAGAAGTCATGGGGTAGGGCAGAACTTTCCAACATTCTAATCACATGTTTGGTTGCCCTATCCTGTGGTTATGTAGGGGCTTTACTAACTTCACCTCATTAACTCACTTGTGGTTGAAAGGGGTTGGTTAATGAACAGTAAAGACATCTTTCACATTTATTACTCTGGTGCTATTTCAGGAACTGAAGTGTCTTAGTCCCTTAGTACTTCTACAGCAAAATACCTGAGAAGCAAAATACCTGAAAAGTAATTTGTAAATAATAGAAAATTATTTCCCACAGTTCTGGAGGCTGGGAAGTTCAAGATTGAGATGCCAGCAGGATAGGTGTCTGGTAGGTCTGCTCTCTGATTCCAAGATGGGACCTTGCTGCTGCATCCTCCACAGGGCAGGAATGCTGTGTCCCCACATGTCAGAAGGTACTGAAGGGCTGGACCCATTCCCTCAATCCTTTTTTTGAAAGCACTAATTCCATCTATGTAGGCTCTTCCCTCATAATTTAATCACCTCCTAAGGGCTCCACTTCTTTTTTTTTTTTTTGAGACAGAGTCTCTCTTTGTCGCCCAGGCTGGAGTGTAATGACGTGATCTTGGCTCACTGCAACCTCCATCTCCCCAGTTCAAGTGATTCTCCTGTCTCAGTCTCCCAAGTAGCTGGGATTACAGGCACATGCCACCAATCCCGGCTAATTTTTGTATTTTTAGTAGAGACGGGGTTTCACCATGTTGTCCAGGCTTGTCTCGAACTCCTGACCTCAGGTGATCCACCCGCCTCGGCCTCCCAAAGTGCTGGGATTACAGGCGTGAAGGGCTCCACTTCTTAATCTAACACATTGGCGATTAAGTTTCACTATATAAATTTTGGGGAACACATTCAGAACATAACCAAGGACAAAAGAACAAGTGTTTTTGTTTTGTTTTTTGTTTTGTTTTTTTTCCCAAGACAAAGTCTTACTGTATTGCCCAGGCTGGAGTGCAGTGGCGCAATCTCGGCTCACTGCAACCACTGCCTCCCGGGTTCAAGCAATTCTGCCTCAGCCTCCCGAGTAGCTGGGATTACAGATGTGCGCCACCACACCCGGCTAATTTTTGTATTTTTAGTAAAGACAGGGTTTCACCATGTTGGCCAGGCTGGTCTTGAACTCCTAACCTCATGATCTGCCTGCCTTGGCCTCTCAAAGTGCTGGGATTACAGGTGTGAGCCACCGCACTTGGCTAAGAACAAGTGTTTTAACAGAAAATACTCTGTTTAGGAAACTACAAGGGTTTTAGGACCCATGAACCAAGAACCATGGGCATGGATAAAGACCAAAATACATATTTCTTATTACATCACAATATCAGAGAGGTATAGACTCAGGATTGGTTGGTTTGCATATGTAAGCTGTGCTCATTGGAAAACTGTGATTATCTTTAGGAATTAGCCCTGAGAGGAGCAGCCTCTCCCTGTTTTTGGTAAGGTCCCCAAATGCCAGAGCATCAAGAATACAGAAAATAAGAAAATATAGTTAATATAATTGGCCTCTTGATGAACGAGTGCCAAATAGACTAATAGAGAATCTAAGGAAATGCAGTTAGAACACAGAGGCTATGTAAGTATTTACCTTCCACAAATGGTGAACTAATTTTTATTCCAACCAGAAATGTATGAAAGTTCCTATTTCCTGTTCCTGTCAACCATTGTATTTCTTCATTCAGCAGATATTCATTGAGCTCTTTTTTTTTTTGAGACGGAGTCTCGCTCTGTCGCCCAGGCTGGAGTGCAGTGGCACTGTCTCGGCTCACTGCAACCTCCGCTTCCCGGGTTCAAGAATTCTTCTGCCTCAGCCTCCCGAGTAGCTGGGACTGCAGGCGCCTGCCACCATGCCCGGCTAATTTTTGTATTTTTAGTAGAGACAGGGTTTCACTGTGTTAGCCAGGATGGTCTCGATCTCCTGACCTCGTGATCTTGTGATCTGCCCGCATCGTCCTCCCAAAGTGCTGGGACTACAGGCGTGAGCCACTGCGCCTGGCCTCATTGAGCTCCTTATCTGTGCCAGGTGCTATTCTAGGCACTAGGAAAATATCAGTGAACAGAACAGCCAAGATTTCCTGTCCTCACAGAGTATACCATTCTAGTTGGGGAAGTGGACAATGAATGTGTAAATGAAATATATCATATTCCAGATAAAGATAAGATTGGGGCCAGGTGTGGTGGCTCATGCCTGTAATCCAAGCACTTTGGGAGGCCAAGATGGGCGTATCACCTGAGGTCAGGAGTTCGAGATCATCCTGGCCAACATGGTGAAACGCCGTCTCTGATAAAAATACAAAAATTAGCCAAGTGTGGTGGTGCATTCCTGTAATCCCAGCTACTGGGTAGGCTGAGGCAGGAGAATCGCTTGAACCCGGGAGGCAGAGGTTGCAGTGAGCCGAGATCATGCCATTGCACTCCAGCCTGGGCAACAAGAGTGAAACTCCGTCTCCCACCACCCCCCTCAAAAAAAAAAAAAGAATCTAGGTTCTTTATAAATCTTTGTGCTGTCATATTGCACTGTCATTTTCTGCAAAGCCAAAGGTGGATCCATTTTTTCTGTCAATTTGTTGTACATGTTTTTAAAAATCTTTTAGTGATTACCTGAAAGATTACAGCATTCCTCTTTCTTTTAGTCTAGGACAAATTATTGACTTTACCATTTCCCCAATACTGCTAGAGGACCTTGGGACACTTTAACTCCATTTACCTCCATCCTCATTTTTGCTTTATTTTTGTTATTTAATTCTGCATACATTCAAAACCCCAGAGGGCAGTATATTACTTTGTGCAGTCAATATTCATTTATATTCACATACTTACTCTTTCTATTGCTATTCTTTCCCTACTAATTTTTTTTTTTTTTGGAAACAGGGACTCTGTCACCCAGGTTGAGTGCAGTGGCATGATCATGGCTCACTGCAGCCTCGACCTCCCAGGCTCAAGTGATCCTCCTACCTCAGCCTCCTGAGTAGCTGGAACCGCAGGTGTGCGCCACCACGCCCAGCTAATTTTTGATTTTTTGTAGAGGCAAAGTCTTGCTATATTGCTCAGGCTGGTCTTGAACTCCTAGATGCAAATGAACCTCCACCTTGGCCTCCCAGATTGCTGGGATTACTAGTATTAGCCACTGTGCCTGGCCTAAATTTCTTTCTGTTTCATCTGAGATCTTGTTCTTCTCGAAAAACTCCATTTAGTATTTCTTTTTTTTTTTTTTTTTTTTTTTTTTTGAGACGGAGTCTCGCTCTGTCGCCCAGGCTGGAGTGCAGTGGCGGGATCTCAGCTCACTGCAAGCTCCGCCTCCCGGGTTCACGCCATTCTCCTGCCTCAGCCTCCCAAGTAGCTGGGACTACAGGCGCCCGCCACTACGCCCGGCTAATTTTTTGTATTTTTAGTAGAGACGGGGTTTCACCGTTTTAGCCGGGATGGTCTCGATCTCCTGACCTCGTGATCCGCCCGCCTCGGCCTCCCAAAGTGCTGGGATTACAGGCGTGAGCCACCGCGCCCGGCCCTAGTATTTCTTTTAGTGGTGTTCTGATGGCAATGGATTCTCATGGTCTGTCTGAAATGTCTTTTTATCCTTTCTTTTTTGAAGGAGATTTTTACTGACTATAGAATTCTAGGTTATATATATTTTTTTTCTCAGAGTTTTGGTGAACTTCTTGAATCTATGGTTGCTGTGTTTAATCGGTTTTGGGAAATTCCTTGCCATTGTCTCTTCAAATAGGGTTCTTCTCCACGCTGTCTCTACTTTTCTTTTGGGACTTCAATTATACATACCAATGTGTACACTAGTTCTTTGGTGTAATTTTTCATCTTTTCATCTTTTTAAAAAGTCCTTGCCTACTTACTCTAATGCCAGGATCACATTTTGGTCTATTTCTATTGTTTGCTTGTTTGTTTGTTGTTTGGAGTTTGGGGGCTTTTTGGGTTTTTTTTTTTTTGTTTTTTGTTTTGTTTTGTTTTTGAGACAGGGTCTTGCTTTATTGCTCAGGCTGGAGCACAGTGGTGTGTTTTCAGCTCACTGCAGCCTCAATCTCCTGGGCTCAAACGATCCTCCCACCTCAGCTTCACAAGTAGCTGGGACCACAGGTATGTATCACCACACCCATCTAATTTTTTTATAGAGGTGAGGTTTTGCCATATTGCCCAGGCTGATCTCAAACTCCTGGGCTCAAGCAATCCACCCAGGCATTCCCAAAGTGCTGGGATTACAGGAATCAGTCACCCTGCCCGGCCTTTTTTTTTTTTTTAATTTTTTTTTTTTTTTGAGATGGAGTTTCGCTCTTGTTGCCAAGGCTGGAGTGCAATGGTGCAATCTCGGCTCACTGCACCCTCCACCTCTGGGTTCAAGCAACTCTCCTGCCTCAGCCTCCCGAGCAGCTGGGATTACAGACATGTGCCACCATGCCCGGCTAATTTTGTATTTTTAGTAGAGACGGGGTTTCTCCATATTTGTCAGGCTGGTCTCGAACTCCCAACCTCAGGTGATCCACCCACCTTGGCCTCCCAAAGTGCTGGGATTACAGGTGTGAGCCACTGTGCCTGGCCGACCTGTTTGTTTTTTCAGAGTTTTCTGTCATACAGTCCTGTCTCGGCATGCTTAATACTTTTTAAAATTAAATTCTGGACTGGTGTATAAAAATAGTAGAGGCTGCAGATAATATCTTCCTTTAGAGAATTCATCCTTTCCTTTACTGGGCAGATCAAGTAGGGGCTGATGACCTTCATTTAATCAGTGATTGAGTTGAGTCAGGGCTCCATTACGGTTGTGGAGGTTCATTGTGCTTCTGGTTTGCCTGCTCCTAGGACGTAGCCCATCAGGGTTTCAGGAGGATCTGGTGTGTTCACCAAGGCACCTTCCCCTGACAGGGCCTGAACTCAAAATCTTTGTCTTCTTAATCCAGCAAGACTACCAAAAACTCTGCTGCTTTTTGGAAGCTTTCCGCCTAAGTTCCTGAGCCTCCTGACCCAACCAGTTTCAGAAATGGGTAACTGTCTTGAGAAGAAAACCAGCCTTATGTAGAGTTCAAGTCTGTGTCCCTCTTTTCTCACAGGGATCTTGGCCCATAAAGTCTCCAATGTTGTGTTTTTAGGCCCAGAAAACTAAAGTCCTAGCAGTCTGGATCCTTCTGCCCTTTGCCAAGAATTGGCAAATAATCCAGGAAAAATGTGGCTGCACAATGTCTGTGATTACCTACAATCTATAGTCTTGACTACGCTATTCCTGGTTGTCCCAAACACTCCTTCATGTCTTTTTTTTTTTTTTTTTTTTGAGATGGAGTCTCACTGTTGCCAGGGCTGGAGTGTGGTGGTGCGATCTTGGCTCACTGCAACCTCCACCTCCTGGGTTCAAGCGATTCTCCTGCCTCAGCCTCCTGAGTAGCTGGGATTACAGGCATCCGCCACTACGCCCAGCTAATTTTTTGTATTTTTAGTAGAGACAGGGTGTCACCATGTTGGCCAGGCTGCTCTCGAACTCCTGACCTTGTGATTCACCTGCCTCAGCCTCCCAAAGTGCTGGGATTACAGGCATGAGCCACCGCGCCCAGCCCCTCATGTCTTTTTCATACAGGAAAAAAAAGTTAAAAAGCTTTGTGTTTTTTTTTTTTGTATTATATCTGATTTTTTAGTTTTCTGCAGGAATACTGGTTTGCTGCAAGCCACTCCATTGTATCCCTAAAGTGACTTTTATAGTTTCATTCTGACTATATTATTAACTTTGTTTCATTGGATATGAAGGTGAATACCTTTTTAAATATTTAAAACTTATTATTTCCATGAACTATGTTTCCTTTGTCTGTCTCACTATAATACTAATTTTTTAAATTCTAGAAATATTATTCACTTTTATTGAAATGTATGAGCACTTTATATATGGTGGAAATTAGTGATTTATAAATCTCATATAGGCACATTTTATAATATTTTTTCCTGGTATCTATCTTTTTATTTCCGTTTATGCCCTTTGCACATTTTAAGCTTGAGGTTATTTGTTTACTTGTTGAGTTTTGAAGGTTCTCTATATATTCTGGATACAAGTCCTCTGCCTGATATATGATTTACAAATATTTTCTCCCAATCTATCCCATGTCTTTCTCCTTAACGGTGTTACTTCAATAGCAGACGTTTACATTTTCTATGAAGTCCAGTATATCAAGTTGTTCTTTTATGGATTGTGCTTTTGTTGTCATGTCTAAGAACCCTTCATCTAACTGCAGGTCATGTACACTTTCTTTTATGTGTTCCTAAAAAAGTTTTATAGGCTAGGAGTGGTGGTTCATGCCTGTAATCCAAGCACTTTGGGAGGCAGAGGCGGGAGGGGCGCTTCAGGCCAGGAGTTTGAGACCAGCCAGGGCAACATAGTGAAACCTTGTCTCTACAAAAAAAAATAATAATAACTTCTCCCCTCCCCCCACCCCCCACCCCGAGATGGAGTCTTGCTATGTCCTCCAGGCTGCAGTGCAGTGGTGTGATCTCGGCTCACTGCAACTTCCACTTCCTGGGTTCAAGCAATTCTCCCTGCCTTACCACATCCAGCTAATTTTTGTATTTTTTAGTAGAGATGGGATTTCGCCATGTTGGACAGGCTGGTCTTGAACTCCTGATCTTAGGTGATCCGCCTGCCTTGGCCTAAAAATATATATATATATTTTTTGAGATGGAGTCTTGCTCTGTTGCCCAGGCTGGAGTGCAGTGGTGTCATCTCAGCTCACTGCAACCTCCATTCCCCAGGTTGAAGAGGTTCTCATGTCTCAGCCTCCTGAGTAGCTGGGATTACAGGCACGAGCCACCATACCCAGCTAATTTTTGTATTTTTAGTAGAGATGGGGTTTCACCACATTGGCCAGGCTGGTCTCAAACTCCTGACCTCATGCGATCCACCTGCCTTGGCCTCCCACAGTGCTGGGATTACAGGCATGACCCACCGTGCCCAGCCTGTTCCTTCCATTAATCTATCTTTCTGTCCTTCACCAAAAACACACTGTCTTGATTACTTAGGGCATCTCAACCTTGGACCATTATTTGGGACTGGATAATTCTTTGTTGTGGCAAGCTATCCTGTGCTTGTAGTGTATTTAGCAGCTTCCCTGACCTCTGTCCTCTAAATGCAAATTGTACCTCTCCAGTTGTGACTACCAAGAACTTCATACTGTGCTGTATATCTCCTGGAGAACAAAATCACCTCTGGTTGAAAAACATTATGGTAAAGCTTTGAAAATATTAATAATATTTTAAATTCCTTTTTAGATAGTTCCAACATCTACATCATATCTTTTTCTTTTCTTTTAATTTTTGAGGTAGGGTCTTGCTTTGTTGCCCAGGCTAGAGTGCAGTGGTGCAATCACAGTTCACTGCAGCCTCAAGCTCCTGGGGAGATCCTACCTGAGTCTACCTCTATTTGTTTGTTGTTGCTTTTTGCTTTTATGTCTTGAGTGTCATGATTTTTCTTGCCTTTTCATGTGTCTTGTAATTTGATGTTGCTGAAAACCATACATCTTTAGGACAGTAGTGAGCAGAAATTAGTTAACATAGCAGGTCTGAGACTACTTATCCTTAGAAAGGCCTGATATGCGAGGTTAGTCTTTGGCTTGCATCTAGAACTTGAATTTCAGATTGGTTCCCACCTTCCTAATAAGTGGCTTACTATGCCTAAACTTTTTGTACAAACAGTATGGTTTATGTTAAACACCCGCTTTCCTTCTGGGAATTTGAAATTCTGGTATGTGTTAGGCACAGACTGCCTATGTGACCAGCCCCCAATAAAAACATAGGGCACTGAATCTATAATAAACTGCCCTGATTGGTAACATCTCACATGTATTGTCACAACTCACTGCTGGGGAACAAATAAATCCCATATAAATTTACTGGGAAAGAACCCTTCGCAGTGTGCACCTGGTTTCCCCTGGACTTTGCCCCATGCGCTTTTTTCTTTACTGATTTTCTTTTGTATCACTTCACTGTGAGCCTCCCAGTGAATCATCAGAGCTTGGGCGTGTAGTGGTTGGTCTTGGGGTCCCCTGCCAGTAGTACCAGGAAAATGATGTTGATGGCTGGATGGGCATACCTTTCCTTCTGTAAGGCCTTTACTATGGGGTTTTCGGTTAATCCAGTTAGGAGTTTAACAACTAATCAAGACAGAAAATTTGTACAATTTGATTGCATTTATATACATTTCACAGCAAGATTAAAACTTTTTTTTCTTTTTTTGAGATGGAGTTTCGCTCTTGTCGCCCAGACTGGAGTGCAGTGGTGTGATCTTGGTTCACTGCAACCTCTGCCTCCTGGGTTCAAGCGATTCTCCTGCCTCAGCCTCCAGAGTAGCTGGGATTACAGGCATGCACCACCACACCTAGCTAATTTTTGTATTATTAGTAGAGACAGGGTTTTACCATGTTAGCCAAGCTGGTCTCGAACTCCTGACCTCAGGTGATCCACCCTCCTCAGCCTCCCAAAGTGCTGGGATTACAGGCGTGAGCCACCGCGTCCAGCTGAGAGATTAAAACTATTAAAGAGCCAAGATATTATTAATACCCTAAAGATCAGCTGGAGCTGGAGCTGGGTATCAGAAATGATCACACAGGTTATGTGCAGTGACTCATGCCTGTAATGCCAGTACTTTGTGAGGCCTACTTGGGAGGATCACTTGAGCCCAGGAGTTCGAGACCAGCCTGGCCAACATGGCGAGACCCTGTCTCTATAAAAATTAGCTGAGTGTGATGGCACACACCTGTAGTCCCAGCTATTCTGGAGGCTGAGGTGGGAGGATCACTTGAGCCAGGGAGGCAGAGGTTGCAGAGAGCCTAGATCGTGCCACTGTACTCCAGCCTGGGTGACAAAGCCAGACCCTGTCTCAAAAAAAACAACAAACAAACAAACAAAAAGAGAAATGATCACATAGAATGGGCATTTGTTCTTGAGATACCAACACTTGTGTGGAGTTATACTGAACTTACACATTTTATGCACTTCAAGTATTTTCTGTTTCACAATAAAAAAAGAAACAACTATTTTAGTTACCTGATAAGTTTGAAAGTACTGAAAAAAATTACTCCTCTGTCAGAAAGTTTAGATGTAGATTGAAATGATGTACATCTAAAAGAGAAGCAAATGAAAACTGGCAAGTGTGTACTTCAGCAAAAAGAATGGCATGAATGGAATTTACAAAACAGTACTAATGTTACTATAAACATTAATTGAAACCAAACACTTTAAGGGCGATTGGAGGATGGGAATAAGGTATTAGGAAGAGTTCTC
The DNA here is from genome assembly GCF_000001405.40 of Homo sapiens. NCBI lineage: Eukaryota > Metazoa > Chordata > Mammalia > Primates > Hominidae > Homo > Homo sapiens. The sequence goes on along the minus strand of NC_000019.10, from coordinate 36,839,016 downwards.
ATGGATTCCCAGACAGGGTACCCCTATAGGGCTGGGCATGTAGCTGTGTCCCATGGATCGTTTCCCCTTCGTTCTATCCCAGGCTGGTACTTGTGGGACAAGAGGTGTCCACCCAGCCGGGCCGAGGCTCGGGCAGAGACGGGACAGACTCGCCACTCGCTTGGCACAGTCTTGTAGGACTTTCCCGCCATGCCACATAGGTCAGAGGCCCACGCAGCGAGCTCCTACTGAAAACCATCGCACCATCCCCCCGGGGCATTTCTGCAGTGTTCCAGGCTCTGGACTACATTTCCCAGGGCCGTCGGGACCAAGGTTACTTCCAGCCTAAGATGGCCTGGGCTTACTGTCCTGTTCCCAGGGCTGGGAGCCTTTTGCAGAGGTAGGGCAGCCTGCATGCCTCCGCTGAAGCTTCCTAAACGCGGCCTGGAATTCTGGAAGCTCTCGGCAGCAGATGTGAGCGGTGTGTGGGCGATGGTCTTTGCCCAGCGAGGGGATGGGGCTCAAATGCAGGGTCCGTTAATGGTGACCGCGGTGTCCGGGGCAGTTAAAGACGGCCCAGGCTCCGGACTACATTTCCCAGAGTGCACCGTTCCCCGGGCAACTTCCTGTCAGCCCTCTGTCCCTTTAGGGTTAATAGAAAGATCGCGGAACCTTCCACCATCAAGGGACCGCAGGGCCGGGTGAGTGATTCCGAGACACAGAAGCCGAATGACTCCGGAGGGCCCGAGGCCGGGGCTGAGGGGAGTGAGGTGCTAATGTCTTTGGAGTTGGTGGCTTTGCCGGCGAGGGAGCGTGGGGGCGAGCGATCGCGATGGGAGCAGTGGATGCGAGAGTGAAATTGATGCAGGAGCTGGGGCCGCGACGGGAGCTTGTGTGTGTGTGTGTGTATGTGTGTGTGTGTGTGTGTGTGCGCGCACGCGCACACGACGTTGACAGGCGCTGTGTGTGACCCTAATGGACTATTTAAATGTGACTGTATGTACGTGATTATGACTGCGTCGCGTTGTGCGTGACCACGTTCGTAAAGGTGGTGATAGCAGCCGCTATGGGGCCAAAAACAAAGAATTGAGCTTTGCGTTGAGTGACAGGCATAGTCCTTCGTGAATGTGTGGGGAGCAGTTTTTGTGCTGGCCCGTAGCTGGATTGGAGTGGGGGCAACCTAGAAGGAGGGGAGAAGAATGGGACACAGTGTAGACAACATAGTTCAAGAGTTTCTCCGTAAATTAGAGCAGAGAAATGGAGCAGCAGGTTGGGGTAGAGGGCTGGGGAAGACGGCTGGGGAACAACCACCCATCAACATGTTGTTGGAAATGAGCCACGAGAGGGGGGAAAAGTCCAGGCAAGGGTAAGTAAACAAGGCTCATCTGTGTGGGTGTAGTTAAAAATGCAAGAATTAAAAAAAATAGAAAAGGGTAATCGCGCTGCAGAGAGTAAACCATGAGCTGAAGATTTCAGATATAGGGGGAAAATACCCTGTGTTTGGTAGAGGTCAACAAAAGTGAGATGTGGTGAGTTATATACAATCTCATGGCAGGAAATTCAAAACTAGAGTTTGTGGAGGGAGGAAGAAAGGTCTGAAGGTAGTGAACAACAAGGAGGCCGGCCATCTGTTCCATTTTCAGACCCACTGGTAAGAGGCTGTAGCTGGGGAAATGTTGAGAGGGCTGCAGAGTCCTCCAGATACAGCCTAGTTTCTGTTAGACTCAGAATGTTAGGGCGTGTTCAAGGAAGTGGTTGAAGATAAAAGAGGAGTTGGTTGTTAATGAATTATGAATTCCATTATGAAGGCATACAGGAAAAGTGTTGAAAGTTGGGAAGAATGAGAAAAGGGGACAAATGAGACTTGATGGTATACAATGTCCGAAAAGACAGTTGACTAGAAATTCTGGGACTTCTTATAGTAGATAAATATAAATACAAGGTTGGATTGACATTTATTCTGGTTGGATTCAAGTCAGTTTTGGAGAGATAGCGTGGGATAGTGAAAGATGATTTCTTGAGTGTGAGAAACAAACTTACCCGTCCCAAAGAATGGACTCAGAGACCCGGAGAACAGCAAAAGTGAGACTTTTAATGATGGTCTTGCAAGATCAGTGTCTGATAGGCACACCCAACAGTTTCAACAAGCAATTTATCCCCTAGTGCACAGGTTCCTCCCCTGGTTCCTCATAGGCTGATAACTATGGGGTCACAATCTTCCCGGATGTTGCCTATTGATTGTTGGGTAGGGGCTTCAGGTGTTTTGTTTTTTGATTTTTGTGAGACAGAGTCTTGTTCTGTCACCAGGCTGGAGTGCAGTGGTGCAATCACGGCTCACTGCAACCTCCGCCTCCCAGGTTCAAGTGGATTCTCCTGCCTCAGCCTCCCGAGTAGCTGGGACTACAGGTGCGTGCCACCACGCCCAGCTAACTTTTCTATTTTTAGTAGAGATGGGGTTTCACCGTGTCGGCCAGGATGGTCTCGATCTCTTGACTTTGTGATCCGCCCGCCTCGGCCTTCCAAACTGCTGGGATTACAGGCGTGAGCCACCGCGCCCAGCCGGTGTGTGTGTGTGTTTTTTTTTTAGGCTTGTCTTGCTGCATTTGGTTGCGGCCCACAATGCACTGCAATCCTAGTTAGCTCAAGGTCTCTTCAATAGTTGACTTATGACCTAAGCAGCTGGGCAGGCTGATAAAAGCAGACAAAATGAGCTATTTTGCAGGCTAGCAAACTTTCATCTTAGACTAAACTTCTTTGGTTTGGGTGAAGGCAACTAAGTGGGGGAAAGGGAGAAAGCGGGAGGCTGACAAGCAGGCATCATCTATCCAAGCAGGGGCCTAGTATATCCTGTTTCTTCTGTAGTTTGCTTACCTAAGCCAATTCAAGGCATTTTGTCTTGGAAATGGACCACTGTATACATTATTTCCTTCACTGAGTATCTCTCAGAAAGAAGGAAGCTTAAGATAGAAGGGGGGTCAAGGTAGGCAGAATGATGGCCCTGCAACCAATGTTTACTTCCTAATCCCTGGAAACTAGGACGATGCTACTTTATATGGCAAAAAGGACTTTGCAAAGGGGATAAAGTTAAGAACCTTGAAATGGGGGCGATTATCTTGTTGGACTAATATAATGACATGGGTCCTTAAAGTCAGTGAACCTTTCCTGGCTGAGTTTAAAGTCAGAGGGAGATGTGACCGCAGAAGAATGGTCAGAGAGATGCCACATTGCTTACTAGATAGAGGAAGTGGGCCTTAAGCCAAGGAATGTTGGTGGCCTCTAGAAGCTGGAAAACATAAGAAAACGAATTCTCCCCTGGAGCTTCCAGAAAGGAACACAGCCCTACCAACACCTTGATTTTAGCCTAGTAAGACCCAACTCAGACTTCTACTGAACTATATGATAATAGATTTGTATTATTTTAAGCCACTACCTCATGGCAGTAGAAAACTAATACAGTGGTGTAGTGTCTTGGCCTCAGTGTTGTGGAGGAGTCTTGATCCCTGTGACATAAGGGGACCTCAACCTCTGTTGATTATGTTGAAGACTTCCAGTAAAGTACATAGGTCCCCACTTCACCAATAATATAATTTACAGTTTTGCTATATTGTGTTATTTTTAAACTTTGGAACTTAGTGAACTTTTATTTGTGATCTAACATCTGGTCAGTCTATACTTACTTTTTGCCTTACACTTGATTTGTCTTGGATTGAGAGAGGTGTATTAATGAAATTTTATTTTATTTTATTTTATTTTTTTTGAGACGGGGTCTCCCTCTGTCGCCCAGGCTGGAGTGCAGTGGTGGGATCTCGGCTTACCGCAACTTCTGGTTCAAGCAATTCTCCTGCCTCAGGCTCCTGAGTAGCTGGGACTACAGGCATGCGCCAACATGCCCGGCTAATTTTTTTTGTATTTTTAGTAGACACGTGGTTTCACCACATTGGCCAGGCTGGTCTTGAACTCCTGACCTTGTGATCTGCCCACCTTGGCCTCCCAAAGTGCTGGGATTACAGGTGTGAGCCACCGTGCACAGCCAAAATTTTATTTTATATAACCTGTAACTTTTGCTTTATGAAAGTTGTTGTTGCTTTGATATACAGATATTAATGATTGTTATATGTTTATTATGAATTGCAGGCTTTAGCATGCTCAAGATCATGGCCTCTGCTTATTTTTTTGTTTGTATTTGCCTTGTAATATGCTGTATTTCTTCCTAGTCTTTTTATTGAAGTTTATCATATATACAGACAATACGTTATTCTCATGAATAATCAGGAAGAGAGCATTCTTGCACTTGTCATTTTGTGTTTACATGTATGCATTTCTATTGGGTTATTCCAAGGAGAGGAATTGGTGAGTAAGAGTATGTGAATCTCCTCAAGCAGATACTGTCAGTTTTCCAAAATGGCTGAACCAGTTAAAAGTTCCCATCAACAGTTTATGCAAGTTCCAATTGATCCATCTTCTTGTTAACACATGGCATTGTCAGACTGTAAAATGTTTGCCAATATGGTGGATATGTAGTGGTATTGCATTGTGGTTTTCCTAACTGATGACTAAGGAACTTGAATACCTTTGTTTTAATGTGCATTGTCCATTTGGATATCTTCCTTTGGGAAGTGCCAGTTCAAGTTCTTAGCCTAGCTGTTGGGAAACTTGTCTTTCATTGTTAATCCTTAAGAGTTCTTTGTATAATCTGAATGAGTCCCTTGTCAGCTTTGTGTATTGTATATATCGTCTCCTAGCGTAAGGTTTGCATTTTTACTCACTGTCTTTTTTTTTTTTTTTTTTTTTTTTGAGATGGAGTTTCGCTCTTGTTGCCCAGGCTGGAATGCAATGGTGCGATCTCGGCTCACCGCAAGCTCTGCCTCCCCGGTTCAAGTGATTATCATGCCTCAGCCTCCTGAGTAGCTGGGATTACAGGCATGCGCCACCATGTCTGGCTAATTTTGTATTTTTAGTAAGAGACAAGGTTTCTCCATGTTGGTCAGGCTGGTCTCGAACTCCTGACCTCAGATGATCCACCCGCCTCAGCCTTCCAAAGTGCTGGAATTACAGGCATAAGCCACCATGACCAGCCCATTCACTCTTTTCTGATGAACAAAAATTGCTTTTTAAAATGTAGTCTGATCATTATCATTTTTCTTTTATGGTTTGTACTCTGTATCTTATTCAAATCTTTGCTTATCCCCAAGGTATGAAGATATTCTGTATTTTCATCTATATTTATCTGTCACATGTAGGTATATAAACCTGGAATTGATTTTTGTGTCGTGAGGGGAAATCATGATTTGTTTTCCTCATATAAATTCAGTTGACCTGGCACCATGTATTCAAGACCATCCTTTCTTCCATGTTATTTATTTGCTCTGAAATCTATGGTGTCTTGATATTATAGCCACCTAAGCATTATTTTGATTATGATTTGCATGGTATATCTTTTGCTATCCTTTTACTTTTAAGCTTCCTATACCACTATATTGGGGAAACTGACACCTTGAAAATTATCAGCCTTTCATCCCATGAATGTGATAAATTATTTCATTTGTTTAGGTCTTCTTTAACTATTTGTAGTAATTAATATAAAGACATTGTACAGGCCAGGTGCGGTGGCTCATGCCTGTATTCCCAGCACTTTGGGAGGCTGAGGCAGGTGGATCACCTGAGGTCAGGAGTTCGAGACCAGCCTGACCAATATGGTGAAACTCTGTCTCTACTAAAAATACAAAAATTAGCTGGGCATGATGGCTGGTGCCTGTAGTCCCAGCTACTCGGGAGTCTGAGACAGGAGAATTACTTGAACCCGGGAGGCGGAAGTTGCAGTGAGCCGAGATTGTGCCACTGCACTCCAGCCTGGGTGACAGAGCGAGACTCTGTCTCAAAAACAAACCAACAAACAAAAGATATTGTATGTTACATATATTGTTAGATTTATTTATAGGAATTTGAATTTTTCCTGCTAAGTGCTGTCATTTTAAATTTCCTACTTTTTGCTTGTATGTTGAAATTTAATTGACATTTTGCCCTGTTTGACTTACATTTGTATTCATTTTTTTTTTTTTTTTAGAGAAGGTCTCATTCTTTTGCTTAATCTGGCCTCAAACTCCTGGCCTCAAGGCAGTCCTCCTGCCTTGGCTGTAGTCCTAAACATTTCTAAATTTCTTCCCCTTGATTTTCAGCTTGAAATGACACCCTTTATCTCTCAGTTATCACAAATGAGGCAATCAATGAGCTAGTCTATTTTCTATTCTCTAACCTTCATTTCTATATTAGTTATCTATTGCTGTAAAACATATTACCCTAAAACAGAAATAAATATTTATTATCTTAACACCATTTTCTGTGGACCAGGAGTTCAGGAGTGGCTTAGCTGGGAAGTTCTGGCTTGGGGTCTCTTGAGGTTGCAGTCACACTCTTGGCCAGGGCTGCTATCATTTGAAGGCATAACAGGGACTAGAGGATCACCTTCCAACGTGGCTCTCACATGGCTATTGGCAATAGACTTCAGTTTCTCACCATGTAGACCTCTCCATGGGGTTTCTTAAGTGTCCCTGTGATACGTCAACTGGTTTTCTCCAGAGCAAAAGGACAGCAAGAACGCATAAGCTGGAAGCCACAGTGTCTTTTATATCTATCTCATACTCTATCATTTCCGCAGTACCTTATTGCTATACAAGTTAATCCTATTCAGTATAGGAGGCAGCTACACAGTGTTGTGAATACCACATACTGGGTACCTTTGGGGCCATCCAGGATGCTGGCTACCATAATTCCGCTTTTACTATTTTATTTAGATTTGCATTTAAATATGTTCAGCATCACTACTATTCTTTTGCTGAAACTTTCACTATTGTTCTTTTGTGGCTGGAGTATGTCTTCTAGTAGCTTCTTCTGAAACAGCGCATGTCAACAGTATTTCCTAAGTTGCATCATAAAACTCCTTATATCCTTTATACTCGAATGACAGCTTGGCTGGATATAAAAATGTTTTGACTCCCTCATTTGTTTTTTTCACAAGTATATTGGAAGATTTACCCCACTGTTTGGGGTACTGAATTTAGCACTGCAGAAGTCTGATGACAATTGAATTTCCTTTTTCTTATATTTGATATTTTTATCTTGATTCCCCATGAGTTTTAGTCTAATTTTATTAGGTCATGTTTTGCTACTATTTTGGTTCATTTTCACCTGTAATATGGTTTCACTTTTCATCACGTTTATTTATACTCTATTTCAGGAAATTCATCTTGAGTATTAAAACTGTAGTGTTAGATACACAGCTACAACCATCGTTTTAGATATATCCTCTTAATTTGGATTTCATTTTTAGGTGCTCTGCGTTTTGCATATTGGATCTCTCTTTTCATTTTCATTTCTTCAAATGATTTTTGTTTCTTTGTTAAATTTTGTTCTGTTCATTAATTTCTGTATTCTGTGTTCCATACTATACTTTCTGTGGCATTTGTCAGATCTTATGCGCCTAGAGATGGGGGTCTCACTGTGTTGCCCAGGCTGGCCTCAACCTTGAACTCCTGGACTCAAGCAATCTTCTAGACTCAGTCTCCCAAGTAGCTGGGACCACAGGCACATGCCGCTGCACTAGCTAGTTTATTCTTCATTTCTGATGTGACTTAGCCTATTTTCTCTTTCAGTCTTGAATTCCACTAACTCCCATCTATGGTCTATCTATTACTTTCTTCTCTCTCCTGAGATCGTATATTTTTGCTTGTGGTCTGCTTTTAGAGCTGCAATTGCATCATACTTTTTTTTTAATTCAGACTGAAATGTTGGGTGATGATTTTCATCTTCTCTGATTTTTTTAGTGAGTTTTTTTGTACATGGGGGATTTTGACACACTTTTAAAACTTTGTGTGTTTTTTGTTGTTGTTGTTGTTGTTGTTTTGAGATGGAGTCTTGCTCTGTTGCTAGGCTGAAGTGCAGTGGCGTGATCTTGGCTCACTGGAACCTCTGCCTCCCAGGTTCAAGTGATTCTCCTGCCTCAGCCTCCCAAGTAGCTGGCACTACAGGCACATGCCACCACACCTGGCTAATTTTTTGTATTTTTAGTAGAGACAGGGTTTCACCATGTTAGCCAGGATGGTCTCGATCTCCTGACCTCGTGATCCGCCCGCTTTGGCCTCCCAAAGTGCTGGGATTACAGGCGTGAGCCACTGCACCAGCCTAAAACTTTTATCTAACTATCTTACGCATGTTATATCTAATTTATATTTTGGAGAGGATGTAATAGATTTTCCTGGAATAGCTGTCACTGGTATTTTCATGTGAAAAAAGTGAATGGGGCAAGGGTAGTTTTTAAGGTTTTTTTGCTCAAGGGTTTCTTCCTCTGTTACCCCAGTAGAAGACAATTTTTTTAAAATTTGGTTCCCTTTGAATAGCCAGGCCTTCTTTACCATTCAGAAGCTCAACTGGTTCAGGAGGACTCCTATTATCAGCTCTGAGTTCACCCAGTGTCTTCTACTATAATTAAGGAATACAGCCAAGTCCCCAGCTCATTTTATGAGGCCAGTATTTCCCAGATACTGAAACGAGACAAAGTATATCTCATAAGAATATGGGTGTAAAAATCCTCAACAAGTAGTAGCAAACCAAATCCAGTAACATCTAAAATGAATTATATAACATGACTGAGTGGGATTTATCCCAGAAATGCAAGGTTGGCTCACCATCAAAAGTCAGTTAATGTGATACATCATATCAATAGAATAAAAAAACAAAAATCACACAATCATCTCAATAGATAGAGATAAGGCATTTGACCAGAGCCAATACCCTTTATGATTTTTTTTAAAACATACACATTCTACAAACTAGGAATAAAGAGGAATTCAACCTGATATCTAGGAAAAACCCACAGCCAACATCACACTTAATGGTAAAAGACTGGATGTCTTCCCTCTAAGATCAGGGACCAGACAAGGATCCCCACTTCTGTTTAACATTGTACTGGCAATTGGGCTAGGGCAAATGGGGAAGTAAAAGAAATAAAAGACACTGGAGAAAAGAACGGAACACAGCTAAGAGCATCTCTATTTGCAGATGGCATGATTTTCTATATAGAAAATAAAACTTATACTCTGAAAACTACAAAATAGATGATATTCAAACAAAAACTTTTACATGAATGTTCATTGCAGCATTTTAAAAATAATTGTCAGCCGGGCATGGTAGCTCAGGCCTGTAATCCCAGCACTTTGGGAGGCCGAGGCGGGCGGATCACCTGAGGTCGGGAATTTGAGACTAGCCTGACCAACATGAAGAAACCCCGTCTCTACTAAAAATACAAAATTAGCTGGGCATAGTGGTACATGCCTGTAATCCCAGCTACTCGGGAGGCTGAGGCAGGAGAGTCACTTGAACCCCAGAGGTGGAGGTTGTGGTGAGTCGAGATCGTGCCATTGCACTCCAGCCTGGGCAACAAGAGCGAAACTTCATCTCAAAAATAATAGTAATTGTCAAAAGGTGGAAACAACCCAAATGTCCATTAATAGACGAATGGGTAGACAAAAGGTGGTCTATTCATTTGCAGAGATATTATTCAGGCATAGCAAGGAATGAAGTACTGATTCATGCTACAATTTGGATAAACCTTGAGAACCTTATGCTACGTGAAAGAAGCCAGTAACAAGTCCACATATGTTATTCCATTCATATGAAAGTCCAGAATAGGAAAATCCATAGAGTCAGAAAGTAGATTAGTCATTATTTGAGGCTAAGTATGGGGCACATGTGGCAGTGGGGAAGCCAAGGAGTGATAGCCAAAGGGTTAGAGTTTCTTTTCGAAATGATGAAAATATTCTAACATTGACTGTGGTTGCACGTATTTGTGAATATACTAAGAACCATTGAATTGTTCACTGTAAATGGCTTAATTGTATGGTATGTGAATTATATTTCAATAAAGCTTTAAAAAAAAAATACAACCAATGTGTTTTGCCACCTTGAATCCCCCTGACATCTTCGGGCCTCCTTTTACCACCTCCTTTTGACATCATTCCTGCTCACAGAAACTTTCATTCAGGATATGGTCTACTCCCCATGGGAATGGATATTCCTCATTTGTTTTTCTTTGTAGCATCACTGTGGCTTCCACAGACATTGTTCTTTCATTTTCTTTTCACATCTCCAAATAATTTGGAATCTGTTCATTTTCTGTTTCCTGATGGTTGGGATTTACTTTGATTTTCTTGTTTCTGTCTACATGGTTTCCAGGAGGAGGAATATCAGGATTAGAATTAGTTTTTGGCTGGACATGGTGGCCTACACCTGTAATTCCAGCACTTTGGGAGGCCAAGGTGGGAAAGTATTTCTTGAGGCCAGGAGTTTGAGAACAGCCTGGGCAACATAGCGGACCCCGTCTCGACAAAAATAAAATAAATTAGCCAGGCACAGTGGTGCATTCCTGTAGTCCCACCCTATTCAGCAGACTGAGGTGGAAGGATCGCTTCAGCCTAGCAGTTTGAGGCAACAGTAAACTGTGATTGCACCACTCTACTCCAGCATGACTGACAGTTTGAGACACTGTCCCTAAAAATTTTTTTTTCCTTTTTTTTTTTTTTGAGAAGGGGTTTTGCTCTTGTTGCCCAGGCTGGAGTGCAATGGCACGATCTCAGCTCACCGCAACCTCCGCCTCCCAGGTTCAAGCAGTTCTCCTGCCTCAGCCTCCTGAGTAGCTGGGATTACAGGCATGTGCCACCATGCCCGGCTAATTTTATATTTTTAATTAAGACGAGGTTTGTCCATGTTGGTCAGGCTGATCTCGAACTCCCGACCTCAGGTGATCCGCCTGCCTCGGCCTCCCAAAGTGCTGGGATTACAGGCGTGAGCCACTGTGCTCAGCTAAAAAAAAGTTTTATTTAAAAGAACTAGTTTTTTCTTAAAACCGTGTAATAATCACTCTCAAGTACTTCATGTTCTCAAACACAAAATATATTTTAGTTCACAATTTATTCTCCAGCCCTTCACTCTTCTTGGAAAAGTGCTTAAAGTTCTCTATGCCCCTGAAGCTGTCTGTCTCCTAGGACCAATTCATACTACAGGCTTTACATGGAATTTTCATGAACTCCTCAGATTATGTATATCAGTCTTTATCCTCTCACACCAACTTTGCTGTATCTCTAATTAGAAACATTTTTAAACCTTACTTTAAAAATGCAGAATGCTTTCTTATTACCTCTGAAATATGGCCCAAACTCTATACCCTATTTTTTAGGGCTTTTCATAACAGGATCCCTGCTTTATACGTCTCCATCTGCCACTGTCTTTCCTCTCTGTGTTCCTTGAATGCACAAAAATATCTTTGCTTGATTGGCGCATGTTGTTTCCTCTGCTAGGAGATCCCCCTCACCTTGCCCTGTCTTCTCTGGTGAGCCCCTGTGGAGGAAAAGTTAAATATTAAATTTGAACTCAATTGAACATGGACACAAACAATGGTCACCAAGTCCTGGAACAGGTTGTGTGAGCCCCTTGAAGCGTTCATCCAGTGCTGTTTCGGAGAATTCTCTATTTCAATCTATTCCTATACATTAGTCATTGAAAAACAATAGACAATCGCAAAAACAGGTTGAACTTTTTGTGTTCCTTGAGCCCAGTCAGGAAGGGCCCTTGTGACTGGGCCTCATGCCAAACAACTTGTTACAAAAAGAGCTAAGCTCCCAGACTGCACCAAAGCTTCATGAGACCTCTCCTCGCCTGTGCACGGATGGGTGGCCGACTGTGGAGCCCAGGCTGTTGCTTCCCGGTCTGGTGGTGAATCCTCCATAGTCTGCTGGGTGTAGTGTCTGACTCTGGAGCCCAGGCTGTTGCTTCCCAGTCTGGTGGTGAATGCTTATAGTTTGGTAAGTGTATATATATATATATATATATATATATATATATATATGTGTGTGTGTGTGTGTGTGTGTGTATGTGTATATATATACACACACACACATATATACACACATACACACACAACACACATATATATCTATGTATGTACATATATTTTCCCTTCTCTTCCCATTGCAATTTGCTTATTATATCATTTGCTTATTATATCTGCATTGCCATTTATGTGGGATAAAGGTTGTTTACCCTTAAAGGTATTGTGTGTCTTTTCTTCTCCCCTCGCGCATTTCCCACACAGAACAGCCCCTCAAGAGTCAGCTGAAGTACCATTTCCTATAGGAAATTTTCTGTTAAAAACTAGTTTTGGTTTGGGCTCCTTAGAACTAGTTGGCTCCTTTCATAACCATGATTACCTTTATTTCCTACAGTATTGTAATTGCTGCTTACTTTTCTGACTGTGAATTCCTTGATAGTAGGTCTTGCAACTTATTTATCTGATTCCCTTGTGCTAAGTGCAAAGCTAGATTCAGAGAGGCATATATATATATAATTTTTATTATATATATAATTATAGATAATTATAAAATTATCTATATATAATTTTTTTTTTTTGAGACCGAGTCTCGCTGTGTCGCCAGGCTGGAGTGCAATGGTGCAATCTCGGCTCACTGCAACCTCCAACTCCTGGGTTCAAGCGATTCTCCTGCCTCAGCCTCCCGAATAGCTGGGATTACAGGGATGCGCCACCATGCCTGGCTAATTTTTGTATTTTTAGTAGAGACGGGGTTTCACCATGTCGGCCAAGATGGTCTTCATCTCCTGACCTCGTGATCTGCCCGCCTCGCCTCCCAAAGTGCTGGGATTACAGGCGAGAGCCACCACGCCCGGCCAATATATTTTTTTAATAAAAGTTCGTGCTTCACAACACTGACTACTCGCCCAATCCAGCCTTCCTTCCATCTTTGGGTTCCCTTCATGAAAAAGCCACCCTGATGCTCACTGTCAATGAAAACACAGGAGGCAGAGATCATGGGCTGCTCCTATAAGGGAAAGGCCCAGCTCATCCTTCACTCAATAAAATAAGAAATTCTGAAATCCAGAGGGTAGGATACAGTATTCAAAGTAACAAGCTTTGCATTCAGCAAACCTATGATATTTCCTAATAGTGAATTTGAGCAAGTGACCCATTTCCAGATGTTTTAAATGAGACAATTAACTGACATTCATAGGCGGCTTGAGGATAAATGTTAATGTAGGTATGTATGAATTTAGGGCAAGCCAGAATTGACTTATCTAGTAGTATCCTGATCCAGATCATGATTTTGGCATAAGTGATTCGACTGAAACTTCATCCTGCTTTTGTTGAATCTCTCTGGTTTTGGATAGGGCCAGGATTTCTTCAGGTTCCTTCTGACTTACCTCCAAGGAAGAAAATGGCATTTCCTATTTGTCCCTTTGAGAGCTCTGAGAAAGGCCTGACCTTGTGATTCTTTCCTTCTAGCTCTGCTTTCCCAGCACGCTGCCTCACCAAGAAAGAATCCAGAGAAGGACTGGTGGACTTGGAATGTTAAGTCATGGCCCATGTGAGTTGGAATTGCCTCTCTCCAAAAATATAACCCATTTATATCAAATCATGTGAATATTTTTATTGCTTATCCTTAAACTGCTTACCTGAATCACTATTGAGTGTCATAAGTAATGACTGTGAAACAGTCCAATGCTTTCCCTAGATATCCCTCTTTTCTCCAACCAGTATGACCAAATCTATCCACCAGGGCTTTCAGTTATCTCCTGTGTCCCAATCTGGCAGAGCACTGAAGAAGAGAAATACATTTCCTTAAGGGGAACAGTAAAGACTTTTCATTTCAAACCTGTGGCTTAACAAGAGGGGATAGAATAATTAAAGGGGACATACTACATAAAGGCTTTTATTTACTCTGTAGAATGGGATGTTTCATTTAATCAAGATGGGAGTTGGTGTTGGTTGGGATTCATTTAGGTATGTGGCACTTTGTGATGCTTTCCTTAGCAGATATGATGGGAGGTTGAGTTCAAAGAGATCTGGGATTTTCCAGGAAATTAATGAAAGGTTAATATCATTAACAATCCAGGGCTAGTTATTCCAGGCTGGTATAGCCTCTCAGTGGTATCGACAAAAAACTCATCTGATGACTTTCACAGTAATCACTTATGACACTGAATTTGCTGATTGTCAGCTGCTTAACAAAGTCTGGAGATTCTACACATTTTCCACAGAAAATAATATTCAGCCAGGGAGTGTATCTCTTGAGAATTCTCTCAGTTTAAACTAACAGATAATTCAACTAAAAGTAGTAGCTTAAGCAAAGGACAGTTACCTGGGCCAAAGGCTCTGTATGCACAAGTCTGTTTGTGCCCAGTAAAGACTGCTTACAACTAACAAAACCTCCAACTTTTCTCACATAATAAATCTGGGGCTAGTTCTTCCAGGCTGGTGTAGCCTCTCAGTGGTATCAACAAAAAACTCCTATGATGTCTGTTCTGGGCTACCATTCTGATGTTTTGGTATTTGTGATTTGAAGATCATAAAGATGTGGTAACTGAGCAACAGGAGTTTTTACCGGGTGCAGTGGCTCATTAAGACTTTGGGAGGCCAAGGTGGGTGGATCACTTGAGGTCAGGAATTTGAGACCAGCCTGGCCAACATTGCGAAACCCTGTCTCTACTAAAAATACAAAAAATTAGCCAGGCGCAGTGGTGCACACACGTAACCCCAGCTGTTAGGGTGGCTGGGGCACAAGAATCACTTGAACCTGGGAGGCAGAGGTTGCAGTGAGTCGAGATTGCACCACTGCACTCCGGTCTGGGTGACAGAGCAACACTCTGTCTCGTAAAAGAACAAAAAAAAGGAGCATGTAGGCTGGGTGTCGTGGCTCACACCTGTAATCCCAGCACTTTGGGAGGCCGAGGCGGGTGGATCACAAGGTCAGGAGATCAAAACCATCCTGACTAACACGGAGAAACCCCGTCTCTACTAAAAAATACAAAAAATTTGCCGGGCGTGGTAGCGGGCGCCTGTAGTCCCAGCTACTTGGGAGGCTGAGGCAGGAGAATGGCGTGAACCCGGGAGGCGGAGCTTGCAGTGATCAGAGATTGCACCACCGCACTCCAGCCTGGGCGACAGAGCGAGACTCTTGTCTCAAAAAAAAAAAAAAAAAAAAAGAGCATGTAGACACTTGGCTTTTGTCACCCTTATTCCCATGTCATTTCCCCTGAAACCACAGGCAGCCAACTCCAGTTTTTCGCCCAATATATGCCCCACTCCCTGCAGTGCCCCTTTCCAGCCTTTCCCCTTTCATCTATAGGGATTATAATTATTTTTAAAAATTTCACCATTAATACTTGGAATTATTCTTTCCAACAGTTGATGATGTTCAGGGATGTGGCTGTAGATTTCTCTCAGGAGGAGTGGGAGTGCCTGGACCTGGAACAGAGGGATTTATATAGAGATGTGATGTTGGAGAACTACAGCAACATGGTCTCACTGGGTAAGATTCAGCATTTTCCTTAGAAATTCCTGCTTTCTGTATTGTGATTTTTTTTATTGTCTTTTAAATGTCCAGGGTAACTTCTGACCTTTGTTTTTTAGAAAATGGTTTGCGCTTTGTAAATCTGGCAATAGTTATCATCAGTGGGCACTTCCATCTTTCCCATAGTTTATACTTATTTTTGTCCTGCCTGTAATTGTTTCTCTTCCTTAGTAACCAAAGAAGTAGTTGCAAATTTTAGAATCTTTACAATGTGGTTCTTTGCTGTTTCTCATCTTCTGGGCAGGTTTTTGCATTTATCAGCCAGAAGCGTTCTCTTTATTGGAGAAAGGGAAAGAGCCCTGGAAGATTTTGAGGGATGAGACAAGAGGACCTTGCCCAGGTGAGTGAGGGCTGAACACGCACAAGGAGGCCATTGTTGTGGATAACAGCTCAGCTGCACAGTGAGGCAGCAACACCTCTGAAATATTGGTCTGGAATATCCCCTTAAGACCAAAAAATGGGCCGGGTGTGGTGGCTCCCGCCTGTAATCCTAGCACTTTGGTGGGTTGCCTGAGCTCAGGAGTTTAAGACCAGCCTGGGCAACATGGTGAAACCCCATTTCTACTAAAAAAACAAAAACAAAAACAAAAACAAAAAAATACAAAAAATTAGCCAGGCATGTCGGCGTGCAGCTGTAGTCCCACCTACTCGGGAGGCTGAGGCAGGAGAATTGTTGAACCAGGGAGGCAGAGGTTGCAGTGAGCCGAGATCGTGCCACTGCACTGCAGTCTGGTCGACAGAGTGAGACTCTGTCTCAGGGGAAAACAAAAACAAAAACAAAAACTGGCTGGGTGCCGTGGCTCACGCCTGTAATTGCAGCACTTTGGGAGGCCGAGGCAGGCAGTCCACCTGAGGTCAGGAGTTCGAGACCAGCCTGGCCAACATGGTGAAACCTCGTCTCTACTAAAAATACAAAAACTAGCCAGTGTGGTGACACACACCTGTAGTCCCAGCTACTCGGGAGGCTGAGGCAGGAGAATTGCTTGAACCTTGGAGGCAGAAGTTGCAGTGAGCCAAGACTGCATGACTGCACTCTAGCCTGGGCTGGAGTACAGTCAGACTCCATCTCAAAAACAAAACAAAACAAACAAACAAACAAACAAAAAACACTTTAATAAGGGCCTGAGGCCTAGATAGAGACAAAACCTTTTCTCAAAGAACTTTCTCTTCACTCCAAATACCACTCTATTTTTGTGCTCTCATTTTTCACTCATGTAACAAAAAGGTAAGTGCCATTCTTTTCTCCAGTGGCCCTTATTTTATCTATGATTTGGATCAAGTTCCTTCTCATCTCCCTTTTTTAAAATTTAATTTTCGTAAAATTCTTCATTCAGTTAAAAAAATTTTTTTAACCTCATTTTTTTATTTTACCCATCCCTTTTGAATTTTTGTCATTTTTCCTATCTTCTCCTTGATTGTACATTGCCTGCATTTATTAGTTCTCCTTATTAGTTCATTCTTTTAACCAACATTTATGGATTTTCTTATTTTAGGTTTAAAAGAATTAACAAGAATATATTGTCTCTTAAGAAACTTTTTGTTCTCTTCTGTGATTGGAACATGGCCACACATTTCTGCATACAGGGAACATTAAGAGAAGACCTAATAGGCTGCTTAGTTGAAAATCAGAGTAACAGGTGATAACAGTTTCTGGTCACAGTGAGGAGGAAGTGGCAGAAGAAAGGTTAGGGCTTATGAAGTACAACGAGAAGAACACAGTGTCATAAAAGACAAGCCCAGCCAGACGCGGTGGCTCATGCCTGTAATCACAGCATTTTAGAAGGCCGAGGCGGGTGAATCATCACCTGAGGTCAGGAGTTCAAAACCAGCCTGGACAACATGGCAAAATCCCATCTCTACTAAAAATACAAAAATGAGCTGGGCATGGGGGTGGGCGCCTGTAATCCCAGCTACTTGGGAGGCTGAGGCAGGAGAATCGCTTGAACCCAGGAGGCGGAGGTTGCAGTGAGCTGAGATTGCGCCACTGCACTCCAACCTGGGCGACAGAGTGAGACTCCATCTCAAAATAAATAAATAAATAAATAAATAAAAAGACAAACTCTGACTTGTCTAGTTCCCCGTATTCTCCAGCTTTTCCTCTCTAATAATAATCATCAGCTACTGATTATTCAACACGTATCCTGTGTCAGGCACTTAATAGAAATAGCGTATTATTCCCAATCCTTGCAACAAACCTCTGCAAAGTGATGTTTTATTCCTTTTTATAATATGAAAAATTAAGAGCTCAGTCAAGCTCAGTAATTTTCCAATCACCTAAAAAGTAGTTTTAGTAAACAGAACTAGAGTCTGAAACTGCAGTTTGTCATCTTTCCATTGCAGTACATTACTGCTCATACTTTGTAACTAAACTGCCTTTCAATTCATTGAGTCACTGCTAGAGTACTTGCTGTCTCCCAAGAAAAACTGATAACAATTGTACTCGATCCTAAATATATACATTAGAAAAAAGAGTCACAGAGGAGTACTTATTCTTAGCTTGTGCCAGACTCCTTCTCCCTTGAAAAAATTTCTCAAACTATTTTTTTGTTGTTGTTAAGACAGGGTCAGTGGGGGGAGGGGGGAGGGATAGCATTAGGAGATACACCTAATGCTAAATGACGAGTTAATGGGTGCAGCACACCAGCATGGCACATGTATACATATGTAACTAACTGGCACATTGTGCACATGTACCCTAAAACTCAAAGTATTAAAAAAAAAAAAAAAAAAAAGACAGGGTCTCACTCTGTCACCCATGCTGGAGTGTGGTAGTGTGATCATGGCTCCCTGCAGCCTCATCTCCTAGGCTCAGGTGATGCTGCCACCTCAGCCTTCCAGGTAGCTAGGACCACAGGCATGCACCACCACTCCTGGCTAATTTTTTATAGAGATGGGTTTTTGCCATGTTGCCTAGGCTGGTCTCAAACTTCTGGGCTCAAGCAATCCATCTGCCTCAGCCTTTCCAAGTGCTGGGATTAAAGGTGTGAATCACTGTACCTGGCCTTCAAACTATTTTTCTGTCTGAACTATCACCCATAATTATCTCCTTTAACCTAAATGCAGCATACCCTGCTATTGAGATCCTAGTACTTTGGTAACTCTGGATCAGATTACTTCCCTCATATTAGACTGATATTCTGCTATTTCCCAGCATTCCTATTTTTAAGCTCTGAATTATATAAGACATTCATCATAGTACTTGGAAACTTGTAGGTATTTTATGACTTATTATTCTGTTATTGAGGTGATACCTGGATAATCATTTTTTATTGAGCTCCTCAGATGAATATGATCAAAATAAAACATATTTCTCATCACTTGACTCAACTTTTATTTCTTTTAAATTTCTACTTATTTCTTGCCCTTTTTTTCATATTGCTCATATTTGAGAATTTTCTAAGCCATTCACTTCTCATATGCTTTACTTCAAGATTTTCTATATCTATTTTAGAAGTTGTATTGCTTTTTGTACATACAACCGTATGATGTTTTTACCTTCTTATTTTTCAGACATGCAGTCGAGGTGTCAGACCAAGAAGTTATTACCAAAAAATGGCATTTTTGAGAGAGAAATAGCCCAATTGGAAATAATGAGAATTTGTAAAAACCACAGCCTTGACTGTTTATGTTTTAGAGGTGACTGGGAAGGCAACACTCAGTTTCAAACACTTCAAGATAATCAAGAGGAATGCTTCAAGCAGGTGATACGCACCTGTGAAAAAAGGCCCACTTTTAACCAGCATACAGTGTTTAATCTACACCAGAGACTTAATACAGGAGACAAACTGAATGAATTTAAAGAACTGGGGAAAGCCTTTATTTCTGGTTCAGATCATACTCAACATCAGTTAATTCACACAAGTGAGAAATTCTGTGGAGATAAAGAATGTGGGAATACCTTTCTTCCTGATTCAGAAGTTATTCAATATCAGACAGTTCACACTGTTAAGAAAACATATGAATGTAAAGAATGTGGGAAGTCTTTTAGTTTACGTTCGAGTCTTACTGGTCATAAGAGAATTCATACCGGTGAGAAACCTTTTAAATGTAAGGATTGTGGGAAAGCCTTTAGATTTCATTCACAACTTAGTGTCCATAAGCGAATTCATACTGGTGAGAAATCTTATGAATGTAAGGAATGTGGGAAGGCCTTTAGTTGTGGCTCAGATCTTACTCGACATCAGAGAATTCATACTGGTGAAAAACCCTATGAATGTAATGAATGTAGAAAGGCCTTTAGTCAGCGATCACATCTTATTAAACATCAGAGAATTCACACTGGTGAAAAACCTTATGAATGTAAGGAGTGTGGGAAAGCTTTTACTCGTGGATCACACCTAACTCAGCATCAGAGAATTCATACTGGTGAGAAATCTCATGAGTGTAAGGAATGTGGAAAAGCCTTTATTCGTGGTTCAAATCTTGCTCAACATCAGAATGTTCATGTTGGTAGGAAACCTTATAAATGTGAGAAATGTGGGAAAGCCTATATTTGGAGCTCACACCTTGCTCGACATCAGCGAATTCATACTGGCAGGAAACCTTATGAATGTAAGCAATGCGGGAAGACTTTTACTTGGGCTTCGTATCTTGCTCAACATGAGAAAATTCACAATGAGAGGAAATCCTATGAATGTAAGGAATGTGGAAAGACCTTTCTTCATGGCTCAGAGTTTAATCGACATCAGAAAATTCATACTGGTGAGAGAAACTATGAATGTAAGGAATGTGGAAAGACCTTTTTTCGTGGTTCAGAACTTAATCGACACCAGAAAATTCATACTGGAAAGAGGCCATATGAATGTGAAGAATGTGGAAAAGCCTTTCTCTGGGGTTCACAACTTACTCGACATCAGAGAATGCATACTGGTGAGGAACCTTACGTATGTAAAGAATGTGGGAAATCTTTTATCTGGGGTTCACAGCTTACACGACATAAGAAAATTCATACTGATGCAGAACCTTATGGATGCAAGAAAAGTAGCCACATCTTTAGTCACCATTCATATTTTACTGAACAAAAAATTCATAATAGTGCAAATCTCTGTGAATGGACAGACTATGGGAACACCTTTAGTCATGAGTCAAACTTTGCTCAACACCAGAATATTTACACTTTTGAGAAATCCTATGAATTTAAAGATTTTGAGAAAGCATTTTCTTCAAGCTCTCACTTCATTTCACTCTTGTGAAATATTATATAAAAGTGTAGGAAGGGCTTTATTCATGACTCATTAATTGATGTCATTTATTTTTTTCTCTTGAGGAACACCACAAATGTAAGTAATATTGGAAGGCATTTTAACAGAGCACACATCCAGCAGCAGCAGCAGCAGCAGCAGCAGAGAATTCATCATGCAATCAATATAGGAAAGAAATTACTGATCAGTTATCAATTGCAGAATATCAGGGTAAAATTTTATGAGATAGCATGAATTCTTTTTGAATCATTCTCAAAACATTCTCATCAGAGATGTTGCATAAAGAATTTATATATAATTTGGCCAAGCATGGTGGCTCACACCTGTTATCCTAGCACTTTGGGAAACAGAGGTGGGTGGATCACCTGAGGTCAGGGGTTCGAGACCAGCCTGACCAACATGGTGAAACCCTGTCTCTACTAAATATACAAAAATTAGCCGGGCGTGGTAGCACACGCCTGTAGTCCCAGCTACTCGGGAGGCCGAGGCATGAGAATTCCTTGAACCTGGGAGGTGGAGGTTGCAGTGAGCCAAGATCACATCACTGCACTCCAGCCTGGGTGATAGAACAAGACTCCATCTCAAAAACAAAAACCCACAAGAATTTATATATAATTCATTTTGGAAATCTTTCATCATTAGCAAAATTCTGTTGTATTTCCACAAAAATCATGTAATTAATCTAGAAAAGCCTTGAACTATGTCATACAATTTATTTGGCATGTCTTGTTTCAATACATCCTGCCTCTATTTTTTTTTTTTGGAAAGTATCTTAAATCTATGTCTGTTTAATCGTATTCATTAGATTATAAGGGTTGAATGATTTGAGATTTACATGACTTAGTGACTGTCATTTGTATTGGTATTAAGCCATTTTATGAGAGGAGGACTTTTAAGACTATAATGATTATAGACAAATATGTCATCTCTATTTATGTCTTACTGAACATCAGAATGTTAATTCTGAAAAAAAATCAGTAAAATACAATGAAGAAAGCTTTGAATATTAATTTCACATGCTACATCAAAAAAACCTATAAAAGAAAGCCTTATGACTTTAGTAAAAGTGGGGTTGTTGAGTGTTCAGCAGTTTTTTAAAAGACATTCAGAAATAACTTCTCTCTAACAAATTTCTAAAGCCAAGTGTTATATAATTCTTTACCACAGTTATAACTCAGAAACTAGCAAATGGATAGCCATATGGATTCTTACCTCTTTGAAATTTACTACTATATATAAACCATTCTTAGATTAAAGAGCAAATAAAAAGTGAAATTACAGAGTATTTAGAATGATAATGAGACCTATATTTTAAATCCTGTGAAATAACTAAAACAGTTATCAATAGAAATTGCTCTGTGTATAAAACCAAGAAGACTGAGGGCAGTTTGTTTCTCTTCATCACTGTATCCACAGCACTGTATCCACAGCACTTAGGACAGTGCCTATAATGTTGTAGGGCCTCAAATATTTATTGAGTTAAATAATGATTACACAGCAAGGTAGAATAAGAACAAATACCCCAAATGAATGAATGGAAAGGCTTAATGAAAAGCTGAAATCATGGAATAAAAAACCATACAGGTTTTTCATCAAAATCTAGTCCTTTGAAGAAAACTATTATTCATTAGACTTTGTCAGTGCCTCTACTATATTATAAGGAGAAATGGAATATAACTATATGTTTGGAGATATTTTTTAGTATTAAGTATGTGAACTCTGTTAGACATGATTTTTATATGTGTACGGTTTTTTTCTAGGAAAACATTATTAAATATGATTAAGTTTCAAAAACAACCCAAAAAGTTCAAAAAATAGAAAAAAGTATCATGTAAGATGAGGTTGAGCACAGTGGCTCATGCCTGTAATCCAAACACTCTGGGAGGTTGAGACAGGAGTATCACTTGAACCAGGAGTTCCAGACTTGCCTGGACAACATAGGGAGACCCCCATCTCTGCAAAAAATAAATTAGCCAGGTGTGGTGGCACATGCCTCTGGTCCCAGCTACTCAGGAGGCTGAGGTGAGAGGACTGCTTGGGCCCAGGAGTTTGAGGCTGCAGTAAGCTGTGATCACCCCACTGCACTGCAGTCGGTGATGGAGCAAGACCCTGTCTAAAACAAAACAAAACAAACATGTAAGACTAGAAAACTGTACAGGCTACACCCTGAAGAATAGAAAATCCTATGGAAAATTTGCCAGGGCATGCTAAAAGACTAACATTTTTATAATAAAAGTAGATGGGATAGCTCTTGAACATCAAATTCCAGAAAAATTTCACTCATGAAGATACATGAAAAAAACTTACATAGATGAACCCAATATTTAATCAAAGAATAATATAGTAGATATTTGCTTATAATGTTTAAGCTCTGAGCAGGATGGATAATTTTTATTTTTGAGGTGGAGTCTCACTCTAGTTGCCCAGGCTGGAGTGCAGTGGGGTGATCTTGGCTCATTACAATCTCTGCCTGCCAGGTTCAAATGATTCTCCTGCATCAGCCTCCCGAGTACCTGGGATTACAGGCACCCTCCACCATGCCTGGCTAATTTTTGTATTTTCAATAGAGATGGGGTTTCACCATGTTGGCCAGGCTGGTCTCGAGCTCCCGACCTCAGGTGATCCGCCCACCTCAGCCTCCCAAAGTGCCAGGATTACAGGTGTGAGCCACCGTGACCAGCCTGGATGGGTAATTCTGAATGATGAAAAGTTACTTTATCAATTTCTTCTAAGTGAAGTTCTTGGTATCTTTTAGTGTTACATGAGTTAAGAAATGGTGACTATATGTACACATATTTAGCACATTTTGTAAGTCACACCTTTAACAGGTAGTTCCCTCCTAAATTATTGTCATCTATGGAATTTCACAATTTGTGTGAAAAATAATTTTTTGTTATGTAACTGTATTGTAATAAGCCATTTTCATTCATGTTGACTAGATCTTTTTTAAGGTGACAAGTACACTGAGATGGAGTTTCACTCTGTTGCCAGGCTGGAGTGCGCTTGCACAATCTTGGCTCACTGCAACCTCCGCCTCCCGGGTTCAAGAGATTCTCCTGCCTCAGCCTCCCGAGAGGCTGGGACTACAGGCATGCGCCACCATGCCCAGCTAGTTTTTGTATTTTTAGTAGAGATGGGGTTTCCCCATGTTGGCCAGGATGATCTCGATCTCTTGACCTCGTGATCTGCCCGCCTCAGCCTCCCAAAGTGCTGGGATTACAGGCGTGAACCACCGCACCCAGCTATGTTTATACTTTCAAAAACAGTGGAAGGATAAGCCAAGACCTAATCAAAATGATGAAATAATAGGTGGGAGCAGGGTGTGGTGGTGCACGCCTGTAATCCCAGCTACTTGGGAGGACATGGTAGGAGGATCCCTCGAGCATAGGAGTTCAAGTCCAACCTGGGCAACATAGCAAAACCCCTGTCTCTTAAGAAAAATTAAAATACAAACTATAGGTGGGAGAGAGCAAGGTTGGAAAGTAGTCACCTTTGATTTTACCTTGTTTTTATCTGAGAATCATTTTATAACCTCACAGTAAAGAATATTTCCTAGACAAAACATTTTAACTAGAAAAGTGTGGCATATTCATATTAATTTTATTATTCTGTTAACTGAAAGTCACCAGTAACAGAATGAACAGATGTCTGCTTCTGATCAAATGGAGAAACAGACCAGATTTACCCTTATATCTGTAAATACTAAAAAGCTAAACGAAATAGGTGAAACAATGGTTTTTAAGACATTGAATATACTAAAATGTCAATTTCCAATGAAGAACAGTGATCCCTGAAAAAAACAGAAATAAATTTTTCCTAGTTTTTCCAGATTACTGCTGGGAGGAGTAACTCAGGCAGAGCCTGGTGGTCTCCTAGTGTTTAGATAGAATGAGGAGTCTGATGAGGCCAAAGTGGCCCGAGTTGACAAGGCAAAACACTGAAGAGGAGAGAACTGCACGGAAATCTCCAGAGGATCTTCCTTTAAGTTCAGCTAAATATTCATCAACACGTGCGTGTGTGAAAACTACCTGAAGCCAGGGAAAAACAATTACCTTAAAGGATTAGAGGGAAGAATCCACAGAGCTCAAAAACGTCCAGGAATAATTCCTTTTCCCAGTAGCCAAAGTGGAAAATAAAAAATTACTAGGCATCAGCTGGGTGCGGTGGCTCGAGCCTGTAATTCCAGCACTTCGGGAGGCTGAGGCGGGTGGATCACCTGAGGTCAGGAGTTCGAGACCAGCCTGATCAACATGGTGAAACCCCGTCTCTACTAAAAATACCAAAAAAAAAAACCCGCCAGGTCTGTAATCCCAGCTACTCAGGAGGCTGAGGCAGGAGAATCACTTGAACCCGGGAGACAGAGGTTGCAGTGAGCTGAGATCGCACCACTGCACTCCAGCCTGGGCGACAGAGCGAGACTCCAGTTCAAAAAAATAAATAAAAATTAAAAAATAAAATAAAATAAAAAATTTACTAGGCATCCAGCATTCATTAAGGAGAATAATTCAGTTAAGGAGGAAAAGAATTCTGGGATTCTGGGAATTTCCTTAACCAATAAAGAGTATGTGTGAGAAACCTACTGCTAACATCATACTTAATGGTAAAAGTCCAAAGATCAGCAAAAAGAGGATACCTGGTCTAAACACTTCCACTAAGCATTATACTGGAAGTTCTAGCTAGTGCAATAAATGAAAGAATACAAAGTATCCAGATTGGAAAGGAAGTAAAATCATCTTTATTAACAGATTATATGATTGTCTATATAAAAAAAATCTGAAGGTATCTACAACACTATTAGAACTAAATGAGCTTAGTGAGACTGCAAAATAAAGATCAATATATATAAAGCAGATGATTTTGCATGAACTAGCCATGAACAATCTGAACCTTAAAACCTTAAATGCCATTTATAACACCATAAACAATATGAAATACATAGTGATGCATCTGGCAAAAGAAGTGCAAGATGTATAGTATAAAAATTAAAAACACTTCTGGGAGAACTTTAAAAAAGACCTAAATAGAGATATACTATGTTCAGAGACTACAAGACTCAATACCATTAATATGTCAATTCTTTCCAACCTGACCTATAGATTCAGTGAAATCCCATTTTGAATATTCAGGAGGCTTTTTGTTTTGTAGAAATTGGGAACTCAATTCTAAAATACATATGGACATGCAAAGGACCTAGATTAGTGAAAACAACTTTTAAAAATAATTCTGAAAGTTGGAAAATAGGCTGGGCGCGATGGCTCATGCCTGTAATCCCAGCACTTTGGTAGGCTGCGGTGGACAGATCACCTGAGGTCAGGAGTTCAAGACCAGCCAACATGGCAAAACCCATCTCTACTAAAAAATACAAAAATAGCCAGGTCTGCTGGCAGGCACCTGAAATTCCAGCTACTTGGGAAGCTGAGGCAGGGAGAATTGCTTGAACCTGGGAGTCGGAGGTTGAAGTGAGCCGAGATCACGCCATTGCACTCTAGTCTGGATGACAGAGGGAGACTCCGACTCAAAAAAAAAAAAAGAAAAAGTTGGAGAACATATGTTACCTGAATTTAAGACTTATTATAAAGCTACAGTAATCAAGACTGTGTGGTATTCATGGAATAAAATAGAGAGTTGAGAAACACACATACATGGACAACTGATTTGTGACAGTGGTGCAAAGGAAATTTATTAAAGAAGAGGTAATCTTTTTAACAAACAATGCTAGAAGAACTTGTTATATATATGTTTAAAAATTTACATTGATTTATAGCTCAAAGCACCTACAAAAAACGTTAACTAAATGCTGGGAATGGTGGTACACACCTGTAATTCCAGCATTTTGGGGGGCTGAGGCTGGCAGATCAGCTGAGGCTGGCTGGTTTGTGACCAGCCTGGCCAACATGGTGAAACTTCATCTCTACTGAAAATACAAAAAAAGAAAAATTAGCTGGACATGGTGGTGCAAGCTTGTAGTCCCCGCTACTTGGGAGGCCGAGGCAGGAGAATCTCTTGAACCTGGAAGGCAGAGGTTGCAGTGAGCAGAGGTCGCGCCACTGCACTCCAGCCTGGGTGACAGAGTGAGATTCTGTCTTAAAAAAAAAAAGTTAACTAAAAATGTATCATATGCTTAAAACTATAAAACTTTCAGAACCTTGGAGTAGGCAAAAATTTCTTATATATGTTACTGAAACTGCAAGTCCTTAACAAATAAATTAATTAGTCATCAAAATTGAAAGCTTTTGCTCTTAACCGACTTTGTGAAGAGAAGGAAAAGATTAGCCACAGACTGGGAGAAAATATTTTCTAATCTTATATATATCTGACAAAGACTTGAATATAAAAAGACCTTAAAATTCAACAACCCAAAGAAGATATACAGATGTCAAATAAACATATGATTAGTCACAAGTGAAATGCAAATTAAAACACAATAAGTTAACACTATGTGCCTAATATAATGGCTAGCACTTAAAAAGCTAAGTATAGCAAGTGTTAGTGAAGATAAGAAGCAGGTGAAGCTCATACTGCTGGTGGAAATTAAAATGGTACAATTACTTTGGGAAACAGTGTGGCAGTTTCTTAAAAAGTTAAACACAAAATGAATAGAAACCTGGGCCTCATAACCTAATACTCAAAATATCAAGGATACAATTAAAAATATTCATTATACCAAAACCAGGCAAATCTAAACCTAATAGAAAAAGAGAACAGATACCAACACCAAGATTACACTGATACTGTATTTGGTTGGTGCAAAAGTAATTTCAGTTTTTGCCATTAATAATTCACTGACAATGAGTTTAAGAGACCTATCATTAAAATGCACCAAGCAATTGCAAACACTCTTAAATCAAATTAAAGGAGGGGGCACTAAGTAAAGAAATAGAAGATATAACAAAGAACCAAATAGAAAAAAATGGAAATGAAAAATTCAACAAGTAAATTTTTAAAAATTACTGGATTGGCTCAATAACAGAATGGAGATGGCAGAGGAAATAATAAACTTGAACATTCATCAATAGAAATTATCCATTCTAGACAAGAAATAAAATCAATTGGGGGAAAAAAAGAATGGAAGCCCATGGGCCATAGGGATAATAACAAAAGATCAAACATTCATATCAGAGTCCCAGAAACAGAAAAGGAGCAGAGCTAAAAATATATTTGAAGAAAGAAGGCCTTAAAACTACCCAACTTTGGCAAAAGATGTAAACCTACACATTCAAGAAGATGAATGAAACCCAAATAGAATAAATGCAATGAAATCCATGTCTAGAATATCAAATCCAAATTTCAGAGAATTAAAGACAAAACTCTTGAGAGCACTCAGTGAGAAATGACACATATGTAACTATTTCTCAGCTTCGGAACTAGTGACATTTTGTGTCAAATAATTCTCTGCTCTGGTGGGCTTTGCTGTACGTTGTAGGATGTTTAGCAGCACCCCTAGCCTCTTCTCACTAGATGCCAGTAGCAATTTCCAGTTGTGACAAGCACAAAATGTCTCTAGACATTGCCAAATGCTTGTTTGGGTGTGGAAATGTTCGCAGTTGAGAACCATCACTTTACCATAACAATGATTCTAATGCTGGTGGATTCCTAGTTAGAAACCATGAAGGCCAGAAGGGAGTAGTGCATTTTTCTGTGTAGGAGAAAAGTGCTGAAAGAAAAGAACTTTCAACCCAGAATTCTATAGCCAGTAAAAATATCTTTCAGGAAGGAACATAAAATAGACATTCTCAGATGAAGGAAAACTCTGGGAATTTATAACCAACAGACCTGTTGTAAAAGAATGCATAAATTCCATTAGGAAGGACAGAAGAGAATGGAATATCAAGACTGAAGAAAGAGCAACAAAAATGGTTCTACAAACTAGAATTTACTTCCAAAACTAAGGCAAAGGTAAACTTCCAGAACTAAATGAAAGTAAGCCACTATAAAGCTTATTTCTGTCATGCACCTTATGAACCTACTCGGTGATTTCCAACCAAGACTTAAAAATTAGTCCAAGGCAGTCCAAGGGAGTCCAAGTGGGAAAATAAAGCCACTTCTGGTTTGCTCTTTTCCAGTTCATCAGATAATATCTATTGTGTGCCCAGAGGGCGTGGAGTACTACCCTAGGCAATATCCATAGTAATTAGGGCTTTGTTTTCTTATCATGAATGTTTTCACCAGAGTAGCACTTCTAATTTCCTTTGAGAACTTTTTCTTTGCACTTACAACTTGGCTAACTTTGGCACAAGAAGTATAGCTTTCAGCCTGTCTCAGTTTTCAACATGGCCTTCCTCATTAAGCCTAATCGTTTCTTGGTTTTGACTGAAAGTGAAAGACATGTGTCTTCCTTTAATTTGCACACTAAGAGGGCATTGGAGGATTATTCATTGAAATAATTTTAATATTGTTGAGTCTCAAGGAGTAAGGAGGGCAAAGGAGAGAAAGATGGAGAAATAGCTGGGCAGGGGAGCAGTCAGAACACATACAATGTTTATCAATTAATTTTGCCATCATATAGGGTCCTGGTTCATGACCTCCCAAAATAGTTACAACAGTTACCTCAAAGACCACCTATCACACATCACCATAACAGAGTAATAATAATGGAAAATTTGAAGTATTGTAAGAATTAGCAAAATGTGACAGAGTCACCAACTGACCACATGATGATAGAAACGTGGCACAGATGGACGCTCCACGCATGGTTGCCAAAACCTTCAATTTGTCAAAAACACAGTATCTGCAAAGTGTATTAACATAAGTTATGCCTGAACTCAAAAGAACAAAGAGACAAATCCAGGAAATGAAAGGACCAGTCCATTCCAAGTACAGCAATATCATCAGCACAATCTCACTAGAGTCCTTCATCAACAAAGGCAAAAAGTACCCTCAACACATTTATATTATAACCTAAACTCCTGTTAAAGAGGTTTGGGGGATTTTTAAGGGGCTGGCCCCTTTATTCCTTCCTCTATGTTAATTTTTAAATTCCTTATTTTTTTTTTTTTTTTTGAGACGGAGTTTTGCTTTTCTTGCCCAGGCATAATCTCAGCTCACTGCAACCTCCGCCTCCCGGGTTCAAGTGATTCTCCTGCCTCAGCCTTCCAAGTAGCTGGGACTACAGACCCCCGCCACCATGCCTGGCTAATTTTGTATGTTTAGTAGAGACAGGGTTTCACCATGTTGGTCAGTCTGGTCTAGAACTCCTGACCTCAGGTGATCTGCTGGCCTCAACCTCCTGAAGTGCTGGGCCACCGTGCCTGGCCTCTAAATTCCTCTTACAGAGACTCATTTTCATGGTTAAAATGTCCTGAATTGACTGTGGCCTGTTGGGAAGAGGGATGGAGGAAGCTACTTATGGAAAATGAACAAGGAAGGGAAGCACACCAGAAGTTAGAAAGTGTCATCAATTTTTACATCAGACTCCATGACAAACAGAAAGTACAAGTAGCCTGTTTTCATAGCTGACCATTGGACTGCAGACTACACTTGCAGCTACCAGGTTCCTCTGGATAGTCCCAGTTTTAAATTTTTGACCTGATATTCATGAACATAGTGCTACTGGTCAGACCTTTGTCCAGGTTTAAGCTCCAGAAAATAAGGTCTTCATGCAGTGGGAGGCCTGGTTAGGGACATTATTCTGTACTGGGGCATCTGCCACTTCTAACCTGGAGGAAAACTTGGCATCTACTGTTTACCTCCACACTTTAACAGCCAAGGATGGGCTGAGCACAGTGGCTTACATCAGGAACTCCAGCACTTTGGGAGGCCAAGGCAGGAGGATCACTTGAGGCCAGGAGTTCAAGACCAGCCTGGGCAACATAGTGAGACATTATCTCTGTAAAAACAAACAAAACCGAGGATGGGTGGGTGGCAGGGAGCAGATCAACCTGGGAAATCATCAATCTGGGAGCTGGAAGGACCCTTAGACCAGCTCCCATTAACAGATGAGACTCTGCCCAGGGATTATAGCCTAAGGTAATACATTGAGCTTTTCTAGAGATTTGAAAATAATCAATCCTAAAATCCCCAAGCACACTGCTACTGTTTGCTATTTAATGATGTTTTCTAGGCCGGGTGCAGTGGCTCATGCCTGTAATCCCAGGACTTTGGGAGGCTGAAGCGAGCAGATCACCTGAGGTCAGGAGTTCAAGACCAGCCTGGCCAACATAGCGAAACCCTATCTCTACTAAAAATACAAAAAATTTGCTGGGCATGGTGATGCGCGCCTGTAATCCCAGCTGCTTGGAAGGCTGAGGCAGGAGAATCGTTTGAACCCATCAGGCAGAGGTTGCAGTGAGCCGAGATCGCGCCATTGCACTCCAGCCTAGGCTACCAAAGCAAAACTCCATCTGAAGAATAATAATAATAATGTTTTCTACAAGCAAGGGGGTTACTTTCTACCGTGAACTGGTGTGAAGGGATCCACCATGGGTTAGCTTTTGGAGCTGATTTTATTATCTGTGTTGTCCCAAGTGGTGAAGGGAAGATGGCACACCAAAATGGGGGCATTGGTGCCAGTGCATCAGGTAAATAGGCATCTAAAGGTCTGAGAATAGACTGCTACCATGCATTATAATCAATGCTACAATAACCTTGTCGGTTTGCTCCTCCTCTTCAGAAATTACAATGTCTTCCCTACAGTTACGCATAGACATCTTTTATAGACAAGTGCTGGAAAATTTTAATCTCCAGAGATAAGGCCATGGAAAAGATTTTAGATACCCTATCTATTAGTCAGCAAACATTTATTAAACTGTCCATGGGCCAACTGCTGTTTTAGGCCTGTGGGACAGAAAGATCAATAAATACAAGACCTTTGGCTGGAGAAACTCACAGTTCTTGGACTGGAATGAACAACCAACAAATCATTGCAATTCTATGTGATGTGCATTATAGTAGCATGATAATGATCTTTTCTTTTTCGTGTTTTCCCCCAAATGACAACGGCTCAACAAAATGTAAATGCAGGTTACAGAGATCCAACATCTAAAACAATCCTTCTATACTGCCTCTCCAGGCTCCTCTGCCAAGATGCACATACTCTAAGAAAGACAATGCCTTTATCAAATCCACTCTTACTTGAAGTCAGCCTGAGGTCATAGGATGCAACTTTCCTTAGAAAATTTTGCCCTATCCTTCATAAACCTTCAAATCTAGTCTGTGAAAGACTTCAAAGACAAAACAAAACAAACAACAAAACATTTTCCTGTTATTCACATTTTTTAATAACACCTGTTGACTTCATCACTTTATTCTTTTTCCAATATCAGTGTAGAAATAAGAAATTGGCTTTGAAAATAGTATATTATTAACATCATCAAACATCAAAGGCATCAGGCAAGAAAAAGATAACTTTGAAACTACAGAGTTTGTCTAAATAAGACAATTGAAAACACAAACTATTTTTTTTTTTTCTTGAGACACAGTCTTGCTCTGTTGCCCAGGCTGGAGTGCAGTGGCACCATCTCGGCTCACCGCAAGCTCCGCCTCCAGGGTTCACGCCATTCTCCTGCCTCAGCCTCCGAGTAGCTGGGACTATAGGCACCTGCCACCATGCCCGGCTAATTTTTTGTATTTTTTTTAGTAGAGACGAGGTTTCACCGTGTTAGCCAGGATGGTCTCGATAGCCAGGATGGTCTCGATCTCCTGACCTCGTGATCCGCCTGCCTCGGCCTCCCAAAGTGCTGGGATTACAGGCGTGAGCCACCACACCCGGCCTGAAAAGGCAAACTTTTAAAATATCCTAGTTTAATAGAAAATTGTTCAAAATATGGTGAAGCAAACAGAAAAAACTTAGCAAACAGTATCATGAAAAGAAAGTAAATACAGTGAGCTGAGCTTTGGGTGTGTTTGTCATGAAAATGGAAAATAAGACAGAGCTAATATGCAGTGATTTGAATAAAATATGCTATTACTAACATATTTTAGTAATAAGCAAACTGAAATATATTCATCCATTCCTCTACTTGATGACCAAAAGGAATAATGCTTTAGATTTGGCAACTTTGGTTAAAAGGATGAAAAACTTTTGAGCTATTTAAAAAGCAAGTAACTGGGCCAGGCATGGTGGCTCATACCTGTAATCCCGGCACTTTGGGAAGCCAGGGTAACAGAATCACTCGTGCTCAAGTATTTGAGACCAGCTTGGGCAACATAGTGAGACCCAACCCCACCTCTGCAAAAAAATTTTTAAATTAGCTAGGCATGGCGGTGCACACCTGCAGTTCCAGTTACTTGGGAGGCTGAGGTGGGAGGATCTCTTGAGCCTAGGAGTTTGAGGCTGCAATAACCTATGATTCCACCCCTACACTTCAGCCTGGGTTACAGAATGAGACCCTGTCTCAAAAAAAAAAAAAAAAAAAATTAAATTAGACCAACTGTAGGATTAATTTAATTTGGAGTAATTTAGGGAAAAAAATGTTTCCTAAAGATATGACAACCAAAGAATGACAGAAACTTCCTTAAATATCTAAAAAGCTGCTAATGTCTTTCTTTAGATAGCTGTCACTGACAAAGGACCAAAAATGGTGGCTTTTAATTTTATTAAAAATGTAAGACTTTGGGGTAAAGATGATAGAATGAAGTTAAAAAAAAGTTCTACCACTCTCAACCTAAAGACAACAGAAATAGCACAAGTTCACCTGGAGTAACCAAACACAGAAACAGGTCAGGCAGTAAACTTCAGAGGGAGATGATGGTCAACAACAGAGAAAGAAAATTTTGGCAAGGCCCACCCAAGTGCCAGACCCTCTCCCACCAAAGAAAAGAGGTCTGGAGCCACTGGTCAGTATACTACAGGCAGTATATCTAGGGCCACAAAGCCGTAAGAATCTCCTTCTTATGAATTTCTGAAATCATATTTGATGACTCAAGCAAAAATTATAAAAGCATATGTTGGAATGCTCAATATGAAAAAGGAAACATTGGAAACAATTATATCTAAAAGGTAGAGAGGGTAAAGACCTAAATGAAAGTAAGTTTTCAATGCTCCACTGCAAGTACTTAAATGTGGATAGCAATAGGCTAAGTTATAGATATATACTGTAATACCTAGAGCAACCACCAAAAGAACTATGTAAGTGATATACTCAAATACAGTATAAATTAAACAAGATGGAATTTTAAAAGTGATCAAGTATCCAGTGGAAGACTAGAACAGGGAAACAGGAAACAAACAGAAAACAAATAATAAAATGGCAGAATTAAGCTTTAACACATCAAGAATTACTTTAAAGGTACGTGGTCTAAGAACATCAATTTACCTTTGATGTAAAGGACAGAGATGGCAGTTTAAATAAAATAAAACATAACCCAACTACATGCCACGTACAAGAACCTCACTTCAAACACAGCATAGGTAAGTTGACAGTTAAAATAAAAAACGAACAAAAGAAAAAAGGTATATCATGCTAACATCAGTATTAAGAAAGCAAGAGTGGTTGTATGGATAACGGGTAAAAAAGATTTCCAAGGAAAGTTAATAAGGGCATTACATAACGTAATGAGAAACATTACAAAATAATTTAAAAATCATTATGTAAAGAGACGCATTACATGATTTACAAATCATAACGACATATAGATACTAAATGTGTATGCATCCAACAACAGAGCTTCAAAATGCCAACAAATGCAAATTAATGCTTTTTATACAAATACGCACTATCGTAGCCTCATTAATGCAGCATTGTTTTAGTCTATCCATCCTTCATCAACTGTTCTTTTTTTTTTTTTTTTTTTTTTTGAGAAGGAGTCTCACTCTGTTGTCCAGGATGGAGTGCAATGGCATAATCTCGGCTCACTGCAACCTCCACCTCCTGGGTTCAAGTGATTCTCCTGCCTCAGCCTCCTGAGTAGCTGGGATTACAGGAGCCCACCACCATTCCTGGCCAATTTTTTTTTTTTTTTTTTGGGTATTATAAGTAGAGATGGGGTTTCACCATGTTGGCTAGGCTGGTCTCAAACTCCTGACCTCAGGTAATCCACACGCCTTGGCCTCCCAAAGTGCTGAGATTACAGGCGTGAGCCATTGTGCCTGGACCATCTATCTATTTTCCCATCCTTCTATCTGTCTGTCCATGTGCCTAGAGGAGAAAGAATGGCATGGTATTTTCCTGTATTGATGACAGTTATTTCTAAATCATGGAGGTGGGAATGCTTGTTGATTATCTTCTTTGTTCTTTGTTATACTGGTTGATTTTTTTTAAAAACAAGCATTTTTATAACAATAAAGTCATAAAAATAAGTAACTAAAATAAAGTAAAATAATCTATGAAGGCCGGGTGCAGTGCTTCACGCTGGGCGTGGTGGCAGGCACCAGTAATCCCACCTACTCGGGAGGTTGAGGCAGGAGAATCGCCTGAACCCGGGAGAAGGAGGTTGCAGTGAGCCAAGATCGCGCCATTGCACTCCAGCCTGGGCTACAAGAGCAAAACTCCATCTCAAAACAACAACAACAACAAAAAGTCTAAATATAATTCAGTTGAATAAACTTTTTATTGACTAATTTCAAATTAGATTCTAGTTAAATGTTAGAACAGCAGCTCATAGAAGCAGATGTAGTCAATTATGTTAACTCTGTGGTTTCATTTAAGCAATTTGTTTTGTGAAGGGACACAAATCCAACCAGATTTTAACAGTGTATAAATACTTACTTACTAATTCAATTACAATGACAATACTCTCAACACCCCATCTGAATAAAGCAGAGCATCCGATCTCTGTTCTGGGGCACTGTACATTATAGGTGTGTGGAAATACCGATGCCCTCAGCTGTGGGGCAGGCTCAGTGGGACCTGGAGTGCTGGAGACCCTGGGCCATTCACCTCTGGTCACAAAAGCTATTGTCCATTTACCCCCAACTGCCATAGAAATATTATTTTCAGTGGTTGTTATGATGCAAAAGAAAAGAAGCAGGGAGATTTATTAAATTTTTACGTATAAGTTATGTAAATAAAGTGAACTTTCTCCTGGCTTAACTAAAAAACTATACTAGTATTTATGCCTTTTGGAAAATAGAGATGCCAATTTAAATATTATGAAGCAAAGCAACTGATTATTAGGTAAGACAACCAATTACAACTGCAGAATTGTAGAGGTTATGAGTTACATGTATAATATTTCACAGCAATACTCTTTTAAGACTATGTCAAGACACTCACAGTGAAGCAGAAATTAGAACAGAATACTACTGTGTATGCTCTCAGTTCACCTATTTATCGGAACGGTAACCAATCTCATTAATAATTTTATTTTGATAAGATGTTGAAGTGATATTTTGGATAATGCTAACATTTTAGGTGAAATAAAACATTAATTTCACCTGTTTCTTTTTAACTTTTCTAAAGTGACTACTAGAAAATCTAAAACAACTTATGTGTCTGGCATTGTATTTCTATTCGAAAGCGCTGCTCTACAGAGAAATGGTCTCTAGGGAGGCAGAAACATGAGAACCACAATAGAGGTGGATGTAGGGAAGTGACAGACACATCTGGTGGGTACCTTCAGGTGCTGACAGTGGGAACCCAGGAGATTCGGGTATGGACAGGCCTCGATCTATGCACAGCAGGAGACTAGCATGGCTGACACTAAGGGTGCTGAGCTGACATACAAAACTATTCAGCTTTATAAACGTGTGATAAAAATACCGCTAAGTCACTGACATTCCACAGGACAAATCATAATAGAAATGAAAAAACAGCCAGGCGCAGTGGCTTACGCCTTTAATCCCAGCACTTTGAGAGGCCGAGGCGGGTGGATCACGAGGTCAGCAGATCGAGACCATCCTAGCTAACATGGTGAAACCCCGTCTCTACTAAAAATACAAAAAAAAAATTAGCCAGGCGTGGTGGCAGGAGGCTGTAGTTCCAGCTACTCCGGGGGTTGAGGTGGGAGAATGGTGTGAACCCGGAAGGTGGAGCTTGCAGTGAGCTGAGATCACTACACACCAGCCTGGGCAACAGAGCAAGGCTCCGTCTAAAAAAAAAAAAAAAGAGAATTAATCTTGATAGAAAATATAAAACACTTCCTCATGAACATTAAAGAAAATTCTAACAACCAAAACATTTGGAATTCAGGTAACTGAAATGGCAGTTTAATCCTCCTGAGGGAATTTTAATTTCTCACTAACAGTACTTTAATGTTAGGGGTAGAAAATTATTTTTTATAGCATTTCACAGGCATTAAAGTTAAAAATCCAAATCAGGCTTTTCTCTGACAGGAACTCCTCCTCAAAACAGAAGAAGCCTATAAGACTTTAACCTGGAAACTACTCAGGGAATCTGGAATATTCCTTCCAGGGATATCTGCAGTTGAAACCTGGCAGTAATTTAAACAAAACCAGACAACTCTTGGGGTATGGTTGGAGCCTGAGGTCTACAGATGGGTCATTTTATATGCTGAGGTCTGAACAAGATGATTTTAACCCCTTAAAATGATGGAAACAAAATAAAACAGAATAAATTGGAAGACAACACAGGTGAGTGGTTTAAAGGGCCTACTTGCTGTGTTTCCTCTGGTCTTCAGGTCTCCTCACTGCTGAGGGATCCAGGCGCAGCTCTAGACCAAGAAATGGGAGGATTTTAGAGTGACTGGTAATTTCTCTACTATCTGCAGTTAGTAAACTTTCTCCGCAGTTTATGCAAAAAGTAACAAAACCACTGCGGATGACAAACACTAGGTAACACATATACTATCTCCCAAATACCTACCCACAAGCTCAACAATTTTAAACTGTTAGGATCACTGGCTCTAATCACCATGACATGAGGTCACCACCAAACCATCAAGCGCTAAACAGACAGAATGTTTCCACTCCTAATCCACTGTGTGGAGAAGCACAGAGCTTACCCACTGGGGCCCTGCATCAGAAGAGACGCACAGGCACCGGGGTGTGCATTTGAATGGAGCGATCAAACCACCGTCCCTACAGCTCCTCTGCTCACGGGCACTGCAGTCTGTGGCCTCATGTCCTTTGGGGGACACAGTGGGAAGGTAACCCACATTTCAGTGACACCATCAAGAAAAACACACTGTGGCAATTTGCCCTGATTTCTCATGGGCCTTTTCTCTTTTCCCTTTGGGTTGTATAGACTTCCCTACTGTCCACCTGACCACTCTCGTGCTGCCCAAAACCATAGCTTAAGTCATCAGCTAGGCCTTTCTTGGTGTAATTATTGAAAGGTGAGCCTTACCTGTTCAATCTCTAGAGAGATTTGTTCCAAATCTGGACCTAGAAGAATAAATAAACAAGATTTGCCTGAGTAGGTTTGGCTTCTTCTTTCTCAGGGGAAGCCCTTAAGAAATATCAGCCCCTTGGCCAAGCGCCCACCTGTAATTCCAGCACTTTGGGAGGCCTAGGCGGGCAGATCACCTGAGGTCAGGAGTTCGAGACCAGCCTGGCCAACATGGTGAAACCGTCTCTACTAAAAATATTAAAAAGTTAGCCAGGCGTGGTGGGCGCCTGTAATCCCAGCTACTCTGGAGGCTGAGGCAAGAGAATTGCTTGAACCCAGGACATGGAGGTTGCAGTGAGCTGACACGGTGCCACAGAACTCCAGCATGGGAGACAGACTAAGACTCTGTTTCAAAAAAAAAAAAAAAGAAATATTAGACCATTTGCCCAACTGAAGGGGTGCCTGCCCCCTCCACACCTATGGGTGTTTCTCGTCAGGTGGGACGAGAGACTATGAAAAACACACAGAGACAAAGTATAGACAAAGAAGGCTGGGCATGGTGGCTCACGCCTGTAATCCCAGCACTTTGGGAGGCCGAGGCGAGCGGATCACGAGGTCAAGAGTTTGAGACCAGACTGACCAACATAGTGAAACCCCGTCTCTACTAAAAATACAAAAATTAGCTGGGCATAGTGGTGCGCGCCTGTAATCCCAGCTACTTGGGAGGCTGGGGCAGGAGAATCGCTTGAACCCGGGAGGCGGAGGTTGCAGTGAGCCGAGATTGCACCACTGCATTCCAGCCTGGGCGACAGGGTGAGACTCCATCTCAAAAAAAAAAAAAAGGATAGACAAAGAAAAGTGGGACCAGGGGACCTGCACTGGCACCGGTCTCTGAGTTCCCTCAGTATTTATTGATCATTATCTCTACCATCTCAGACAGGGAGATGTGGCAGAACAATAAGGTAATAGTGGGGAGAGGGTCAGCAGGAAAACATGTGAACAAAGGTCTCCGTGTCATAAACAAGGTTAAGAAAAGGTGCTGTGCCTTGATGTGCACGTATACAAACATCTCAGTGCATTAAAGAGCACTATTGCCGCCAGCAAGTCTCACCTCCAGCCCTAAGGTGGTTTTCTCCTATCTCAGTAAATGGAACATACAATCAGGTTTTACACTGAGACATTCTATTCCCAGGGACCAGCAGGAGACAGACGCCTTCCTCGTATCTCAACTGCAAAGATACAAAGAGGCCTTCCTCTTACTAATCCTCCTCAGCACAGACCCTTTATGGGTGTCAGGCTGGGGGATGGTCAGGTCTTTCCCTTCCCAGGAGGCCATATCTCAGGCTATCGCATGAGGAGAAATCTTTGTATTGTGTCCCTGGGTACTTGAGATTAGAGAACGGTGATGACTTTTAACAAGCATACTGCCTTCAAGCACTTTTTTTTAACAAAACACATCCTGCATAGCCCTAAATCCATTAAACCTTGAGTCAACACAGCACAAGTCTCTTGGGAGCACAGGGTTGGGGCTAGGGTTACAGATTAACAGCATCTCAAGGCCGAAGAAATTTTCTTAGTACAGAACAAAATGGAGTCTCTTATGTCTACTTCTTTCTACACAGACACGGTAACAGTCTGATCTCTCTTTGTTTTCCCCACAAGGGAACAAGCCTCCAAATGGTTGCAGACCCCAGCCGTTGAGTCTTCCGTGCTGAGGCCAGACATCATGGAACAGAGACAAGTGGGCTACCCTTGTGCCATATCTGAAATCCTGACTGTGAGCATGAGAATCCACATAACATAATGATTGTTTGAGCCACTAAATTTTGGTGTAATTTCTGACATAGTAATAGTGCCTATGACAGCCACCTTAACACATTAAGTAACAATAGCGAGTAGTAAATCATCACTGGGAACTGTTACTTGGAAATGTCTTGGAAAGCAGTGACAACCATGAAGGCTATTTGTAGATGCTGTCAGATGACATAAAAACTGCTGTGGTCTCACTGCCAACAATACCCCATACCCGAGGGGTCTACAGCCTATATTCAAGATGGAAGGAAACACTACATTTTGGTTAGAGGAATGTGAAAATTTACACGAGCCCTTCTCATGGGCCCCTAAACTTGGCTGATGGAACTGTGGGTAATAAACTCAGAAGGAGTCAAAGGCATCAAGGTTGCTCATGAAAGAGCTGAGGTTACCAACTCAAGTGTAGACAAGAAAAGAGAGAGGAAAAAAATGGTAGCTCGGCAGGGAGGTCAGAGGGATAGCCAGGCTTAGTTTCCAGACATCCAGGAAAAGGACACCCATCTGAGTAATGGATTGAGAGTCAGTATTAAGATACGGAGAAATATCAAGGAGAAACATTAGTGGCTAACGCTGGACATTTCCACAGCTCTCACATAACCAGAAAAACTTAGCTTAATTTTAGTAACAATGTCAGAAGCACAAGCGTGCTGAGAATTAAGAACAAGGCCTTTGAAGAATGTGGGGACTGTTTTATAAAGCACTGAATCTTCACACCTCATGAAGACAGAGACCTGGAGCCTACAGGTGTCTCATTCACACTATGAAATAAATCCTACAAAAGTAAGAGATCCACTAACTTTTTAAAGGATTTAGGAAGATATATATATGAAATCAGCCAGGTGCGGTGGATCACACCTGTAATCCCAGCACTCTGGGAGGCCGAGGCGGGCAGATCACCCCAGGTCGGGAGTTCGAGACCAGCTTGACCAACATAAAGAAACCCCATCTCTACTAAAAATACAAAATTAGCTGGACGTGGTGGCACATGCCTATAATCCCAGCTACTCGTGAGGCTGAGGCAGGAGAATCGCTTCAACCCGGGAGGCGGAGGTTGCAGTGAGCAGAGATTGCACCATTGCACTCCAGCCTGGGCAACGAGAGCGAAATTCCGTCTCAAAAAAAAATAATAATAAAAAATAAAAGTTGTTTCTTTCACAAAAGTTACTCTACATACGTGCTCCAAAAATAAGATTTCAAAGACACTGGGGAAAATACTACTACTAAGATATCAAAACCAGGAACTTACTTCCTTTAAAACAATTCCAAACTAACTCGCTGCGCCTTTCACAGAAATTTCCCACAAGAAATATGATTTTATAAAGCCTGAGAAGTTGCTGCTGTTAGGAAAACCACCAAAACTAAAAATTGGTTTAATTAGCAACAACAACAAAATGCCATTTTAACTGGCTGTCCTTATCAGAGACAGTCCACTAAATAATGCAACTGGCAAAACGTGAGATTTTTTAAAGGGTGGGGTGCTTTATTATAAACATAATATAAACCAGGAATGTATTTTATTTAATAAACCTCAACCTGCCGGTCACTCCCTCCCTTCGAGGCGTTCTGCAACAGAACACCTGGCTAGAAATAAAAGGGCGTTTTACCCCAGTGGGATGAAAAAGCCCCGTTTTTTACCTTTAATCGCGAGACAATACGGGTCAGAGGTCAGGAAATTATGTCAGCACCAATGCGGGCGCCCACGAGTGCGGTGGACCGATGTGGAAGGGCCGGGACGCAGCCCG
Source organism: Homo sapiens (assembly GCF_000001405.40). NCBI lineage: Eukaryota > Metazoa > Chordata > Mammalia > Primates > Hominidae > Homo > Homo sapiens. The sequence goes on along the minus strand of NC_000019.10, from coordinate 36,797,704 downwards.
AGTCCCAGTTCCCGCCGTAGCGATGGCCGATTTCCCAGCCGCGGACGCTGAAAGCGAGGACTCCACGCCGATGACCCTTCGGCGTACCATGTCCGGCGGGCGCTTGGCCAAACAGCCCAAGACTGCGGAATCACACTCGCCACTGTGTACCTGGACGCCATCTGCAGACCCAGCGCCTGCGGGGATTCCGGAAACGGGAGAGCGGGCTTCCGGAAACGGTGACCAATGGGAAACGTGATCAGATGTTACTAGGCGAACAGTCCGTTTCCAGGCAACACAGAAGGAAGAGACGCTCTCAGTCACCCTAAAATAGACGGAGCTTTCAGCCAATGGATATGCAGGTTTGCTCCAGATTAGCCAATAAGAAGTGTTTGGGGCCGGCCGAGCGCGGCGGCTCACGCCTGTAATCCCAGCACTTTGGGAGGCCGAGGCGGGCGGATCACGAGGTCAGAAGATCGAGACCATCCTGGCTAACACGGTGAAACCCCGTCTCTACTAAAAATACGAAAAATTAACCAGACGTGGTGGCGGGCGCCTATAGTCCCAGCTACTCGGGAAGCTGAGGCCGCAGAATGGCGTGAACCCGGGAGGCGGAGCTTGCAGTGAGCGGATATCACGCCACTGCACTCCTGCCTGGGCGACAGAGCGAAACTCGGTTTCAAAAAACAAAAGAAGTGCTTGTGGCCGACCTTCCTACAAGCACAGCAGAAACTTTCCTGCGCATTTCTGCGCTGGAACGCCTACCCGCCGCGCCAAACCAAAACTTTGCAATCACGTTTGGTGCTGTTTCCTGCACTTTCTTGGAGATTAGCACCAGGCGCTGGAGACCCTCCCACCTCGCCCACGCCCACCGCCCGGTGAACACCGAGACCCAACCTTGTGCACCGCCAGTCTTGTGATCAACAAACAGGCTAGTAAAGTATAAAAATAAAATAAAGGAAATGTAGTCGGGCGTGGTGGCGTGCGCCTGTAATCCCAGCTACTCCGGAGGTTGATGCAGGAGAATCGCTTGAACCTGGGAGGTAGAGGTTGCGGTGAGCCGAGATCGCGCCACTGCATTCCAGCTTGGACAGCAAGAGCGAAACTCCGTCTGAACATAGTAAAATAAAATAAAGGAAATGGGGCCGGGCGCGGTGGCTCACGCCTGTAGTTCCAGCACTTTGGGAGGCCGAGGCGGGCCGATTACTTGAGGTCAGGAGTTAGAGAACAGTCCGGCCGCCAACATGATGAAACCCCCGTCTGTACTAAAAATACAAAAATTAGCCAGGCGTGCTGGCGGGCGCCTGTAATCCCACCTAGTCGGGAGGCGGAGGCACAAGAATCGCGTGAACCGGAGAGTTGGAGAGTTGGAGAGTTGGAGAGTTGGAGAGTTGGAGAGTTGGAGGTTGCAGTGAGCCGGAGGTTGCAGTGAGCCGGAGAGGCGGAGGTTGCAGTGAGCCGAGATCCCGCCCCTGCGCTCCAGCCTGGGCGACAGAGTGAGACTCCGTCTTAAAATAAAATAAAATAGGCCGGGCGCGGTGGCTCACGCCTGTAATCGCAGCACTTTGGGCGGCCGAGGCGGCTGGATTGCCTGAGCTCAGGAGTTCGAGACTATCCTGGGCAACGTGGTGAAACCCCGTCTCTACTAAAAATACAAAAATTGGCCGGGCGCGGTGGCTCACGCCTGTAATCCCAGCACTTTGGGAGGCCGAGTCGGGTGGATCATCTGAGGTCAGGAGTTCAAGACGAGCCAGACCAACATGGAGAAACCCCGTCTCTACTAAAAATACAAAATTAGCCGGGGTGGTGGCGCATGCCTGTAATCCAGCTACTCGGGAGGCTGAGGCAGAAGAATCGCTTGAACCCGGGAGACGGAGGTTGCGGTGAGCCAAGATCGCGCGCGCCATTGCACTCCAGCCTGGGCAACAAGAGTGAAACTCCGTCTCAAAAGAAAAAAAAAAAGAAAAAAACAAAAACAAAAATTAGCGGGGCATGGCGGCGCATGCCTGTAATCCTACCTATTTGGGAGGCTGAGGCAGGAGAATCACTTGAACCCGGGAGGCGGAGGTTGCAGTAAGGGAAACTCCGTCTTTAAATAAATAAGTAAAAAGGAAATGGATAGAGGAAACATTAATGCATGAAATCAAACAAATGCTTTCGCTGAAGGGCTCCATCTTTGCAAAACCGAACCTAGGACAATGTGCACGTTTGTAACTAGCAATTCCGTAGGACAGATCGGAGAGGCAGCATGAACTTGATTTTCTGTAATTTAAGAGTTGTCAGTAAAGTCAGTGTTTGCAGGCATTTTCAGTGTTCTGCAGTGGGCTTCAGTTCGGCAGTGTGGCAGGCCAGGTTTCCATTAGCAACCAGAACAGTTTCCATTAACACTTTACTATAATTTTGATGAATGCATAAGTTAAACGTTAAAGAAATTGAGAAACTGGTGCCTGAGTATCAGGGATGGAATGCGAAAACGAACCCATTAAGACCCCGCCTGGGTCCTCTCAGACCCTAAAGTCTGATCGAATAATAATAGTATTCTTACACATTCACCTGGGCCTGTCTTAAGATTCAGAAACTTTCCAAGACTCTAGAGAAATCTTTCCAGACCCTAGACCGTAGTTAAAGATTAGATGTTGATTGAATGCAACATTTCTGCTTGTAGGTGCAGTCCCACCATAGCATTGAGCTTAAGATGTATATAAGCACTAGAAAAAAACTTGAAACTTTGAGTTGGTCTGGTGAGTTACTTGGCTTCTCCGTCTAACCGGTTGCAGAAATAAACTCCTTTCTTTCCCAGTCTGTCTGCATCTTATTGGACAATCGCGACGGACCAGCTCAGCAAACTCCTCTTTTGTGTGGTTATCTGGGACTCTCTGGGAGGGGACATTTTAAATTTTCTATTTCAAAGAGTTCTATCGGCACTCTTGGACTGTTTTTCTCTGCCTAACCTGGGACCTGAGTTCTCCTGGACTTGAATCTCCAGCCACAGAGTCCAGAAGCCCACACCTCCACATTCTGTGACTGTTCCCCAAACACAGGGAGAATTTGCAGAAAATATGCATAAAAACCTTGCCATTCTTCGCAATAAAACCCCACATTACAAACTGGCGAAAAGGGAGGATTTTAGCCCGAATAGGTTTTTCCTCTATTTGAAACCAATCATTTCCCTTTTACAATATTGGAGTGAAGTTTCAAAATCAATAAGCACCTCCCTCCTAGGTTTATCCTTACATAAAGTGCCCCCTCTGCACATGAAACATTGAGTAAACCTTGAAAATATGATGCTAAGTGAAAGAAGCCAGTCACGAAAGACCACGTTTTGTAATTCCATTTAAATAAAATGTCCAAAATAGACCAATACATAGAAACAAAGTACATTGGTGGTGGCCCAGGGTTAGGGGAGTTGGGGGGAAATGGAGGGATATGCGGTTTTCTTCAGGGTAATGAAAATGATCTAAAATTTATTGTGGTGCTGTTTGCACAACTGTGCAAATATACTGAAAACCGTTGAATTTTACAGTTTCAATGGGTGGCTTCTGTGGTATGTTATTAATATTTCTCAATAAAACTTAAAAAAAAAATTGCCTGTGTGTCTTTTTATGTATTATTCCTCCAGAGTCCAGTCCACAGTTTTACACTTGATGAAGAAATTAAGATTTTGTTTCTTCTTCTTCTTCTTCTTTTTTTTTTTTTTTTGAGACAGAGTCTCCCTCTGTTGCCCAGACTGGAGTGCAGTGGCGCAATCTTGGCTAATTTTTGTATTTTTAGTAGAGAGAGTGTTTCACCATGTTGGCTAGACTGGTCTCGAACTTCTGACCTCAAGTGAGTCAACCACGTTGGTCTCCCAATTGCTGGGATTACAGGCGTGAGCCACCGCGCCTGGCCCAAGATTGAGTTTCCGTTGTTTCAGATGCCCTAGGACCATCTTATTCTACCTTAATTTCTGACGCATCATCTCAGTGGAAATTTTACATTAGGTCCCAAAGTTACTCTTTTTTTTTTTTTTTTTTTGAGACGGAGTCTCGCTGTCGCCCAGGCTGGAGTGCAGTGGCGCAATCTCGGCTCACTGCAGGCTCCGCCCCCTGGGGTTCACGCCATTCTCCTGCCTCAGCCTCCCGAGTAGCTGGGACTACAGGCGCCCGCCACCTCGCCCGGCTAATTTTTTGTATTTTTAGTAGAGACGGGGTTTCACCGTGTTAGCCAGGATGGTCTCGATCTCCTGACCTCGTGATCCGCCCGCCTCGGCCTCCCAAAGTGCTGGGATTACAGGCGTGAGCCACCGCGCCCGGCCCAAAGTTACTCTTTTTAAGATTTTATCAGCTGGGTGCAATGGCTCACACCTGTAATCTCAACACTGGGAGGCCAAGGTGGGAGGATCAGTTGAGCCCAGGAGTTCAAGGCCAGTCTCTGCAACATAGTGAGACCCACATATCTACAAAAAAAAAATTTTTTTTTAATTAGGTGGAAGTATTGGTACATGCCTGTGGTCTCAGCTACTAGGTAGGCTCAGGTGGGAGGATCACTTGAGCCCAGGATGTCGAGGCAATGGTGGCCATGATTATACCACTGCACTCCAGCCTGGGTGACAGAGTGAGACCCTGTCTAAAAACAATTTTTTTGTAATTAGAATTTTTTTTTAGAAAACAAAGTATACACTTGGTGACTTGATGCAAATGAATGACTTTTATAATCTACAGAAACCAAAATGAATAAATAAGTAAATAAAAATCCACAGCCATTCTTCTCATGTGAGTCTCTGGTGTCTCTGAGTTGTAAGAATTATGAATTATTATTAATAAATATGCATGACAAGGACTCAATAAAGGATAGGCATTAATGAATTGCAATCCACACTTACTGGGGTAAGGCCTTTAAAGATGTTAAGAAAAAGAAAGAAAAAGAAAAGGCATTGAAAAACTGCATTGCCTACCAAAACGCTAAAGTTTACCTAAGTCCATTAATCAGCGCGCACACACACACATACACACATGCAGTGGGTGTGTAAAATGGTCAACACAGTCTTCCATGAATGTACCCTCTTATTAATAGGTCTGTGGGGGTAAGAGATGAGGTTCTATAGATCCTGGAATCGGGGATGGGGAATCTGTGAGGTCCCCGGGGTGACAGAGGAGGGTCTGTAGATTACTGATAGGTGGTCTTTGGGATAGTGATGAGGTCCATGGAATCAATGATTGTGGGTATGTAGGGTCAGTGATGAGGGAATCTGGTGTCAGTGATGGGATGTGTGTGGGATCGATGAGACAGTATGGAATCAATCCGTGAGAGCCAGATTTGCGGTGTCATCTCTCATGGTGACGCATCCTGATCTGTGTGTCAGTGGTGGAGATTCTATGGGGTAAGAGTGTGGCTGTCAGGTCCCTGCCACTGTGTGTTCTGGGTCTGGCCAAGTGCACAGATTCCCTTACCTGGTCCTGGCTGGAGAGGCTCTTCTCAAGGACTCCTCTCGTGAAAGGTGGGTTGGCGGCGTTTTGGGGGTTTTTGTTTGTTTGTTTTTTGCGGGGGGTGGGGGTTGGCTTTTTCTTTTGGGTTTGTTTTTGAGTCTTAGAGACCACAGACACATGGAGCTTGTAGGAAGAAATTTTTGTCTGGGCCGTCGCTAGGTCCTTTGGGCCAAGCCATCTAATAGGAGCGAAGGTGACCATTCCCTCAGCGGGGTTCAGAGCTAGAAGGTCGCTTTAAGGTGTCCACACGGTGGCGTGCAAGTGGGTTGTGGCTTTGAGGGGCAGGTGGGCGGGAAGAAACAACTAAGAAAGACACAGGAGCGCTCCTCAGGCTGGATTTGTCACAGCCGGAAGAGAAGCTGCCCTAACCAACCCGTCAGGCGCCAATGGGAGGTGCCTCCGGGCTGTGAGAGGCTGGCGGAGGCGGGACCTGCAGATCCAGAGAGCCCGGGCACAGAGCCTGTTACTGCCAGACGCTGAGGCGTTGCCGTGGGAACCAAGGGCCTTTCGGGTCAGATCAGAGCCTTTCTCAGACAATTCTTTCGGTAACTGGCGAGCTCCTGTCCAGCGCACGCCTCTATGAAGGCCTAGTGTGCCGTCTGCCGCGGAGTCTTCTTTGGTCTGAGAGCCACTTGTTTCTTACATCCCTGCGCTAATCTCGCCGTCTGCTCCTACCTAACCCAGGCATTTGCCGCATGCTGGTCCTCTATTTCCTCACAGGCGGGCCGTCTCTCCAGCTTCTGGGAGGACAGTTCAAATTACGGAGGAGGGGGCAGGTGCAGGGCAGTGGGGCTGAGGGGAGTAGGGGGGAGTTGGGGGAGCAGGGGCTCATTTTTCTTTGTAGCTCAGATTCCTAGGCCTGTGACTTTGAGAATCGGTGTCTTCCTTGCAGTATTTTAATCTGAGGCTCCTGGGGAGAGGACAGAGTTGGAGCCGGATGGAAGCGTGGTGGGTGTAAGGAACATGGAGAATGTGTCAGGCGGTGTCTTTATTCCTGGCACATTACTTTGCCTGCTGGAGTTTCCCAGTCTGTTCCAGGCGCACTCTCTCGACCCTGAAGGGACCTGAGCGGGGATGTTGGTCGCCAGTGTGTGCTCCCCTGGACTGGATTGGAATTGGTTCCACAAACTTTTTTTTTTTTTTTTTTTGAGGGAGTCTCACTCTGTCACCCAGGCTGGAGTGCAGTGGCGCCATCTCGGCTCACCGCAACTTCCGCCTCCCGGATTCAAGCCATTCTCCCGCCTCAGCCTCCGGGTAGCTGGGATTACAGGCGCATGCCATCACGCCCGTCTAATTTTTGTATTTTCAGTAGAGACAGGGTTTCATCACGTTGGCTAAGCCGGTCTCGAACTTCTGACCCCAAGTGATCCGCCCGCCTCGGCCTCCCAAAAAACTGGGATTACAGGCGTGAGCCACCGCGCCCGGCCAACTAACTCGTTCTTTGTAAGAGTTAAACTATCTTCCATTATATGAGCATTTAAAGATATTAAAGTACTTTTGCCACCAAAAATAATGCTTCTGTAAATATTCTTTTACTTATATCTTTAATTTTTACTTCTGCTGAAACAAATTGCATGAGGAAACAAATGTATGTGTATAAAATGTAATATATGTATATATATTTAATATGTGTATATACAACTTAATATATACACACACATACAATAATATATACAATTTTTTGTTATTTTTTGAGATGGAATTTCAGTCTGTCACCCAGGCTGGAGTGCAGTGGTGTCATCTCGGCTCACTGCAACCTCCACCTCTTGGGTTCAAGTGATTCTCCTGCCTCAGCCTCCCAAGTAGCTGGGAATACAGGCATCTGCCACCATGTCCAGCTAACTTTGTCTTTTTAGTGGAGATGGGTTTTCACCATGTTGGCCAGGCTGGTCGCGAACTCCTGACCTTAAGTGATCCACTCACCTTGGCCTCCCAAAGTGCTGGAATTACAGGAGTAAGCCACCGTGCCCGGCTTAGCATATACAATTTAATGTATATACAAATATAGGTTGGGTGCAGTGGCTCACTCCTGTATTCCTAGCACTTTGGGGAGCTGAGGTAGAGGATTGTTTGAACCCAGGAGTTTGAAACCAGCCTGGGCAACATGGTGAAACCCTGCCTGTACCAAAAACACAAAAATTAGCTGGGTGTGGTGGCACGTGCCTGTGGTCCCAGCTACTCAGGAGACTGAGGTGGGAGGATAGCTGGAGCCCAGGAGGTTGAGGCTGCAGTGAGTTGTGATCATACCACTGCACTCCAGCGTGGGTGACAGAGTGAGACTCTGTCTCAGACAAGAACAAAAACAAACCAAATATAATGTTTATGCACTACACACTCGATTTCTTTCCAGAGGTTTATACAACACTATACTTTCACCAGCAATATATGAGACTATTCATTTCCTACATACTCACTATCACTTGTGTGCAGTCAAGGAAACTAAGTAGGCCTGAATTGTCCAAACCCCGCACACTCCAAAGAAAGGTTTGACTCTAGTCCATCTCCCAGGAAATAACCTCTAAGTCCTTGGAATATCCTGCCTCTGTAGGAGTTAACAATGTGATTTATTGTGGGGACCCTGGACCATGCAGTGTCAGCTTGACCTTGGGAAGGGTGGAGACAGAGAAACTAAGGTCATCCAAATGGGTGCTCTTGTCCATGTGACCAACCTCCAGTAAAACCCTCAACACCAAGGCTCAGGTAAGCTTTTTGCTGGGGAGTATTTTCTGTACTTTCTGCCATGTATCGCTGGGTGAATTAAGCACTGTACACATGATGCCGCTGGGAGAGGGCAACTGGAAGCTTGCGCTTGGTCTCTCCTGGTCTCTGCCCTACGCACCTTTTGCTGCTGCTGACTTTAATCTGCATCTTTTTGTTGTAATAAACCATAACCATGAGAATAACAGCTTGACTCAGTTTTGTGAGTTCTTCTAATTAATCACTGAACCTTTGGGACCCCAGAACACAACTTTGTTTCTTCTTTAATTGAATTTTACATGTTATGTAAGAAACCTATGTGCATAATTGAAAAATCACATACTAAGAAAGAGCTTTCCATGCAGTCTACTCCCCATCATTTCTCCAATGCTCCCAGGTCTACTCCCTGAATAATCAGATGTTTAAATTTTCTAAACTATTTCTAATCTATATATCTGAGTGGTTATCTCTGTGTTATATAATAGGTAGATCCTGCTCCTTCTCAATATATCCACTTGATGTATTACCTGATGACTTCCTGTTCTGATAGCTGATGACTTGGCTGACACTCACCCCTCACCCCAGTGCCTGGACCACTTTCCAGATATGGTGCTCTCACTATTTTCCTTTTTTTTGTTTTGTTTTTTGAGACATACTCTTGCTCTGTCACCCAGGCTAGAGTGCAGTGGTGCCATCTCGGCTCATTGCAACCTCCGCCTCCTGGGTTCAAGTGATTCTCCTGCCTCAGCCTCCTGAGTAACTGGGATTACAGGCACGTACCACCACAACCGGCTAATTTTTGTATTTTTAGTAGAGACGAGGGTTCACCATCTTGGCCATGCTGGTCTCGAACTCCTGACCTCGTGATCCGCCCACCTCAGCCTCCCAAAGTGCTGGGATTACAGGTGTGAGCCACAGCGCCAGGCCACTCTCACGATGTTCAATATCTCCATTGGTTACCTTTCATAGCATTCAACAATTAGACATACCTCATTTATTTATTGTTAGTTTTTTCTATTTTTAGGTTTAAGGGATATGTGCAGCTTGTTACATGGGTAAATTGCATGTCACTGGGGTTTGGTGTACAAATGATATCGTCACCCAGGTAGTGACCACAGTACCCAACAGTTTTTTGACCCATAGCCTCATGCCACCCTTCCCACTCAAGCAGGCCCCAGTGTCTGTTGTTCCCATCTCTGTGTCCATGTGTACTCAATGTTTAGCTCCCACTTATAAGTGAGAACATGAGGTATTTGGTTTTCTGATGCTGCATTAATTCATTTCGGATAATGGACTTCAGCTGCATCCATGTGGCTGCAAAGGACAGGTTTTTTGGGTTTTTTGGTTTGTTTGTCTGTTTTCTAAGGCTATGTAGTATTCCATGGTGTATATGTACCACATTTTCTTTATCCAGTCCACTGCTGATGGGCATCATATATGCAACTTCAAACTATACTGCTAGGCTACAGTAACCAAAATGTTATAGTACTGGTACAAAAACAGACACATAGACTAATGGAACAGGTTAGAGAACCCAGAAATAAAGCCACACACCTACAACCATCTGATCTTCGACAAAGTCAAAAAAAACGAGCAATGGGGAAATGACTCCCTATTCAATAAATGATTCTGGGATAACTGGCCAGCCATGTGCAGAAGATTGAGTCTGAGCCCCCTACCTTTCACCATATACAAAAATTAACTCAAAATGGATTAAAGATTTAAATATAAGACCTCAAACTATAAAAATCCAGGAAGACAACCTAGGAAATACTCTTCTCAACATTGGACTTGGTAAGGAATTTTTGGCTAAGTTTCCAAAAAAGCAATTGCAGCAAAAACAAAAATAGACAAGTGATACCTAATTAAACTAAAAGCTGGGAGGCCGAGGCGGGTGGATCACAAGGTCAGGAGTTCGAGACCAGCTTGACCAACATGGTGAAACCCTGTCTCTACTAAAAATACAAAAATTAGCTGGGCATGGTGGCGCACACCTGTAATCCCAGCTATTCAGGAGGCTAAGGCAGGAGAATTGCTTGAACCCGGGAGGCAGAGGTTGCAGTAAGCCAGGATTGCGCCACTGCACTCCAGCCTAGGCGACAGAGCGAGACTCCATGTCAAAAAGAAAAGAAAGAAAATGGTCACAGTAACTTATGACACTTGGAGGAACTTTGCATTTACGTTAGTGAGGTAGTGGCAGTATATGGGGCAAGACCATTTTGTTGTAGATGAAGATGTTAAATTTGATTATGGAAGAAAGGTGTATGTTACTGAAGAGATGTCAAAAGATAGAAGATAGGAGGCATTTGTTCTGTTTTTCTGGCCACTCAGTACCTTTTGAACATTTTTAAAATTTTTTTGAGACAAGGGCTCACTCCATTGTCCAGGCTTGAGTGCAGTGGTGCTGTCACAGCTCACTGCAGCCTCAGACTCCTGGGCTCAAGCGATCCTCCTACCTCATCCTCTCAAAATGTTGGGAACATAGGCATGAGCCACCACTCCCTGTCCCTTTTGAACATTTTTGCCAGCTCTAGGAAATTTCTTCAGTTCCTTGGGCTCTTTTGAAGTAGGGCACGTGACTAAGTCATGTGTCTAAGTTTCACCAATGAAACTCATATCAAGATATTTCAAAATTGATCAACTTAAGGTTTCACATGAATTCATCTTGCGTGCAAGGGTGGAGGCAGAGGTTCCGGCTTTCACAGGCAAGAGTAGTTGCTCATATATCGTGTATCAGGTGCAGACAGCACATCAGCGTGGCAACAGTGGCAATTCCCATTGTTCTTGTGCCAGCAGGAGAGGCAGGTGACTTACTCACTATACCTGTCCCATGGCATAATTTTGGGCATAGCACCTAGAAGCCTAGCCTGGAGCCTGGATTTCTATCCCTCCCAATCATTCTGTGAGCTACCTACCTTTTTGGCTTAATTACCAAAGGCTGAGACTGTTGCTTGCAATTGGAAGCCTCAAATGTTAAAGTATTAAACAATAAAACAGGCCAGGCCTGGTGGCTCACACCTGTAATCCTAGCGCTTCACAAGGTTGGGACAGGTGGATCATTTCAGCCCAGGAGTTTGAAACCAACCCAGGCAACATGGCAGAACGTGGCCTCTACAAAGAAATACAAAAATTAGCCAGGCATGGTGGTGTGCGCATGCAATCCCAGCTACTTTGGAAGCTGGGGAGGGAGGATCATCTGAGCCCGGGGAGGTCGAGGCTGCAGTGCCATGATTGTACCACTGCACTCCAGCCTGGGCGACAGAGCAAGACCATCTCAAAAAAAAAAAAAAAAAAAAAGCAAATAGTAAAAATCATATATTTCCTTCCTTTAACCCCCAGCCCTCCAGCATGTGGTTGTTTTAGAGGTATTTCATTATTGGATGATGATATTCACTTGGGTGACTAGTAGGGCAGGATATGAATACAATTGGTGTCTTCATTGAATTTGGGGAGTTGTTTGATTAAAACTACATACAACTGGCTGGGTGCCGTGTCTCATGCCTGTACCCAACACTTTGGGAAGTCAAGGCAGGCAGATCACTTGAGGCCCAGAGTTTGAGACCAGCCTGGCCAACATGGTGAAACTTTGTGTCTACTGAAAATACAAAAATTAGCTGAGTGTCATGGCCCATGCCTGTGGTCCCAGCTACTCAGGAGGCTGAGGCACAAGAATCGCTTGAACCCGGGAGGCGGAGGTTGAAGTGAGCCGGGATCATGCCACTGCACTCCAGCCTGGATGACAGAGTAAGACTCTGTCTCAACCCAAACTGGCCGGGTGCGGTGGCTCACGCCTGTAATCCCAGCACTTTGGGAGGCTGAGGCAGGTGGATCACGAGGTCAGGAGTTCAAGACCAGCCTGGCCAAGATGGTGAATCCCCGTCTCTACTAAAAATACAAAATTAGCCAGGTGTGGTGGCACATGCCTATAATCTCAGCTACTCGGGAGGCTGAGGCAAGAGAATCACTTGAACCTGGGAGGCAGAGGTTTCGGGGAGGTGGAGGTTGAGGTGAGCCGAGATCGAGCCATTGCACTCCAGCCTGGACAAGAAGAGTAAAATTCTGTCTCAAAAACAAAGAAAATTACACACAACTCATTTCCTGGTTTGTGATAATCTGTGAAATATATTTTGAAATGAATTGGAATTCTGTGCAGTACTATTCACACCCCAATACTCCTAATATTTCCTTTCCCAGATGATGACCTGGCACTCTTCCTAGGGCTTGACATACAGGTCCCCAATATAAGTATTTGTGATTCTGAGTCAATTTATTGTCTACATGGGTGACAATGCAATGCTCTTGTTGTAGAGTACCAATACTTTATATTTTTGAGGCAGGGTCTCACCTCCATCATCCGAACTGAAGTGCAGTTGCGTGATCACAGCTCACTGCAGCCTTGACCTCCTGGGTCCAAGTGACCCTCCCACCTGAAACTCACAAGTAGCTGGGACCACAGGCATGTGCCACCATGCCCCAATAATTTTGTGGAGACAGGTCTCTCTAGGTTGCCCAGGCTGGTCTCAAACTCCTGGGCTCAAGTGATTCACCTGCCTTGGCCTCCCAAAGTGCTGGGATTACAGGCATGAGCCACTGCACCCAGCTCTTCTAGAGGAAAGCCACCACAGCTAATTTTTGTATTTTTAGTAGAGATAGGGTTTCACCATGTTGGCCAGGCTGGTCTAGAACTCCTGACCTCCAGTGATCTGCCCACCTCAGCCTCCCAAAGTGCTGTGATTACAGGTGTGAGGCACCGTGCCTGACCAATTGCATAAAATTTTACTCTTTGGTATTTAATTTCTCTCAAGTCTTATGAGCAGCATTAATCATTTCATGGAAGATAAAAAATCTAGGCAAGATCAGGCCGTGTGCCTTGCTTTATTATTTATTTTATTTTATTTTTTTTGAGACGGAGTTCTGCTCCTGTTGCCCAGACTGGAGTGCAATGGTGTGATCTCAGCTCACTGCAACCTCCACCTCCTGGGTTCAAGCGATTCTCCTGCGTCAGCTTCCCAAGTAGCTGGGATTACAGGCATGCACCACCACACCGGGCTAATTTTGTATTTTTAGTAGAGACGGGATTTCTCCATGTTGGTCAGGCTGGTCTCGAACTCCTGACCTCAGGTAATCCGCTCGCCTTGGCCACACCTTGCTTTATTAATCCCAGTGACCTTTACCTCTATTCTACTCAGACGTCCGTGCTCATTATCATACTCCTGAGTAGTACTTATTTTAGTAACCTTGTTCACTTCTACGTGAAAACATTTTTTCAGCTCAGATATCACCTTTTCCAGAAATGAGCTACTTTTCCTCTGGCTTTTTCTAGAACCATGTGCTCACCTTGAGCATAGTACATACTTTATTCCATAGATCTCGTAAGGAAGTTGAATGGATACTCCTGAATTTCCAGCATCCACTACATTATCAAGTGTGTATTGACATTTATAAGTACTTCACAAATTAAAGAATGAACATATGAATGAATGAATCAAACCAAGGCTCAGATGAGTTGTATATCTGTTTGTGGTAGATGAAAATGAATGTTACTCATGGTCCTTAGACTTATATTTCTGTTCCCCAGCAGTTTTCAAGCATGTAACTGAGTACCTCCTATGTTCCTAGGAGCTGGAGATAGAGATGAGTCAGGTCCAAACTGCACCTTTGTAGAGAACATAGTATATGCGCAATTGAACATGTACATGGTTATGATACTGAAAACAATAAGAAAGTAGGCCGGGCGCAGTGGCTGACACCTGTAATCCCAGCACTTTGGGAGGCCGAGGCTTGGCGATCACCTGAGGTCACAAGTTTGAGACCGGCCTGCCCAACATGGTGAAACCCTGTCTCTACTAAAAGTACAAAAAATTAGTTGAGTGTGGTGGTGGGCACCTGTAATCCCACCTACTCGGGAGGCTGAGGCAGGAGAATCGCTTCAACCTGGGAGGCGGATGTTGTAGTGAGCCAAGATCACACCTCACATCACCGCACTCCAGCCTGGGCGACAAGAGTGAAACTCCATCTTAAAAAAAAAAAAAAAAAGAACACTGGCCTTGGGAGTTTCTTTAGGTTGGCTCCTGTATTCCATTTATAGCATGCCTTTATCAGGGGGCTGGGGTACGGGACTAATTCCCAACTTTCTGGCACCATAAAATGTTTTGATTCATTTGATATTTTCCCTGACCCAGACGTGGAATAAACCATTCATTTAAAGATCCTTGGTTTCTTTTATTGAAGAGTTTTATTTACAAAGCACCAAAATCTTGGGCTGGGTGAGGTGGCTCAGGCCTGTAATCTCAACATTTTGGGAGGCTGAGGCAGGAGGATCCCTTGAGGCCAAGAGTTTGAGACCAGCTTGGGCAACACAGTGAGACCCCATCTCTATTTTTAAAAACAAAACAAAAACAAAATCACCAAGATCAGGGTGACAAGTGTGCTCATTGCTACTGGTGTGTCATTGCTTCTAGGCCCTCTTAGTGGGCAGAACTAGGAAATGTATGTATACTAACACACACACCTAATTTGTATATTTATTTAGCCTTACTGTAAGTTTTTTTTTTTTTTTTGAGACAGGGTCTCACTCTGTCATGTAGGCTAGAGTGCAGTGGCATAATCTCAGCTCAAATGCAACCTCCACTTCCCAGGTTCAAGTGATTCTCCTGCCTCAGCCTCCTGAGTAGTTGGGACGATAGGTGCCTGCCACCATGCCTAGCTAATTTTTGTATTTTTAGTAGAGACGGGGTTTCACCACGTTGGCCAGGCTGGTCTGGAACTCCTGACCTCAGTGGATCTGCCCCCCCTTGGCCTCCCAAAGTGCTGGAATTACAGGCATGAGCCTCTGTGCCTGGCCAAGCATTCTTAATGGGTGTGATATTGCCCCTAAGAGGGTGAACATTGGTTACTGAAGGTAAAATGAATTATAGTTGTTGCAATGGTTTGTGGCCTTCCACAATTTTTTTTTTTTTTTTTTTTTGAGTTGGAGGCTCACTCCGTCACCCAGGCTGGAGTGCGGTGGTGCAATCTTGGCTCACTGCAACCTCTGCCTCCTGGGTTCAAGAGATTCTCCTGCCTCAGCCTCCCAAGTAGCTGGGATTATAGACATGCACTACCAAGTTCGGCTAATTTTTGTATTTTTAGTAGAGACGGAGTTTCAGCATGTTGGCCAGATTGGTCTAGAACTCCTGACCTCAAGTGATCCGCCTGCCTCGGCCTCCCAAAGTGCTGGGATTGCAGGTGTGAGCCACCAGGCACCTGGCCTATTGCACAGAATTTTACTCCTTGGTATTTAATTTCTCTCAAGTCTTATGGGCAGCATTGAACATTTTATGGAAGATAAAAAGTCCACGCAAGATCAGGCCATGCACAGTGGCTCACACCTGTAATCCCAGCACTTTGGGAGGCCGAGGAAGGCAGATCACCGAAGGCAGGAGTTCAAGACCAGCCTGTCCAACATGGTAAAACCTCGTGTCAACTAAAAATACAAAAAAATTACCTGGAAGTGGTGGCACGTGCCTGTAATCCCAGCTACATGGGAGGCTGAAGCAGGAGAATCGCTTGAACCCAAGAGGCAGAGGTTGCAGCGAGCTGATCATGCCACTGCACTTCATCCTGGGCGACAGAAGGAGCCTCCATCTTAAAAAAAAAAAAAAATCTATGCAAGATCAGTGCTACAAAATGATGGCAAATTGATGGCTATAATCGGAAGACTTTTTCTTGATTGAATGCTCTATCCCAAAGTTACATGAGAGGTGGTCTGTGTGTGTCTATTGGCTGCCTTGTGGATAGTATTTATGATTGATCCTCAGTGCTTTGGGAATTATGTAAAATAGTTATATTATGAAAATAATTCAACCTAGCATTAATTGTGTTAAGTGTTGAAAATGAAAAATGTTGACTACATCTGAATGAATGAATATCTGGCTTACGGGTTTTGTTTTGTTTGTTTTTGTTTTTTGAGACGGAGTCTCACTCTGTGTCACTCCTGAGTTCAGGCAATCCACACACCTCGGCCTCCCAAAGTGTTAGGATTACAGGCGTGAGCCACCACGCCCGACCTAGCTTACGGTTTTATTGAAAACCCCATTTAACTCAAAACAGCTTGTTTCTTATGAATAATCATTTTTTTTGTTTTTGTTTTGTTTTGTTTTTTTACAAACAGGGCTATGAAACCATCAAGATTTGTGGATCATCGAAAAAAGAAACATCCTGATAAAGTCGAGAAGCAGAATATTTAAAAAGTTTAAAATAGAATTTTGAACTGTAACACTGTTACTTCCTTATTTAAGAAGGACAAGCGACCAGGTGAGGTGGCCCACACCTGTAATCCCAACAGTTTGGGAGGCTGAGGCGGGTGGATCCCTTGAGCCCAGGAGTTGGAGACCAGCCTGGGCAATATGGTGAAACCTTGTCTCTACTAAAAACACAAAAACTAGCCGGGCATGGTGTGTGCACCTGTAATTCCAGGTACTCGGGAGGCTGAGGCAAGAGACTCACTTGAACCTGAGAGGCAGAGGTTGCAGTGAGCTGAGATTGCAGCACCACACTCCAGCCTGGACGATAGAGTGACATTCGGTCTCAAAAAACAAAAAAAAAGGATAAGCAAACAAATTATGATGAAATTATTGCCTTATAAAATTGCATAAATCAGCCAGGCGCGGTGGCTCACACCTGTAATCCCAGCACTTTGGGAGGCCGAGGCAGGTGGATCACCTGAGGTCGGGAGTTCGAGACCAGCCTGGCCAACATGGTGAAACCCCGTCTCTACTAAAAATACAAAAATTAGCCAGGCGTGGTGGCACACACCTGTAATCCCAGCTACTCAGGAGGCTGAGGCAAGGAGAATCGCTTGAGCCAGGGAGACGGAGGTTGCAGTGAGCTGAGATCGTGCCACTGCACTGCAGCCTGGCTGACAGAGTGAGACTCCATCTCAAAAAAAAAAAACAAAAAAAAAATTGCAGAAATCATTGTAAAACCCCGTAGTGCTTACAGAGTTGCCGAAACTGTCATAGGACCCACATTAGAGGCCATAACTTCAATAGTGATATATCACATTGCCACTATTTAACAATCACTCCTATTGAGCAACAATTCAATTCATAGATGCATTAATGAGATGTCAGGTAATACCAGAGTAGCTGATTAATCAAGTAAGTTTCCTATTCAGATCAATGAAACTAGTTAGTGATAGTAAGGCCTGACAATAGAACGTGTTTGTTATTTCAATAATGACTGCAAACTAGAAGAGATATTGTTTGTAAAATCTTTAGACACTGACCATAGCAGAACATCTATTCTTACCACTGTAAAAACTTGGTTTGGGGCTGGGTGCAGTGGCTCATGCCTGTAATCTCAGCACTATCATTTCCTCACATGATATGGAAAATGCTGACCTCTGCATCCTAAATCTAAACTAATTTCCCACTCACTTGCTAAGCTTCAGTCACACCAGGCTGCTTTCTGTTTCTGGAATGCTCCAAGTGCTCTCTGATTTTTCAGCATCTTTAGTGTAACTGTGCCTCTGCTTGGAATACCCTTCCACACTGCTGACTCCTCACCACCAAAGCTCAAGGGTTATCTCTCAGTCACCTGTCCTATCAATGCTACGGGAAGTATCCCTCAAGTTACTGCTTATACCACCTATTGATTTATTTCATAGTATTGATCACGATATAAAATTACCTCATTTTCTCCTTTTACTTTAAAATCTTTTTTTTCTCCCAGACTAGAATGTAAACCTCACGTAGGCAGCAGACATGTCTGCTTACTTTTTTTTGTGAGACGGAGTTTTGCTCTGTCACCCAGGCTGGAGTGCAATGGTGCGATCTCAGCTCACTGCAACCTCCGTCTCCCAGGTTCAAGTGGTTCTCCTGCCCCAGCCTCCCGAGCAGCTGAGATTACAGGCGCCCACCACCACACCCGGCTAATTTTTGTATTTTTAGTAGAGATAGGGTTTCACTATGCTGGACAGGATGGTCTCGAACTCCTGACCTCAGGTGATCTGCCTGCATGTCTGCTTACTTTTGATAAGTATCTTTACTGATTGATTGACCGAGGCAGAGTCTTGCTCTGTTGCATAGGATGGAGCGAAGTGGTGCAATCATAGCTCACTGCAGCCTTCAACTCCTGGCCCCAAGAGATCCTCGCAACTCACCTTTCCCAGTAGCCGAGACTACAGGTACATACCACAAGGCCTGGCTAATTTAAAAAGTGTTTTTTGTAGAGATGGGGTCTTGCTTTGTTACCCAGGCTGGTCTTGAACTCTTGGAGTCAAGCAATCCTCATGCCTTTCTAAAGCTTTTACTATTTGAATTAAAATGAACAAATCAGGAAATGAGCAAAGTCTGTCTCTGAAAAACTGAATTCTCTCCCCAAAGACACTGCATGTAACATTATTTAATAATAAGATAGTGGCCAGGCGCGGTGGCTCAGACCTGTAATCCCAGCACGTTGGGAAGCCGAGGCGGATAGATCACAAGGTCAGGAGTTCAACACCAGCCTGGCCAAGATTGTGAAACCCCATCTCTACTAAAAATACAAAAATTAGCTGGGCGCGGTGGCAAGCACCTGTAACCCCAGCTACTTGGGAGGCTGAGTCAGGAGAATCGCTTGAACCGGGCGGGGGCGGAGGTTGCAGTGAGCTGAGATTATACCATCGCACTCCAGCCTGGGTGACAGAGTGAGACTCTGTCTCAAAAAATAATAATAATAAAAATAAAGATGATGATAGTTGGGCTGGGCACAGTGGCTCACACCTGTAATCCCAGCACTTTGGGAGGCTGATGCAGTCAGATTGCTTGAGCCTAGGAGTTCGACACCAGCCTGGAGACGGTCAAACCCCGTCTCTATAAAAAATAAAAAAATTAGCTGGGTGTGGTGGCACATACCTGTGGTCCTAGCTACTTGAGAGGCTGAGGTGGGAGGATCACCTGAGCCCAGGAGGTTGAGGCTGCAGTGAGCTAGGAGTGCAGCACTGCACTCCAGCCTGGGCGATAGAGCAAAAGGCCATCTCAAATAACAATAATAATAATTGGATAGTAACAAATGTTTGACTCCAACAAGTATGCTGCAAAACAATGCTATAAATAATGAGAAAATAGACAATGCGTGGTTCGGCTTGGTGGCTCACGCCTGTAATCCCAGCACTTTGGGAGGCTGAGGTGGGCGGATTACGAGGTCAAGAGATCGAGACGATCCTGGCCAACATGGTGAAACTCCGTCTCTATTAAAAATACAAAAATTAGCCAGGTGTGGTGGCAGGTGTCTGTAATCCCAGCTACTCAGGAGGCTAAGGCAGGAGAATTGCTTGAACCAGGGAGTCGGAGGTTGCAGTGAGCCGAAATCGCGCCGCAGTACTCCAGTCTGGCGACAGAACGAGACTCCATCTCAAAAAATAAAAATAAATAAAAATAAAAGGGATGAAAGATGACAAAACTACCAGAAGAAATCAGAAATTATAACATCCAACTAAAAGGATGTTTAGAATTTCAGAAAGAGAGAAGAAAAATGAATGGAAGAAAACTTCACAGAACAAACAAAAGGCGATTTCTAGAAACACAGATCATGAGTCTTCAAAATATTAATACAAAGATCCACTGAGTACCTTGTACAACGAAAGAAACAAGAACCACACCAAAACACATTTCTGTGAAATTTCAGAAAACTAGTACGAAGAGACAATTTTAAATGTTTTTTAAAATTATTATTATTATTATTATTGAGACAGGGTCTCACTCCATTGCCCAGGCTGGAGTCCAGTGTCGCGATCTTGGCTCAACTGCAACCATGCCCTCTTGGGTTCAAGCAATTCTCCTGCCTCAGCCTCCTGAGTACCTGGGACTACAGGTGCATGCCACCTCACCCAACTAATATTTTGTGTTTTTAGTAGAGACAGCGTTTCACCATGTTGGCCAGGCTGGTCTCAAACTCTTGACTTCAGGTGATCTGCCCACCTCGACCTCCCAAAGTGCTGGGATTACAGGTGTGAGCCACCACACCCGGCCTATTTTTACTTTTATGAAAACAGGGTCTCCTTATGTCATCCAGGCTGGTTTTGAACTCCTGAGCTCAGGCAATCCTCCTGCCTCGTACTCCCAAAACTCTGGGATTACAGGCATGAATCACTGAGCCTGGCCTTTAAATGCTTTGAAAGACAAAGAACAGTAACAGAACACAAATCAAATTGTCATATTTTAAGATAAACACTGTAAGCTAGCAGACAATGTTATATAATTCAAAATTCTAAGTGAAAACCACATTCAACCTAAAATTTCAAACCTAGTTAAGGTGTCATCCAAAAGAGGTAGAATACAGACACTGTCAAGCTTATAAGGGTCCCAAAGTTTTAACCCAAATTCGCCTTTGTCAAAATGGTAAACAAAATAAGAACGTGTTTTTTACAAAAATGAGAAGCTAAACCAAGAAAAAAAAAAAAAAGACATACGCTCCAAGAAACCAGGGACCCAATATAAGAGGCACAGGAAATGCCCGAGATGTTCAGGTGCTGGGTATTTATTTATTTATTTAATTTTTTCTGAGACGGGGTCTTGCTTTGTCACCCAGGCTGGAGGGCAGTGGTGCCATCACGGCTCACTGCAGCCTCGACCTCCCAGGCTCAAGCCATCCTCCCAACTCAGTTCTTTTGCCAGTTGGCATCCTTTTACTTATTCATTGATGAATCCCACATATTCATTTATTCACTCTACAGTGGTGAAATCTCTTAGAATTATTTTCACTAAGTAATAAAAGTTAACATCACCAAGAATGGAACACATTGACACTGTGTGTCTCTCGATGGGATAAACCACATGAGTTATGTGGTATTCCTCCCAAAGATACATAAAAGATGAGGTACATCCAAATTAAAGAACACTCTACAAAATAACTGTCCCGGCGCGGTGGCTCATGCCTGTAATCCTAGCACTTTGGGCAGCAGAAGTGGGAGGATCTCTTGAGCCCAAGAGTTTGAGACCACACTGGGCAACATAGAACACCCCATCTCTACAAAAAATAAAAAATTACCCGGGCGTGGTGGCGCAGGCCTGTAGTCCCAGCTACTCGGGAGGCTGAAGCAGGAGGGTCCCTTGAGCCCAGGAGTTCGAGGCTGCAGTGAGCTATCATCGCGCCACTGTATTCCAGCCTGGGCGATACAGCAAAGCCCTGTCTCCAAAAATAAAACCAAAAACCAAAAAACAAAACCCCAAAAAAACTCACCACCACCAAAAAACAAAATAAGTAACCTGTATTCTTTGAAAATGTCAAGGTCGGGAACAGGTAGGATACACAGAAAACAAATAGGTGGAAGATTTAAATCGAAATATTTTAGTAGTTTCATTAAATGTACAGAGGAGAGTATGTGCCTATCATTGGGAGTCTGAGACAAGATAAAAGCACGGATCTCATAACAATAAATTACTTTGAAATCTTCTTTCTTGCTCAGTACAGGTCCCGCCGCCGCGCCGCCTGGCTCTCGTATTCCTGGTTCTCGGCGGGCTGTGGGGCTTCCGCGCCGCAGCCGTTAGTCTCGTCGGGTAGGTGACTCCTTCAGCGAGCAGGCGCAGCGACGAGAAAGGCCTGGCGGGGTTGCGCTGTCTTCCCGCCCACCGGAAGGCCCTGAGGAGAAGCCTCGGGCCCTGAGGGAGGGCTTGGGGTCGGGGGCGGCCGCTGCCGCCGCCATGTTGGGCTGGAGGTACGCACGCTCCCAACGCTCTCTGGCTGCGCTCCCAACGGTATCTGGCTGCAAATCACGGCGGGAGCGCCTCGGGCCTCTTGTCTTTTGACCCTGTCCTTGGAACCCGAGGAGACTTGCCGTTCCCGGGGGAGGGTGTGTGTGAGTCGGGCGGCGGAGGCCGTCTACGCCATTGTAGGGGCGGGGGGAGCCGAGATTAGAGCATCAGCCTGAGAGAAGTGGTGCTTCTGGTTCTCCGCTCTGCCTCGCATCTTTCAGCGAGGCCTCGTACCTCAGTTTTCCCATCCGTGAAGTGGAGCTGGGCCTGCCTGACTCATTCATTCATCAGGTGGAGGCCTTGACGCTCTAGGAGCCCTTTCAAAGGACTTTGCCTTACACGAAATAGTACCTATCGTTATTCACTCTGCAGTAACCACCCGGATTTGAGTGGCGGGTGTTTGCACAGTAATTCAGTTTCCTCTTCACCCTCCTGCCATTCGTCTTCCCCTCCAGTTTATCTCCTGAAAGAGTTTGAAATCAGCCTTGTCTATTATTGATAAACTCCTGTAGGTGTATTTGGTATTTCCCTTAAAACATGCAGACCAAAGGAAAGGCAATATTTTCCCCCCACGAAGCAGTTAACTTGGTAGAGGCCAGCCGTTGTATGGAAGAGAAAGAGAGTCTCTTCAGGACAGGCAGTTTGGATCCTGCTAAACCAGAATAAAAAATCTAGAACATGGG
The DNA here is from genome assembly GCF_000001405.40 of Homo sapiens. Classification (NCBI taxonomy): domain Eukaryota; kingdom Metazoa; phylum Chordata; class Mammalia; order Primates; family Hominidae; genus Homo; species Homo sapiens. The sequence goes on along the minus strand of NC_000019.10, from coordinate 36,775,165 downwards.
CCGGGCGAGGTGGCTCACGCCTGTAATCCCAGCACTTTGGGAGGCCAAGGCGGGCGGATCACGAAGTCAGGAGATCGAGACCATCTTGGCTAATACGGTGAAACCCCGTCTCTACGAAAAATACAAAAAATTAGCCGGGCGTGGTGGCGGGCGCCTGTAGTCCCAGCTACTCAGGAGGCTGAGGCAGGAGAATGGCTTGAACCCGGGAGGCGGAGTTTGCAGTGAGCCGAGATCACGCCACTGCACTCCAGCCTGGGCGACAGAGCAAGACTCCGTCTCAAAAAAAAATAAATAAATAAAAATCTAGAACATGGATGTCCCCTTGCTTTAGCAGACCTAGCTGATCACACAAGGTCCTGTATTGTTAGGCTGCATCACAGGCCGCAAAGACCCAGGTATCTATCCAGTTGTTAGAAACCATCCTGAGAGTTAGATACCACTTTTCTGTTGGAAATACAGACCATTTCCTGAAGCCGTATGGTTGAGGTAAAACAGGCCTTTTGCAGTCTTATATTTTGAGTAAGGCCAAAACTGCCTAGTGTTACAAAACCAGACAAAAAGCCCAGGTACCCAGTCTTGCAGGATAGAAATGTGTGACTAAAATGAAGCATCGATCTGAGAAGACTACAAATGAGCGGGAAAGATTGGACAGGAGCATGCTATACATTATTTAGATTAATGTTGATATTTAAGGAGCCAGGATATTGGTTTGTTTTTGAGGGGTGCCCATCTACTTTATGTAAGAAGCTATAAACTACACTTCTTTCAGTTTCTGCTTAATCCTTGCTCAAACAAGGAATAATTTCTTATTCCAAAGTAGACATTGGTACATCTTTTACTAGGTACATAATTTGGGATGAAGTCTGATAAAGCTCCTTAGAAGTACTTACAGTACACCCTCACAAGGGTGTACCATCTACCCATGGTTTAAACAGAAATTAAAATTCTACCTTCGTGGAAAAATTTGCCAAGTTTTAATGGATTCAGTGCTCATTAAAAACTTTTAGCCTGTCTTGATCTTTAACATAATTATTGGTGTGAAACAATGGCTTCTGTGGAAAATTAAAGTTTTAGTGGTTTGCTATTTGTGAAATACAGGCTTTTTCATGTATCATATTAGCATATAAGCTGGCTTAATCATTAGTACTGATCTTCAAGTTACTAAGACACCAGATATTTGTTACTTTGTAATTTGAGTTTTTAAAAAAATTCCGAAATTGGCTTTTCGATGTGTGAAAAGGACTACTTATTAGATGCTTGTTTTTAAATTTACATTCAATTAATTAAAGCTAGACTCTTTATATTCTTAGGCTTGGTATACTATTTGTATGTTTTGTAGTAAGTGTATAAAAATAATACCTTTGACTTTGTATAAAAAAAATCTTTCTTGCTTTAAAAGCCATGTTGGATTTGCATTCTAGACCGTAATAAATATAACTACTTTAACATAAAAATCTATTTATGTTGTTTATCAGATATTAGGGGTTTTTTTCCCTCTCCTGTCAACCTCCAAATAAAATCGATGCTCCAGAATGATGCCCTCTTATCATAATTTTACAAATACCTGGCTCCAAGGTTACTACCTGATACAAAAATACAATGCTGGTCTCCCAAACAGGCAACTCACATTGACACTCACACAGCTTCCACTCACACCTGCGATCACAAGGCAGCATCTTCGGGCCCTCGTCGGCCACGATCCGCTCCCAGAGAGCATTCGCGCACAATCTTATCCCATCCACGATTTTGATTCCTTTTCTCCCACTTCTTCAACCCTATCCGGGACGAGACCATCAGGTCCCACCTCCACCTTCACCTTCATTTTCCGCGCAATGCAGACTGAGCCCTGGACTCACCCATATACAGATTGAATTGTCCGGTCAGTGTTTCATCCCCTCTGCATTCTGAGGGCGAGTTAGCATCTGGGTGCATGAGTTCCAAACTAACAGCCAGGACCAGGCTTGGAGCCAAGAATCCTTTGGCTCGCATCGTGGCTGGGTTGACCGCTTTTCTGCCCTGGACTACATTTCCCATCGGTTCTACCGTTCGGGGCTACTTCCGCCGAGAACCGGAAGCACGTTTTCCTGTGTCTTACCCCAGATAACAGAGCTGCCAGGGATAATCAGGCCTGACCACTCTAGCGGGCGAGCCGGCCCCATAGCGAGCCGCTCGGCATGAGGGCTCTGCGATCCTCGTTGGAGAGGAGCGGTAAAAGGAAACAAGCCAGGCTTGGAAATGAGAGGCATAGGGAAGCCCGCAGTCGGGCTCTGGACTACATTTCCCAGAGGATCCCGCAGGCCGACGCCACGTCTCGCGAGATTTTGGCTTCCTCTTAGCCAGGTGGCGGGACCGTTTGCTGTGCCGATTTAGCTGCCGCCGCGCCTTGGAGTCCTGAGGAACTTGGCTAGGCTGGCCCCGAGCGGAACCAGAGAATGCTGAGGGTGAGGAATCCGGCTCCGGTCCTTTTGTGTGTGGAGGGCTGAGGAGAGGAGTTTGCGTGTGTGATCGCGATGGCTGCCGTGGGTCTCCGTGGTCTGTGACTGTGGCTGTGTGGTGCTGACTCTGGGTGATCAGGTGGGCGCTTGTGACTGTGCGCGCCCGGAGTGGGTGTGTGTGTCCTGGACGACCCTCGTTGTGCGTGCGGATGTGAAGAACCGGTGACTGTGTGGTTGGACTGCGTGTCCCGGGGTGGGTGTGTGACTTTGCGTGTCTGTGCAGTACCTTGTGTGCGTGAGTTGCAGGTCTGTGGCTGTGCAAGTGCAACTTGTGTGGCCCCTTGGTGTATGTGAGAGAGGAGAGTGTGATTGGCTGTGAGGCAGTGGGTAAGTGGATATGCGGAGGCATGTGTGCGATTGGGACTTTGTGTGTCCCCTTGAGAGAAAAAACTCTTTAGGCAGTTAGGGTGGGACCTTGGTAAAAGTCCTTTAAACAGAGAAACAGCCTGAAAAATCAGGCTGCAGGCATACATAAGGAAAACTCCACAGGGGGGTTGTCCTGAAGACATTCCTCAGCTGCACTGATAAGGGACCGAGGCCCAACATAGAAACGCCTTTGTCCTTTGTGTGACCAGCGGGCTTCCACGAAATAGTCGCTTCTTTTGTGGGCATGTACACGGTGGGCTCTGTTAGATTTTGAAGGGAAGGCGAGGGTTAAAGAAAGAGAGAGAGTTGGCGGCTCTATGGCGGGGACCAACTAAATGCCAGAGCCCACTGCCGCTTCCAGGCTGGGGTAATTACAGGCCTGGGCAGGAGGGGTCTGGGCGGTATGGCTTGTTGCCTGGGAGAAAGTTGATAAGGATGTTTCTTGGGCTTTTGCCCAGCAGGATGTGATAAGGAAGTCAGGCGGTTGGGAAGGATGTTTCGCACAGCCCAAACCCGGGTGGAATGTTTCCCTCTGACCAGGGTCTGTGAAATGGTGGGGGCTTACGAAACGGTGCAGCTTGGACTAACAGGTTCCGGCGGCCACTTTCCTTTTTTGGACATGCTTTAGACTGTGAGCGCGGCCTCTTTGAATCATAACTTCACCCCCTCATTGGTCCCGGGCCAAGCTTTCACTTCAGCCCCTGATTGGTCCCGGGCCAAACTTTCACTTCAGCTCCTGATTGGTCCCGGCCCAAACTTTCACTTCAGCTCCTGATTGGTCCCGGGCCAAACTTTCACTTCAGCCCCTAATTGGTCCCGGGCCAAACTTTCACTTCAGCTCCTGATTGGTCCCGGGCCAAACTTTCACTTCAGCCCCTGATTGGTCCCGGGCCAAACTTTCACTTCAGCCCCTGATTGGTCCTGGGCCAAACTTTCACTTCAGCCTGGGATTGGTCCCGGGCTAAGGTCCCAGGGCCAAGCTGGGTAGTGCTTTCTTCAAGACAGCCCACGTTCCTCCCCTTCCCAGTTAATAAACCCCCCCAGATTCAGCCTCCTAGTTGGCAACCCTCTTTTGGGTCCCTCCGCTGGGGAGAGCTTTCTTCTTTTGCTTATTAAACTTCCGCTCCGACCTCATCCTTTGTGTCCCTGTTCCTTAATTTTCTTGGCCGTGAGAGAAAGAAGGCAAAAACAAGAGCCTTTACCCTAACAACTCAATTGCTGCAGAGATTAGTGCATATTCTATGTGGCATCACACGCCATAGCCCTGGGATTGAAAGCCATGCAGTTTATGGGATGGTGTTAATCTCAGTCCAAATAAGTGATAAGATCTTTCACTTTGCTATATTTTAGGGGTAGGAATGAGATTGGGGGCTCGATCAATAGTTTGTACCAATAACACCAGGGATTTGCCCAGTCATCTGTGAGTAAATGCTTGGGCCAGTTTCCATGTCTGTATTGAATTAAATACTCATACGGTTCTGTGATTTTCTCAAATACAGATTTGGTCTTTGTCCCTATTTCCTCGCATACAACTCCTAAAGTCCTTGGAATCTCTTAAGTGCTGGCTTTTTTTTTTTTTTTTTTTTTTTTTTTTTTTTTTTGATGGAGTCTCTCTCTGTCGCCCAGACTGAAGTGCAGTGGCGCAATCTCCAGTCACTGCAACCTCTGCCTCCCGGGTTCAAGCAGTTCTTCTGCCGCAGCCTCCCGAGTAGCTGGAACTACAGGCACGCGCCACCACGCCCGGCTAATTTTTGTATTTGTTTTTTTTAGTAGAGACGGGGTTTCACCATACTGGCCAGTCTGGTCGCGAACTCCTGACCTCAGGTGATCTGCCTGCCTCGGCCTCCCAAAGTGTTGGGATTACCGGCGTGAGCCACTGCACCCAGCCTTTGGCTTTTTGTATGTTAGTGATTGACCGAAAGCTTCAGGATGGGGGCTGGTCATCAGAAAGACCAAGGCAGGATTAGAGGGTTGAGACTTTGAGCCCCTACCCTCCCACCCCTGGGGAGTGGAGGGGACTGAGGATTAAGTTGATGGCAAGTAGCCAGTGGTTTAATCAATCATGCCTATGTAATGAAGCCTCCTTACAAACCCAAAAGGGGTGGATTCAGAGAGCTTCCAGAGAGCTGAACACATGGTGGTTCCTGGAGGGTCGTGCCTAGGGAGGGCATGGAGGCTCTGTGCCCCTTGCCCCATACCTCGCCCTAGGCATCTCTTCATCTGTATCCTTTGGAATATCCTTATAATCAGCCAGTAAATGTGTTTCCCTGAGGTCTGTGAGCCATTTTATTTTAGCAAATTAATCGAACCCAAAGAGGGGGTCGTAGGAATCCCAAATTGAACCCGTCAGTCAGAAGTTGTAGAGGCTGGGACTTGTGACTGGTGTCTGAAAGGGGACCAGTTTTGGGGGCTGAGCCCTTAGCCTGTGGGATGACAGTATCTCATGGTAGATAGTGTCAGAATCGAATTGGTGGACACCCAGCTGGTGTCTGCTGCAGAACTGATTCCTTGCTTGCTGATGGGGAGAAATCTCCTTGGATTTTGAGGCCACAGAAGTCTTCTGGTTTGATTGTTGTGGTTTTGTTGTGAAGCAGAGGAAGAACATAGTTTGAGTTTTTTCCAAATGGGTTCACATTGGGGGTTCTCAACCTCGAATCCATCAACTCCATCGCTGAATTTTTATTTATTTATTTATTTTTATTTTTGAGGTAGGGTCTCACTCTGTCTCCCAGGCTGGAGTGCAGTGGCACGATCTCGGCTCATTGCAGCCTTGATTTCCTGTGCTCAAGTGATCCTCCTACCTCAGCCTACCAAGTAAGCTGAAACCAGAGGCACACACCAGCACTCTGGCATAATTACAAATAATTTTCACTAGGAAAGACTCACTAGGTTGCCTAGGCTGGTCTTGAACTCCTGAGTTCAAGTGATCCTCCTACCTCTGCCTCCAAAGTGCTAGGATTACAGGCCTGAGCTGCCTCACCTATCACTGATTTTCTTTTTCTTTCTTTCTTTCTTTCTTTCTTTCTTTTTTTTTTTTTTTTTTGAGACAGTCTTACTCTGCCTTGCCCAGGCTGGACTGCAGTGGCACAATCTCAGCTCACTGCAGCCTCCGCCTGCCGGGTTCAAGTGAGTCTTCCTGTCTCAGCCTCCTGAGTAGCTGGGATTACAGGTGCCCGCAACCACACCCAACCAATTTTTGTATTTGTAGTAGAGACAGGGTTTCACCATGTTGGCCAGGCTGGTCATGAACTCCTGATCTCAAGTGATTCACCCACCTCTGCCTCCCAAAGTGCTGGGATTACAGGTGTGAGCCACCACACCCGGCCTTTTTTTTTTTTTTTTAAAGACAGGGTCTCACTCTGTTACCCAGACTGGAGTGCAGTGGCAGGATCATGGCATACTGCAGCCTTGACCTCCAGGGCTGAAGGGATCCTCCCACTTCAGCCTCCCAAGGAGCTGGGTTACAGGCATATGGCACCATGCTGGGCTAATATTTGTATTGTTTGCACAGACAGGGTTTTGCCATGTTGCCCAGTCTGGTCTCGAACTCCTGAGCTCCAGCAATCTTCCAACCTGAGCCTCCCAAAGTGCTGGGATTACAGGGAAGAGCCACCACACCTGGCCTATCACTGCATTTTTAAAGGGAAGGAGGACTATAGTGAGATTCACTAAGGATGACAGAAAAGGTAGAACCCTAGATAGATTTAAAGACAGAGATTACAATATACTTGAGATGAAAATATCCAAATTTAGCTTTCATAGATAGGGAAATTTGAAGTACATCAGACTATAAGGTGGCATTTTGTACAACTAATTAAAACTATGTTTGAAAGAGAGCAATTGCATTTTCATTATTATGAGTAATATTAAGCAACAATGAAAATAAATAGAAATACTTGAGAAATTGTTATATTTAAATCTTCCCTCCTTTTTTGGAAAGAGAAGTATTGATATTTTTAAAGATTCTAATCAAAATTTCTCTTTTAAAAAAATTGATGATTTTATGGAGATAGGGAGGGAATAACCTACGTTTATTGAACACCTAATATTCCACTTACCTGAATGTCATTTACTCTATATTATAGTTTTTTTTTTTTTTGAGACAGGGTCTTGCTCTGTCACCCAGGCTAGAGTGCAGTGGGGTGGTCACAGTTCACAGATGTACACCACCATGCCTGGCTTATTATTTTATTTTATTTTATTTTTGCAGAGACGGGGGTCTCCCTATATTTCCCAGGCTTGACTTGAACTTCTGGGCTCAAGCCATCCTCCTGCCTTGGCATCCCAAAGTGCTGGGATTATAGGCGTAAGCCACTGTGCTCAGCCACTATTATAGTCTTGATAGCAGAAGTGTCTCAGTGTACTGGAAAACTGTCTAAATTTTGAAAAACTATTTAAAAACACGTTGGTGTTATTTGGCCAACATGGATTTCTTTGCTCCATCATTATTTATTGGCATTATTAGCCTGTTGACTTTCAATTTCCTTAAATCCCTTTCACTCCATTTTTGTTTTTTTGGAGTTCTTTTTTTTTTCCCCCAAATAAAAGTTCTTTTTTATTTTCTTTTTTCTTTTTGAGACAGATTCTCGCTCTTGTCACCCAGGCTGGAGTGCAGTGGTGTGATCTCAGCTCACTGTAATCTTCACCTTTCAGGTTCAAGCGATTCTCCTGCCTCAGCCTCCCGAGTAGCCTAGATTACAGGCATGCGCCACCTCAGCCTGCTAATTTTTTGTATTCTTTTTTTTTTGAGATAGAGTTTCACTCGTGTTGCCCAGGCTGGAGTGCAATGGCACAATCTCTGCTCACTGCAACCTCTGCCTCCTGGGTTCAAGCGATTCTCCTGCCTCAGCCTCCCGAGTAGCTGGGATTACAGGTGTGAGCCACCAAACCCGGCTAATTTTTGTATTTTTACTAGAGACAGGGTTTTGCCATGTTGGCCAGGCTGGTCTGGAACTCCTGACCTCAAGTCATCTGCCCGCCTCAGCCTCCCAAAGTGCTGGGATTGCAGGCATGAGCCACTGTGCCCGACTTTTTTGTATTTTTATATTTATTTATTTATTTATATTTTGATACTGAGTCTCGCTCTGTTGCCCAGGCTGCAGTGCAGTGCCACGGTCTTGGCTCACTGTAACCTCTGCCTCCCATGCTTAAGCGATTCTCCTGCCTCTGCCTCCCGAGTAGCTGGGATTACAGGCACCTGCCACCACGCCTGGCTACTTTTTGTATTTTAATTTGAGACAGGGTTTCACCATGTTGGCCATGCTGGTCTCGAACTCCTGACCTCTGGTGATCCACCCACCTTGGCCTCCCAAAGTGCTGGGATTACAGGCTTGAGCCACTGCGCCTGGCCTTTTTCGTATTTTAAGTAGAGACCAGGTTTCACTATGTTGGTCAGGCTAGTCTCGAACTCCTGACCTCAAATGATCTACCCGTCTTGGCCTCCCAAAGTGCTGGGACTACAGGCATGAGCCACCACACATGGCCAAAATACTTATATTTTGAAGGACACAGTTCCCCAATTTTTTCCTGTTTGTGTTCATTTTAAGGAATGGTTGACCACATTCAAATAGATTAGCGTTTAGAAATAAGAAAAGAAACCATAAAGAAAAAGGTAGGCTTCAGTAAAATGCACATAAATTAAAATTTCTATACAGCCCCCTTCCTTAAAGGAATTTAAATGTGGACAGATCGGAGGGGAAAGGTTTGCAGCAAAAATCATAAGTAGAAGGAAACAGAATGGTTAAGTACACAGTGTAGTAGCCATTTAGGAAAGTTATAAGCCATTTAAATGCCATGTATAAAGTGTTTTTGATAAGAAAAAATCAAAGTGTAAAGGAGAATACAAAATTATATGTGTACTGCGGTCACATCTGTATTGTTCTGTGTATGGAAAACAGACTGGGGAGAAATAGCTTTAAGTCCTAATAGTAATTTTCATTTTCTCTCTTCTTTTTTCTGCTTTCTCTTTTCCCTGTCTCCCTCAATATTGCATATCTTTCCCATTAAAAAGTATTGTATTATATATCTACCAACAAGACATTTGTTTCAGATTTTTTGGTTTTGTCTTCAAGGAACATTCTTCTGCATACAACTTCATACTTTTAAAATTCTCTGGCCTGGCTCAGTGGCTCATGCCTGTAATCCCAGCACTTTGGGAGGCCGAGTTGGGTGGATTGCTTGAGGCCAGGAGTTTGAGACCAGCCTGGCCAACATGGTGAAACCCGGTCTCTACCAAAAATACCAAAAAAAATAGCCAGGTGTGGTGGTGTGTGCCTGTATTCCTAGCTACTTTGATGGCTGAGGCACAAGAGTCACTTGAACCCAGGAGGCAGAGGTTGCAGTGAGCTGTGATCACCTCACTGCACGCTAGCCTGGGCAACAGATTGAGACTTGTCTCAAAAAATAAAAATAAAAAATTATTGGCCGGGCGTGGTGGCTCACGCCTGTAATCCCAGCACTTTGGGAGGCCGAGGAGGGCCGATCACCTGAGGTCAGGAGTTTGATACCAGCCTGACCAACATGGAGAAACCCCATCTCTACTAAAAATACCAAATTAGCCAGGCGTGGTGGCACATGCCTGTAATCCCAGCTACTCGGGAGGCTGAGGCAGGAGAATCGCTTGAATCCAGGAGGAGGAGGTTGCAGTGAGCCGAGATCGCACCACTGCACTCCAGCCTGGGCAACAAGAGTAAAACTCCATCTCAAAAAAAAAAAAAAAAAAATCTTTACTTTGGATAAGTACTTAGAAATGGAATTTCCAGGTCAGCCACTAGATATTATTAATGGATTTAATACGAAAAACATTTACTTGAGGAAATATAAAGCTTTAAAAGACAGGGTCCCTATTCTTTAGTTATAAATAAAGCAGCATTTGTAAGGTAATATTCAGAAAACATCAGATAATATCATATAAAGTCCTCCTGTTCATGCTGATGACATTGGATGGCCAGTTAAGGATGACACTTCATTCTGTCCCCTGCAACCACGGTCCTGTCATGTCTAAATGATACTGACCCTATGAGAATGCTGTGGATGTGAAAGCATTTCTTCAAGTTAGCTTTTTGGCCTGCTGGTTTTAATCTAATGATGGGATATCCAAAGTGAAACTAATGGAGTGAAATGATTGTGCATCTGTTGGGAATCAGAGACAGCTAGAGCAAGGGCAGACATGTGCTGAACTCATCTCTCCTAAGAGCCAAAGCAAGCAGCAATGTTGCTAGCAGGGCTACTGCACATCTGTACACGTGGCTCCAATGGTTCTGACTTGTTTTTTTCCTAGTATGACCCTAATACAGGGGGCAAGTTAGAAAATCAGAGTTGCCCGGGCATGGTGGCTCACGCCTGTAATCCCAGTACTTTGGGAGCCAAGGTGGGTGGATCACTTGAGGCCAGGAGTTCGAGACCAGCCTCAGCAACACAGTGAAACCCCGTCTCTACTAAAAATACAAAAATTAGTTCGGCATGGTGGCAGGCGCCTGTAATCCCAGCTAAAGGAGGCTGAGGTTGCAGTGAGCTGAGATCAGGCACTTCAGCCTGGGCGACAGAGCGAGACTGCTTCAAAAAAAAAAAAAAAAAAAAAGGGAAAGGAAAGAAAAGAAAATCACAGCTTGTTAGCCACTTGCAGCTAAAGCAACAACACACATGCACAAAAATTATTCAGTAAAAACAAAACAGTTTTGGCGTATCTTGAGATTTTGTTTTATATCCAAAGGAAGACTATCTTTGAATTACTCTTTGGAAAATGCCTTCTATGTAACAAATGTTGTAGTTTTCTTCTAATTGGGTCTTGAGGTCTCTCAGGAGAATGGCTATAATAAACTCTAGCCTCACCCTAATGGGGCTCTAGGGGAGGGGCTTGTGGGTCTTTACAGTAGCCTTTCACCAGACATTTATTTTTCCTGGCCCACAGCCTAATGCTCAAGTGTCTGACCCATGACCAGGTGTCTCACAGGAAACTTGCTTATACTGGCAGATGCCCCTGTAACTTTTGTCTGACCTGTGTGCAGTTTATTCATACCATGATACTCACTTTTGTATTTTATTTTACTTTATTTTATTTTTTGAGACGGAGTCTTGATCCTTCACAGGCTGGAATGCAGTGGCATGACCTTGGCTCACTGCAACCTCCACCTTCTGGGTTCAAGCAATTCTTCTGCCTCAGCCTCCCGAGTAGCTGGGACTATAGGCGTGTGCCACCATGCCCAGCTAATTTTTGTATTTTTAGTGGAGACGGGGTTTCACCATGTTGGCCGGGATGGTCTCTATCTCTTGACCTCGTGATCCGCCCGACTCAGCCTCCCAAAGTGCTGGGATTACAGGCATGAGCCATCACACCTGGCCTTTGTTTGTTTGTTTGTTTGTTTGTTTGAGACAGGATCTTGCTCTGGTGCCTAGGCTGGAGTGCAGTGGCAGGATCACAGCTCACTGCATCCTCGACCTCCCGGGCTCAAGCAATCCTCCCACCTCAGCCTCCCAAGTAGCTGGGACTACAGGCATGTCCCACCACATCTGGCTAATTTGTATATGATATATATTTTTGTAGAGATGGGGTTTTGCCACATTGCCCAGAATTGGTCTTGAACTCCTGAGCTCAAGCAATTCATCTGCCTTGGCCTCCCAAAGTGCTGTGATTACAGGTGTGGGTTACCACACCCAGCCAATGTACATTTAATTATCGAAGTGCTATCTATACTATTTTATGGAAGTACTAATTAGTGAAGTGCATTAGAGGTTTTTTTTTGTTGTTGTTGTGTTTGTTTTGAGACAGAGTTTCGCTCTTATTGCCCAGTCTGGAGTGCAGTGGTGCGATCTTGGCTCACCGCAACCTCTGCCTCCCAGGTTCAAGCAATTCTCCTGCCTCAGCCTCCCAAGTAGCTGGGATTACAGGCATGCGCCACCACCCCCAGCTAATTTTGTATTTTTAGTAGAGACTAAAATGGTCTCTCCATGTTGGTCAGGCTGGTCTCAAACTCCCGACCTCAGGTGATCCATCCGCCTTGGCCTCCCAAAATGTTGGGATTATAGGTGTGAGCCACCGCGCCCAGCCAATAGAGGTTTTTAAACTTTTTGTAGATATTTTTGAAAGATCCTGTCTTCCTTTAAGAAATGAGGAAAGGCTGGGTGTGGTGGCTCATGCCTGTAATCCCAGCACTTTGGGAGGCCAAAGCAGGTAGATTGCTTGAGCCCAGGAGTTTGAGAGCAGCCTGACCAAATGGCAAAACCTCGTTTCTACTAAAAATACAAAAAATTAGCTGGACATGGTGGTGCACGCCTATAGTCACAGCTAACACAAAGGCTGAGGTGAGAGGATCACCTGAGCCTGGGAGGTTGAGGCTGCAGTGAGCTGTGATCATGCCACTGCACTCCAGCCTGGGCAACAGAACGAGACCCTGTCTCAAAACGAAAACAAAAACAAAAAAATGAAACAAGAGGAAAAAAAAAAACAAGAAAGAAAGTGGTAAGGGAGGAGTGCCTGTTTATTAAGCTTTTGTTGTAAATAGTAATTTGCATATCAGATGTTTACTGTAATATTCTTTCAGCTTTGCTAGGCCTACAGCTTGCTGTGTGCTTTTGTACTCTAGTTCATTTATTTGGGAAATAATATATCAATGTGTTTTATTCATTCCCAGCTCTAACCATGGAATATTCGGAATGTCCCATTCTATGAAGGAGGTTTGCTGGCTGCAACAGGAATATTCATGAACATGGAGGTACTTTGTTGAAGTTACACTAATTTTTTTACTCTTCCCCACTCTCATCCTAGCTGGTCTGCTCACTGTATTCTCTCCATCCTTCAGCACCCTTCCATCTCTTCCTTCATCTTAAAAACCTTTCCTTTAATTTCAACAGCGCTGCATGGGTTTGTCATTTCAGGGGTTGGTCATGTTCCAGGATCTGTCTATAGACTTCTCTCAGGAGGAATGGGAGTGCCTGGACGCTGCTCAGAAGGACTTATACAGAGATGTAATGATGGAGAACTACAGCAGCCTGGTCTCACTAGGTAAGGATGTCTATCCGCAAATAACTCATGAATTTTGGGTGTAGCTTTCAATTGTCTGGGTGACTTTTCACCTGTTGCCTAGGGAATTGTTTTGTGTTTTGTAGATTAATAGATGGGCAGCTCTTTGGGGTCACTCCATCTTCTCCATGCTTCAGAACTCTACACCTTCCTCTAGTCCTTCATGAGGACTAAGGGACTAACTTTGAATTCAGGAACAGCAGGAGTATGTCTCACTTCTTTTCTTTTTTTTTTTTTTTTTGAGACAAAGTCTCACTCTGTCGCCCAGGCTGGAGTGCAATGTCATGATCTCGGTTCACTCCAACCTCCGTCTCTCGGGTTCAAGCGACTCTCCTGCCTCAGCCTTCTGAGTAGCTGGGATTACAGGCACCCACCACCATGCCCAGCCAATTTTTGTATTTTTAGTAGAGACAGGGTTTCACCATGTTGGTCAGGCTGGTCTTGAACTCCTGACCTCAAGCAATCCACCTGTTTTGGTCTCCCAAAGTGCTGGGATTATAGGAGTGAGCCACCATGCCTGGCTATCTTACTTCTTTTCTTATAAACAGGTCTCTCTATCCCAAAGCCTGATGTGATTTCCTTACTGGAGCAAGGGAAAGAGCCCTGGATGGTTTCAAGGGACGTGCTGGGAGGATGGTGCCGAGGTGAGTAAGGACTGAGCACATGGGGAAGACACTGCTGTTTAGAAGCCAGCCTGTCAGGGAGGCAGCACCGTACAGGTATTGGTTGAGGAGTCTCTTCTTCAAGGTCCCATGTAAGGGTGGTGGCCTAAGACACATGAAGAGAAGTCACGATACACCCCCACACACACTTTTTAAAATTTTATTATTTATTTATTTATTTATTTTGAGATGGAGTCTCGCTCTGTCGCCCAGGCTGGAGTGCAGTGGCATGATCTCGGCTCATTGCAACCTCCGTCCCCAGGTTGAAGCGACTCTCCTGCCTCAGCCTTTGAAGGAACTGGCATTATAGGCATCCACCACCATGCCCAGCTAATTTTTGTATTTTCAGTAGAGACGGGGTTTTACCATGTGGGCTAGGCTGGCCTCGAACTCCTGACCTCAAGTGATCCACCTGCCTCGGCCTCTGAAAGTGCTGGGATTACAGGTGTGAGCCACTGCGCCTGGCCAAGAATCCCCTTTTACTTCCACCTCTTCAGTCTGTGCTACCCTCTTGTCATAATTTCTTCCCATTTCAAAGAATAAAGTTCCCTTCTTCGGGAGCCATCCTGTTTCCTCTGTCTTCAAGCTACTTCTTTCCCTTTGAAATTTAAACCTGTGTTCTTGCTTTAAAAAATTTTTTTTTCAAAATATATTTATTTTTCATACTGATCCTTAACTTTTTTTGTGTGTTGTCTTGTCTAGTTTTCCTTTGATGCAGACATTTCATGCATCAATGGATATTCATTCACTTTATTTTTTTGAAACAGAGTCTTACTCTGTCACCCAGGCTGGAGTGCAGTGGTGCAATATTGGCTCACTGCAACCTCCACTTCCCGGGTTCAAGTAATTCTCCTGCCTCAGCCTCTTGAGTAGCTGGGACTACAGGCATGTACCACCACAACTGGCTACTTTTTGTATTTTCAGTAGAGACAGGGTTTCACCATGTTGGCCAGGCTGGTCCTGAACTCCTGACCTCAGGTGATCCACCTGCCTCGGTCTCCCAAAGTGCCAGGATTACAGGTGTGAGCCACCACGTCTGACCTCATTCACTTTTAGTCAAAATTTATTGACTTAAAAAAAAAATCATAAAGCCTTCTTTTCTTGGTGGGTGACAGTTATGGAAGATATAAGCTATCAGAATTACAGTCTAATAAAGGGTTTATTTATTTATTTATTTTGAGACAATATCTCTTTGTGTTGCCCAGGCTGGAGTGCAGTGGAGTGATCTCGGCTCACTGCATCCCCTGCATCCTGAATTCAAGCAATTCTCGTGCCACAGCCTCCGGAGTAGCTAAGATTACAGGCACGCGCCACCACACCTGGCTAATTTTTTGTATTTTTAGTAGAGACAGGGTTTTGCCACATAGCCTAGGCTGGTCTTGAACTCCTGAGCTGAGGCAATCTGCCCACCTCGGCCTCCCAAAGTGCTAGGATTACCGGCGTGAGCCACCACACCCAGCCTAATAAAGGGTCTAAATCATTGTATAAATCACTTTCTAAAAAGTAGACTCAACCAGGAGATTTCTAATATGGTGCTTAGAAGAAAGAACTGTAGATATAAATGTGAAGGAATAGGATATGCCTGCTTTTAGGAGGAAAAGGTACACTGAAATGATTGTGTATAAAAGAGGACAATAAGTTAAATATAGAAGACTTAAGTGTCAAGGAAAAGGAGTGATCCATTTTCAATAAGTTGGTGACAATGTTAACATGGACAAAAATTGGGCTGTAAGTAGCATAGACTGAGGGATTTTTCTTTTGAAGTAGAAAAGATAAGGCATTTTGTTTTTCAAAATGTGCTTTTAAGTAATGCAAACTATCCATTTTAAAAAGCGTTTTAATTGTAGGATATAGATGACTATTTCCCTTTATCCATAGAACATTACAAAAAAATTTTTTTTTAATTATTAACTTGATTACGGAGGTCTTTGAACATACACAAAAGTAGAAAGGATGGTGTAATGGACATCCCCCAAATCCATTTCCTAGCTGCAGTAGTTATCAATGAGTTTCCATGTTTCCAATCTTACTTGATCTATGCCTGTTGACCTCTGCACCTTCCCTTAACTAAAGCAAGTCCTGGATATCATGAGTTCAATAATATTAAATGTATAGGTAGCTTTTCAGTGTTGCTTCTTCTTTTTTTGTTTTTGTGACAGGGTCTCTCTGTTGCCCATGCTGGAGTACGGTGGCACAATCACAGCTCACTGCAGCCTTGACCTCCAGGACTCAAGTGATCCTCCCACCTCTGCCTCCTGAGTAGCTCAGACTACAAGCACACACCACCACACCCAGTCAATTTCTAATTTTTTTTGTAGAGATGGGTTCTCCCTGTGTGCCACGGGCTGGTCTGGAACTCCTGGGCTCAGGCAGTCCTCCCACTGCCTCACTTTCCCAAACTGCTGGGATTACAGGCATGAGCAACTGTGCCCAGGTGTTTCTTCTATTTAAAATGACTGCTCTGATGTATCTTTATTTAAATGGACATTTTCATATTTAATCTTTCAGATGTGAGATTCCTGGGCCAATATTTTTTTTTTTTTTAGACGGAGTCTTGCTCTGTTGCCAGGCTGGAGTGCTGTGGCACGATCTTGGCTGACTGCAACCTCCGACTTCCTGGTTCAAGTGATTCTCCTGCCTTAGCCTCCTGAGTAGCTGGGATTACAGGCATGTGCCACCACACCCAGCTAATTTTTTTTTTTGTATTTTTAGTTGAGATGGGGTTTCACCACATTGGCCAGGATGGTCTTGATCTCCTGACCTCGTGATCTGCCTGCCTTGGCCTCCCAAAATGCTGGGATTACAGACATGAGCCACTACACCCGGCCTGGTTTTAACTTTTTAAAGCTCATGACAGTCTAGGACAGAAATGCATGATCCACTGGAGCTGCCTCATCCAACTCAGTTCAGACAAGTATTCGTAGCTGGTTAGTTAATTTAAAAGTTTAAAGTGAAAAGATCTGATATGCCACAACCATATGATTTTAGATGAGAGCATTTAATCAGAGATGGGTGGATCACTTGAGACCAGCCTGGCAAATGTGGCGAAATCCCCTCTGTACTAAAAATAAAAAAATTAGCCTGGTGTGGTGCTGCATGCCTGTAATCCCAGCTACTTGAATGACTGAGGCACGGAATTGATTGAATCCAGGAGGAGGAGGAGGAGCAATGAGCCGAGATCACACCACTGCACTGCAGTGTGAGTGACAGAGTGAGACTCTGTCTCAAGAAAACAAAAAAAGAACTTTTTAATTTTCATGATACAATTTTTAATCCATGAGCTTTTGTAAATGTTTTGCCTTTAATTTTTTCCCATTTTTAATAGTTGTTTTTGTTACTGAATTTATTTATTTGCTTACTTACTAGTCTCTGATAGTAGGGCAAAGCATTTTGTTTGAAAATGGGCACCCTGCTAGGAGTTCTGCCTCATTTTGTATACATACTACACCTGTAAGGCATGAGTCGTCATTTAAGGTTTTAGTTTTTTATGTGAAGGGACAACACAAAGGTTCTTGCAATCCAGTTTCAACAGATGGTTCATGAAAGCTGTGCTGTTCCATACAGTAGCCGCTAGCTACATGGGGCTAATTAGATTTAACTGTAAAGTAATTGAAATTAAAATGAAAAATTCACTTTTTGGCCAGGCACAGTGACTAACACCTGTAACTCCGGGGCTTTGGGAGGCTGAGGCAGGAGGATTGCTTGAGTCCAGGAGTTCAAGGCTGCAGTGAGCTGTGATTGCACCACTGCATTCCAGCCCGGGTGGCAGAGCAAGACCCTGTCTCAAAAAGAAAAAGAGGCTGGGCGCAGTGGCTCACACCTGTAAATCCCAGCACTTTGGGAGGCTGAGGTGTGCAGATCACTTGAGGTCAGGAGTGGTCTGGTCAACATGGTGACCAGCCTAATCAACACAGTGAAACAACATCTCTACTAAAACAAACACACAAAAAATTAGCCGGGTGTGGTGGCAGTCACCTGTAATCCCAGCTACTCATGAGGCTGAGGATGGAGAATCGCTTGAACCCAGGAGGCAGAGGTTGCAGTGAGCCAAGATCACACCACTGCACTCCAGCCTGGGCAACAGAGCAAGACTCTGTCTCAAAAAAAAAAAAAAAAAAAAAGAAACTATATTTCCTGTTTGTGCTTCCTTTTTATGTTTCATCTTTTCTACTTCATTATTTGGTTTTATTTTCTTACTAATTTTTAGGAGTGACTCATTCATTCATTTTTTCATTTATTTATAATTATGGTAAAACATACATAACATAAATGTATTACTATTTTAACCATCTTTGATTGTATTCATATTGTGCAACCATCTGCACATTCATTTCTAGAACTCCTGAAATTCCAACATAATCACGACGGATCTACCCATTTGGGTTAAGAAAAGCTTCTATTTACTAGTTATCTTATTGTTAGCATATCCCAACGGACCCCTGCCAAAGTTTGCCCCTCAGATAAACAAAAATTCAACACTATATAGCATGGGAATATTCATTGCTGGCTAGGAACAGACCATCTCTGACACTGCCAGGAAGCATCAAACTAGCCAGTCAAATGAAAATGTGCCTACATTTGGAATGAGTAATCTCACTTTTTGGACTGTCTGCTACAGAAATAAAAGAAGTAGCTAATTCTGATATATACAGAAACACATTTCCTGGAACAGCAGTAACAATCTAAATGGGCATTAACAAAAACTGTTACAGGCCAGGCTCGGTGGCTCACGCCTGTAATCCCAGCACCTTGGGAGGCCAAGGCGGGTGGATCACGAGGTCAGGAGTTCGACACCAGCCTGGTCAACATGGTGAAAACCCCATCTCTACTAAAAATACAAAAAATTAGCCAGGCGTGGTGGCGCATACCTGTAGTCCCAGCTACTTGGGAGGCTGAGGCAGGCAAATTGGTTGAGCCCAGGAGGCGGAGGTTGCAGTGAGCCAAGATCATGCCATTGTACTCCAGCCTAGGCAACAGAGCAAGACTCTGTCTTGAGGGGGAAAAAAAATGTGACATTATGGTATATCCACATAATGGGATATTATGCAGCTATTCAAGGAAATGAAGTAAATCTATAAATAGTAACTATATAACTATCCTTTATCTGTTGTTATCTGGGGGGAAAAGTTGCACATCAATATGTATAGGACAATTCTATTTTTATAAAAAGAAAAAAATGCACACATAGATACACATACATCACATATGAATGGGTGAATATGTGGATGTGCATCAACTTGGGAAAAGAAACACTCCAGACAAGAATGCATTCCTCTGGGGGTAGAAAAACATGTGTTCCAAATAGAAGTAAACATTTGCAAATACACATCTTCCTGGAAATAAGGTTATGTAGTGTGCTGAAAGTATAGTTGAGATCTTAGTGAACAAGTAGGTGATATGGCACTTAAAACATTGGCTCAAGGCCAGGTGCGGTGGCTCATGCCTGTAATCCCAGCACTTTGGGAGGCCAAGGCAGGTGGATCACAAGGTCAGGAGATTGAGACTATCCTGGCCAACATGGTAAAACCCCGTCTCTACTAAAAACACAAACATTAGCTGGGTGTCATGGCGGGCGCCTGTAATCCCAGCTACTAGGGATGTTGAGGAAGGAGAATCGCATGAAACCAGGAAGCGGAGGTTGCAGTGAGTCAAGAACACACCACTGCACTCCAGCCTGGCAACAGAGTGAGACTCCATAAAAAAAAAAAAAAAAAAAAAGGCTAAAAACTAGATATATAAAAAAACTATGTAGTTACTTTATTTACTAGTGGTGTCAAGACTTTCTAACTTCTTTAAGCATTATTAAACATAATAATTCTCTTTAATATTAGTATTTGAAGCCTTTTGGTTCTGTTTCTGCTGTTTTTTTTCTTCATGTGATTTCCCATTTCCCTGTACGTGTTAGTTTTTTTGTTTTTTGTTTTTTTTTTTTATTGCGAAGTGCTCTCTCTTTCCTTGAAACTTTGTGAGAATATTTTGAGCGTTGAGTTGAGGTTGATTTCGTCCACAGAGGTTTTGTCTTTGCTTTTTGCCTGTTGCCTAAGACACAGCCCGGCCCATGATACAATTTTTATTGTCATCACTTAGCATCAAAGTAATTTTTAGGCCAGGTGCGGTGGCTCATGCCTGTAATCCCAACACTTTGGGAGGTGGGTGGATCACTTGAGGCCAGGAGTTTGAGACCAGCCTGGCCAACATGGCGAAACCCTTTCTGTACTAAAAATACAAAAATTAGCTGGGTGTGGTGTTGCATGCCTGTAATCCCAGCTACTCAAATGGCTGAGGCACAGAACTGATTGAACCTGGGAGGTGGAGGTTGCAGTGAGCCGAGATTGCACCACTGCATTCCGGCACGGGTGACAGAGCGAGACTCTGTCTCAAAAAAACCGAAAAAGAATTTTTTAATTTGCATGATGCCATTTTTAACCCATAAGCTTTTGTAAATGTTTTGCATTTAAATTCTTTTCCCATTTTTTATTCCTGAATTCAACCTTAATTGCACTATAGTCAATATTTACATGGTCAGTATGAGACCAGTTTCTGGAAGTGTGTTCAGACTTACTTCACGCACTGCTGAATTGTCAGTGTTTTTGTGGGGGTGGGGATTCACGTGTTCCTGTGCTTTCTTTTAATTGCTGCGTGTAGAATTCTCACATGTTCAACATATCATGCTTGTTAATTTGATGTAAAGATCCTCTGTATCCTTTTATATTTTCTGGGTGCTTGACCTCTCAGTTATTAAAAGAGGTGTATTGAAATCTCCCACAATCAGCCGTGCGTGGTCGCTCACGCCTGTAATCCCAGCACTTTGGGAGGCCGAGGTGGGTGAAACACAAGGTCAGTAGCTCAAGACCAGGCTGGTCAAGATGGTGAAACCCCATCTCTACTAAAAATACAAAAAATTAGCCGGGCGTGGTGGCAGGCGCCTGTAATCCCAGCTACTTGGGAGGCTGAGGCAGGAGAATCGCTTGAACTCGGAGGGCAGAGGTTGCAGTGAGCTGAGATCGTGCCACTGTACTCCAGCCTGGGTGACAGAGTGAGACTCCATCTCAAAAAAAATAACTAAAAAAAAGAAATCTCCCACAATCAAGATGAAGCCTAAACTTTTTGTATTTTCTCAATTTTTACTTTGCATATTTAGAGTTTATTTTACTGGATGCTTACAAATTTAGAATTGTTATATCTTTTTGGTGAATGAACGTTTTATTATGTAGTAATCCTCTTTATTCCCAAGAATGTTTTCACCTTAAAGTCTATTTTTTTCCAGTGCTAAGACCCTAGCTTTCTATTCATGAATACTTGCCTGATTTTCATTTTCTTAGTTTTTACTTCAACTTTTTTGTGTCCTCATGTTTTTAGTCACTTTTTATTTTAAAAGGGTTGAAATTTACTTTTTCT
This sequence comes from Homo sapiens, assembly GCF_000001405.40. Lineage (NCBI taxonomy): Eukaryota > Metazoa > Chordata > Mammalia > Primates > Hominidae > Homo > Homo sapiens. Next base: position 36,754,226 of record NC_000019.10, on the reverse strand, counting down.
TTGTTTACATTCCTTATAATTAGTGATGTATTTGGATTTTTTTTTTTTTTTTTTTGAGACAGGGTCTCTCTCTCTCTGTTGCCCGGGCTGAGTGCAGTGGAGCAATCACAGCTCACCACAGCCTCAACCCCCTAGGCTCAAGCAATCTGCATACCTCAGCCTCCCGAGTAGCTGAAAATACAGGCACAATCCACCTCTCTTGGCCTGTTTGAATTTTTTTAACCAGCTTATTCTATTTGTCTCACTTTTCCTGTCTTCTGTTGCCTGTTTTATTTTACACTGTTTTAGATTTGAGGTTTTAAAAAAATCTGATGCCCATACTTAGTTCGATTCCACTGATTTGGAAGTTGAAAGCATGGACTCTTGAGCCAGATTGCCTCCATTCAAATCCTAGCTCTGCTATTTAATACCTCTATGACTTTTGGCAATTTACTTAACCTCTCTGGTCCTCATTTGCAAATATATATGCTATTCACAGGATTCTTCTGAAGATTAAATGAGCTTATATAGTAAATGTGTAAAGCAGTGAAAATAGTGCCTGGCATATAGCAAGCATGGTGTGTAAGCTATTTTTTTTTTTCCTGTCCATTTTGTTCTTATTATTGGGATTTCATCATGCATAATTTTTTTTTAAGAGACAGGTTCTCCCGTGGTCACCCAGGCTGGAGTGCAGTGGCTTGACCACAGCTCATTGCAGCATTGACTTTCCGGGCTCAGGTGATCCTCCCGCCTTAGCCTCCCGAGTACCTGAGGCTACAGGCATGTGCCACCACACCCGGCTTTTTTTTTTTTTTTTTTTTTTTTGAGACAGTGTCCCAGGCTGTTGCCCAGGCTGGTCTTGAACTCCTGGGCTCTGGTAATCTTGCAGTCTTGGCATCCCAAAGTGTTGGGATTAGAGCCATGAACCACCATGCCTGGCTTATAGAACTTTTACTTTTTTTTTTTTTTTTTTTTTCCTGAGATGAAGTCTCGCTCTGTCGCCCAGGCTGGAATGCAGTGGCACAATTTCGGCTCACTGCAAACTCTGTCTCCTGGATTTAAGCAATTCTTCTGCCTCAGCCCCCTGAGTAGCTGAGAATTCAGGCGTGCACCACCATGCCTGGCTTATTTTGTATTTTTAGTAAAGTCGGGGTTTTGTCATGTTGACCAGGCTGGTCTTGAATTCCTGACCTCAGGTGATCCACCTGCCTCAGACTCCCAAAGTGCTGAGATTACAGGCGTGTGCCACCGCACCTGGCCCCGTAGAACTTTTAAAATTTACCATCCATGGCACTCATGGCACCTCAGATTTTTTTTAGAAAACCTCATCACTTCTGAATAAATTTTAGCTGTTCCATCTTGAATATAGTTTGCTCCCTGTTCTTTCAGTATTACTTTCAGGAAGACAAATGAATTCTTTGACTTTTCTTTATGACTTTTAACCTTGCTTTTGCATTTCCAGTTATTTAACCATTCCAGTGAGGTTTTGTTGTTGATTTCTTTCTCTTTTTCTCCTTGAAATTTATATGTTGAAGAAACTGGATCATCTGTCATTTAACATTTAGCTCTCCTCCCTTTACTCCTTTCTTTCCTATAAACAGACTATGTGATATTAGTATTGTGTATTTCATCAAGAAGCACATATCTGGTTGTTTCTGTTTTTGTGAAGTTAGCAGCCATTCCTCATCTCATCCCCTAAAAATTACTAGGTAATTTTAAAATTGTCCTTATGAACACACAGATTTAAAAAAATTTGATGTGATTTATTGTAATTACATTACAATGATTACAGTTTTTATTCTTGAATTCATGCTCAACTTGTCCCATCTTTGGCCAATGGGACCCTCTTCACAATGGTTCCTGAGTCTTTTTGACATGACCCTAGGAGTCTTGAATAAGCTTCTTTGCTTTTCTAATATGCCAGCTTTTTCCATGCTCATAATGCACACTTTCTGTTCTAATCCCAAGATGCTCCAAGGAGCCTAGGTTCTGTGTAGTAAGAAATGGTATTTAGAGACAGTAATCTGTCATTAGCGTGTTCATTGCTGCCAGATTGGTTGTTTCTAAGGCTTCAATGGATGAAGATGTATAGTATTTTTTAAAAATCATGATTGCACTCTTATACTGCCAATTCAAATTCATTCATTGAATTTTAAGTTTCAATGATTCATTTTTTAATTTTTAGATACTGATACCCCATTTGTGTCTTTTACAAAAATTTGCTTGGCCTTTTTGCTAGTGAGATGTTACTTTCTCACTTTAAAAAAGTAAACTTTAGGTTTTAGGATAGTTTTAGACTTACAGAAAAGTTGTGAGGTTAGTACAGAGACTTCCCATATACATCACATGTAGTTTCCCATTAACATTTTATATTTGTACATTTGTCATAATTAATGAATGAATGTTGATCCTATTAAATAATAACATTGTTGAAGCAATGTTGTTATTATTATTTACCTTTCCTATGGTGCTGAGATCTATTATTATTAATGGAAACCCCTACTTTACTCAGATTTCCTTAGCTTTTTTTTTTTTTTTTTTTTTTTTTTGAGATGGAGTCTGGTTTTTGTTGCCTAGGCTGGAGTGCAATGGTACGATCTTGGCTCACTGCAACCTCAGCCTCCCGGGCTCAAGTGATTCTCCTGTCTCAGCCTCCCGAGTAGCTGAGATTACAGGCATGGGCCACACGTCTGGCTCATTTTTGTATTTTTAATAGAGACAGGGTTTCACCATGTTGGCCAGGCTGGTCTTGAACTCCTGACCTTGTGGTCCGCCCGCTTCAGCCTCCCAAAGTGCTGGGATTATAGGTGTGAGCCACTGTGCCTGGCCTCCTTAGCTTTTACCTAATGTCCTTTTTTCCTATTCTAGGATCTTGGCTAGGCTAACACATTGCATTGAGTCATTATGTTTCCCTTGGCTCCTCTTTGCTTTGACAGCTTTTCAGGCTTTCCTTGTTTGTGATTATCTCAATAGTTTTGGAGAGTACTGGCCAGGTATTTCATAGATTGTCTCTCATTTTGGGATTTGTCTGGTGTTTTTCCAGTGATTAGACTGGAGTTCAGTATTTTTAGAAGGAAGATCACAGAGATAAAATACTGTTCTCATCACATCATATAAGGGTACATACTATCACCATGTATACCATGTATGTACACCATCTTTTTTTTTTTTTTTTTTTTTTTAAGACAGGGTCTTGCTCTGTGGCCCAGGCTGGAGTGTAGTGGCACAATCACAGCTCACTGCAGCCTTGAACTCCTGGGCTCAAGCAATCCTCCTGTCTCAGACTCCCAAAGCGCTGGGATTACAGGCATGAGCCACCACGCCCAACACATCTTTAATTCTTAAGGACATTATTTTCAGTTTGTCTCCCCTTTCTACCATAGATGTTTTTATTTCTACTCAACAAGGAAATGCTATGTTTTTGCTTTCTGGTTATTTTTCAGACTCGGAGTTTAGATGTAAGACCAAAGATTCATGTTTGCCAAAAGAAATCTATGAAGTAACATCATCTCAGTGGGTGAGAATGGAAAAATGTCATAGCCTTGTGGGCTCCAGTGTCAGAGATGACTGGGAATGCAAAGGCCAGTTTCAGCACCAAGATATAAATCAGGAGCGATATTTGGAAAAAGCAATAATGACTTATGAAACAACACCAACTTTCTGCCTACAGACATCTCTCACTCTGCATCATCGGATTCATCCTGGAGAGAAACTGTATAAATCCACAGAATGTATGGCTTTTAAGTATGGCTCAGAACTTACACAACAGCAAGAAACCCATACTGGTGAAAAACTCTATAAATGTAAGGAGTGTGGGAAGGCCTTTCATCACTTTTCCTATCTTGTTAAACATCAGAGAATTCATACTGGGGAAAAGCCCTGTGCATGTAAAGAATATGGAAAAGCTTTTATTTCTGGCTCACATCTTATTCAACACCAGAAAATGTATACAGATGAGAGACCTCATGAGTGTCAGGAATCCGTGAAGGCCTTTAGACCGTCTGCACATCTTATTCAACATTGGAGAATTCATACTGGTGACAAACCTTATGAATGTAAAGAATGTGGGAAATCTTTTACTTCTGGCTCAACACTAAATCAACATCAGCAAATTCACACTGGTGAGAAACCCTATCATTGTAAGCAATGTGGAAAATCTTTTACTGTTGGCTCAACACTAATTCGACACCAGCAAATTCACACTGGTGAGAAACCGTATGATTGTAAGGAATGTGGAAAATCTTTTGCTTCAGGCTCAGCACTAATTCGACATCAGCGAATTCACACTGGTGAGAAACCCTATGACTGTAAGGAATGTGGAAAATCTTTTACTTTTCACTCAGCTCTAATTCGACATCAGCGAATTCACACTGGTGAGAAACCCTATGATTGTAAGGAATGTGGGAAATCTTTTACTTTTCGCTCAGGGTTAATTGGACACCAGGCAATTCACACTGGTGAGAAACCCTATGATTGTAAAGAATGTGGAAAATCTTTTACTGCTGGCTCAACACTAATTCAACATCAGCGAATTCACACTGGTGAGAAACCCTATGATTGTAAGGAGTGTGGGAAATCTTTTGCTTCGGGCTCAGCACTACTTCAACATCAGCGGATTCACACTGGTGAGAAACCCTATTGTTGTAAGGAATGTGGAAAATCTTTTACTTTTCGCTCAACACGCAATCGACACCAGCGAATCCACACTGGTGAGAAACCCTATAATTGTAAAGAATGTGGAAAATCTTTTGCTTCTGGCTCAGCACTACTTCAACATCAGCGAATTCACACTGGTGAGAAACCCTATCATTGTAAGGAATGTGGAAAATCTTTTACTTTTCGCTCAGGGCTAATTGGACATCAGGCAGTTCACACTGGTGAGAAACCCTATGATTGTAAAGAATGTGGAAAATCTTTTACTTCTCGCTCAGCACTAATTCAACATCAGCGAATTCACACTGGTGAGAAACCCTATCACTGTAAGGAATGTGGAAAATCTTTTACTGTTGGCTCAACACTACTTCAACATCAGCAAATTCACACTGGTGAGAAACCTTATGATTGTAAGGAATGTGGGAAGGCCTTTAGACTTCGTTTACGACTTACTCAACATCAACAAATCCATACTGGTGAGAAACCTTATCAATGTCAGGAATGTGGGAAAGCCTTTGTCAGTGTCTCAGGACTCACCCAACATCACAGAATTCACACTGGTGAGAAACCCTATGAATGTCCGGACTGTGGGAAGGCCTTTAGACAGCGTACATACCTTAATCAACATCGGAGAATTCATACTGGTGAGAAACCTTATGAATGTAAAGAATGTGGGAAATCTTTTACTTTCTGCTCAGGACTAATTCAACATCAGCAAAATCACACTGATGAGAAACCCTATGATGGTAAGGAATGTGGGAAATCTTTTACTTCTCACTCAACACTAATTCAACATCAGCAAATTCACACTGGTGAGAAACCCTATGATTGTAAGGAATGTGGGAAATCTTTTACTTCTCACTCAACACTAATTCAACATCAGCAAATACACACTGGTGAGAAGCTCTATGATTGTAAGGAATGTGGGAAATCTTTTACTTCTCATTCAACACTAATTCAACATCAGCCACTTCACACTGGTGAGAAACCTTATCATTGCAAGGAATGTGGGAAATCTTTTACTCTTCGCTCAGCACTAATTCAACATCGGCCAGTTCACACTGGTGAGAAACGCTACAGTTGTAAAGAATGTGGGAAATCTTTTACTTCTCGCTCAACACTAATTGAACATCAGCGAATTCACACTGGTGAGAAACCCTATCATTGTAAGGAATGTGGAAAATCTTTTGCTTTTCGCTCAGCAATAATCCAACATCGGCGAATTCACACTGGTGAGAAACCCTATGATTGTAAGGAATGTGGCAAGGCCTTTAGACGTCGTTCAAAACTTACTCAACATCAACGAATCCATACTGGTGAGAAACCTTATCGATGTCATGAATGTGGAAAAGCCTTTGTCCGTTTCTCAGGACTCACCAAACATCACAGTATTCACACTGGCGAGAAACCCTATGAATGTAAGACATGTGGGAAGTCCTTCAGACAGCGTACACACCTTACTCTACATCAGAGAATTCATACCGGTGACAGACCTTATGAATGTAAAGAATGTGGGAAATCTTTTACTTGCGGCTCAGAACTAATTCGACATCAGCGAACTCACACTGGTGAGAAACCTTATGATTGTAAGGAATGTGGGAAGGCCTTTAGATGTCCTTCACAACTTAGTCAACATAAACGAATCCATACTGGTGAGAAAACTTATCAATGTCCGGAATGTGGGAAAGCCTTTTTCTATGCCTCAGGACTCAGCCGACATCAGAGTGTTCACACTGGCGAGAAACCCTATGAATGTAAGACATGTGGGAAGGCCTTTAAACAGCTTACACAGCTTACTCGACATCAGAGAATTCATGACCTAACATAATTAATGTAGGAAACTGTTCTCATGCCATTTGTCATGGATCATCAGCAGATTCCATATGTGGGTCAAATACAATGGATGTGTATTACTTCATATTCACTTTTTCCAGAATTACGACTTTTTTTTTTTTTTTTGAGACGGAGTCTTGCTCTGTCGCCCAGGCTGGAGTGCAGTGGCGCTATCTCGGCTCACTGCAAGCTCTGCCTCCTGGGTTCATGCCATTCTCCTGCCTCAGCCTCCCTAGTAGCTGGGACTACAGGTACCTGCCACCACGCCTGGCTAATTTTTTTGTTTTTGTATTTTTAGTAGAGACAGGGTTTCACTGTGTTAGCCAGGATGGTCTCGATCTCCTGACCTGGTGATCCACCCACCAAAATTAGGACATTTAATACTGAAAGAAATTGATAATGAATGTAGATGAGTTTTCTATCATGATTCAAAGCTTATTGAAGTTATACAAATTCATATTAGAGAATGTGGTCAATGACAAAAGACAACCATTTACTACCTACGTGACATTAGGCTAGTTATGTAAATTCTCTGTGCCAAAATTACTAATTGATAAAATGTTGATGGCAATAGTTGTTTTTGTGTATTTTTTGTTTGTTTGTTTTGTTTTGAGACAGAGTCTTGCTCTGTTGCCCAGGCTGGAGTGCAGTGGTGCTATCTTGGCTCACTGCAACCTCTGCCTCCTGGGTTCAAGTGATTCTCCTGCCTCTGCCTCCTGAGTAGCTCAGATTACAGGCATGCACCACCATGCTTGGCTAATTTTTGTATTTTTAGTAGAGACGGGGTTTCACTGTGTTGGTCAGGGTGGTCTCAAACTTTTGACCTCGTGATCCCCCTACCTCGGCCTCCCAAAGTGCTGGGATTACAGGTGTGAGCCACCACGCCTGGCTAGTAATAGTTTTTTTATAATAAATAAGTGTGACTATATTTTTCATGTTTGACTACTGACTTTGTTTTAAGCTTCGCCTTCCCTGTCTATTTCCCTGTCTACTTTAGCCCATAACTGCAAAGGTGGCTAAGAAAGTCCTTGCTGGAAAGAAAGCAAGCAAAACTAAAGTCTGTGCGCACCTTCTCCTTTGGATCCAGTGGGCAATTTATATTAGAAATTCCAAGCCGGGCGTGGTGGCTCACGCCTGTAATGCCAGCACTTTCGGAGGCTGAGGTGGGTGGATCACCTGAGGTTAAGAGTTCAAGACCAGCCTGGCCAACATGTTGAAACCCCATCTCTACTAAAAATACAAAATCAGCCAGACATGGTGGCATATGCCTGTAATCCCAGCTATTCAGGAGGCAAGGCTGGAGAATCGCTTGAACCTGGGAGGCGGATGTTGCAGTGAGCCAGTCAGTGGAGCAGTCAGAACACACACAGTGTTTATCAATTAAGTTTGTAGTCAGAACACACACCATGTTTATCAATTAAGTTTGCTGTCTTATATGGACACAGTTTGTGATGCCCTAAAACAAGTAGTGGTGCCTAAGATAATCATAGGCCACCATAACAGATATAACAACAATGAGAAAGTTGAAATATTGTTGGGATCATCCAAATATGACACAGATACAAAGTGAGCACATGCTGGTGAATAAATGGAGCCAATAGACTTGTTCACTGCATGGTTACGTCAGAGGCGTGTAAACCAGAGCAACTTCTTCTTGAATAGGAGCTGTGTAAAGTAACACTGAAACCTACTGGACTGCATTCCTAGACAGATAAGTCATTCTAAGTCACAAGATGAGATATGAGGTCAGCATAAGATACAGGTCATAAAGACCTTGCTGAGAAAACATCTTGCAGTAAAGAAGTCGGCCAAATCCAAGATGGTGACAAGAGTGACCTCTGGTCGTCCTCACTGCTATACTCCCAGCAGCACCATGACACCCAGCTAAGTTTTTATTTTTTATTTCAGTAGAGTTGGAGTCTTGCTTTGTTACCCAGGCTGGTCTTGAATTCCTGTCTTCAAGCAATCTTCCCACCTTATGAATATAAAGAATGGCCCACCTTGTCCTCTCAAAGTGCTGGGATTACAATCATGAGCCACTGCACCTGGGACTTTCTTTTTCTTTTTTCTTTTTTTTTTTTTTGAGATGGAGTTTTGCTCTTGTTGCCCAGGCTGGAGTGCAATGGCACGATCTTGGCTCACTGCAACCTCCGCCTCCCAGGTTCAAGCGATTCTCTTGACTCAGCCTCCTGAGTAACTGGGATTACAGGCATGCTCCACCATGCCCGACTAATTTTTGTATTATTTAGTAGAGACGGGGTTTCTCCATGTTGGTCAGGCTGGTCTCTGAACTCTGGGCAGGACTAATTTAGATAAGGTAGTCAGGAAAGGCATTTCTTACAAGGTGGTATTTGCATGAATGTAGACATATGGTTGCATTTTATTATATGTAAATTACACTTCAATAAAGTTGATGAAAAAAATCTTACCTCATCGTCTATGCACTTCGGATTGTTGTATTTCATTCTATTTAAATTACACTTGCGTTTAAAAAATTTAACACTTCTCTAAAACATATCTGTTGATTTGTACTTTTACTAATATGCTTATGGATGATTTATATACACACACACACACACACATATCTTTTAAGAAGGTTATTTTAAGGTTAATCAATTGAGGCTTTGTCTCAATTGATTTTTTTTGAGACAGTCTCGTTCTGTCGCCCAGGCTGGAGTGCAGTGGCGTGATCTCGACTCACTGCAAGCTCCACCTCCCAGGTTCACGCCATTCTCCTGCCTCAGCCTCCCTAGTAGCTGTGACTACAGGTGCCCGCCACCACGCCTGGCTAATTTTTTGTATTTGTAGTAGAGACGGAATTTCACCATGTTAGCCAGGATGGTCTCAATCTCCTGACCTCATGACCCGCCCACCTCGGCCTCCCAAAGTGCTGGGATTACAGGCGTGAGCCACCCCGCCCGGCTCAATTGATTCTTTTGTCTCAATTTGTAGTCAGTTGAGGTTTGTCTCAATTTATGGAAACAAATCAAATGTTTGTTCTCAAATTCTTACTCTGTCATTTATTATTCTCCATGTTTTTGTAACTGCTTCCTTGGAGATATTTAAACATAAATATATACAGAGAGGGTGAAGATGGAGGAGTGCTTTTTACAGTTCACAGTTGTCTTTTTCATGTGTGACAGGTTTTTGCTGTGTTGCCCAGGCTGGAGTGCAATGCCACAATCTTGGCTCACTGCAGCCTCAACTTCCCGGGCTCAATCGATCCCCCACCTCAGCCTCCCGAGTAGCAAGGACTACAGGCGCACACCACCACACCTAGCTAATTTTTGTATCTTTTGTAGAGACAGGGTTTCACCATGTTGTCCAGGCTGGTCTTGAACTCTTGGGCTCAATTGGTCCTAGCACCTCAGCCTCCTAGGTGCTGGGATTACAGGTGTGAGCCACTGTGTTCAGCCAATACTCTTAACGTTTTTACTTTTCACTTTTAAAAATTAACTCTTTTTATGAAAAAAGTAGAATTTTTTAAAGAGCAGAGAAAAGCACAATGAAGACAGAAAGATCACCTGTATATTCTTATTGACCAAAGATGATCTATTTGGGGTAAATCCTTTTTTTTTTTTTTGAGACGGGAGTTTTGCTATTGTTGCCCAGGCTGGAGTGCAATGGCACGATCTCGGCTTACCGCAACCTCTGCCTCCCAGGTTTAAACAATTCTCCTGCCTCAGCCTCCTGAGTAGCTGGGATTACAGGCATGCACCACCACGCCCGGCTAATTTTGTATTTTTAATAGAGACAGGGTTTCTCCATGTTGAGGCTGGGCTTGAACTCCAGACCTCAGGTGATCTGACTGCCTCGGCCTCCCAAAGTGCTGGGATTACAGGCAGGATCCACGTGCCCGGCCGGTAAATCCTTTTAATAGAGGAGTTTCAATATTTCTCCTCTGCCATAGTATTAGAAAGAAAAGAATCATTATTGACATCTTTACGACATTGAGTTTTTCTCTTGTACCTGGTGTGTCTTTATTTCAGTAGGTATTCTTTTATGTGCTTTAGTAAGTCTTTATATTTTTAGCATAAAAGTGTACACATTTCTTGTTTTACTTATTTCTAGATACTTAATGGCTTTTGTTTATAATATGATTGGGATATTTTTTCTGTTGTGTAATTGATTACTATTACTATGTACTAAACTGTTGGTTTTTGTCTAAGGATTGTAACATTGATGAACTACTTTAGTAGATGAAATGGTTTCTTCATGAGATTGAATTGTCTAAAGAGATGTTGGTATTATTTGTAAATAAAAGTATTTGCCTATTCCTTTCTATATGCCTTATTTCTTAATTTATACTTGTAGCTTGGATCATATGTGTAATATGAATGTCTACAGCACTAACTAGTTTCCTCACTTGACCCTTTCTTTAAGTGAGGTTTTTTTTTTTTTTGGTGTTTTTTTTTTTTGAGACAGGGTCTCACTCTGTCACCAGGCTTGAGGGCAGTGGCATGATCACTGCTCACTGCAGCCCCAACCTCCCAGGCTCAATCAGTCCTTCCACCTCAGCCTCCCAAGTACCTGGGACTACAGGTGTGCACTGCCATGCCCGGCTCATTTTTGTATTTGCAGAGATGGGGTTTTGCCGTGTTGTCGAGGCCACTGTCGAACTTCTGGGCTCAAGCCATCTGCCGTCCTTGGCCTCCTGAAGTGCTGGGATTACAGGTGTGAGCCATTGTTCCTGGCCAAGGAAATATTTTTAATGTTCGCCATTAAGGATGATTGCTGTACGTTTATGGTTTTGTTAATTAAAACAATTTTTAGCTGGGCATGGTGGCTCACACCTGTAATCCCAGCACTTTGGGAAGCCGAGGTGGGTGGACCATTTGAGATCAGGAGTTCAAGAACAGCCTGGCCACCATGGTGAAACCCCACCTCTACTAAAAATACAAAAATTAGCCAGACATGGTGGTGGGCGCCTGTAATCCCAGCTACTTGGGATGCTGAGGCAGGAGAATCGCTTGAACCCAGGAGGTGGAGGTTGCAGTGAACCAAGATCTCGCCACTGCACTCCAGCCTGGGTGACAGAGCAAGACTGTCTCAAAAAACAAAAACAAATTTTAATAAAGGAACTATGTCAAGCTATAAATAAAACCACTTGGGCCTATATTTAGCCAGAGATTGTATCTTCCACTATTCAAAGACAAGACCTCAAGACTTGTTATATTTTTGTTAAGTTGGTTGAGGTATAATTTACATAGATTACAATTCATACTTTGAAATGAACAACTTGATTAATGTTGATATCGGTATTTGTTTAGCTACCATCACAATCATAGAGGATGTTTCCATCATCCCAAAAAGTCCCCTCATGTCCCTTTGCAGTCGGTCCTTCCCTCCCTGCTTATTCACAGCTTGCTTCAACTGCAGATCTGCTTCTTCTTTTTTTTTTTTTTTTGAGATGGAATTTTGGTCTTGTTGCCCAGGGTAGAGTGCAATGGCGCGAACTTGGCTTACCGCAACCTCCGCCTCCCAGGTTCAAGTGATTCTCCTGCCTCAGCCTCCCAAGTAGCTGGGATTACAGGCATGCGCCACCACACCTGGCTAATTTTGTATTTTTAACAGAGATGGGTTTTCTCCATGTTGGTCAGGCTGGTCTGGAACTCCCAACCTCCGGTGATCTGCCTGCTTCGGCCTCTGAAAGTGCTGGGATTACAAGCGTGAGCTGCCACGCCCAGCCAGATCTGCTTTTTATAACTGTAGGTTTTGTTTTTGTTTTTGAGGCGGAGTTTCACTCTCGTTTTCCAGGCTGGAGTGCAATGGCACAATCTCAGCTTACTGCAACCTCTGCCTCTTGGTTTCAAGCGATTCTCCTGCCTCAGCCTCCCAAGTAGCTGGGATTACAAGTAAGTGCCACCATGCCCAGCTAATTTTGTACTTTAGAGACGGGGTTTCACCATGTTGGCCAGGCTGGTCTCAAACTCCTGATCTCAGGTGATCCACCCGCCTCGGCCCTCCAAAGTGCTGGGATTACAGGCATGAGCCACTGCACCCAGCCTGTAGTTTTGATGTCCACACTTTCACTTCTGACATTGGCAATTTGTGTGTTCTCTCTCTCTTTCGATCAGTCTGCTTAGAGGTTTATCAATTTTATTGATCTTCTCAAAAAACCAATTAATATTTTGTTCAAAATTTTTATTGTAAAATACATATAAAATTAACCATCTTAACTATTTTTAAGTGTACAGTCAGTACTAAGTACATTCATAATGTACAACCAACGTCCATCTCCAGAACCCTTTTCATTTTGTAAAAGTGAAACTGTAAGCCTTTCTAACAACACTTCCCATTTCCCCAATCTCCTAACCTCTGGTGACTACTGTTCTATTTCCTGTATGTATAAATGTGAATGTTCTAAGTACCTCACAAAAGTGGAATCACAGAATATTTCTCCTTTTAAAATTAGTCTTGTGTCTACTTGTTCTATCAGTGATAGGGGAGTGTTGAAATATCTAACTATAATTGTGTATTTCTCTATATCTTTTTCAGTTTTATCTGTTTTTAATCTGTGCATTTTGGAGCTCTGTTATCATGTACTTACACATTCAGGATTGTTTTTCCCATTTATCATTATAAAATTCCCTCTTTGTTCCTTGTAACAGTCCTTATTCTGAAGTCTACTTTGTCTGATATTAATATAGCCATGATTGGTGGTTGCATGGTATAGCTCTTCCCATCATTTTTTTTACTTTTAAACTATCTAGGTGTTTAAATTTAAAGTGGGTGTCTTGTAGACAATGTATAGTTTTAGTTTGGTGTTTTGCTGTTATTGTTGTTGTTTTGAGACACGGTTTTGCTCTGTCACCGAGGCTGGACAGCAGTGGTGCAGTCACAACTCACTGCTGCCTCAACCTCCTGGGCTCAAGCAATCCTTGTGCCTCAGCCTCCCCAGTAGCTAGCACTACAGGCACGTGCCATGAGGCCTGGCTGTGTTCTTACATTTTTATACAATCTGACAATCTCTGTCTTTAGTTGGAGTGTTTAGGTCAGGGAATGGCAAACTATGGTTCCCAGGATAAATCCAGCCTGTCACCTGTTTTATATATAAAGCTTTGTTGGAATACAACAAATGCTCATTTGTTTACATGTTTTAAATTGCTTTTCTGCTACAACTAAGGGGTTGAATGATTTGACAGAGACTCTGTGGGTCCAGAAAACTTGTATTTACACTCTGGCCCTTTATTGATAAAGTTTTCTGATCCCTGGTTTAGATTATTAACATCTCAAGTAAGTATCAGTATGGTTAGATTTAGTTCCACTAGCTTGCCATTTGTTTTGTCCTAACTGTTGTTTGTTCCTTCTTTTTTTTTTTTTTTTTTTTTTTTTTGAGGTGGAATCTTGCTTTGTCACCAGGCTGGAGTGCAGTGGGGTGATCTCGCCTCACTTCAACCTCCAACTCCCGGTTTCAAGCAATTCTCCTGCCTCAGCCTCCCAAGATGGGATTACAGGTGCACGCAACCATGGCCAGCTAATTTTTTGTATTTTTAGTAGGGATGGGGTTTCACCATGTTGGCCAGGATGGTCTTGATATCCTGACCTCATGATCTGCCTGCCTCAGCCTCTCAAAGTGCCGGGATTACAGGCGTGAGCCACCATGCCTGGCCTTTTCCTTTCTTCTTTACAATTGTTTTTTATGATTCCATTTTATCTCTACTATGGTTTATTAGTTATACCTCTTTGTTTTTATATTTTTTAGGATTTGCTCTAATGTCTATAATATACATGTATTCTTTATGTATTATGTTCTTTTTTGGGGGGTGGCAGTGGGGGGAGTGTTACTCTGTCACCCAGGCTCTGAAGTGCAGTGGCATGATCTTGGCTCACTGCAACCTCTGCCTCCCGGGCTCAAGCAATTCTCCTGCTTTAGCCTCCCAAGTAGCTGGGACTACAGGCATGTGCCACTGTATCCTGCTAATTTTTTGTAGACACAGGGTTTCATCATGTTGCCCAGGCTGGTCTTGAACTCCTGAGCTCAAGTGATCCACCTGCCTCAGTCTCCTAAAGTGCTGGGATTACAGGCGTGAGTGAGCCACCACACCTGGCCTTATCATGTTCTTTTTTTTCACAAATATTTTATTTTTGAAATTGACATAGAAAAATTGTACGCATTTGTGGGGAACATAGTGATGTTTTGGTACACATAACATATAGTCAGCAGATCAGGGTAATTATTAATAGTATAACCACCACTTCAAACATCTTTTTTGTTGTTGGGAATATTCAGTATACTCCTTCTTGCTATTTGGCTGTGGTTTTTTTAAATCTTTTTTCTTTTCTTTTTTTTGAGACAGAGTGTTGCTCTGTTGCCCAGGCTGGAGTGCAATGGCAACATCTCAGCTCACTGCAACCTCCGCTACCCAGGTTCAAGCGATTCTCTTGCCTCAGCCTCCCAAGTGGCTGGGATTACAGGCACACACCACCATGCCCAGCTAATTTTTTGTATTTTTAGTAGAGACGAGGTTTCGCCATGTTGGTAAAGCTGGTCTCAAACTCCTGACCTCAGGTGATACACCTGCCTTGGCCTCCCAAAGTGCTGGGATTACAGGCATGAGCCACCGTGCCCGGCCTTAAAATCTTTTTTAATTTTTTTTAATTTGTAACTTTTGTGGGTACATAGTAAGTGTATATATTTATAGGGTATATGAGATGTTTTGATACAGGAATGCAGTGCATAATAATCACATCATGGAGAATGGGGTATCCATCCTCTCAGGCATTTATCTTTTGTGTTACAAATAATCCAATTATACTCTTTTAGGTATTTTTAAATGTAAAATTACTTTATTATTGAGTATAGTCACCCCGTTGTGTTATCAAATAGTAGGTCTTATTCATTCTTTTTTTACCCATTAACCCTCATCACTTCCCCCATGACTTTTCTCAGCCTCCATTAACCATCCTTCTACTCTGTCTGTCTGTGAGTTCAATTGTTCTGATTTTCAGATTCCACAAATAAGTGAGAACCTGTGATGTTTGCCATTCTGTGCCTGGCTTACTTCACTTAACATAATGATCTCAAATTCCAT
The DNA here is from genome assembly GCF_000001405.40 of Homo sapiens. Lineage (NCBI taxonomy): Eukaryota > Metazoa > Chordata > Mammalia > Primates > Hominidae > Homo > Homo sapiens. The sequence continues at coordinate 36,738,726 of NC_000019.10, read as the reverse complement.
CCATGTTGTTGCAAATGACAGGATCTCATTCTTTTTTTATGGCTGAATATTATTCCCTCATGTACACAAACTACATTTTCTTTATCCATTCATCTGCTGATGGACACTGAGGTTGCTTCCAAATCTTGGCTATTGTGGACAGTGCTGCAGCAAACATGGAGTGCAGTTGTCTTTTTGATATACTGATTTCCTTTCTTTTGGGTATATGCCCAGCAGTGGGATTGCTGGATCATATGATAGTTCTATTTTTAGTTTTTTGAGGGACCTCCAAACTGTTTTCCATAGTAGCTATACTAGTTTATATTCCTACCAACAGCATATAAGGGTTCCCTTTTCTTTGCGTCCTTGCCAGCATTTGTTATTTTTTTGTCCTTCTGATAATAGCTGTCCTAATTGGGGTGAGATGATATCTCTTTGTAGTTTTGATTTGCATTTCTCTGATGATTAGTGATATTGAGATTTTTTTCATATACCCATTGGCCATTTGTATGTCTTCTTTTGAGAAATGTCTGTTCAGATCTTTTGCCCATTTTTTTTAATTGGGTTTTTTTTTTTTTTGCTATTGAGTTGTCTGAGCTCCTTATATGTTCTTATATATTCTCATATATATAATTATATAAGAGAATACTAATCCCCTGTCAGATGGGTTGTTTGCAAATATTTTCTCCCGTCTTGTGGGTGGTCTCTTCATGTTATTGATTGTTTCCTTTGCTGCACAGAAACTTTATTTTGATGTAATCTCAGTTGTCTGACTGAATTCATTTTTCAGTTCTAACAGTTTTTTGGTGGAGTCTTGCTTTTGTTGCCTGTGCTTTTATGGTCTTATATAAAAAAGTCTTTGTGTAGACCAATGTCTGTGAGTGTTTCCCCAATATTTTCTTCTAGTAGCAGGTCTTACATTTTGACTTGATTTTTGTGTATGGTAAAGATAGAGGTCTAGTTTCATTCTTCTGCATGTAATTATCCAAATTTCCCAGCACCATTTATGAAAAAAACGTTCCTTTCCCCATTGTATATTCTTGGCACCTTTGTCAAAGATTATTTGGTTGTAAATGTATGGATTGATATTTGGGTTCTCTAGTCTATGACATTGGTCTGTGTCTGTTTTTATGCCAGTACTATGCTGATTTGGTTACTATAGGTTTGTAGAAAATTTAAGTCAGGTAATATGATGTCTCCAGCTTTGTTCTTTTTGCTCAGAATTCCTTTGGCTACTCAGGGTCTTTTGTGGTTCTACATACATTTTAGGATTTTTTTCCTATTTCTATGAAGAATGTCATTGGCATTTTGATAGAGATCATATTGAATCTATAAATTGCTTTGAGTAGTATTGTCATTTTAATTATTCTAATCCATGAGCATGGAATATCTTCCCCTTTTTTGTGTGTCATCTTCTACTTCTTTCATCAGTTTTTCATAGTTTTCCTCATATACATCTTTCACTTCTTTGGTTAACTTGATTCCTAGGTATTTTCTATACTTTGTAGCTATTTTCTATTCTTTGTAGCTTCTTAAGTGTGATTGCTTTCCTTGATTTCTTTTTTCAGGTTATTTGCTGTTAGTGTATATTAAATGTTATGATTTTGATATGTTGATTTTGTATCCTGCAACATTACTGAATTCATTTTTCAGTTCTAACGGTTTTTTGGTGGAGTCTTTAGGTTATTAAGTATATAAGATCATGTCTTCTGCAGAATTTGACTTCTTTTTCAATTTGGACGCCCTTTTTTTTCTTGCTTAATTGCTCTTGCCAGGATTTCCAGCACTATGTTGAATAAAGGTGGTAAAGGTGAGCATTTCTATCTTGTTTCAGATCTTAGAGAACATACCTTATTGCGGGATCTGGCCAGTAGCCTGCAATGCAACGGGGCTCTCTCTTTGTTCCCAGGCGGATCGGCAGGTTGAGAAATAATAGACACACACAAGATAGTGAAAGCTGGGTCCAGGGGGGTCACCACCTTCTGGTCCCGCGGTGCCAACAATGCACTGGATATACCAGCATTTATTACTAAGTTTAATGAGGGCGGGGGTAGGTTAGTGAGGGATTTAGGGTCATTTGATTATGAGGTGAGATGGTCACATGGGGATGAAGTAATTCTTTAACATAACATCTGTATGCAGAAGTACAGTATACAGAGATAAGAATTTACAATAGTGTGCATCAGTAATTTCTAACAGAGCCTTAAAACAGAAACGCAGTCTCCATAACCTATGATTAGCAAGATATTAATCAGCAGTAACAGTTGCAGCAAAAGCTGGTTACAAACAATCCATAGAAACAGGACGTGAAGCCAGACAACCGGTTAGACCAGAAATTCTCAGAAGGGAGTATGCCTTAACCCTAAAGAGACCTAGAAGAGCTGTGGCAAGATGAGGGCGTTTATAGCCCTATCTTATCCATATGAACAGGCGCCCCCATGCGTCCATTTATAGGCTCTCCACAAGGGTCGCATTCCATTCCCAGAGCTATGAACATCTGCTTTTCTGGGATAGGAATCTTGGTGATGTGAAACCTCCCTGACTGCACGTCCGTTTATAGGCTCTCTGCAGAGGAAAGCACATCACGTGCTGTTGGCTCATTCTGGCAGTCCAACTTGGCATTGTTTTTACACAATCCTGCATGCAACTTTGTATTTACAATAATCAGGAGCATTTCATCTTTTATTCCATAGCAATAGTTTCATGGGGTCTCCCTACTATACCTTTAATTTTTCCCCACTCAGTACAATGTTAGCTGTAAGTCTGTCATATATGGCCTTTATTATCTAGAGGTATGTTCCTTCTATACCCACTTTGATGAGGGTTTTTATCATAAACGGATGTTGAATTTTATCAAATGCTTTTTCAGCATCTATTCAAATAATCATGTGGTTTTTCTTTTTGATTCTGTGAATGTGATGTACCACATTTATTGATTTGTGTATGTTGAGCCATCCTTGCATCCCTGGGATGAATTTCATTTGATCAAGGTGAATGATTTTTTTTTTTTTTTTTTTTTTTTTGAGACAGAGTCTTGCTCTGTTCCCCAGGCTGGAGTGCAGTGGCACGATCTCAGCTCACTGCAACCTCTGCCTTCCAGGTTCAAGTGATTCTCCTGCCTCAGCCTCCCCAGCAGCTAGGATTACAGGTACATGCCACCGTGCCCAGCTAATTTTTTTGTTTTTTAGTAGAGACAAGGTTTCACCATGTTGACCAGACTGGTTTTGAACTCCTGACCTCAAGTGATCCACCCGCCTCGGCCACCCAAAGTGCTGGGATTACAGGCGTGAGCCACCACGCCCGGCCAGTAAATGATCTTTTAAATGTGTTGCTGAATTCAGTTTGCTATTATTTTCTTAAGGATTTTTGCATCTTTCTTCATCAGTGAAGATGTCGTTTTCTTTCTTTGTTGTACTCATGTCTGATTTTGGTATCAGAGTTATGCTGGCCCTCCTCTTCAATTTTTGTGAAGAGTTTCAGTAGAATTGGTACTAGTTCTTCTTTAAATGTTTGATTCAGCAGTGAAGCCATAAGGTCCTGGGCTTTTCTTCAATGGTAGACATTTTATTATGGCTTCAATCTGTGGTATGTCTCCAAGAGTTTATCCATTTCTTCTGGGTTTTCCAACTTGTTGCCATATAGTTGTTCATGATTGTCTCTGATGATTCTTTGTGGTCTGTTATTATGTGTCCTTTTATTAAGAAAAACAAACTGGATCTCTCCCTCTGTGGCCCAGGCTGGAGTGCGGTGGCACAATCATAGCTCACTGCAGTCTTGAACTCCTGGGCTGGAAGGATCCTCTCGACTCAGCCTCCCAAGTAGCTGGAACTATAGGCGTGCACCACCATGCCTGGCTAATTTTTTAGAGATGGGACTAATTTTGTAGAGATGGGGTCTTACTGCATTGCCTAGGCTCAGGTGCTCCTCTTGCCTTGGCCTCCCAAAGTGCTGGGATTACAGATATAAGCCACCATGCCCAACAACCTTCTTCATTTCTGATTTTATTTACTTGGATCTTTTTTTTCTTCTTAGTCTACCTAAAGGTTTGTTGACTTTATCTTTTCAAAGAATCAACTTTTTATTTCACTGATCTACTGCATTTTCTTTTTTCTTTCTTTTTTTAGATGGAGTTTTGCTCTTGTTCCCCAGGCTGGAGTACAATGGCGCGATATCAGCTCACCCCAACCTCTGCCTCTGGCATTCGAGCAATTCTCCTGCCTCAGCCTCCCAAGTAGCTGGGATTACAGGCATGTGCCACAACACCCAGCTAATTTTCATATTTTTAGTAGAGACAGGGTTTCTCCATGTTGGTCAGGCTGGTCTTGAACTCCCGACCTCAGGTTATCTGCCCGCCTCAGCCTCCCAAAGTGTTGGGATTACAGGCGTGAGCTACTGCTCCTGGCCTTTTCTGTTTTTTTAGAGATAGGGTCTCACTCTGTTGCCCAGTCTAGAGTGCAGTCACACAATCAAAGCTTGTTGCACCCTCTGAACTCATGGGGTCAAGCTGTCCTCCTGCCTTTAGCCTCCTAAGTAGCTGGGAGTATAGGCACTTGCCACTGTGCCTGAGTAAAATTTTTTATTTTATTTTGTAGAGATGGGGGTCTCACTTTGTTGCCCAGGCTGGTCTTGAACTCCTAGCATCAAGTGATCCACCTGCTGCAGCCACTCAAAGTGCTGAGATTCTAGGTGTGAACCACCGTGCCTAGCCTGTTTTTGTTGTTGTTGTTGTTTTAGCCTCAATTTCATTTATTTCTGCTCAAATCTTTATTATTTCTTTCCTTCTACTGTTTTGGGTTTGGTTTGTTCTTGCTTTTCTAGTTCCTTGAGGTGTATCATTAGATTGTTTATTTGAAGTGTTTCTAGTTTTCTGATATAGACATGTATTTCTATAAACTTCCTTCTTAATACTGCTTTTGCTGTGTCCCATATATTTTGGTATATTTCCATTTTCATATGTTTCAAGATATTTTAAAATTTCCTTTTTTTGTTGGGATATGTTCTTGCTCTGTTGCCCAGTGCAGTGGTATGATCATAGCTCACTGCAACCTCAACCTCCTCAGCTTAAGCGTCCTCCTGCCTCAGGCTCCCAAGTAGCTGGGACTATAAGCATATGCCACATGCTCAGTCAATTTTTTAATTTTTAGTAGGGACAAGGTCTATGTTGCACAGGCTGGTCTCAAACTCCTGGACTCAAGCCTTCCTCCTGCCTAGCATCCCAAAGTAGTGAGATTACAGGCATGAGCCACTGTGTCTGGCCTTAAATTTCCTTCTTAATTTCTTCACTGATCCATTGGTCATTCATTAATATGTTGTTTAATTTCTATGTGTTTATGAAGTGTTTGAAGTTCCTCTTGTTATTTATTTCTAGTTTTATTCCATTGTGGTCAGAAAAGATACTGGATATGATTTCTACTTTTAAACATTTGTTTAGACTTGTTTTGTGGTCGAAGATATGGTCTATTCTGGAGAATATGCCATGTACTAATGAAAAGAATGTGTATTCTCCAGCAGTTGGGTGAAATGCTCTGTAAATATCAGGCCTATTAGGTCTAGTGTGTAGTTTACCTCTAATATTTGTTGATTTTCTCTCTGGATGATATGTCCATTACTGAAAATGGTGTGTTAAATCTCCTAATATTATTATATTGTAGTCCATCTCTCCCTTTAGCTATATTGTTTCCTTTATATACATGGGAGCTCCAGTGTTGTGTGCAAATATATTTGTAATTGTTATATTCTGTTTCTGAATTGACCCCTTAATCATTATATAGTGACCATCTTTGTCTCTTTTTTGTCTTTGATTTATAGTCTATTTTACTTCATAAAACTATAGCTACTTCTGCTCTTTTCTAGTTTCCAGTTGCATGGGGTATCTTTTTCCATGTCTTCACTTTCAATCTGTGCATATTTTTATAGGTGAAGTGGGTTTCTTGGCAGCAGCATATAGTTGTGTTTTATCTTTATTCATTCAGCCACTGTATGCCTTTAACTGGGGAATTGAGTTCATTTACATTTAGTATTATTTTTGATAAATAAGTACTTAAAAGTGCCATTTTGTTGCCTGTTTTACTCCTCTCCTCCTTTCTTCTTTCCTGTGTCCCTTTGTAATTAAGCGATTTTTCTCTGGTAAGGTGTTTTAATTCATTGCTTTTTATTTTTAGTGACTCTTTCATAGGTTTTTGCTTTGTGGTTACTATGAGGCTTACAAAAAACATAGTATAGATACAGTAAATTACTTTAAAGAGGTGCCAACCTATCTTAGATCACAAATAAAAGAATAGAAATAAAGAAAAATGGAAAAAATTTTCCACACTTTAACCCTTTCCCCCCATATTTTTACTTTTAGTTCTCCAAATTTACATATGTTTATATTACCTCTCTCTTAAGAGGTTGCTGTGGCCATTATTGTTTTTGATAGATATGTCTTTTGGGCTTCATGCTAGAGTTATAAGTGAATTACACACATTTATAGTAGTAGAGTATCCTGGGTTTGTCTGTTTACTTAATTTTACTGGTGGGTTTTGTACCTTCTTTGAAAAAACTTTTTGCACATTAATGTTCTTTCTTTCAGATTGAAAAACTCCTAGGCTGTGTGCAGTGGCTCATGCCTGTAAACCTAGCACTTTGGGAGGCCAAGGAGGGCAGATACTTGAGCTCAGGAGTTTGAGACCAACCTGTGCAACATGGCAAAACCCCATCTCTATAAAAAAAATACCAAAATTAGCTGGACATGGTGGCACACACCTGTAGTCCCAGCTGCTTGAGAGGCTGAGGTGGGAGGATTGCTTGAACCTGGGAAGTTGAGGCTGCAGTGAGCCAAGATCGCACCACTACACTCCAGCCTGGGTGACAAAGTGAGACCCTGTCTCAAAAAATAAAAAAGAAAAGGACAAAAAAGAAAAAACAAAAATTCCCTTTAGCGTTTCTTGTAACAGGGGTATGGTGGTGGTGAATTCTCTTAGCATTTGTTTGTCTGGGAAAAACTTTCTCTTTCATATTTGAAAGCTAACTTTGCTGGATAGGGTATTCTTGGATGGCAATGTTTATTCTTATGGCACTTCTAAAATGTCATTTGACTCCCTCCTGTCCTGTATGGTTTCCATTGATAAGTCTGTTGCCAGATGAATTAGAGCTCCTTTAAATGCCATTTGTTTATTTTCTCTTACTGCTTTCAGGATCCTCTCTTTTTCCTTGACCTTTGAGAGTTTATTATATGACTTGGGGTAATCATATTTGGGTCAACTCTGTTTGTTGTTCTCTGACCTTCCTGTACCTGGAAATGTATATCTTTCTCAAGTTTTGGAAAGTTTTCTTTCCAAAGAAGACTGGAAAGTTATTAATATTTTTAAAAATAATCTTTGTACCCCTGTCTCTTATTCAACTCTTTCCTCAACATCAATGATTCTTAAATTTGGTCTATTGAGGTAATGTTCTACATCTTGTAGATGATCTTTGTTCCTTTTCATTCTGTGTTCTTTTTTTTCCCCTCTGACTTTGTGTTTTCAAATAACTTATTTTGGAGCTCATGGATTCTTTCTTCTATTGGACCCATTCTGCCATTGAGAGCCTATAATGAATTCTGTTTAGAAATTTCATTTTTTAGTTGCAAGATTTGATTTCCGTTTTTTTATTTTTTTCAATTTCTTTGTTAAATTTCTTTGATACATTTCTGAATTGCTTTTCAGTCTTATCTCGGAAATCACTAAGTTTCTTTAGAACTGCTATTTTCAATTTTTATCAGACAGCTCACATATTGCCATCTTGTTAGGATGAGTTAGTTACTGGTTTCTTGCTTTGTTCATTTGGTGAGATCATGGTTCCCTCTTTAGGCATGTTGCTTATGGATGTACATTGATGTCTTTGCATTGAAGTATTATTTATTTATTCCAATGTTCTCTGACTGGCTTGTTACAATTTTTTTTTTTTTTTTGATACGGAGTCTCGCTCTGTCACCCACGCTGGAGAGCAGTGGCGCGATCTCGGCTCACTGCAAGCTCCGCCTCCCGATTCACGCCATTCTCCTGCCTCAGCCTCCAAGTAGCTGGGACTACAGGCGCCCGCCACCACACCCAGCTAATTTTTTTGCATTTTTTTTAGTAGAGACGGGGTTTCACCGGGTTAGCCAGGATGGTCTTGATCTCCTGACCTCGTGATCTGCCCGCCTTGGCCTTCCAAAGTTCTGGGATTACAGGCGTCAGCCATCGCGCCCAGCCTACAATTTTTACTGGACATATTGGCTTAGAGGTTTTTTTATCATGAGGTTGCTGCCTCCTTTTCAGCTCTAGGTGGTGCCTTAAAACCTGGTTCGCCTTAGCTTTAGTAACGGTTGGAGCAATTCACTTCCTTAATGGGGTAGGTCCCAAAGAGGGTATTCTGGCCGTGTGGGAGGGCTGGCTAGGGGTTTGTGCCCAAGAGATCTGTGGAATGAACCTCCTACAGCATGCTGCTGCTGAACAGCCACACTGAGTTTAAACAAGATCTACATGTTGGGCTTAGAGGATAAAGCTCTTATATATCTTTTTTTTTTTTTTTTTTTTTTTTTTTTGAGACAGAGTCTTGCTTTGTCTCCCAGGCTGGAGTGCAGTGGCATGATCTCGGCTCACTGAAAGCTCCGCCTCCCGGGTTCACGCCATTTTCCTGCCTCAGCCTCCCGAGTAGCTAGGACTACAGGTGCCCGCCACCACGCCTGGCTAATTTTTTGTATTTTTAGTAGAGACGGGGTTTCACCGTGTTAGCCAGGATGGTCTCGATCTCCTGATCCGCCCACCTTGGCCTCCCAAAGTGCTGGGAGTACAGGCGTGAGCCACCACGCCTGGCCTAACCACACTGATTTTGCATCTCCTCTGGCCAAGTTACAAACCAGAGTTTCCCATGGGTTAAGGCAAGGCCAGGACACCCAAGATGGTGGGGAAGCTGGTGGTGCACCTCAATCTCACTTTTTCCACTACAGAAACCATGAGTTGAGGGGAAATTTTCTATGTTTGGTGCCAGGCAGAATGGGGGAAGAGGTGTCATGGATGTGGAAGTCTGATTCTCCTACCACTGCTCAGAGATTTTTCACTTCTTTGTAGCTCCAGAACTGACTCATCTTCATATTTGAGTTCTAGAATATTGTTGGTGATAATCTTGGTGATGCACACTTGTTTTTGGTTTTCTGTTGGTGGGCAGTGAAGCCAGTTTTCTTCTGCTCCATCATTTGGAACCAGTAGTCTTCGAACACTTAAATCTTAGAGCTGATGACAACCTATTTGCTTTATCACCACCCTCACCACATCCTCTTTCATTATTCTCTAAACTCTCTTTGCCTCCTTCAAGTTGTGTAAAAACATTATTGAAATATATTTCTAGTGTACCTTATTTTCAATTCATCACTTATCTCCAAGGTTTTGGGTTTTTTTCCTGGTACAGGAAAACATCTGTTTTCTTGCTTTTTTCAGGTTTGGAGACCAAGTATGACACAAATACATTATTTCCAGAAGAAAAAATTTTGAAATACATTAGCTGGAATACTTCACAAAGAGAAGCTGCCCACTGATGCTACTTGGATACCCCCCACTGGTATTGTTCACATAGGATAACCAAGATATATTTTTTCCTTTTAGATACCAGTTTTTAAGATAATAACTTTGCTCCTTATTGTTCTGTGATCACTGATTCTTTGGTATTGCTATAAATTTGGGAATTTAAATGTATTTGGTGTTTCAAATATAAATTTTTATAAATATAAATGTAAATTTATATTTATTCAACTATAAATGTAAATTTATATTTATTCAACTATAAATATAGATTTATATTTATTCAACTATAAATGTAGATTTATATTTATTCAACTATAAATGTAGATTTATATTTATTCAACTATAAATGTAGATTTATATTTATTCAACTATAAATGTAGATTTATATTTATTCAACTATAAATGTAGATTTATATTTATTCAACTATAAATGTAGATTTATATTTATTCAACTATAAATGTAGATTTATATTTATTCAACTATAAATGTAGATTTATATTTATTCAACTATAAATGTAGATTTATATTTATTCAACTATAAATGTAGATTTATATTTATTCAACTATAAATGTAGATTTATATTTATTCAACTATAAATGTATTTGGTGTGTTTCAAATATAAATTATTTTTATATTTAAGCTTGATTTGTCCTATCCTTGGTCATTGGAAACCTTTCCAAGTTGGCAGTGCTTTGTCATTAATCTACTGATTTTTTAAATTAGCTTTGTTATTATCTGGTATGAGAAAATACTGCAGGCTCATTAAAAATTTTCTGCCCATACTTGGAATCAGCCACTTCTCCCAAGAAATCCTGGTTTCTTTTAGCAGGAAATGGTCCATAAATACCATAATGTATGTGCTAGTGATGTGTATTGCTGCTGGACTGGTCAAAGTGATACTCCCACCAATTAAAATTCAGGAATATAGAGTATTTACTTACGTTTTCTCTATTTCATACTATTTAATTAGAATCATTGTTCTCAATAACCTCAATTTGGATTTATCTGATGTTTCCTCATTTTAGATACAGGTTATACATTTTAAACAGAAATACCATTACAGCAATGATGTATCCTTCTCAGTGCATGTCATTAGGAGGCACATGGCATTGGTTTATCTATTATTGGCCCAAAGAAAAAAACAAAAAACAAACAAACAAACAAACAAAACAGGCCAGGAGCGGTGGCTCATGCCTGTAAACCCAGTACTTTGGGAGGCCGAGGCGGGCAGGTCACGAAGTCGGGAGTTCAAGACCAGCCTGACCAACATAGAGAAACCCCGTCTCTACTAAAAATACAAAATTAGCCGGGTGTGGTGGTGCATGCCTGTAATCCCATACTTGGGAGGCTGAGGCAGAAGAATTGCTTGAACCTGGGAGGTGGAGGTTGTGGTGAGCCGAGATTGTGCCACTGCACTCCAGCCTGGTGATAGTGCAAGACTCCATCTCAAAAAGAAAAAAAAGTCCTAATAAAAGGATGCTCTGTGTAGAAACAGACCAAGAAAAGGGCACCCGAGCAAGACAAAACGTCTAGATAAGAATTGCAAGGCCGGGCGCGGTGGTTCACACCTGTAATCCCAGTACTTTGGGAGGCCGAGGCAGGCGGATCATGAGGTCAGGAGATCGAGACCATCCTGGCTAACACAGTGAAACCCCATCTCTACTAAAAATACAAAAATTTAGCCGGGCATGGTAATGGGTGCCTGTAGTCCCAGCTACTCGGGAGGCTGAGGCAGGAGAATGGCATGAACCCAGGAGGTGGAGCTTGCAGTGAGTTGAGATCACGCCACTGCATTCCAGCCTGGGTGATAGACCGAGACTCCGTCTCAAAAAAAAAAAAAAATTGCTCTACTTGGCCAACCGCAGTGGCTCATGCCTGTAATCCCAGCACTTTGGGAGGCTGAGGCAGGCCAATCACTTGAGATCAGGAGTTTGTGAGACCAGCCTGGCCAACATAGGAAACCCCTTCTCTACTAAAAATACAAAATTAGCCGGGTGTGGTGGCACGTACCTGTAATCCCAGCTACTTGGGAGGCTGAGGCAGGAGAATTGCTTGAACCCGGGAGGCAGAGGTTGCAGTCAGCCGAGATCGCACCATTGTACTCCAGCCTGGGTGAAGAAGTGAGACTCCATCTCAAAAAATAAATAAATAAATAAATAAATAAATAAATAAAATTGATCTACTCTAACGAAAAAGCACAGGAAAAAAAAAAAGGAAAGAAAGAAAGAAAGAAAGAAAGAAAAAGAAAGAAAGAAAGAAAGAAACTCAAAACACCTGATGCCACTCCACTCATGCACCTTGCAAAGGCTGAGTAGGGAACCTAGACTTCTACTCTCAGTAGACTGTAACAAGATACTCTGACCTCCCTGCCAGGATGGTTTCAGGAAGACTGTGAAGGGAGCCAGGACTATAACTGCAGATGGAATTACGTAGGGCCCCTGGAGTCATTTGGGGAATCTGGATTTCCATTCCCATATGCAGCAGTAAAAAGATACTTGTTAAACTACCTGCTGGGCCAGTGTCGGAGTAGGCATAGTAAAGTCAGGATCTTCACTACTATCCCGCCTAACAGGGCCAGCCCTGCCTCTGTGGTGTATATGGAAGGCAAATGGAAATCATTAACAAGGCACCGCTGTCTCTCTTACTGGGGTATAAGAGAGGTATAAAAAGGTGACTAATAGGGAGCCAGAACTCCTCAGTCACACCTAACCGTGAGGAGGAGCACTTCCACCCAGGTGTCAGTAGAAGGTGAGTGGGAAATCTGGATTCTCACCCCCTATGTGGCACAGCAAAATGGCACAGTTGCCCTCCCCATGCCAGGGTGGTATCAAAAAGCCAGCTAAAACAGGTTTAAATAAGATCTACAATCTCATAATAGATAAAATTGCACATTTCAATGGAAATTCAATAATTGTAACCAGGAAAATCTCAAATGAAAAAAGACGAGCATGAAAATGACAATGATGTCAGAATTATATGATAAATACATGAAGCAGACATCATAAAAATGCCTGAACAATCACACACTTGAAACAAATGAGATACAATATCTCAACAAAGAATTAGTCCAGACAAGAAATTAGAAGACATACAAAATAACCAAATAGTATAGAATTGAAAATATAACTAAAATAAACTCAAATGGAGGGACAAAGAGTGGAAACAGAGGAGACAGAGCAATCAGTGAACTGCAGTACAGAACAATAGGAACTACCCAATCTGAACAAGAGAGAGATAGTACACTGAAAAAAATAACATGAAAAGAATGAAGAACTGTGAGAATGTAACACAAGATTAACATTCATGCCCTTGAAATCCTGGAAGGAGAGGAAAAAGAAGACAGGGCTGAAAAAGTACTTAAGGAAGCCTGGACAACACGGTGATACCATCTCTGTAAAAAATATAGAAGTTAGCCAGGCCTCTTGGTGCATTCCTGTAGTCCCAGCTACTCAGGAAGCTGAGGTGGGAGGATCGCTTAAATCCAGGAGGTCGAGGCTGCAGTGAGCTGTGATCATGCCACTGCACTCCAGACTGGGTGAGAGAGCAAGACATCCCCTCTCCCCTACTACAAAGGACTTAAAGTAGTAATTGCTAAGAACTCACCAAATTTGGCAAAAGACAGATTCAAGAAGCTGAGTGAATTTAAACAAGATAACTTTCTTCCCATCCCCAAAACGTAACACCGTAACACATTGTACCCAACTTGCGAAAATTAAAGACAAGGCCGGGTGCAGTGGCTTACACCTGTGATCCCAGCACTTTGGGAGGCCGAGGCAGGTGGATCACCTGAGGTCAGGAGTTTGAGACCAGCCTGGCCAATAGGGTGAAACCCCGCTTCTACTAAAAATACCAAAATTAGCCGGGTGTGGTGGCATGCACCTGTAATCCCAGCTACTTGAGAGACTGAGACAGGAGAGTCGCTTGAAACTGGGAGGTGGAGGTTGCAGTGAGCCGAGATCACACCACTGTACTCCAGCCTGGGCAACAAGAGTGAAACTCCATCTCAAAAATAAAATAAAATTAAATAAAATTAAAGACAAAAAATAAAAATCTTGAAAGTAGTAAGACAGAAATACCATATTTTTAGAGGAAAAAAATTAAAATAGCAGATTTCTTATGAGAAACCATGAAGACCAGAAAGAAGTGACATTTTTCAAGTGCTGAAAGGAACAACTCTCAATCCCAAATCCTATTTTCAGCAAACTATGTTCAAGAATGAAAGAAACCTACATTAATCATTACAGAAACACAAATCAAAATCTCAATGAGATACTTGACACCCACAAAAAAGGTTTTAATTCAAAAAATTTTTTGAAGGAAAATAAGTGATGGAAAGAATATGGAGGAATGTGAACTTTTTTTTTTTTTTAATTTTTTGAGACGGAGTCTTACTCTGTCACTCAGGCTGGAGTGCAGTGGCACAATCACAGCTCACTGCAACCTCTGCCTCCCAGGTTTAAGCTATTCCCCTGCCTCAGCCTCCCAAGTAGCTGGGATTATAGAACCCCACCACCAAGCTCAGCTAATTTTTTTTTTTTTTTTTGAGATGAAGTCTCGCTTTTTCGCGCAGGCTGGAGTGCAGTGGCGTGATCTCGGCTCACTACAATGTCCACCTGCCTGGTTCAAACAATTCTCCTGCTTCAGCCTCCAGAGTAGCTGGGATTACAGGCACACGCCACCATGCCTGCTAATTATTGTATTTTTAGTAGAGATGGGGTTTCGCCATGTTGGCCAGACTGGTCTTGAACTTCTGACCTCAATTGATCAGACTGCCTCAGCCTCTGAAAGTGCTGGGATTACAGGCATGAGCCACCACACCTGGCCTGAGAAATCTGAACCTTTTTGCATTGCCATTGGTAATGTAAAATAGTGAAGCCACTGTGGAAAACAGAATGATGATTGTTAAAAAAATTAAATAAAGCAGGGTGCGGTGGCTCACGCCTGTAATCCCAGCACTTTGGGAGGCCGAGGTGGGCGGATCACCTGAAGTCGGATGTTCGAGACCAGCCTGACCAACATGGAGAAACCCTATCTCTACTAAAAATACAAAATTAGCCAGGCATGGGGGAACATGCCTGTAATCCCAGCTACTCGGGAGACTGAGCTGGGAGAATCGCTTGAACCCAGGAGGCAGAGGTTGTGGTGAGCCGAGATCGCACCATTGCACTCCAGCCTGGGCAATAAGAGTGAAACTGTCTCAAAAAAAAAAAAAAAAAAAAAGAAATACAGAATTGCCATATGATACAGCCATAGACAGTTTCATAAGAAACTCATCAGTTTTTCATACAAAGAACATGTTAAAACTGAAAGTTATGAGCATGATTATGGAAAGATGCCCAATAATTATTATACAAATAATAATGATTATATTCATGATTATATTTTCTTTTTGAGACACAGTCTCACTCTCTTGGCCAGGCAGGCGTGCAATGGCATCATCTTGGCTCACTGCAACCTCCACCTACTGGGTTCAAGTGATTCTCCTGCCTTAGGCCCCCGAGTAGCTGGGATTACAGGAATGCGCCACCACACCTGGCTAATTTTTGTATTTTTAGTAGAGAGGGGGTTTCACTCTTGGCCAGGCTGGTCTCAAACTCCTGGCCTTAGGTGATCTGCCCACCTTGGCCTCCCAAAGTGCTGGGATTACAGGTGTGAGACACCACGCCCAGCCTCAAAAGTTTCAAAGTTTGGCCATTTATAAAACTGCCCGTTAATATCTCATACTTTCTAGTTCTTCATATTCAAGAGCTATAAAACATGAATATATGTAGTATGTTTGAAAATAAAGTGGACATTGGATACAATGTTCTACTGAAACAGTACATGGCTATTTCATGATAATCAGTAAATCAGGAGACAGGGCAGCACATGCAGTGATGCCACAGATACTTTTTATTTTTTGTGGTAGCCACTGAAATGTCTGGAAATGCAAAATCAAAGGGGAGTAGAATGTCCCAGAGAATGTGACTCACATGTTCCCCAAATCTTTGGTGGGTTGACGCTAGGATAAACATCCAGTTAGGCCATCCTCTCCACCTAGAAAAACAAGGTAGGCTTCCATCTTTGGTCATGAGTACAATTCTTCTGTTAGTCACCACTGTTAGCATATACTAGTATATAACTCCCCTATAAATTCACAATGACAAAATCCTTGGGTTCTCACAGTTCTGATTATAAGTCCTATAATTACCTGTTTTAGTTACTTTAATAGGTTTATTAAACCTATTAATAATTCTTTATATTCTTTAAAAATGTATACTTTAAAAAATCTTTATGCATATATAAATTATTAAGGCTAAATTTAATGACATGTCTAGTCATTATAGACAAGGCATTTTACATATATACACACATACACACACGTGTGTTTTCTGTGTGCTACTATCAAGTCTAAATTTTTATGCTTTTGTCTCATTGCCCTGTTCATTTTTTGCTATGAAATTATCAGAAAAATAAGGATTGACAAGAATGGTTCCATTTACTACTGATTGGCAATGGCTGTCCCTCTCTAACAGGCCAGAGGGTCTGTTTAATATATTTAATGTCAAATATTTGAACCCTGAACCATCTTTCTGTTTATGCAGATATGGTTTACAGTTCTAAATCTTTTAAAAAACAATTTTCAGGCTGGGCACGGTGGCTCACGCCTGTAATCCCAGCACTTTGGGAGGCTGAGGCGGATGGATCACGAGGTCAGGAGTTCAAGACCAGCCTGGCCAACACAGTGAAACCCTGTCTCTACTAAAAATACAAAAATTAGCTGCGTGTGGTGGCACGTGCCTGTAGTACCAGCTACTTGGGAGGCTGAGGTAGGAGAATCGTTTGAACCCAGGAGGCAGAGGTTACAGTGAGTTGAGACCATGTCATTGCACTCCAGCCTGGACGATAGAGACTCCATTTCAAAAAATAAATTAATTAATAAATTTCAATTTCTACTGAATTTTATTACAATGACTTCATATACATAGTAAATACTGGTTATAAGTAATCCTTCCCAAGAAGGACCTGCAATAATGCTGTTCAAGTTGCCACTGAGCTTACTCTCCTCGCCAAAAGGATACCGTGGAAGTCACTGTCTTCGCAGATTTCCAATTCTCAAACATCAAAATCTCTCTAGTCACTTATTTGGGATTTTCAGAGACTTACATTTCTTATAGATTATGGTAGAAAAGGCTTATGTTGTAGCCAGGCGTGGTGGGTCACCCTGTAATCCCAGCACTTTGGGAGGCCGAGGCAGGCGGATCATGAAGTCAGGAGTTCGAGACCAGTCTGACCAACGTGGTGAAACCCCGTCTCTACTAAAAATACAAAAATTAGCTGGGCGTGATGGCACATGCCTGTAATCCCAGCTACTCAGAAGGCTGAGGCAGGAGAAGCACTTGAACCCAGGAGGCAGAGGTTGCAGTGAGCCGAGATCGCTCCACTGCATTCCAGCCTGGGCAACAGAGCGAGACTCTGTCTCAAAAAAAAAAAAAAAAAAGAAAAAAAAAAAGACTCTGGTACTCTCAAATTTTCCTCACCTATTTCCCTTCTCAATGTCCCTTTCTCTTGTATGAATTCTAATTCCTTGATATTAAATAAGGTGTAATAAGCTATGGCTAAAGTACCCCTAAAATCATGACAACTACAAGATTTCCCTCCAATACGAATTTGCTTGTTTTGCATTTAAGCATTGAGAGACAGCTAAAGGCCTTCTACATATACTGCATTCACATGTCCATGATTTATTAATAGCCTTCTCACAATTATAAAGCCGCAAGGTTTCTTTTTAGTAGAAATTCTCCAGTCTGAATGACCAAAAAAACCTCATATATACTCTTGGAATGAATAAGTCCAGTCCCAGGTATAAATTCAACAGAAATACATACACGCAAACACACACATGATATAAACAAGAATATTTACAGCAGTATTTTTATTATTACACAAAAGTATAAAAAATACAAATATCCATCAATAGGATAAACAGCAATATATTCTTAAAATGGAATAGTATGCAAAATGAAAATACACTACTGCCACATGCAATAATGTACAGATCTTAAAAAATTGAGTGAAATAAGCAAGACACAAAATAATTCATGATGTCTGATAAAATATATATTTATAAAATTGAAAACATGCAAAAACTACGTTTTGATGTTATAGGCTACGGAAGTGGTAACTCTTAGGTAAGTAACAACTAACTGCTTTTTATTACAGAGTGCAATGAGAAATATAGTTCATAAATATTTTCTCTTATGGAGATTAATACTTATAATCATTGTGTATCTTGTCTCTGCATGTATTATATAAGTATTTTTAAAAAATAAACTATTTGAGTCAGTAGGAAGAGCAGTTGACTTTAAAATTTAGCTTCATAGCTGATAGAGTTCAATAATAATGATCATACTTATTTTATATGCTAGTAAACAGTAGACAGTTATTCCGTATGGTACTTTAATAATTATTAGACTTGTGATTTAAAATTACATTAACATGTTTCAGCATGCTTTTCTTTTTAAAACTAAATGTTTACAACAGCTTGTAAAGAATTCATATAAGAAACCACATCATTTATTGCATTTCAATGTTTTCTCCCTTGTGAGTTCTTTGATGGACAATGAGGTTTCTCTTATAACTGAAAGACTTACCACACTCATTACAAACATAGGGTTTCTCACCTGTGTGAGTTCTCTGATGTACAATAAGATTTGTCTTCTGGCGGAAGCACTTTCCACATTCACTACATTTATATGGTTTCTCTCCCGTATGAGTTCTTTGATGATGAATGAGATATGACTTCCTGCTAAAGGCTTTCCCACACTGAGGACATTCATAGGATTTCTGGCCGGTATGTATTTTCTGATGTACAGTGAGGGTTGCTTTCTGGCGAAAGGACTTCCCACATTCATTACAAACATAGGGTTTCTCCCCTGTATGAATTCTCTGATGTAGATTGAGATTTGTCTTTTGACTGAATGATTTACCACATTCATTACATTCATATGGTTTCTCTCCTGTGTGAGTTCGGTGATGATCAATGAGGTATGACTTCATTCTAAAGGCCTTCCCACAGTGAGGACATTCATAAGATTTCTCCCCTGTATGTGTTCTCTGATGTGCTACAAGGGTTGTCTTCTGGCGGAAGGACTTTCCACATTCACTACAAATATAGGGTTTCTCCTCATTATGAGTTTTCTCATGAAGAGCAAGGGTTGTCTTCTGGGAGAAGGATTTCCCACATTCATTACAAATATAGGGCTTTTCCCCTGTATGAGTTCTCTGATGTACAGTAAGATTTGCCTTCTGGTGAAAGGACTTCCCACATTCTTTACAAATGTAGGGTTTCTCACCTGTATGGATTCTCTGATGTAGAGAGAGTGTTGTCTTCTGGCGGAAGGACTTCCCACAGTCATTACACTCATATGGTTTCTCTCCCGTGTGAGTTCTCTGATGACGAATGAGGTGTGACTTCAATCTGAAGGCATTCCTACATTGCAGACATTCATACGATTTCTCCCCTGTGTGTGTTCTCTGATGATCAGTGAGGGCTGTCTTGAGGCGGAAGGACTTACCACATTCATTGCAAACAAAGGGTTTCTCTCCTGTGTGAGTTCTCTGATGATCAATGAGATATGATTTCCTTCTAAATGCATTTCCACATTGATGACATTGATAGGGTTTTTCTTCTGAGTGAATTCCCTGATGCAGAATCAATACTGATTTCCTGCAGAAAGATTTCCCACATTCATTGCATGTATGTTTTTTTTCAATATTGGTTGCTCTTCTTTTTTTATTATATACAGATGGGTTTTCTCCTTTGTAAGGTCTACTATGTGTAATCAGGCCTCCCCTTTGAAGGAATGATTTCTCACAGTCATTATATCCAAATGACTGTGCTGGAGTTTCCGTTTTCTGATACTGCATAAGAACTTCATTATGACTGAAAGCTCTGGCACTTTGATTATGGGATTTGACTTCAGGATGAGTAGTCTCTTGTTTAGTACTCAGGAGTGATTTCCCATATCCATTATACTCACTAAGTCTCTTTCTTGCAGGATTTAGATTACTGATGATTAATTCTGAAACATTTTTCAAAATCCTTCCATGAGTATCATATTCAGGAGGTAGATTTTTTGAATTCACAGGGTTTTTGCCTAGAGTAAATGTCTTTTCATATATTTTACTCTTCTCCTTCACCAGTTTTTTGTGGTTGATGCTTACAACTGATCTAGAATACTTCTCTTGGTGTTCCTTGAATTTCACTAAAAAGTCTTCAGCTTTCCAGTTTTCTTCTAGAAAAGAATATAATTGATAACAATTTGTGAATCTTCACACATTTCCTATGCAAAGAAATTTTACTAGGGTCTAGCACATGGCGCAAAAAGAGACTCAGAACAAATGACCACTGGCCTGGCAGGGGTGCGGGGAGGGGAACCTAAACAAAAACTGCTTCAGAGTGGAAAAGGATGAAGATGTAAACAATAAACATTAATACCTTTTGCATTTTGCACTAAAACTTCTTAGAGAAAGTGAAACCAACCAAGAAGTCAAAGAATGGTAGAAGGGGGTTGATGGTTAGATAAGTGTTCAGAAAAAATGAAGTGAACCTATCAAAAGCATTAAAATGTAAGTAGGATGGACAAGAAAAATTAGCAGAAATCTTTGTTTAGCGAAAATACTAGAGGAAAGATTACTTCTGGAGGACACAGATCACCTATAATAATTATTATTATTTTTTTTTGAGACAAAGTCTCGCTTTGTCACCCAGGCTGGAGTGCAGTGGCGTGATCTCGGCTCACTGCAACCTCTGCCTCCTGGGTTCAAGCGATTCTCCTGCCTCAGCCTCCTGAATAGCTGGGATTACAGGCATGTGCCACCACGCCTAGCTAATTTTTTGTATTTTTAGTAGAGACGGGGTTTCACCATGCTGGCCAGGTTGGTCTCGAACTCCTGACCTCATGATCTGCCCACCTTGGCCTCCCAAAATGCTGGGATTACAGGTATGAGCCACTGTGCCCGGCTGATCACCAATACTTTTATACACACATCCCTAGATGACTGTGGTAAAACACTTCCAGCTGTTCAACCCACCTCCTCTTTCTATGTAGTCAACATTGATTAATTTAGCTTTTAAATTATCAATTCATTTTCTACAGTCTATGCTCTAATCCTCTACATAATTATGTATTATTTTCTCTTATGAATGGAAAATTAGGAAAATACTTCCGATAGCAACTTTAAAAAAGATCAGAATATATTCAATTGCTATATTCAGACTGCTGCTAAATCACTTCTTTCAGAATTGTTCAATAACAAAGCTCTCATGCCTAGTCCTCTTTTCAGTTACTGACTCACTTTTCCAGGTTTAAGACTGGCTTACATCCTTCCCCAATGCAGTAACATTCCTTTATTCCAGTTTTTCATATGGTAGATCAGAATACCAATTTCAAATGGTAGATTGAACAATCTGGTCCTAAATCAGAGTAACTTTAACCTTCATTTCTCTTATAAAAGTATAGCTATTTCTAACTTTACTTACCTTGCAATCATCTATATCTGATGAAGCAATGTTAAAGCTATGCTCAAAAATCTATTTCTTCATTGAGTCCAAGAACTTCAATTCTAACATATACAAGGAATTTCTCCTGTAAACAAAACTATATTGTCTAGATTCATTTTTTATATTCTCACAAGTTTTCAGGGTTGTCCACATACCTGACAGATCTCACCTGTTTATAACAGGTAGTTTTTGCCTCAGTCAGGCCTGATACTTACTGCCCTATATATACCTTACTTATTCCTAATAACACACTTGTGCACACATTCTTTTAATTAATTAGCTTGCCTTCCAGGTTTATTTCTATTTATCTTTAGAGAATCTTCAAAGAAATCATACCATTCCATGATCTCATAAACCCTTCATATGTTTCCCCTACCATTTTAAGCTCTACTTCTTTAAAATTTGCAATATAATTATTGCCTAGGAAAACTCTGTTAACAAATCTTTTAACAACCTTACACTTTGACATAAATATTTCATGAAAAATGCAGACTCGATAGTGATCCTTCTTCATAGAAATAAATACTTTATTGGTGATCTTTAAACTCTTTTGGGCTGGGCACGGTTGCTCATGCCTGTAATCCCAGCACTTTGGCAAGCCGAAGCGGGCAGATCACCTGAGGTCAGGAGTTCCAGACCAGCCTGGCCAACATGGTGAAACTGTCCCTACTAAAAATACAAAAAAAGCTGGCCGGGCATGGTGGCATGCACCTGTACTCCCAGCTACTCCAGAGGCTGAGTCAGGAGCATTACTTGAACCCGGAAGGCAGAGTTTACAGTGAGCTGAGATCGTGCCACTGCACTCCAGCCTGGACGACAGAACAAGACTCCATCTTAAAAAAAAAAATTTTACATGATCACTGCATACTCATAGTTAGGTGGTGTCTGGCAGAATGCAACCACTTCAAGCACAATCTGTAGGGACACAGCATGAGTAGGTACATCTAAAAGGAACTTGCTAGTATATGCTTTCTGAATGGATGAAAAGATATCTCCCTTACATAGCTCCATAAGCAATTAACACAGTAACTACTGAATACCTAACATGTTAAATAATACCACAGTAATGAAGGTTCAAAAGGGATCTTATCTTTGAGGAAAAGAATCCTTAAGAATGCTTGATTCCTTCAAAGAAATGAAGATTCAAAAGGGATCTTATTTTTGAGGGAAAGAATCCTTAAGCATCCTTAAAAATCCTTAAGCAAAAACAATTAGGAATGAAATTATATGACTATTCAAGAGTTGTGCATGTTTGTGTTATAGTCAGTAGTTAGGACAGGAATTCAGAAAAAAAGGAAGGTAGATATGATGTGCAGTAATCAAGGAAGATTTCACAGAGAAATCTTGAGACTTAAAAGATATAGTATAAAGGGAGAACACAACACAATGAAAAGTATCTATGTGATGACAAACCCTACATTCATGAACAACAATTAGGAGACTAGATCAAGTGGAAATTATCAAGAATTTTCTCCAAGAGAAAGTTGAAAAGACCAGATGAGGGCTTATTGTGACAGTTCCTGAAAGAAGAGAAATTTCCATTTCATAGAATAAATGATAAAAAAAAAGGGAAAAACTGATGGTATATTTTGTGAGGAAAGTAACAATATACATTGAATGAATCCAGACAAAATTTACCACAAAGACAAATGGTAATTCCAGTAATAAATACATGAAATAAGATAGTTGTCATTTTGTATGACATCAGTGAGAAATCAGAATATGGGAGGATGTCAATATATTTCACAAGCTGATAAACATATTACAAATTGTGAAGAGATCCATAAGAAATGATAAGAGAGACAGAAAAATCAAGTTGACTTTGTAGTAGAAACAAAATAAATTTGAAGGGATTGGGCACGGTGGCTCAGGCCTGTAATCCCAGCACTTTGGGAGGCTGACACGGGCAGATTGCCTGAGGTCAGGAGTTCAAGACCAGCCTGACCAACATGGAGAAGCCCCATCTCTACTAAAAATACAAAATTAGCCGGGTGTGGTGGCTCATGCCTGTAATCCCAGCTAACCAGGAGGCTGAGGCAGAAGAATTGCTTGAACCTGGGAGCCGGAGGTTGCGGTGAGTCGAGATCGAGCCATTGCACTCCAGCCTGGGCAACAAGAACGAAACTCCATCTCAAATAATAATAATAATAATAATAATAATAATAATAATTATTATTATTATTATTATTATTATTATTATTTTGAGTTAAATAATGGGAGGCCAGGCACGGTGGCTCATGCCTGTAATCTGAGCACTTTGGGAGGCTGAGGCAGGTGGATCACCTGAGGTCAGGAGTTCGAGACCAGCCTGGCCAACATGGTGAAACCCCATCTCTACTAAAAATACAAAAATTAGCCGGGCATGGTGGTGGGCACCTGTAATCCCAGCTACCCCAGAGGCTGAGGCAGGAGAATCACTTGAACCCAGGAGGTGGAGTTTGCAGTGAGCCGAGACTGAACCACTGCACTCCAGCCTGGGTGGCACAGCAGGACTCCATCTCAAAAATAATAAATAAATAAATAAATAGTGGGGAAAAATTTAAGAGCTGAGAAAGTCAGTGATTTTCATTTCTGACACATTGTCAGAAAATAGGTGAGATGATAGACTGTAGTACGCCTGATGAACTGGAGTGAAGGTAGGAGAAATGTGCTTTGTATGTTGACGTCAGTGCCATCTACATAAAATAAACAGCATCAGTCTGAGAATGCATGGAATCATTATAATTGAAAGGTAGATCATGTGAGGGCATATGAGAGAAATAAGACCGAGTGTTAAGTGAAACAATAAACATTTATTTAAAAAAATAAAATCTGTTATGACTATTATATGCCAAGCATTTTTCAGGTGATATGGCCACAGTGGTAAAGAAAACAGGCCAAGTTGTAAATAAGCATTCAAGGAATTAGGATAAGAATTAGTGTTATTTCACTTAAACAAAGGATTGATTGCAGGAATGATGAAAAGCCATGTAAAATGAACCACAAAGGTTTTATGGAAGAAAATGGCAACTTTGACTTTATCAACCTGGGTTGTGTTAAGTGAGTTCTAAAATTAATAGCTAAATTTGTAGTGAGAAGGGGAGCTTAGCACAGAAAACAAAGCCGAGGTGGTATGAAGGAAAGGAAATGTTAAGTAAGTAAGGAGAGGACCACTAACCAATAATTTTCTCTTTTTAAAGACAGGATGAAGAAAGCCTGAAAGAAATCTATTACAATGGTGCCAGGTGCAGTGGCTCAAGCCTGTAATCCCAGCACTTTGTGAGGCCGAGGTGGGCAGATCACAAGGTCAGGAGTTTGAGACCAGCCTGGCCAACATGGTGAAACCCCATCTCTACTAAAAATACAAAAAAGTTAGCCAGGCCTGTTGATGCGCACCTGTAATCCCAGCTACTTAGGAGGCTGAGGCAGGAGAATCATTTGAACCTGGGAGGCGGAGGTTGCAGTGAGCCAAGATGACGTCACTGCATTCCAGCCTGGGCTACAGAGTAAGACTCCATCTCAAAAACAAAAACAAAAAACAACCAATAAGTAAATAAATAAATAAACCTTTCCTGACAAAACTTATCACAATGGCAAGATAAGGACTGAGAAGGCTGGAAAAAGATACACGAGCTAATAAAAAAGATCTAAAAGAAAGATGGCTTATGGTACATTCAGAGTGGCAGTTGTTTTTGATAATATGAAGCAAACTAGGAAAGAATGTATTTGGGGAGAGTGATATATATAGTGTATTATTATTTTTTTTGAAATGGAGTCTTGCTCTGTTGCCCAGGCTGGAGTGCAATGGCACGATCTTGGCTCACCGGAACCTCCGCCTACCGGGTTTAAGCGATTCTCCGGCCTCAGCCTCCTGAGTCGCTGGGATTACAGGCATGTGCCACCACACCCAGCTAATTTTTGTATTTTTAGTAGAGACAGGGTTTCATTATGTTGGCCAGGTTGGTTTCAAACTCCTGACCTCAGGTGATCTGCCCGCCTCAGCCTCCCGAAGTGCTAGGATTACAGGTGTGAGCCACCGTGCCCAGCCGGAGAGAGTGATATTTAAAAGTCTGGTTCTGTTTTTGTTTTTGAGACAGGGTCTTGGCTCTGTAGCCCAGGCTGGTGTGTAGTGGTATAATCCTAGCTCACTGTAACCTTGAATCCTTGGGCTCAAGTGATTCTCCTACCTCAACCTTCTGAGTAGCTGGAACCACAGGTGTATGCCATCATTCCTGGCTTTTTTTTTTTTGAGACAGGCTCTTGCTCTGTCTCCCAGGTTGGAGTGGTGCAATCACAGCTGACCACAGACTTGACTTCCTGGGCTCAAGTGATCCTCCCACCTTAGCTTCCTGAGTAGCTGGGACTAAAGGTGCACACCACCATGCCCAGCTAACTTTTGTATTTTTTTTGTAAAGATGGGGTTTTGCCATGATTCTCAGGCTGGTTGCAAACTCCTGGGCTCAAGGGATCTGCCCATCTTGGCCTCCCAAAGTGCTGGGATGAAAGGTGTGAGCCACCACACCCAACCTTGGCTAATTTTTTATTTTTATCTTTTTGTAGTGATGGGGTCTTGCTATGCTGTCCAGGCTGGCTCTGAACTCGTGGCCTCAAGTGATCCTCTCACCTTGGCCTCCCAAAGTGTCAGATTATAGGCATGAGCCACCATACCTAGCCTAAAGGTCTGGTTTTGAGTTTTATAGGCATGAAGGTTTTCAGAGGTCAAGAGCCTTTAAAAAAAGATACTCCTGAAACATTTCAAAGGTATCACCCCCACTTGACCCTTTTAAATTTACATTCTGCTAGACTGTGTCTGCCTAAGAGCCAGAAACTCACCCAAGCAGGTATGACCTGCAAATGATGTCCATGGCTCTTCTCCTCGTTCCAACTTGAGGATCACATCAGGTTTGGTCATGTGACACCCTGAAAAGTGAAAAAAAGACTTAAGTTGATTGGGCTATAATACCACTGAAAAATGAGGAAAGGGGCATGTTCAGTACTGCAAATTAAGACACCCATTTGTGTAACAATATAGGTAGCACCTTGCACTGGGTAAGTGAAGACACAATCATTCATTCTGCTAACGAAAAGGAATTCATCACCTCTTATTCCTGAAATTCAAGATTATACACAATTAGGCACTTTGAGAGGAAGTGCATGCTACTAAAGTTTCAAAGAGGATTTTTCTTACCCACAGAGATGAGGTGGCAATAGTTTTCCAACATCACATCCATATATAGAGTCTTCTGAGCATGATCCAGGTGCTGCCACTCCTCCTGAGTGAAGTCCACAGTCACATCATTGAAAGACACTGATCCCTAGAATGGATGGAACTGTAATCAGAACAGGTGGACTTAGCCAGGTACAGTGGTTCATGCCTGTAATCCCAGCACTTTGGGAGGCTGAGGTAGGTGGATCACTTGAGGTCATGAGTTAAAAACCACCCTGGCCAAGATGGTGAAACCCCATGTCTACTAAAAATACAAAAAATTAGCTGGGCATAGTGGTGTGCGCCTGTAATCCCAGTTACATGGGAGGCTGAGGCAGGAGAATAGCTTGAAACCAGGAGGCGGAGGATGCAGTGAGCCCAGATCATGCCACTGCACTCCAGCCTGGGCGACAGAGCAGGACTCTGTCAAAAAAAAGGAAAAGAAAAAGAACAGGTGGACTGGATATTGGGAACTACTTTTGACCCTGCTTCCTTGTGGCAGTCATACGAATCCTAATATAGAAAGACTACAATTTTCCCTGTTTTATGATTTATATTGTAGGGAAAACAAAAATCAAGGTAAAAATATCCATCAGTTAGTTTTTAAATAACACATTCTAAGAATATTTACTGTGAAGCCACTTAATGCCAAAAACTGTATTTATTTATGGAAGTGCCAAGACAAACACTGTTTCTGCTCAGAAGTTACCAGAGGCATGTAACACATACTTGCAAGAAAATGTAAGTAAACACAAACCTGCAAGAAGGTGTCACAGGTACAACAAAGAAGTATGTACAAGATACAGCATGTATCACAAAGGTAGAACAATTTCTCAGGCTTCACTAAGGAGGAATATTGTATGTGCATGGTGAGATTTTTCAGCATGCAGCATTAACAGAGTAAAACAGTCAGGGACACTTTCCCTCAGATAATAATTATAAAATGTGCACATGCCATACAATAAACAACTAATAGCACTGGAAAGCAACCAAAGCAGGCGGAAACTGGAAAAGAGCTTATCCTTGAAGGATAGCAACTGCAATGTACAAGAACTGCTAATTTTGTGGCTGTTTTTGCATCATGGTACCTGAAACCCCACAGCTCTCATGGCATAAAACCACCACTTACTTCCTCAAAGGTGACGGGAGGACAGAAACGAGAGCTTGAGGCTGGGCGTGGTGGCTCATCTGAGGTCAGGAGTTCAAAACCAGCCCAGCTAACATGGCAAGACCCTGTCTCTACTAAAAATACAAAAATTAGCTGGGTGTGGTGGTGGGTGCCTGTAATCCTGCTACTTGGGAGGCTGAGGCAGTACAATCGCTTGAACCCGGGAGATGGAGGTTGTAGTGAGCCGAGATTGTGCCACTGCACTCCAGTCTGGGTGACAGAGAGAGACTGTGTCACACACACACACACACACAAAAAGTGAGAGCTGGAAATTTAGGTTAATTCTGGAAGTGAGGGAACTACAGAACGGATGAAAATGAAAATCTGAGCATAAACTCTGCCAAACTCCTGGTTGATAAAATATGCATGTGTTGGAGAGATCACCGAGGGCTTAGCAAAAAGCAGGCAGAAATACAACAGAAAAGAATCTTGAAAAATAAAAGTGCACCTAATAAGATTCTAAGGCTTCTGCTTCTTGACTGATGGTATTCCACAACCTGCTCATAGCCCAAGAAGAATAAAATTTAAGGCTTACGGGATTAAGGTGTCAGAGCTTGAACTGACAAAGCAGCAGGAAGTGTAGAGGGTAAAACTTGAAAAAGAGAAATGCAGGACGTGAGCCCCCAAATCTAAACACTCACCAATTCCTTGATTGAGAGAAAAGCAGATGAACACAAGAGAGAACCTATCTGCTTTCAGGAGGTTAGGGTAAAAGGCAGCAGCTAGAAGCTTGAAGAACTAAGAGGATATATCAGCTGCTTTACACTGAGCAGGAAGACAAAGT
The DNA here is from genome assembly GCF_000001405.40 of Homo sapiens. NCBI lineage: Eukaryota > Metazoa > Chordata > Mammalia > Primates > Hominidae > Homo > Homo sapiens. The sequence continues at coordinate 36,710,542 of NC_000019.10, read as the reverse complement.
TTGATGTTTGATTACAAGCAAGCTAATTGCCTACTAAAAATAATAATAATTCTCAGAAGAACATAACAGATATAACAGAATTCAGATTACAATACTATTTATGATGTCCAGTTTTCTAGCAAAAATTACTAAACATGCAAACAAAACAAAACAAAAAGGAGTGGGGGGAATAAAACCTGTAGTCACAAAAAGACAATCACAGAAACTAACTCCTAGTGGGCCCTGATGTCAGATTTTGCCAAAAAAAAAAAAAAAAAAAAAAGGCTTCAAAGTAGCTGTTCTAAATGTATTCAAAGAAATAACTGAAATAAAAAATTAACTAGAGAAGCTCGATAGGAGCACAGAAATAGAGAATCAGTATCTGTGTAAATCAATCAAGAGAAAGTAAGTAATCTGAACAGAAAGAAAAAAGAATCATGAAAAATGAACAGACTCACAAAGATCCATAGGTCATATTCAAAAATCCAACATGGATATAATTAGAGTCCCAGAATGGGGAGAGAAAAAGAAAGGGCATAAATAAATTTTATGGAAATAATGGCCTAACTCCAAACTTGGCAAGAACTTTTAATTTACATATTCAAGGAGTTTAATTAACCCTAAAAGGATAAACACCAAAGAAAACCACACTTAGCCAAATCCTAATTAAACTGCTACACAGCCAAGAATTCTACACGCAGCAAAACTATATATTCAAAATGAAGGCAACATAAAGATATTTTCAGATAAAACCTAGAGAATTCATCACCAGCAGGAATGCACCATCAAAAATACTAATAGGCTGGGTGTGGTGGCTTACTTTTGTAATCTGGGCACTTTGGAGGGCTGAGGCAGGAAGACTGCTTGAAGCTAGGAGTTTGAGATCAGCCTGGGCAACATCACCAGCAGGACTGCACCATCAAAAATGCTAATAGGCTGGGCGTGGTGGCTTACTTCTGTAATCCGGGCACTTTGTGGGGCTGAGGCAGGAAGACTGCTTGAAGCCAGGAGTTTGAGATCAGCCTGGGCAACAAAGTGAGATCTCTATCTCTGGAGTGGGGGAAGGGGAAGGGGTGGTGGGGCCTAAAGGAAATTCTTCAGGCTTAAGGTAAAAATAACACTAAGGTCTTTAGGAAGGTATGAAGAAAATAAGAAAAATTGTAAGAGTATAAATATTCATTTCCTTTCTTCTTTATGAGATATGACTGTTTCAAGCAGCAGTCAGGGAATGTCTTCTGCTATTTTAGCATGAAAGCAACCATAGATAATATGTAAATAAATGAGCAAAGATGTGTTTCAATAAAACTTAGTTATGGACACTAACATTTAAATTTCATGAAGTTTTAGTGTGTCAGGAATATTTTTTCTTGTAAATGTTTTCAAACGTTTCAAATGCAAAGACAATTCTTAGCTCACAATCTGTACAAAATAGGAAACAGGCTGGATTTTGGCCTGTGGACTACAGACCCTTCTAATACCACTTATTGCAAACATAAATATCATATACATGGCAAACAAAAAAGTAAAAGACAGGTATTAATAAATGAAACTATAATGTGGCAAGATTGATATATTTTTACCATAACTAATTTAATATTAACCTTAAGAAAATCCTGGTAAGTTGAAGATCCATACTGTAATCCTAGGGCAATCACACAAAAAATGCAAACGCATAACTAAAAAGCTAACAGAGGAATGAAATGAATCATTAAAACGTATGTGACTGACACAAAATACAACAGAATGTAGGAACAGATAAGCAAGAACGGGTTAGGAGGAATTCAAATGCATATTACGAAGTGAATGAAGCCACTCTGAAAAGGCTACATGGTATATAGTCTTCCAGATTCTAACCAAATGGCATTCTGCAAAAGGCAACATTTTGGAGAGAGTAAAAAGATCAGTGGTTTCCAGGGGGTAGCAGGGAGGGAGGGATAAATAGGCAGAGCAAAGAGGATTTTTAGGGCAGTGAAACCATTTTGTAAGATAATATAATGGTGAATATGTGCCATTATATATTTGTCAAAACCCACATTATCAATATCAATAGTGAACCCTAATGTAAACTATGAATTTTGGGTGAAAATAATGTGTTAATGTAGCTCCAGGAATCGGACTAAATTAGCCGTAGACCAAAATGCTGCTCTTGACCTACACTAACAAAAACTTAAAAGCAAGCCTCAAAAGGATCAAAATGGACTGAAGTAACTTAATTCTTTAACGTAACATAACAAAATCCAGCATTCAGCAATTTAAAATTCAAGTAAAAAATTTCCAAGCATGCAAAATAGGACTAATATTCATGAGGGAAAAAAAATGATCAAAAGAAACAGACCCAGAAATGACAGAGGTGATGGATTTAACAAACAAGATGGGCTGGGCACAGTGGCTCATGCCAGTAATTCCAGAACTCTGGGAAGCTGAGACAGGAAGATCACTTGAGCCCAGGAGACCAGCCTGGGCAACATAGCAAAACCCTGTCTCTACAAAAAATTTAAAAATTAGCTAGGTGTGGTGGCACACACCTGTGGTCCCAGCTACACTGGAGACTGAGGTGGGGGGATCGCTTGAGCCCAGGAGTTAGAGGCTGCAGTGAGCTCTGATTGTACCACTGCACTCCAGCCTGGGCAACAGAGTCTCAAACAAACAAACGAAAAACAAGGATGTTAAAACAGGATTATTATAGGCCGGGCGCAGTGGCTCACGCCTGTAATCCCAGCACTTTGGGAGGTCTAGGCAGGCAGATCACCTGAGGTCAGGAGTTCGAAACCAGCCTGGACAAAATGGTGAAACCCCAATCTCCACTAAACATACAAAAATTAGCCGGGCATGGTGGCAGGTGCCTGTAATCCCAGCTACTCAGGAGGCTGAGGCAGGAGAATCACTTAAACCCGGAAGGCAGAGGTTGCAGTGAGCTGAGATCACACCATTGCACTCTAGCCTGAGCGACAAGAGTAAAACTCCGTTTCAACAACAACAACAACAAAACAGGATTATAAACATACTCCATAAGCTCAAGAATGTAGAAAAAAAGATAAACATGAGAGAAATGGAAGATATAAAAAGGATCAAAGAAAAGTTCTAGAGAAGAAAAATACATGATATGAAAAATACAACGGGTGGTAGTAACAACAGATTACACATTGAAGAAAGAAAAGATCAGTGAACTTGAAGAGAAAGAAAGCAATATAAACTAAGCAAAATGCTTTCACCGTTGGCTGAGTTCCAATAAAACTCTACAAAACCAGGCATCATGCCTGACTTAGCTCAAATGCAATGGTTTGCCAACCTCTGGCCTAGAGCAACCACTAAAAAACAAAACAAACAAGAAAATAAAGAAGTACTTCTAATAAGTGAATAAATAATACAGAAACAAATGAAATCATAAAAAATTTCTCAATCTAAAAAAAAAGAAAACATAATTGGAAAAAATAGGAAGATGGCATATTTAAATTCAACTATATTGATAATTACATTGAATGGACTAAAAACTCCAATTAAAAGATAAGAGTATCAGATTGGAGGAAAAAAGAAAAACCAAACCATCTACTAGCTGTACCAGATTAACTATAAACGTTAAAACATAGGTAAATAAAAGTATAAAGGATGGGCAAGGTGCAGTGGCTCACACCTATAATCCCAGCACTTTGGGAGGCCAGGCAGGAAGATCACTTGGACCCAGGAGTTCAAGACCAGCCTAGGCAACATAGTGAGACCCCACCTCTATAAAAAATTTAAAAATTAGCCAGATGAGGTGGCACATGCCTGCAGTCCTAGCTACTCAGGTGGCTACGGTGGGAGGATTGCTGGATCCTGGGAGGTTGATTGCACCACTGCCCTCCAGTCTGGGTGACAGAACAAGATCCTGTCTCAAAAAAAAAACAAAAAAAAAAACCAACAGTAAAAAGGATGGAAATCAGGTATATCATATACTATAGTTTGAATGTGTCCCCTCTAAAATTCAGGTGTAGGCCAGGCACAGTGGCTCACACCTGTAATCCTAGCACTTTGGGAGGCCAAGGCAGGCAGATTGGTTGAACCCAAAAGCTCAAGACCAGCCTAGGCAACATGGTGAAATTGTGTCTCTATAAAAAACAGAAAAATTAGCTGGGCATGGTGTCACATGCCTGTAGTATCAGCTACTCAGGAGGCTGACGTGAGAGGATCCCATGAGCCCAGGATGTTGAGGCTGAAGTGAGCCATGATTGTGCCACTGAAATCCAGCCTGGGCTACAAAGCGAGGCCCTATCTCGAAACAAAAACCAAACAACGTTCAGGTGTTGCCAATGTGATAGTATTACGAAGTAGGGCCTTTAATACGTGATTAGGCCAGTCATTAAGATTTCTCCCTTTGTGAATGGGATTAAGGCCCTTGTAAAAGGGGCTTCACGTAGCATGTGGCTGGCTTGTACTTTTGCCATGTGAGGACAGAGCCTCAAGGTGCCATCTTGGAAGCAGAGAACAGACCCCACCAGAAACCCAAACCTGCCTGAATCTTTATCTTGGACCTCCCAGCCTCCAGAATTGTGAGAAAATTTATTTTTGTTCTTCATAAATTATCCAGTTTCAGGCATTCTGTTATAGCAGCACAAAGAACAAAGATACCATACAATCATAAGAAAGTTAGAATGGCTATAAAAATATTAACCAAAATAGATTTCAGGACAATATTATTTAGAATATTATCAAGGATTAATTGAAGCATTTCATAATAATAGGACAGGGTGAATTCATGAGAGGATACAACAATCCTAAATATAAATGCATCTAAAAACAAAGCTTAGTTATAATAGAAGATTTCAACTTTCTTCCTTCAGTCATTGCTTTAACAGACTGAAGAACAATAAGAATACAGAAAACTTTCAACACAATCAACCAATTTAATCTCACTGATATTTACAGGGTACACCCAATAACATCAGAATATGCATTCTTTACAAGGGCACAGAGAACACTGACCAAATTAAACTGTACTCTGTGCTATAAAAGAAGTCTCCATAAATTTAGGAAGACATCATATAGACTCTGCTCTGACTGAAACAGAATTAAACTAGAACCAGTTACAGGAAGCTATTTGGAAAATCCCCAAATATTTGGAAATTAAACACATTTCTAAATAACCAATGAGCAAAAAACAAACATGAGAAAATTAGAAAATATTTTCAACTGAATAAGAAAATGCAACATGTCAAAACTTGGGAGCCCTTTAAATAGTGCTTACAGAGAAATTTATAGCATTTAAAGCTTCTATTAGAAAAAAAGAAATGTCTTAACTCAATGTACACTTCCATCTATGTAAGAATTGGAAAAGAAGAGCTAATTATACCCAAAGTCATGAGAGGGAAAGGAAATACAAAATAAAAGAGGAGAAATGAGGTAACAAAAATACTAGAAGAAATCCATGAAACTAAAAGCTGCTGTGGTACTTTGAAAAGATCAACTACATTGATATACCTGTAGCCAAAGAACCAGGGGAAAAAGTGAGACATACAAATCATCAATAACAAGAATAAAAAAGGGGTATTGTTACAGATTATACAAACATCAAAAGGATAAAAAGGGCAACAACTTTATGCCAATACATTTTACAACTTAGATGAACTGAACAAATTCCTAGACAGTCACAAACTACAAAAGCTCATTGAATTAAAAGAAAAACTGATAACCTGAACAGTCTTCATTCTATTACCAAAATTGAACTACTGGTTAAACAACTTTCCACAAAGAAATCTCCAAGTCAGATAGATGGCTTCACAGTGAATTCTAACAAACGTTTAAGAAATAATACCAATTCTATATAAATTCTTTCAGAAAATAATAAGAGGAGAGAATACAACCCAATTCATTTATGAGATAGCATTACCCTGACATCAAACAGAAAAACTATACATTAGATCCATTATGAACCACAGACAAGAAAAATCAGTAACAACATATTAGCAAATTCATCATATTTAATATATAAAACAATATATACAAAAGTATTATATCATGACCAAGTGGAGTTTATCCCAGGACAACTAAATTTTTCAAAAATCAATCAACATAATTCATTATAGTAATATTAAAAAAAGAAAAAAGCCATATAATGTGAAAAACCAATAGATGAAGAAACACTTTTTTTGTTTTTTGTTTTGTTTTGAGATGGAGTTTTACTCTTTGTTGCCCAGGCTGGAGTGCAGTGGCACCACCTTGGCTCACTGCAACCTCCACCTCCTGGGTTCAAGCGATTCTCCTGTCTCAGCCTCCTGAGCAACTAGGATTACAGGCGCCCACCACATCCAGATAATTTTTTTTGTATTTTTGTATGTTGCCCAGGCCAGTCTTGAACTCCTGGCTCAAGTGATTCGCCTGCCCTGGCCTCCCAAAGTGCTGAGATTACAGGCATGAGCCACCACACCTGGCCCAGAAAAACTTTTGAGAAAATTTAACACTCATTCATGATAAAAACTATCAGCAAACTGGAATGTCTTCAATCATTTAAAAAAGAAATTCCAGGCCAAATAGGAACAGCTCTGGTCTACAGCTCCCAGCGTGAGCGATGCAGAAGACAGGTGATTTCTGCATTTCCATCTGAGGTACCGGGTTCATCTCACTAGGGAGTGCCAGACAGTGGGCGCAGGACAGTGGGTGCAGCGCACCATGCGCGAGACGAAGCAGGGCGAGGCATTGCCTCACTCGGGAAGCGCAAGGGGTCACGATGTTCCCTTTCCTGGTCAAGGAAAGGGGTGACAGATGGCACCTGGAAAATCGGGTCACTCCTACCCAAATACTGCGCTTTTCTGACGGGCTTAGGAAACGGGGCACCAGGAGATTATATTCCGCACCTGGCTCGGAGGGTCCTATGCCCACGGAGTCTCGCTGATTGCTAGCACAGCAGTCTGAGATCAAACTGCAAGGCGGCAGTGAGGCTGGGGTAGACGTGCCCTCCATTGTCCAGGCTCACTTAGGTAAACAAAGCAGCCGGGAAGCTCGAACTGGGTGGAGCCCACCACAGCTCAAGGAGACCTGCCTGCCTCTGTAGGCTCCACCTCTGGGGGCAGGGCACAGACAAACAAAAAGACAGCAGTAACCTCTGCAGACTTAAATGTCCCTGTCTGACAGCTTTGAAGAGAGCAGTGGTTCTCCCAGCATGCAGCTGGAGATCTGAGAACGGGCAGACTGCCTCCTCAAGTGGGTCCCTGACCCCTGACCCCCGAGCAGCCTAACTGGGAGGCACCCCCCCCAGTAGGGGCAGACTGACACCTCACACGGCCGGGTACTCCTCTGAGACAAAACTTCCAGAGGACCGATCAGACAGCAGCATTTGCGGATCACGAAAATCCGCAGTTCTGCAGACACTGCTGCTGATACCCAGGCAAACAAGGTCTGGAGTGGACCTCTAGCAAACTCCAACAGACCTGCAGCTGAGGGTCCTGTCTGTTAGAAGGAAAACTAACAAACAGAAAGGACATCCACACCAAAAACCCATCTGTACATCACCATCATCAAAGACCAAAAGTAGATAAAACCACAAAGATGGGGAAAAAACAGAGCAGAAAAACTGGAAACTCTAAAAAGCAGAGCACCTCTCCTCCTCCAAAGGAACACAGTTCCTCACCAGCAACAGAACAAAGCTGGACGGAGAATGACTTTGACGAGTTGAGAGAAGAAGGCTTCAGATGATCAAACTACTCTGAGCTACAGGAAGAAATTCAAACCAAAGGCAAAGAAGTTGAAAACTTTGAAAAAAATTTAGATGAATGTATAACTAGAATAACCAACACAGAGAAGTGCTTAAAGGAGCTGATGGAGCTGAAAGCCAAGGCTCGAGAACTACATGAAGAATGCAGAAGCCTCAGGAGCCGATGCGATCAACTGGAAGAAAGGGTATCAATGATGGAAGATCAAATGAATGAAATGAAGCAAGAAGGGAAGTTTAGAGAAAAAAGAATAAAAAGAAACGAACAAAGCCTCCAAGAAATATGGGACTATTTGAAAAGACCAAATCTACGTCTGATTGGTGTACCTGAAAGTGACAGGGAGAATGGAACCAAGTTGGAAAACACTCTGCAGGATATTATCCAGGAGAACTTCCCCAATCTAGCAAGGCAGGCCAACATTCAGATTCAGGAAATACAGAGAATGCCACAAAGATACTCCTCGAGAAGAGCAACTCCAAGACACATAATTGTCAGATTCACCGAAGTTGAAATGAAGGAAAAAATGTTAAGGGCAGCCAGAGAGAAAGGTCGGGTTACCCACAAAGGGAAGCCCATCAGACTAACAGCGGATCTCTCGCCAGAAACTCTACAAGCCAGAAGACAGTGGGGGCCAATATTCAACATTCTTAAAGAAAAGAATTTTCAACCCAGAATTTCATATCCAGCCAAACTAAGCTTCATAAGTGAAGGAGAAATACAATACTTTACAGACAAGCAAATGCTGAGAGATTTTTGTCACCACCAGGCCTGCCCTAAAAGAGCTCCTGAAGGAAGCACTAAACGTGGAAAGGAACAACCAGTACCAGCCGCTGCAAAATCATGCCAAAATGTAAAGACCATCGAGACTAGGAAGAAACTGCATCAACTAACAAGCAAAATAACCAGCTATCATCATAATGACAGGATCAAATTCACACATAACAATATTAACCTTAAATGTAAATAGGCTAAATGCTCCAATTAAAAGACACAGACTGGCAAATTGGATAGAGTCAAGACCCATCAGTGTGCTGTATTCAGGAAACCCATCTCACGTGCAGAGACACACATAGGCTCAAAATAAAAGGATGGAGGAAGATCTACCAAGCAAATGGAAAACAAAAAAAGGCAGGGGTTGCAATCCTAGTCTCTGATAAAACAGACTTTAAACCAACGAAGATCAAAAGAGACAAAGAAGGCCATTACATAATGGTAAAGGGATCAATTCAACAAGAAGAGCTAACTATCCTAAATATATATGCACCCAATACAGGAGCACCCAGATGCATAAAGCAAGTCCTTAGAGACCTAGAAAGAGACTTAGACTCCCACACAATAATAATGGGAGAGACTTTAACACCCCACTGTCAACATTAGACAGATCAACGAGACAGAAAGTTAACAAGGATACCCAGGAATTGAACTCAGCTCTGCACCAAGCGGACCTAATAGACATCTACAGAACTCTCCACCCCAAATCAACAGAATATACATTTTTTTCAGCACCACACCACACCTATTCCAAAATTGACCACATACTTGGAAGTAAAGCTCTCCTCAGCAAATGTAAAAGAACAGAAATTATAACAAACTGTCTCTCAGACCACAGTGCAATCAAACTAGAACTCAAGATTAAGAAACTCACTCAAAACCGCTCAACTAAATGGAAACTGAACAACCTGCTCCTGAATGACTACTGGGTACATAATGAAATGAAGGCAGAAATCAAGATGTTCTTTGAAACCAACGAGAACAAAAGCACAACATACCAGAATCTCTGGGACACATTCAAAGCAGTGTGTAGAGGGAAATTTATAGCACTAAATGCCCACAAGAGAAAGCAGGAAAGATCCAAAATTGACACCCTAACATCACAATTAAAAGAACTAGAGAAGCAAGAGCAAACACATTCAAAAGCTAGCAGAAGGCAAGAAATAACTAAAATCAGAGCAGAACTGAAGGAAATAGAGACAAAAAAAACCCTTCAAAAAATTAATGAATCCAGGAGCTGGTTTTTTGAAAGGATCAACAAAATTGATAGACCGCTAGCAAGACTAATAAAGAAAAAAAGAGAAAAGAATCAAATAGACGCAATAAAAGATGATAAATGGGATATCACCACCGATCCCACAGAAATACAAACTACCATCAGAGGATACTACAAACACCTCTACGCAAATAAACTAGAAAATCTAGAAGAAATGGATAAATTCCTCGACACATACACTCTCCCAAGACTAACCAGGAAGAAGTTGAATCTCTGAATAGACCAATAACAGGATCTGAAATTGTGGCAATAATCAATAGCTTACCAACCAAAAAGAGTCCAGGACCAGATGGATTCACAGCCGAATTCTACCAGAGGTACAAGGAGGAACTGGTACCATTCCTTCTGAAACTATTCCAATCAATAGAAAAAGAGGGAATCCTCCCTAACTCATTTTATGAGGCCAGCATCATCCTGATACCAAAGCCGGGCAGAGACAAAACCAAAAAAGAGAATTTTAGACCAATATCCTTGATGAACATTGATGCAAAAATCCTCAATAAAATACTGGCAAACCGAATCCAGCAGCACATCAAAAAGCTTATCCACCATGATCAAGTGGGCTTCATCCCTGGGATGCAAGGCTGGTTCAATATACACAAACCAATAAATGTAATCCAGCATATAAACAGAACCAAAGACAAAAACCACATGATTATCTCAATAGATGCAGAAAAGGCCTTTGACAAAATTCAACAACCCTTCATGCTAAAAACTCTCAATAAATTAGGTATTGATGGGACGTATCTCAAAATAATAAGAGCTATCTATGACAAACCCACAGCCAATATCATACTGAATGGGCAAAAACTGGAAGCATTCCCTTTGAAAACTGGCACAAGACAGGGATGCCCTCTCTCACCACTCCTATTCAACATAGTGTTGGAAGTTCTGGCCAGGGCAATTAGGCAGGAGAAGGAAATAAAGGGTATTCAATTAGGAAAAGAGGAAGTCAAATTGTCCCTGTTTGCAGACGACATGATTGTATATCTAGAAAACCCCATTGTCTCAGCCCAAAATCTCCTTAAGCTGATAAGCAACTTCAGGAAAGTCTCAGGATACAAAATCAATGTACAAAAATCACAAGCATTCTTATACACCAATAACAGACAAACAGAGAGCCAAATCATGAGTGAACGCCCATTCACAACTGCTTCAAAGAGAATAAAATACTTAGGAATCCAACTTACAAGGGATGTGAAGGACCTCTTCAAGGAGAACTACAAACCACTGCTCAATGAAATAAAAGAGAATACAAACAAATGGAAGAACATTCCATGCTCATGGGTAGGAAGAATCAATATCGTGAAAATGGCCATACTGACCAAGGTAATTTATAGATTCAATGCCATCCCCATCAAGCTACCACTGACTTTCTTCACAGAATTGGAAAAAACTACTTTAAAGTTCATATGGAACCAAAAAAGAGCCCACATCGCCAAGTCAATCCTAAGCCGAAAGAACAAAGCTGGAGGCATCACGCTACCTGACTTCAAACTATACTACAAGGTTACAGTAACTAAAACAGCATGGTACTGGTACCAAAACAGAGATATAGATCAATGGAACAGAACAGAGCCCTCAGAAATAATGCCACTTATCTACAACTATCTGAGCTTTGACAAATCTGAGAAAAACAAGCAATGGGGAAAGGATTCCCTATTTAATAAATGGTGCTGGGAAAACTGGCTAGCCATATGTAGAAAGCTGAAACTGGATCCCTTCCTTACACCTTATACAAAAATTAATTCAAGATGGATTAAAGACTTAAACGTTAGACCTAAAACCATAAAAACCCTAGAAGAAAACCTAGGCAATACCATTCAGGACATAGGCATGGGCAAGGACTCCATGACTAAAACACCAAAAGCAATGGCAACAAAAGCTAAGATTGACAAATGGGATCTAATTAAACTAAAGAGCTTCTGCATAGCAAAAGAAACTACCATCAGAGAGAACAGGCAACCTACAAAATGGGAGAAAATTTTCGCAACCTACTCATCTGACAAAGGGCTAATATCCAGAATCTATAATGAACTCAAACAAATTTACAAGAAAAAAACAACCCCATCAAAAAGTGGGCAAACGATATGAACAGACACTTCTCAAAAGAAGACATTTATGCAGCCAAAAGACACATGAAAAAATGCTCATCATCACTGGCCATCAGAGAAATGCAAATCAAAACCACAATGAGATACCATCTCACACCAGTTAGAATGGCAATCATTAAAAAGTCAGGAAACAACAGGTGCTGGAGAGGATGTGGAGAAATAGGAACACTTTTACACTGTTGGTGGGACTGTAAACTAGTTCAACCATTGTGGAAGTCAGTGTGGCGATTCCTCAGGGATCTAGAACTAGAAATACCATTTGACCCAGCCATCCCATTACTGGGTATATACCCAAAGGAGTATAAATCATGCTGCTATAAAGACACATGCACACGTATGTTTACTGCGGCACTATTCACAATAGCAAAGACTTGGAACCAACCCAAATGTCCAACAATGATAGACTGGATTAAGAAAATGTGGCACATATACACCATGAAATACTATGCAGCCATAAAAAATGATGAGTTCATGTCCTTTGTAGGGACATGGATGAAATTGGAAATCATCATTCTCCGTAAACTATCACAAGGACAAAAAATCAAACACCGCATGTTCTCACTTATAGATGGGAACTGAACAATGAGAACACATGGACACAGGAAGGGGAACATCACACTCTGGGGACTGTTGTCGGGTGGGGAGAGGGGGGAGGGATAGCATTAGGAGATATACCTAATGCTAAATGACGAGTTAATGGGTGCAGCACACCAGCATGGCACATGTATACATATGTAACTAACCTGCACATTGTGCACATGTACCCTAAAACTTAAAGTATAATAAAAAAAAAAAAAAAAAAGAAATTCCAGCCGGACATGGTGGCTCACACCTGTAATGCCAATACTTGGGGAAGCCAAGGCAGGCAGAACACTTGAGGCCAGAGTTCAAGACCAGCCTCGCCAATATGGTGAAATGCTGTCTCTACTAAAAATACAAAAATTAGGCCAGCATGGTGGTGCATGCCTGTAATCCCAGCTACGTGGGAGGCTGACGCACCAGAATCGCTTGAACCTGGGAGGCAGAGGTTGCAGTAAGCTGAGATCCACCACTGCACTCCAGCCTGGATGACAGGACAAGACTCTGTCTCAAGAAAAAAAAAAAAAGAAAAAAAAATCCTAATCCTATAGCTAATATCAAACTTAATAATGAAAAACAATGCCTTTTGCCTAAGTTGGGCACAAGACAAGAAAGTCTGTTCTTAGAACTTCTACTCAACATTGTACTGAAGGTTCTAGACAATGTAGTAAGGAAAGACAGAAATGAAGGGAATATAGATTAGAAAGAAAGAAAACAGTCATTATTCACATATGACAGGATTGTCCATATAGAAAATCCTAAGAATCTAACAAAAAAAAAATTACTAGAATAAGAGAGTTTTGAAAGGTTGCAGGTCAAGATAAAAAAATCAATTGCATTTTCACATACTAGCAATAAACAGTGGGAAATTTAAATAAAAATGAACACCATTTACAGCAGCATTAAAAAATATCCAAGGATATAAAAAACATTTACAAGACTGGTACACTGAAAGGAACATTACTGAGAGAATTTAAGGAAGATCTAAATAAAAGGAGATGTGCATCATGTTCATTAACTGGAAAACTCTATTAGCATTAATGATTATTATTCTCGTATTTAAACTGTTATAAGCATTTTAACATTTTCTTGTCTCCTAATGAAATGTCTATATACATTCCTCTAAGGCACTTTCCATCTGATGCTATAAAGAATAAAATTGGGAGTAACTGTTTAGTGTTATTGGTACAGAATTTCTATGTGAAATGAAGAAAAACAGTTCCGGAAATAGATAGTGGTGACAGTTACACAACTTGTGAACGTACTTAATGGCTTTGAATTATACGCTAAAAAATGGTTAAAACGGTAAGCTCTCTGTTATGTATATTTTACCATAATAAAAAGTTAAACACAAAAGCACAGAAAACAAAAATATGTAAGCAAGCATTGGGGTGAGCCCTTGGAGAAGTGGAAAATAAGTGAAGATGTTAAATGGGAAGACAAGTGACCACTATGAGAAAGGAACCCAAATAAGGATGGTATCAGTGGAGGATGGAGGGAACTGTGGTAAGAGGAACAGAATTTACCACTCAATAGTTTTGCAGTGAATGGGAGACTTTTAACTCATGTTGGCTGTATTGGCAGGTGGGTAGGGGTTGGGGCCCTAACCAGATTGGAAAAAAACAAAAGGATAGGATGGGCAGAAGGAGACAATGAGGTGAATCTCAGACATGTGCATGAAGGATCTGCGGAACATGTAGGTGGCGATATCTAGCTGGAGGCTGGATATATAGTTTCGACAATACATCAAAAAAGACAGAGGTTTAGAATCAAAATTACTTGAGCAGCATTAGAATAATAGTGGTAGGTAGTGAACAGGAGAGTGTAAATAGAAGAGAACCAATACAGAATCTGGAGAACACCAGTATTTAAGAGGTCCAGATACGAAGATAAATGTTCTGACTGAAACAAGAAAGAGTAGTGTCTTTGAAACCAGAAGCAGAATATTTTAGGAGTTACACTTCTAGTTTAGTATGGCAGTCTATACAAATATATTTACTTCTACATGCAAACATAAAATTGGAAGAAATGTGAAAATAGAAATAAATCTAGAATACAATTAATATACTAAGAAGGTGTTATTGGAAGGCCACAGATTTTTAGAAATTGTTAGCAGCTGTGAGCAAAACTGAAGGTAGAGAAGAAACACAAGATTCTCAGTTTTTTGTACAAGTTGCCAATCACGTTTCCATCCTCAAAGCCTCAACACAAGACTTCTTGCTACTTACTAATTCTATATAAATTCTGTCAATTTCACTACCATCTTGACTCCAGTCTGTGGATGCAATAAAGCCTTATATATTTTTTTAATCTACACAAGACAGGTTCATTCAGTAATACATTTTCATTTAGTTCAAGGAAATGCATTTTTGTCCCTGCATAGCTTCTGGAAGAAGACTGAGAGAGGAGATGGTGAATGATATATCCACTATTTTTTTTTTTTTTAATAAAGAGAGTCTTGTTCTGTCACCCAGGCTGAAGTGCAGTGACATCATGGCTCATTGTAGACCTGACCTCTGGGCTTAAGCCATCCTCCCACCTAAACCTCCCAAATAACTGGGACCACAGGTGCATGCCACTGCACCTGCACTGGGCTAATTTTTTTCTTTTTTTGAGATAGAGTCTCACTTTGACACCCATGCTGGAGTGCAGCAGCGTAATCTTCACTCACTGCAACCTCTGCCTCCTGGATTCAAGCAATTATCTTGCCTCAGCCTCCCAACTGGCTGGGATTACAGGCGCCTGCCACCAAGCCCAGCTAATTTTTATATTTTTAGTAGAGACAGCATTTCACCATGTTGGCCAGGCTGGTCTCAAACTTCTGACCTCAGGTGATCTGCCCACCTCGGCCTCCCAAAGTGCTGGGATTACAGGCGTGAGCCACCGCGCCTGGCCTATTTTTTTTTTTTTTAATTTCTGGTGGAGACAAGGATCTCTCTATGTTGCCCAGGCTGGCTGGTCTTGAACTCCTGGACTCGCAATTCTCCTGCCTCAGCCTCTCAAAGTGCTGGGAGCGAAGTGCTGTTAAGGTGTGAGCCACCATGCCTGGCCTGATTTATCCACTTAATGTGTCAACATTGGTTAAAATTGGGAGCATTTGTGGAAGGTAGAGTCTTATCTGACCAATATGGGAAGAAGTGAGGACCAGTTTTCTGAAGGGAAAGATAGGTAGGAGGATGTAGGACAAGACCGACACATGCCCAAATATCCTTAAAAAAAAAAAAAAAAAAGACTTTCAGAAAGGAGAGAGAAACCATCGCCTTACCTGAGCCATGGTTTTGAGATATGAAAGAGATGACCAGTCCTTCCTTTGGAGTCCTCTTTAGAAAAGAGGCAGTTCCTAAGGAGGCAAAGCCGAGACAAAAAAAGCCACATGAGACCACATGTGCCTCACAGCTCTTATAATTCTATTAAAATTGCCTCCATTTCCCTTGTATTGATCCTTGTCCACTCTGAACATGCCACATAAATATAGATGGGACAACCAGCTAGGCAAATTCTGTTTTATCCCCAAGGCCAGAGATACAGGCTTTTGGGGCAGCAGGATGGATTTTGGGCAAGCTCCTCTCCCCTCAAGCACTACCTTTTCTCTCCTAGTCAGCCTACTGTTATTAACTACTTCCAAGCTGCTCTCCGTTAAGGCTGTACCATTCATAGTACTGCCAGCAATATATGAGAATACCTGTCATTCCACACTGAGGAATACTACTGATACAAATTTTTTTATGCTTGTCTATCTAACACATGTAAATTGTGGTTCTAGTTTCTAGTTTTCTTACCATGAACAAGAAGCTTCTTTTCATAAGTTTAAAGAACGCTTTTAGCTTCTTATCTGTGGTCTCATCATTTATTTCATTTTCTATCATTTTTATTTTCTGAATTGTTAGACTTCTTTAAAGGAAGGAAATTAATCCTTTATTTTTGTGGTAGGAGTTCCAAATAATTTTTCTCTTTTAGAGACAGTGTCATACTCTGCCATCCAGGCTGGAGTACAGTGGTACTATTCTAGCTCACTGCAACCTCAAACTCCTGAGCTCAAGCAATTCTGTCTCAGCCTCCCAAGTAGCTAGGACAAAAGACACACATCACCATGCCTGGCTAATTTTTTAAATTATTATTATTTTTTGAGATGGGGTCTTGCAATGTTGCTCAGGCTGGTCTCAAACTCCTGGCCTCATGTGCTCCTCCTATATGTGATTACAGGCGTAAGCCATTGTGCCCGGCCCCAAATAATTTTTTATAGTTTCTCATTTGACTGTTTTTTTTCTATGTAAAAATACAATTTTAAAAATTATTTGGCCATCTAGTTTGGTATCACAAAGTACTCCAGAATCTGTATTTCCTTCAATCATCAAAACTGCCATCTTTATCACATATTTTATGTCCTTCATATATCTAAGTAGAGCTGGGCTTTATATTTATTTCCACTGAACTGTTCATTTAATTGCCAGGATCACCTTACAGTTATCAGTTTTAAAACAGCTTAGTATCTACTAGGGCTACTTCCTTGACAGTTTTTCTCTCTCAGAATTTTTGGTGTTTATTTTCTCCTAACAATGCTAGAAAGTTCAAACATTTTTATTAAAATTTTAATGGAAATCCATGAAATGTAAGGAAGTTTTGACATTTTATCATGTTGTGTCTTCCTGTCCTTTTATTCAAGTCTTATTTTTATTTTATTTTTGAGACAGGGTCTCACTCTTTGCCTAGGCTAGAATACAGTGGCATGATCATGGCTCACTGCAGCCTCGACTTCCTCAGCTCAAGCAATTCTCCCTCTTGCATAGCAGGGACCATAGGCATGTACCACCCACATCCAGCTAATTATTTTTTAATTTTAATTTTTTTGTTTTTGAGACAGGGTCTCACTCTGTTGCCCAGGATGGAGTGCAGTGGCCTATCACCGCTCATTGCAGCGTCGGCCTCACTGGGCTCAAGTGATCCTCCTATCTCAGCCTCCTGGGTAGCTGGGACTACAGGCGCATGCCATCAAGACCGGCTAACTTTTTTTTTTTTGGTAGAAATGGGGTCTTACTATGTTGCTTAGGCTAGTCTCCAATTCCTGGGCTCAAGCGATCTTCCTGCCTTGGCTTCCCAAAGTGCTGGGATTATAGGTGTGAACCACCACATACCGCCTACTCCCAGGGTTGCTGAAAACTTTGAGAAAGAGTAAGTGGCTCACAGGGGCAGGTATGGGATAAGATATTCTGCATGGCTTTGTCCAAAAGGGCCCAGAGTAGGAAACAGAATCCATGCCCAACGACAGGGAATCAGACACCATAGGCACTTCTCAGTCTTGCAGCAGGCTCTTTTTAAAATTTATTTATTTTTATTTTGAAATGATTATAGATCCACAGAAGCTTGCAAAAATAGTGCAGAGAGGTCTCATTCACCTTTCACCTAGCGTCTCCACAATGGTCACATCTTCCATAACCATAGCATATGGTCAAAATCAGAAAACTGGTTGAGCACAGTAGGTAGCTCATGCCTGTAATCCCATCACTTTGGGAGCACAAGGCAGTAAGATCGCATGAGCTTAGGAGTTTGAGACCAGCCTGGGAAACATAGTGAGACTCTGTCTCTACAAAATAAAAATACACAAATTAGCCAGCATGGGGGCGTGTACCTGTAGTCCCAGCTACTCAGGAGGCTGAGGCAGGAGGGTCACTTAAGCCCAGGAGTTTGAGGCTACAATGAACTATGACTGTGCCACTGTACTTCGACCTGGACAACAGAGCAAGACTCTGTCTCTAAAAAATAAAAACAAAAAATCAGAAAATTGTCATTACACAATGCACCAACTTCTTTCAGATATCACTAGTTTTCCATGCATTCATTATGTGCGTGTTTTTACCATTTTATCACACATTTAGATTTGTGTCACCACCACCACAATCAAGAGGCAAAACTATTCCATGTAAAGATACCATTTTAAAGTAATTGTTTAAACGACCCATCAATACCACTCCTGAGTATCTATCCATGACAAACAAAGACATGTATCTACAAAAAGACCCGAATGTGAATGTTCGTAGCAGTTTTATTCATAACCACCTCAGAACTGGAAACAACCCAAGTGTGCATCAATGGATACACAGACAAACCAACTGTGATCCATCCAGACAATGGAATACTACTTTATACTAAGAAGAATGAAGCAATGATACATGCAATAATATGAGTGAATTGCAACATGCAACTGAACTGAGCTCATGCCTGTAATCCCAGCACTTTGGGAAGACAAGGCAGGAGGATTGCATGAGCTCAGGAGTTCGAGACCAGCCTGGGCAACATAGTGAGACTCTGTCTCTGCAAAATAAAAATACACAAATTAGCCAGCATGATGGCATGTACTTGTAGTCCCAGCTACAGTTTACTAATTGCAACATCCTTACTGAATGAAGCCAGACTCAAAAGGCTACATTCTGCATGACTCCTTTTATATGAGATGAAATTACAACAGAGGTTACTTCTGTGCCAGGGTGATTGGATGGGGGCTAGAAGTGTTCTGTTTTTGTTTTCTTTTTAAATTTGGGTGATGGTGGTGACATGAGTTTAAAAAAATCCAAATATATACATTTGCTTATATTAAAATAATGAAAGGATAAGCTGAAAGCTTAGATAAAAGATAGAATATAATATTCGGTTGCTTTTGTCACTAACAAAGTATCCTGGAGGCCAGGCAAGGTAGCTCACACCTATAATCCCAGCACCTGAGGAGGCCAAGGTGGGCAGATCACTTGAGCCTAGGAGTTCAAGAACAGCCTAGGAAACATAGCAAGACCCCCAACTGTACAAAAATAAAATAAAATAAAATTAGCCAGGTATGGTTGTACATGCCTGTAGTCCCAGCTACTTGGGAGGCTGAGGTGGGAGGATCACCTGAGCCCAGGGAGATCGAGGCTGCAGTGAGCCATGATCAAGCCACTGCACTCCAGCCTGGGCAACGGAGGGAGACCTTGTCTCAGAAACAAACAAACAAAACAAGAAAACAAAAAAATCCAAAGTATCCTGGAGGCCCTTCTCCATAAATCCATGCAACTGATCCCTTTTCATGGCTGCATAATACTCCTCAGTGGCACTGTACTTGGTTAATCCAACCAGTTTCCTTCTCTTGGATATTTGGAATTCAATTATTTCTTTACACTTTCCAAAATAATTCCCTGTGATGTAGATCCAATGACCCTCACAAAAACCCTGAGTGAGGTAGGTCCTATTATACCTGAAATTGACTAACATGACTAACACAGGAGACACTCATGGCTTGCTCAGTGTTACACATTGCAGAGGTGGCCTAGCCAAGATTTTTTAAATGACAGCATTGAGATATAATTTACACACCATAAAATTCATCCATCTAAAGTATACGATTCAATGGTTGTTGGTATATTCACAAACCATCATAATGAACAATCATCCACAACCTAATTTTAGAACATTTCAATCACCATGAAAGAAACTCCAAAAGAATGCATGCCAAATTTAAGATCATTAAGATGTATGCCTATGTGTTTTTTCCTAAGAGTTTTATAGTTTCTTTTGTTTTGTTTTGAAACAAAGTCTCACTCTGTTGCCCAGGCTGGAGTGCAGTGGTGTGATCACGGCTCACTGCAGCCTCGACCTCCCTGGGCTCAGGTGATCCTCCCACCTCAGTCTCCTGAGTAGCTAGCCACAGGGGCGTGCCACTACGCCTGGCTAATTTTTGTATTTTTGTAGAGACAGGGTTTCACTAAGTTGCCCAGGCTGGTCTTGAACTCCTGGACTCAAGCAGTGCACACACCTCAGCCTCCCAAAGTGCTGGGATTACAGGTATGAGCCACCAAGCCCCACCAAAAGTCCTATTTTAAAATGTGCTCTTTAATAACATATCATGTAATTAGTAAAGTCACTTCCTTTGTATCTCTTATTTTTGATGACCACTGTAAATAAGTCTTTTTCCCCATACTTTCCACATACACACACACCCCCTATTTATTTGTTAATGTTTTTTCCAACAACCCTGAGTTTTCTAATTGTTATCACTGTTCAATTTTTAATAGGATGAAAACTTAGAAATATTTCTGCCTCAGCCTCAGCTGATATCCCAAAGATAGCAAATGAAACAAAATTCTAAGAGAACTTCATTCAAGAACAGGATCTTATAGAGCTGTTGAGTGTAAAATTTTGCTATCATTAAACTCCTCCTTTAAAGACAGTGGAGAGGCTGAGAGAGGAGCATGTATTTTTAAGAGACTGTTATTTTTAGAACAGTGTTTTTCCAGGGGGAAAAACGTGAGTGATTCTCCCTTTTTTACAACACACAAGGGGTCCCTCAGACCCTGAGGCCACCAGGAACCAAAGTGGTGAGAGAATTCTTGGCAAAAATTTTACATATTTCTAAGATTTGGGAGGGCAAAGTGACTGAGGTGGCTAATTCTCACCTTAGCACTAGGTGAAGACCCCATGGGTGGAGGCTGTCTGGGTTGTCTTGGGTCCTATCAAAGAGGAATGACTGGACAAACCCACCCACCAGAGTCGGTGGGCCACTGAATGCCCAGAGGAAGCACTGGGGCAGCAGCTGGAGAAGAGGCTATGCCCATGAGAAGGGAAGTGTATCTGGAGGTTCCAAGCAGCAGGTTCTCTTGGAAGGTAAGAGATGACTTACACTAAATTATAGTGGTATCAGTCATGTTAGCCTCTTCTTGTCTCTGACTTCTGTCTTCTCATTCCTTTCCCAGCTCCCAATCCATGAGAGCTAAAGACTGCCTATAGGGAGTAAAGAGGAGACAAAATAAAGGTTGGGGAATTAGAGAAGAAACTAATCATGTATCCTTTCACATTTCAGGCTTCCAGCAGAAGAAATTCATCCAGCAAAAAAAAAAATAAATACACACACACACACACACACACACACACACACACACACTCTCAAATAGGAATTTTGAGAGTGGCAGTTATGAGATAAAGTTTTTTTCTGTGTGGTCCCAGTGGTATTCTATTCATTTAAGCATATCAGTCATCAGTCAATACCAGGTTTCCCAATAAATGATCTTTTTTGGAAGGGAAGGGACGGAGTCTCGTTCTGTCGCCCAGGCTGGAGTGCAGTGGCGCGATCTTGGCTCACTGCAACTTCCACCTCCGAGTTCAAGCGATTCCCCTGCCTCAGCTCCCGAGTAGCTGGGGCTACAGGCATGCGCCATCATGCCCAGCTAATTTTTATATTTTTTAGTAGAGACGGGGTTTCACCATGCTGGTCAAACTCCTGACCTCAGGTGATCTGTCCGCCCCAGCCTCCCAAAGTGCTGGGATTGCAGGCGTGAGCCACCGCGCATGGGCCCAATCTTTTTTTTTTTTTTGAGACGGAGTCTTGCTCTGCCACCCAGGCTGGATTGCAGTGGCACGATCTCGGCTCACTGCAAGCTCCGCCTCCCGGGTTCACGCCATTCTCCTGACTCAGCCTCCCAAGTAGCTGGGACTACAGGCGCCCGCCACCACGCCCGGTTAATTTTTTGTATTTTTAGTAGAGACGGGGTTTCACCATGTTAACCAGGATGTTCTCGATCTCCTGACGTCGTGATCGGCCCGCCTCAGCCTTCCAAAGTGCTGGGATTACAGGCGTGAGCCACCGCGCCCGGCCCGCATGGGCCCAATCTTACCCTCTGAAAATTATTTTGCCTCTTCCTCTCCATTAAAAAAAAAAAATCACTACTTATTTTACTTGTCTAATTACCAGAGTCAAATTCTACAGGCATATATAAAATGCCCAATACTCATAAATCAATCTAAACAATGCATACTTTAGTCAACACTCGGTTTCTCAAGCACTCCACCTAAGTCACACAGTGTGCCACATTCACAGTCATCATAGGTCGTGTACACCAAATACTTTTAAAATTAGGCATATTCATAGCTGTATCACCCACTACATAGTCATAATCCCATAGGCCCCCACGTCGTGCACAATTTCACAGAACTTCTACAAAAAGTAACAACCTTTCACTCACAATGCCCTCACTGTCGCCTCTCCAGAGTCGGACACAGGCTCAAACACAAATCGACTCGCATCTAATTTAAATTAAAACTTAAGACACGCAGGGACCCTATCACTTTCATAAACAACCGGTTCCACAACGTCACACAGAATAACACATTCCCCTACCACAACACACAGGACAGGTACGAAAAGCCACACACACACACACGGAGCGCCTGTTGTGTGCCAGGCCGTGCTCCAGGAGCCAGGGGACGAAAATCAGACGAAATTCCTGCCACTGGGGAGCTCACCCCCCGCCTCGGGCAACCGGTTCCCTTCTTCAGGTGCTCCCGGGCCCGCGCTCTGGTTCCTGCTTCCCTCCCAGCCTTCTCTGAGGCCCGGACTCGCACTTTCCTCCAGCCAACTCCTCGTCCCAGGTTGCTCCTCTTCCCTTCTTGCTTTCCCCAGCCCAGGCTCCCGCCTCCCTCCTCAGCCTTCCTTACGGGTCACACCGTCACCCGCCTTCTCCGCGCCCGCGGGACCCACCAGCCTCACCTTCGGTTGCCGGCCGGGCGTCTGCGCATGCGCACTCCCACGCGGACGATGCCTCCCAGGTGTCTCCGCGGCGCGTTCCTGCTGTCCACCGGCTACGCGCGCCTTCTCCACATCCGGGCGTTTCCGGCCTTGGACTACATTTCCCACAGGCGCCCGGGCGGTTTTCGAACTTTGATCTCTGGTTCCCCTTCCAAATTCTCATAGTGCGTGGCTGGGATGAGGGCGGCGCTCACGGTGAGGAAGCCCCGAGCTCCCGGGACGCAGACAGGGTGTGCAGGGCCGTAGCTCGGGCCTGTGTATGCACCTGTGCGTGTGTGTTTGATGCCAGGACAAGGCGGCGGTGTGCGCGGCGAGGAGGCTGCGACAGGTGCGTGATTGTGTTCCTGTCCCTGCTCGGATGCGGGACCTTTGGGTGGCCGTGGTCGGCTGTCGGGTGTGTGACACTGTAGGGTTTGAGACCTTCCATCATGACAGTGCTGCTGTGGCCGTGTGATGGAAGAGCCTTTTAGGTCTGTGGTGTTGTGTGTGTAACGGGTAAAGCTTCATTTCTGCAGTGCTGTGTTTAATGTTGGGACTGAGGGGTCTGTCGAAGATCTCCCCAATGTGCCTGTGAGGACTATGATCCATGCCTATGTTAAGCAGAGTCATCTTGCAATGAAGCATGGCCCGCGTTGTCTTCTCAGGGCACACCTGTCCCCAGTTCTCAGCCTGGTGTTTGACACAGGGGATCCTGGCGGAGTGCCCACCTAAGCGGCAGTTTTAGACTCGATTGTTTCTTGGGCTCTGCATCTCTGAGTTCCCAGCTTCCTTTTTTCTCCCGCTTTATAGCTGTATAGACCCCAGCTGCAGTGAAATGGCCATCAAAAAGGGAAGGGATAATCGAGTGGTGGAATAAAATCTGCAAACAGAAAAAGGACAGACCTGTTTTCGGAACGAGGCTTTTCGAGTTGTAAGTGTCCCTTAAGCAGAGTTCTGGGAAGACGTCGTGGGGAGAACCTAGGAGTAGGATTCCTTCCTCAGAGGCTCTCCCTTGGGAACTCTCAGAGGTCAGGTTCCATGTGATCCACATCATTCCCAGAGCTGTCTCCGCAGGAGACTTAACGTGAATTTTGAGAAAGTCCCCAGTCCTGGATATCAGTGACCCTGGCCTTTCCCTTGAATACTAAGAAGGGTTAGCAGTACTCCCATCTCCCTTTTACTTCCATCTGAGTATGTTTATGGTAGATGATGAGAGCTCGTGTGGTGGCAATAATTTTTTCCAATTTAGCCAATCTGGGTTCCAAGAAAGGTCTGATGTCTCATGATTCCTTACCCCTTCTCCCTTGCCTTGAGGTTCTCTAAGAGCCCTGAGGAAAGGGAACCATTGCTGAGCATATCTGAAAACCAAGGTCAAGGAAGTTTTGTTGTATTTTCTATTTTTGTTCTCTTTGATTTTGTTTTTCAGCAAGGGAGTATTTTTTCTCCTCCTGAAATGCTAGTCAGTGGTTAGGTTACTATTAGGCAGGGCCTTGTGAGGTGCTTTGACCAATAGAATGTGGTGGAAGTGATATTGTGAGACTTCTGAGACAAAGCTTCAGGAAGTCTTGCAGCTTTTTCTCTTCCCCTTTTCCTGCCCTGAGACCACCATGACTGAAGGCTAAGAGCAACTTGCTTGCGCATTAAAGATCACTTGGAGAGAGAGGTCCAGTGAGCAACAACGGCCAGAAATTTCAGGGAGACCATCTTGAACCATCCAGCCTCCACCAGGCCAACAGCTGACAGCTGTCACATGAATATGATCAGCAGAAGAACCACTCAGGCAAGCCAAGCCCAAATTGCCAAGCCCCCCAAATAATAAGCTAATTGTTTTTTGTTTTAAGCCATAAACTTTTGAGGTGGTTATATAGCAATAAATAACTGAAACAGGTGTTTAACTTTCTAGACTTTTTAAATGACCATATTGATATAATTGTATTGTTCAACCTGTTTTGTAAAGTGATTTCTCTGATACAGTATCTTGAAAATATTCCTTAACTATTTTCTACAACTTTGCATTTGTCTATCTTAGTATTATATTACATGGATATGTGGTAACTTATTTAACTACTAACTTCCCTTTGCAATTCCTTTTCCTTGCTGTCTAGCTCCCATGTCTTGACCAACTTTGCATTCCCCTCCAGGACCTTATGGGCACATGGGTTCCTATCATTTCACGGGTATGTAGACTCAGGAATGTGGCATTGACTTCTGGGTGGAGTACAGATGACTGACACCCCCACCCCGATTCGGAGGAATTATTCAGGGGTGTGATATAACACCTACATACATTTATTTAACTAGCCAATTTGGTCTCCCCTTTTTTTGTTTTGAGACCGAGTCTTGCTCTGTCGCCCAGGCTGGAGTGCAGTGGCGTGATCTCGACTTACTGCAACCTCCGCCTCCCAGGTTCAAGGGATTCTCCTGCCTCAGCCTTCCGAGTAGCTGAGACTACAGGTGCCCACCACCATGTCCGGATAATTTTTGTATTTTTAGTAGACATGGGGTTTCGCCAAGTTGGCCAGGCTGGTCTCAAACTCCTGACCTCACGTGATCTGCCTGCCTCAGTCTCCCAAAGTGTTGGGATTACAGGCATGAGCCACCTCGGCCAGCCGGGTCTCCCTTTTTACATCTGTTTTCCCCTTTCCAGTTCAAATTCTGTATTCTGGGAACATCTTACTTTCTTCACCCTGATTGATTAGGGAAACTTCAGGGTTCTTAGGTAACTTTCTGAAGGACTGGTTTAAGATTCCTAGAGTTGGAAATGGGCGTCTCTCCTGTGTTATTTCTAAAGTGTTATCATCCTAATCCTTCAGAATACTTTCTTGACTTCTTTCTGCTTGATGATTAAGGAATGGTCTCAATTCTCCATAGCCACATCAGACCAAAATTCCATTTCTTTGCCTATGTGAAGGGTTTATTATTAATTACCCTATTAATTTATGTCCAAACCAGATGTGATTTCCTTCTTGGAGCAATAGTTCGTGAAGAGGTTGGTTAACAGCAGTTCTGTGCCCAGGTAAATGAGAGGCAACTGATAAGAGGAACTCGTTGTGTATAAAATCTTAGGATTCTAGATTTAGGACCTTTAAGGCAGTATTTGAATTAGTGCTCTGGAATGTCTATGAAGAAAGTTTGGGTCTCTTCAGCCAGAATTCAGACCATTTCAACATTGCATTCCATGTATCATACACATATCTCCTTTTATTATTATTTTTTCTGCTCTCAAAGCAGATTTCTCTCATTGTAAAATTAGTAGATTCTTAATTCAGAAGATTGGAGAATATTAAAAAAAGCTTAAAGTAAAGCACTTTGAACACTTTATTCCAAATCACTTCACCTCATTTGTGAATAAGTGCATGGATATAGGCTTATAGGACTTTTTCATTCAAAACAGGGTTATATAACAATTGTTTTGAAATCTACTTGTTTCTTCTAACAAAATATAGTGAACAAATTTTCATGTCACTAAATTATGAACTGTGTCATAATCTTTTAATGGCTGCACTGTTCTGTTTGTATATGTAAGTTCTTTCCAGCTTTTTCCCATTATATGCAATGTTTTACTGCATATGCCTTTTCTGTGCACATGTGAATTGTATATTTTGGATAGTCTTAGATATTTTGCTGAGAATGAGGTTTTCATAGTTAAAACCTGTTTACACATCTATATCAATTGCCCTGATTAAGTTTGCACCAATATTCAACATACTATGAGAATGTCTATTCGCTACTATATGGTATCATTAGTCTTTTATTATTATTTTATTTTATTATTATTATTATTTGAGACAGAGTCTCACTCTTGTTGCCAGGCTAGAGTGCAGTGGCATGATCTCGGCTTACTGCAACCCCCGCCTCCAAGGTTCCAGCAATTCCCCCACCTCAGCCTCCCAAGTAGCTGGGACTACAAGGCGCATGTCACCACGCATGGCTAATTTTTGGTTTTTAGTAGAGACGGGGTTTCACCATGTTGGCCAGGATGGTCTCCATCTCCTGACCTTGTGATCCGTCTGCCTTGGCCTCCCAAAGTGCTGGGATTACAGGCGTGAGCCATTGCACCTGGCCATCATTAGTCTTTTAAATCCACCAATCCAGTAGAAATTATATTTATTTAAATGAATTACCCATGCACAGGTTTCATTCAGTGTAATAAAATATGGGCTTCAGAAACAAAAACCAGAACTGAAAGAAAATTGGTTTTGTAGGTAGAAAAATGTGATTTAAAAATGCAGATATGCCATTTATTTTGAGGGTGTATAGCTCACCCCTGTAATCCCAGCACTTTCGGAGGCTGAGACGGGTGGAACACTTGAGCCCAGGAGTTTGAGACCAGCCTGGGCAATATGGTGAAACCCCGTATCTACTAAAAATACAAAAAATTAGCTGGGTGTGGTGGTGCACCTGTAGTCCTAGCTACTTGGGAGGCTGAGATGGGAGGATCACCTGAGCCCAAGGATATTGAGGCTGTAGTGAGCCGTGATTGTGCCAATGCACTCCAACCTGAGCGTTGGAGTGAGACCATGCCTCAAAAAAACAAAAACAAAAAACTCTTAAAATCGAGGGAAAGACCCAAAAACCCGATAGAAAAAGTGAGTAAAAGAAATGAACACATGAAATCACACACACACAGACACACACACACACAAAGAGAGAGAGAGGAAGCACAAATTTTAAAATTATAGCGTGCTGGCTTTTTAAAAAAATAAACCCAGCTGGGTGTGGTGGCTCACGCCTGTAATCCCAGCACTTTGGGAGGCTGACATGGGCGGATCACGAGGTCAGGAGATTGAGACCATCCTGGCTAACATGGTGAAACCCTGTCTCTACTAAAAATACAAAAAATTAGCTGGGCGTGGTGGAGGGCACCTGTAGTCCCAGCTACTCGGGAGGCTGAGGGAGGAGAATGGCGTGAACCTGGGAGGTGGAGCTTGCAGTGAGCCAAGATGGTGCCGCTGCTCCCCAGCTTGGGCGGCAGAGTGAGACTCCGTCTCAAAAAAAAAAAATAATAATAATAATAATAATAAAATAATAAAAAAAAAACCCATGCAACCGCCATTACAGACATAGAAACTTTCCAACATCCCAGAAGGCTCCCTCATATCTCTTCCCAATCATTATACCTCAAAGTTAACCATTAGTTTGACCTCTATAATAGAATAGTTTGGTTTGGTTTTGAACTTCATATAGGTGGAATCATATAGTATGTACTCTTGTGTCTGACCTCCTTTGCTCAACATTATTTCTAAGTATATAGATACATATAGATAACATTATATCCATGTTGCTGTACATAGTAGTAGCTTGTAATTTAACCTTTTTTTTTTTTTTTTTTTGAGACAGGGTCTCATTCTGTACTCCAGGCTAGAGTGACAGTGACACTATCATAGCTCACTGCCACCTCAAACTCCTAGACTCAAACAATCCTCCCACCTCAGCCTCAGCTCCCCAAGTAGCTAGGACTACAGGTGCATACCACCACCACACCCAGACAATTTAAAAAATTTATAGAGATGGGGTCTCACTATGTTCCCCGGGCTGATCTTGAATTCCTGGCCTCAAGTGATCCCCCTGTCTCTCAGCCTCTGAAAGTGCTGGGATGACAAGTGTGAGCCATAGCACCCACCCTTTATCATGTAATTATTTTGTTACTTCCCTCTTGTTCACTCTCTCTACATATATCTGGTTGTATGTCTTAAGTCTTATACTACTAGAAATTAGGAGTTAGGTTGATCAGTATATACAAAGTTTCAGTTATATGAGAGGAATAAGTTTTGGTGTTCTGTTGTGTAACATGATGACTATAGTTAATAATATTAAACATATGAACTGGGGGGGAACAAATCAGTCTATAACAATTCCCAATTAAAAAAAAAAAAAAGAAAACTTGGCCAGGTGCAGTGGCTCACACCTTGTAATCTCAGCACTTTGGGAGGACAAGGTGGGCCAATCGCTTGAGCCCAGGAGTTCAAGACCAGGCTGGGCAACATGGTGAAACTCCATTTCTACAAAAAAATACAAAAAATTAGCTGGGTGTGGTTGTGTGCCTGTAGTCCCAGATACTTGGGAGGCTGAGGTGGGAGAATCACTTGAGCCCTGGAAGTCAAGGCTGTAGTGAGCCGTGATTGCACCACTGCACTCCAGCCTGGGCATCAGCGTGAGACCTTGTCTCAAAGAAACAAAACTCCTCTTAATGTCAAGGGAAAGACCCAAAAACCTGACAGAAAAGATGGGTAAGAGAAATTAACAATTCACAAAAAATATGTAAAAGGGACCCTTAAATGTGTAAAAAGAGAAATACAAATTAAAATAATATGGAGACAGGCCAGGTGAGGTGGCTTACACCTGTAATCCCAGTGCTTTGGGAGCCTGAGGTGGAAGGATTGCTTGAGGCCAGGAGGTTGAGATTACAGTGAGCTATGATTGCACCACTGCACTCTAGCCTGGACAACAAGCAAGACCCTGTCTCTTGGCAGGGGGAGAGGGGGAATACTGAGACCATTTTTAACCTATCAAGATGACAAAAATTAAAAAATATAACAATGTATTCTGTTGGTGAGACAGGATATAGTCGGCTGACTGATGACCCTGCAAAAAGATATGTCCATGTCCTAATCTCTGGAAACTGTGAATGTTACTTAATTTGGAAAGAGGGTCTTTGCAGATGAAATTAAATTAAGAAGTTTGAGATGAGTAGTTCATCCTGGATTGTCTGGGTGGGTTGGGTCCTAAATCCAGTGACAAGCAACCTTAAAAGAGACACAAGGAGACTGGCAGACAGAGGAAGAAGAGGCAGCAATGTGACCCCGGAGGTGGAAATCTCAGTGATGGGGCCAGGAATGTCAAGGAATGGTCAAGGAATGGCTACAGCCACCAGAAAAAGAGGCAAAGTGAGGCTTCTCCCCTAGAATCTCTAGGAGCGCTCCAGCCCTGCTGATGTCTAGATTTTTGGAGTTCTGGCCTCCAGAATGTGAGAGAGTAAACTATTGTTTAAAGCTACCAAGTTTGTGGTAACTTGTTAGAGCAGCCACAGGAATGAATGTACAGGGAATCAGGCAGTCTCATACACTGATGGTGGGAAAACAAACCGGCACAACCCTTATGGTGGGAAATTTGACAACATGTACAAAAACTACCTACACATTTCCCTTGTGACCCAGCCATTCCACTGTTAGGAATCTGCCCTGAAGATACAACTCCACCTATTAAAAAATACAGCCATTAGAATGGATGATGTTTACCGCTACTTGCTGACAAAGAAAAATGTTCACTTGTGTTAAATGAGAAAGACAGGTCTCAGAACAGCAACAATGTTCTAGACGATTCTGTTTTTTAATACTCAGTATATGTAGAGGAGATTAAAGGGATTTATCGTGAGATGCTCATAGGGGGCAACTGTTATTTCAGATTTCTTTTTTAAAATTTTTAATTGACAAGTAATAATTGTATATATTTGTACAACAATTGTATGTATTGTATGTACAATTGTATATTGATGTATATATTTGTACAATAATTGTATAATTTATATGGTACAATGTGATATTTGTATGCATCAATACATGATGGAATGATCAAATCAGGCTGGTTAGCATATCCGTTACCTCAAATATTTACCATTTCTTTGTGGTAAGAACATATAAAATCCTATCTTTTAGCTATTTTGAAATATACAATACAGTAACTATAGTCACTGTGTTGGACAAAAGAACAGCAGAATGTATTCTTCCTATCTAAACAAAACTTTGTACCTGTTAACCAGCATTTCCCCTTTCCCCATCCACCACATCCCCACCCCCCAACCTTTGGTAACCACCCTCCTACTCTCTACTTCTAAGAGTTCAACTTTTTAGATTCCACATGTAAGTGAGATCATACAGTATTTGTCTCTCTGTGTCTGGCTTATTTCACTTAACATAATATCCTCTAGGTATACCCATGTTGTTGCAAATGACAGAATTTCATGTTTAAGGCTGAATAGTATTCCACTGTGTATATATCCTCCATTTAAAAAATCCATTCATCCATTGATGGACACTTAGCTTGTTTCCATATCTTAGTTATTGTGAATAATGCTACAGTTAACATGGGAGTGCAGACATCTTTGACATACTGATGTCAATTCCTTGTGGGGTTGCTGGCTCATATGGTAATTCTATTTTTTGTTTTTTGAGGAAGCTCTACACTGTTTCCCAAAATGGCTGTAGTAATTTACAGTGCTCGCAACAGTGTTCCTTTTCTCTACATCCTCACCAACACTAACCTTTCATCTTTGTTTGTAATAGCAGGTGTCTAACAGGTGCACGGTAATATCTCACTGTGGTTTTTTTGGGGGGGATGGAGTCTCGCGCTGTCGCCCAGGCTGGAGTGCAGTGATGCAATCTCGGCTCACTGCAATCTCCACCTCCTGGGTTCAAGCGATTCTCCTGCCTCAGCCTCCCAAGTATCTGGGACGACAGGTGCGTACCACCATGCCTGGTTAATTTTTTGTATTTTTATTAGAGACGGGGTTTCACCATCTTAGCCAGGATGGTCTCGATCTCCTGACCTCATGATCTGCCCAGCTCGGCCTCCCAAAGTGCTGGGATTACAGGCGTGAGCCACCGCGCTCGGCCCCTCATCGTGGCTTTAATTTGCATTTATCTGATGATTAGAGATGTTTAGCATTTTTCGTATATGTGCTGGCCATTTGTATGTCTTCTTTTGAGAAATGTATACAAGTCCTTTGCCCATTTTTAATAGGGTTATTTGTATTCTTTTTTTTTTTTTGAGACAGAGTCTCACTCTGTCACCTAGGCTGGAGTGCTGGAGTGCAGTGGGCGATCTCGGCTCACTGCAAGCTCCGCCTCCCAGGTTCACACCATTCTCCTGCCTCAGCCTCCTGAGTAGCTGGGACTACAGGCACCCACCACTACGCCTGGCGAATTTTTTGTATTTTTTAGTAGAGATGGGGTTTCACCTAACCCCAAGGATGGTCTCAATCTCCTGACCTCATGATCCACCCACCTTGGCCTCCCAGAGTGCTGAGATTACAGGCGTGAGCCACCGCACCCGGCCAGTTATTTGTATTCTTGTTATTAAGAAGTGTGAGTTCCTTTTACATTTTGAATATTAGCCCCTTATCCAATATATGATTTGCAAGTATTTTCTCCTAATCTTTGGGTTGTCTCTTCATCCTATTGTTTCCTTTGCTATGTGGAATAGGATTCTCTGTTTTCTTAATTTTAATGCTCAGTGTGTATTTCTTTTATAATTAGAAACTCTATAAGGCTAATCCTTCCCTCCTTAAAACTGGAAGAATTATAGAAGGAGCTATGGGCACACTGACACAGAGGCATGATGGTGAGGTGTCTTTGGGAACTCAGACTGAAGGGACCTCAGTTCTCTCCACTGGCCACTGAGGGAAAAGTTTCTCAAACAATACCTTGAAGTTTTGACTCTTCATATCAGCTGAGCATTTATCTGCAATGGCTTCCCTCTTCTTTGAGCCACCTTAACACATTACTCTCCACACATTCACGGCTATCTCCTTTTCTTCAATGGGGAAATCACATCTGGCTTAGAGATAAAAGGTCCTGTATATAGGAAAAGAAATTGGACTTAGGCCTGTTGTGGTGATGTCAATTCAGGGAGAGGAAAATATGAGACAGAGGAAGATAAAGTCACTTTAGGTGTCAAGAAAATGAAGCCTCAATAATAAAAACACAGTTGAGTGTTTGCAGCTATAAAAATGTCAGATCAGTTCTTCCAAGGCTCTCAAGAGACTCACAATGAAAGAAAATACTCCCAGCAAGCAGATTATAAATAATAAAGGAAAATATTCTTTAAAAATTTTTATTTTATTTATTTTTTTGAGTTGGAGTCTCACTCTGTTGCCCAGATTGGAGTGCAGTGGCATGATCTCAGCTCACTGCAAACTCCACCTCCTGGGTTCAAGCGATTCTTCTGCCTCAGCCTCCCAAGTAGCTGGGACTACAGGCGCGCACCACCATGCCTGGCTAACTTTTGTATTTTTAGTAGAGATGGGGTTTCGACATGTTGGCCATGCTGGTCTCGAACTCCTCACCTCAGGTGATCCACCCGCCTCGGCCTCCCAAAGTGCTGGGATTAAAGGCATGAACCACCATGCCTGGCCTTTTTTTTTTTTTTTTTTTTTTTTTTGAGACAGAGTCTCGCACTGTTGCCCAGGCTGGAATGCAGTGGCATGATCTCAGCTCACTGCAACCTCTGCCTCCCAAGTTCAAGCAATTCTCCTGCCTCAGCCTCCCGAGTAGCTGGGATTACAGGTGCCCGCCTCAACACTGGGCTAATTTTTTGTATTTTTAGTAGAGACAGGGTTTCACTATGTTGGCCAGGCTAGTCTCGAACTCCTGACCTCGTGATCCACCCACCTCAGCCTCCCAAAGTGCTGGGATTACAGGCGTGAGCCACCACACCCAGCCTTTTTTTTTTTTTTTTTTTTTTGAGACGGAGTTTCGCTCTTGTTGCCCAGGCTAGAGTGCAATGGCATGGTCTTGGCTCACCACAACCTCTGCCTCCCAGGTTCATGCGATTCTCCTGCCTCAGCCTCCCAAGTAGCTGGGATTACAGGCATGCACCATCATACCCAGCTAATTTTGTATTTTTAGTAGAGACAGGGTTTCTCCATGTTGGTCAGGCTAGTCTCGAACTTCTGACCTCAGGTGATCTGCCCACCTCGGCCTCCCAAAGTGCTGGGATTACAGGCATGAGCCACCGCGCCCGGCCCTATCTTTTACTTTTATAAATAGAGATGAAGTTTCACCATGTTGCCCAGGCTGGTATCGAGCTCCTGGGCTCAAGCGATCCCCCAACCTTGGCCTTCCAAAGTGCTGGGATTACAAGCGCGAGCCACCGAAATTATTCTTAACTAGCAAGACTAGGCTCTGACATCACATCCTTATAGTTACATCCCTTTAAGCAGGGTTCAGCCACTCACTCTGCACCTGGAGAACTTGATGGTTATCCCTCGAAGTGACAGTCCTGCAAATGACAAAAACACTCCAAATCTATTAGGTTGGTGCAAAAGTAATTACGCTTTTTGCCACTGAAAGTAAGTCCCACAGGACCCTGAGGGAAATGGGAGGGTGGGGTATACATAGCAGCTGGGCAGCATATGGAAGGAATTTCTCTGGCATGGTTCAGCTTTGAGTCTAGCAGGAATATACTAGTTTAAAAATTCCAGAACTTCCTCAGAACGAACTGTTAAGTGATCAGTTAAAAAAAAAAAAAAGTTGGTTGGGTGCAGTGGCTCACACCTGTAATCCCAGCACTTCGGGAGGTTGAGGCGGGCAGATCACTTGAGGTCAGAGGTTCGAGACCAGCCTGGCCAATATGGTGAAACCCCGTCTCAACTAAAAATACAAAAATTAGCCAGGCATGGTGGCAGGTGCCTGTAATCCCAGCTACTCGGGAGGCTGAGGCAGGATAATCGCTTGACCCAGGAGGCAGAGGTTGCAGTGAGCCAAGATGGTGCCACTGCACTCCACCCTGGGCAACAGAGTGAGACTCTGTCTCAAAAAAAAAAAAAAAAAAAAAAAAAAAAAGGTGTAGAATAATAGAAAAATATAGACAAATCCAAAACATGCTGACAGTGGCTACAGTAGGTTATTATATGTACAGCTATGCCATTTATCAAAGTGTACATATGTACATACAGATACATGTACATATACATACAAATAGAATGCCAGACATCAGCAATAGAAATAAAAATATCTATAGAGGTATACTGGGTGTTTTTGTTTTTGTTTGAGACAGAGTCTTGCTCTGTCACCCAGTCTGGAGTGCAGCAGCGTGAACATGGCTCACTGCAGCCTTGACCTGCTGGGCTCAACTGATCCTCCTGCCTCAGCCTCCTGTGTAGCTGGGACCACAGGCACATGCCACCACACCTGGCTAATTTATTATTATTTTTTATTATTTTTTTGAGACGGAGTCTCGCTCTGTCACCCAGGCTGGAGTGAAGTGGTGCAATCTCGGCTCACTGCAACCTCCGCCTCCCGGGTTCAAGTGATTCTCCTGCCTCAGCCTCCTGAGTAGCTGGGATTACAGGTGCACGCCACCACGCCCAGCTAATTTTTGTATTTTTAGTAGAGACAGGGTTTCACGATGTTGATCAGGCTGGTTTTGAACTCCTGACCTTGTGATCTGTCTGCCTCAGCCTCCCAAAGTGCTGGGATTACAAGCGTGAGCCACTGCGCCTGGCCAATTTTTTATTTTTTGTAGAGATGGGGTCACATTCTGTTTCCCAGAGTGGTCTCCAACTCCTTGGGCTCAAGCAATCCTCCTGCTTCAGCCTCCCAAAGTACTGGTATTACATGTGTGAGCCACCACACCCAGCCAAGGTATACCTTTAACATTTAACATTTAATAGGCTGTGATACTGATTTTTTGTTTTAAATATACTTTTATAAATTTAAACTTAAGTATACTTGTTACATATACTTGCTATTTTCTTTGCAAGAAACATCTGTTGATTTTAGAATGTATGTTTAAGGCATTTTATTAAATGGAAGATTTTCAAAAAGT
The DNA here is from genome assembly GCF_000001405.40 of Homo sapiens. NCBI lineage: Eukaryota > Metazoa > Chordata > Mammalia > Primates > Hominidae > Homo > Homo sapiens. The sequence goes on along the minus strand of NC_000019.10, from coordinate 36,675,070 downwards.
AGATTAAAAAAGCTTTTAGGCCGGCTGCAGTGGCTCACGCCTATAATCCCTCCACTTTGGGAGGCTGAGGTGGACTGATCACTTGAGGCCAGGAGTTTGAGACTAGCCTGGCCAACATGGTGAAACCCATCTCTACTAAAAATACAAAAATTAGCCAGGCATGTTGGTGCATGCCTGTAATCCCAGTTACTTGGGTGGCTGGGGCACGAGAATCGCTTGAGCCCAGGAGGAAGAAGTTGCAGTGAGCAGAGATCATGCCACTGCACTCCAGCCTGGGCAACAGAGTGAGACTCTGTCTCCAAAAAAAAAAGCTTTAAGAAGTCTTTAGATTTACAGCTAAGCATATTCTAAATACTATGTGATGAATTATTTCTCTTATGTTAAAAAAAATATTAATTTGGACCCAACTATGACTGTGGGTATTCTGCCCAGGGAAGAAGAGCTAGGAGGTTTAAACCTTACCTTGGACTTGCTGCTTTGTTTTCTATGCCTTCTTGACAGAAGGATTTATTTCACTTCCGAAATATTAGCCATAATGCCCTGCTATCAGTAAGAGGACAGCCTTGCTCCATTAGTACCCTTTAGACCCAACATCAACAGACTCTAATCTGTAAGGCATACACATGACGAGAGGACATTCATTCACACCCAGAGCTCCTATGAATTCTTGGGAACTCCCAGGGTTATCACCTGTACTTCTCTAGAAGTCTTTGTCATGCTCTACCTTTGACTTACTTTTATTTCCCCTGTTGAATTATAAGCAATACAAAAGCAGCAATTATATCTTAGTAATTTGTGCTTCTTCCAAGTATTGAAGCACAAGGTCTTGCATGTTGCCAGGCATGCCAGTGTCTTACTCAGAAACCCCCCACTTCTAGGACAATTTGTCTCTTAGGAAGTAATTATAAAAATGAACTAAATAGTATTACAAGAATGCCATTGAAGAATTCCTGATAATAATTAGTAAATAAAAATGTTTGAGAATAAACAGTGTGTTAAATATCATATAATAGAACCCATAATCCTAATGATTTTCATTCCAAATTAGTTGGCACTCATCAGGAATGGCTTTGTGAAGCGGGTGGGATATAGAATAGAAGGTGTCAAGTTAGAAAATGGTAATCTAATAGTTAAAGACTGAGGACTTTGAAATTCAAATTCCAGTTCCTTCTCTTAGGAACTCTGTGACATTTTACAAGTTATTTAAGCTCTTGATGCCTCACCTGCATCATCAGTTTACCGGGAAAGGTATCAATAACTCCCTCAGGGTTCTGAGGGGAGTTAAATGACACTATACATGTAAAATACTTAGGATAGTATATTAAGGTTCTCTAGAGAAACAGAACAAACAGGGTGTGTGTGTGTGTGTGTGTCTGTGTCTGTGTCTGTGTGTATGCATGCACACAGAAAGATTTATTTTAAGGAACTGGCTCATGCAATTGTGGAGCCTTGGTACGTCCAAAATCTGCAAGGCAGGCCAGCAGGCTGAAGACCCAGAAAACAGTTGTGATTCGAAGTCTAAAGGCAGTCTGCTAACACAATTCCCTCTTGCTCAGACATTAGCCTTTGTACTATTAAGAACTTTAGCTGATTGAATGAGGCTCATCCATTGTGTGGAGCGTAATCTGCTTTATTCAGAGTCCACTGATTTAAGTGTTACTCTCATCCAAAAAAACACCTTTCACAGAAACATCCAGAATAATGTTTGACCAAATATCTGGGCATCATGGCCCAGTCAAGTTGACACATAAAATTAACCATCATAAGTCCACCCTTGTCGACTTGGTACCCATAAGCATCTCCTAAAACCATACTTCATATCTGAATAAAGGCAGTAACAAGGTTATACTTCTGCTTAACATGATACAACTATCCTGCATAAAACCAAAAATAACTAACACTTCCCCAGAAGAGGATGCAAAGTCTGGATGATGTTAATGCTTCTCCCTGATATCCCATAACTTAAAAACTGATATAAAGTTAACAATATTTAAATACTCTAATATAAAGTCAGTATATCATACTGTACATGATAAAGAGATATGAAAGGGATGAAAACAAAGCTGTGTTGTATACACATTCATTATAAAATAAAGAAGACACATTCATGACAATTAGTCTTTGTTTCTGTAACTGCTCACGTGGTTATAGCTGGTATTCATACCTACCTTCTTCCATTATCCATTATGTATTCCTTTTTCCCTCAGCAAGCGAGCTCCTCAGCTGATTGTGGTTCTTTAACTGGTGGGGTGACCCAAACCTTCATTCGTTAAGGGTCTGGATGGTAGTTTTGGCAGAAGCATTTTGTGTCAGGAAGGCAAATTTGTATCTAAAGTGTGTATTCCAGTAAGAAAAAAATACTACCCCTTCCATGATGGAAGCAATCCAATGTATCAGCCTGCCACCAGGGAATGGTGCCATATTGGGGAGCCAATGTTGGTCTTGGCTGCCAGCAGACTGGGCACTCAGCAGTAGCTGTAGCCAGTTTGGCTTTGGTGAGCAGAAGTCCATGTTGCTGAGCCCATGCATAACTTTCATCACTGCCATCATGACCACTTTGTTCATGAGCCAATTGGGTGATGATAAGGGTAGCTTGGTAAAGAGGCTGACTGATATCCACAGAATGGGTCATCCTATACACCCGATTATGAAACATCCTCTGCTAAGGTTACCCTTTGGTAAGTATTCACATAGGGCACAAATATCTTTATATTTTTTACCTGTTCAGCGAGGTCCATATCTCTTCCCTAGAATTCCTTGTCACCAGTTTTTAAATAATGTTCCTTCCAAGTTCCTGACCATCCAGCCAGACCATTGGCTACAGTGCATGAGTTGGTATATAATGTCACATCTGGCTATTTCTCCTTCTAGGAAAAATGAACAACCAGGTGCGGTGCTCAGAGTTCCAATCACTGGGAGGATTTCCCTTCACCACTGTTCTTTGGGGATGTCCCAGAACAGGACTGTAGCGCTGTCCAGGTGGTATCTGTCTATCATGCAGAACCATCTGTAAACCAGGCCTGAGTCTTCTCTACCTCTATCAACTGATCATAGGGAACTCCCCATGAGGCCACGAGTGCAGGCTGGGAGAGAAAGGTATTGTAGCAAGAGGGGGGACGATGGGCTTTTGGGCCACTTCTTCACATGTGTGCCTTCAGGGCCTGCTTAGGCCTGATCACATTTATACCACTTAAATTTTATGATGGAGTACTGCTGTGTACACTCAATTTAATGACTTGGTGGGTCAGGTAACACCCATTTCCTGATGGGTAGTGCAGGTTGCATGGTAACTTCGTGGCCCATGATTAAATGTTCAGTCTCTACTAAGGTCCAGTAGGAGGCCAAAAGCTGCCTCTGAAGAGTCGTTTTCTAAAAAGGAAGATAGGGCTTTGCTCCAAAATCCTCAGGGCCTGCACTGTGATTCCTCTGCTGGGCCCTGCCAAAGGCTCCAAACGGCATCCCTCTCTGCTACTGACACTTGAGGCACCATTAGATTTGTTGGATCATGTGGCCCAAGTGGCACATCAGCTTGCACAGCAGCCTGGTCCTGTTGGGGAGTTTTCCTTTGTTCTGGGCCCCGCTGTAAACTAACAGTTTTTTGGATCACTTGGTAAATGGCCAGCAGAATAACACATCCAAGTGAGGAATGCGTTGCTTCCAAAATCCGAAGAGACCCCCTTTGCATTGTGCCTCCTTTTTGACTGTAGGAGGAGCCAGATGGAACAATTTATACTTCATCTTAGAAGGGATATCTCACCATGCTCCACACCACCCGACCTCTGGGAATTTCAGTGAGGTAGAAGGCCCCTGATTTCTTGTTGGGTTTATTTCCATCCTCTGACATGCAATGTCTTAACAATAAATCTAGAGTACTTGCTACTTCTTGTTCACTAGGTTGAATCAGTGTAATGTCATCAATGTAATGGATCAGTGCAGTATCTTTTGTTTATTTGTTTGTTTGTTTGTTTTGAGACGGAGTCTTGCTCTGTCGCCCAGGCTGGAGTGCAGTGGTGCGATCTCAGCTCACTGCAACCTCTGCCTCCTGGGTTCAAGCAATTCTCCTGCCTCAGCCTCCCGAGTAGCTGGGATTACAGGTGCATGCCACCATGTTCAGCTAATTTTTGTATTTTTAGTAGAGACGGGGTTTTGCCATGTTGGCCAGGCTGGTCTGGAACTGCTGACCTCAGATGATCCACATGCCTTGGCCTCCCAAAGTGCTGGGATTACAGGTGTGAGCCACCACGCCCGGCCCAGTGCAGTATCTCGTGGAAGGAAAAGGCAATCGAGATCCCTGTGAACTAACTTACGATATGTGTCTGGAGAGCTGATATACTCCTGAGGCAGCACAGTGAAAGCGTATTACTGGCCTTACCAATTGAAAGCAAGCTATTTATGGTGGTTTTAAATAACAAGGATGGAGAAAAAAGCATTTGCCAATTCAGTAGCTACACATCAGGTAGCAGAGGATGTGTTAATATCCTTAAGCAACAAAACCACATTTGGTACAGCAGCTACAACTGGAGTCACCACCTGGTTAAGCTTATGATAATCCAGTGTCATTCTTCAAGACCCATTTGTCTTCTGCAGGGCCAAATAGGCAAGTTGAATGGTGATGGGGTGGGAATCCATTACTATTATTTTGTAAATAGTAAATTTTTACTATTTACAAAAATAGTAAAAAAAATTACTATTTTTCTAGGTGGAGACAGTTTTAGTCGCTTCCACCTGGCCTCTCCCACCATAACAGCCCTCAGTCCACAGGTCAGGTAATCAATGTGGGGATTCTGCCGGTTACTAAGTAGATTTAGTCCAATTATGTGTATGGTATTGGGGATACAACCACAGAATGCTTCTGGGACTTGCTGTGCCCATTGTGAGACAGACCTGAGCTAAAACTCCATTCATCACCTAACTGCCATAAGCCCCTACTCTGACTGGTAGATCACAGTGATGTTTTGGATCTCCTGGAATTGAGGTCAGTTCAGAGCCAGTGTCTAATTTAAAACAATTTAATAAAAATGAAACAATAATTTATTGTGATAAAGAATGCAAAATGGCCATGAAAGAACATTTCAAAGAAAATATCTGTTACAGGGTAACTGTCTGGGAAGATGGCTGATATTCTTTGATGGAAGTTAAATAGATAGGAAATCTACTAAAGAGTTAATTGATTTGTGTAAGTGGAAGACTTCTAGGTCAAGTGAACAAAAGTATAACTTGATTCATAAAGACAGAAAGTCAGTGTCCCTCAATGAATACCCAGACTTGAGCCAGTGAAGAGACCCAGAAGCCCTTGAACAAAGGGGAGGCCAGGTCCCCTTAAGGAAGAGCACCAGTATACTTCCAGAAATTTATACTGTTAATCTTTCTCCCAGTCTTCCAAAAGGGACCTACGGCTTTTATTAGAGTGACTGTGCAGAGACCAACACTGAGTCCCAACATGACACCATTCTCTGGTGGCAGGTTGGTTACATCGGACTGCTTTTTTCTCACTGAAATAGACACTATGGATATGGATTTGCCTTCCTTATACAAAGTGCTGCCACCAAACTACCCTGAAAAGTAATCCCTGAAAGGTCTGATTATTTATTTTCCCCACTGTAACGTATCCATGGGTCCCAGATACCTGCATTCTCTTATGTAGTTACTACATTCATATAACTTCGCAATCTTTCATTCGGATTTTAATTCATGTCACATTTAAACACACCAAATCTCACATGATCTCCAACTCAATCATAATCCTTTAAAACATACACATCAACCTCAAAGCCACAACAGTCTAATCACATACCCCTTCACTGTCATACAATTCATCCAGAGACTTGAGCATATTCGCAAACCACTTTCACATAGTCATCCCTCAGTGTCCCTCCAGGACCCCTCCCCACCAACATACACAGATGCTCAAGTCCCTTATATAAAATGAACACGGTATTTGCATATAATCTATGGAAATCCTCCCATATTCTTTAAACCCTCTCTAGATTACTTATAACACCTAATAACCATGTAAATACTATGTACATAGTTGTTATATTCTATTTTTTAGGGCATAATGACAAGAAAAAAAGCCTGTACAAGTTCAGTACAGATGCAAACATCAACTTCTTTTCCCAGATATTTTCAACTGAAGGTTTGTTGAATCCACAATGCAAGACCCATGGATAGGGAGGGCCAGCTGTACGTCATATATTTCACTCTACTTTCTCTCTCACTGACAGTTTCAAGTGCAAACCATCTCACATACATGAATGAGAATCAGACACAAGCAGAATCACTTGTTCTCAAACAAGCACCATTTCCTCATATTACACTTGGTGATGGAGTTACTGGTCTCTCAGCAAGGTTAAAAATCCTTACCATGGATCTGTCCCTTCTGGCAGATAACATGTGCCAGCTTCCACTCCTCTAAGTCGGCTCTGGACTCTCACACACAAACATACACAGTCACCTCACACCGCTCCTATGCATACATCTAAGGTTCAGGACGCCCTGGTCCAGAGATCTGTCATTCATCCATCTCAGACCTTCCTGGTCGCAACCAGCTTCTTCCCTTCTCAGGGGCCGCCACAGTCACACTAGTCCTCTAATCATGGGTGGACCCAGCGCAAAAAGCCTCACACAGAATGTCACAAGATCCCTGTGCACGTGGCTGCGCTCCTGCAAACGTGGCAATCACACGGGTCCAGGTGGCCTCTCACATTTAAGCCACATCACGTATCACCCCCACAGGGGCCACTGCGGGAGTGGCGGCGCTCGCCGCATGAGCCCCACGCGGGCATATAGAACAGCCATTCTCAAAAAGCCTCAAAACCGTTTCACCACCCAGCGCGGTGGCTCACACCTGTCATCCAATACTTTGGCCACTGAGACGGGAGGATCGCTTGAGCCCAGGAGTTCGAGACCACCAGCCTGGGCAACATAGCGAGACCCTGTCTTTACCAAAAAAATAAAAATAAAATAAATCGTTTTGGCCTGACCCGGTGGCTCACGCCTGCTATCCCAGCACTTTGGGAGGTGGATGCGGGAGGAGCTGAGGAGGTGGAGACTGCAGTGAGCTAGGATCGCGCCACCGCAGTCAGCCTGGGCAACAGGGCATGAAGACCCTGTCTCAAAAAGAGGCCGGGCGCGGTGGCTCACGCCTGTAATCCAGCACTTTGGGAGGCCGAGGCGGGCGAATCACGAGGTCAGGAGATCGAGACCATCCTGGCTAACACGATGAAACCCCGTCTCTACTAAAAATACAAAAAATTAGCCGGGCGAGGTGGCGGGCGCCTGTAGTCCCAGCTACTCGGGAGGCTGAGGCAGGAGAATGGCGTGAACCCGGGAGGCGGAGCTTGCAGTGAGCCGAGATTGCGCCACTGCACTCCAGCCTGGGCGACAGCGAGACTCCGTCTCAAAAAAAAAAAAAGAAAAAAAAAAAGTTGAGTGAAATATATGACGTACAGTTTTTTGTTGTTGTTGTTGTTTGTTTTTTCTTGCCCGGGCAACAGGGCAAGAAGACTCTGTCTCTAAATAAATAAATAAATGGAGTCAAATATATGACATACAGTTTTGTTTGTTTGTTTGAGAAGGAGTTGCTCTGTCGCCCAGGCTGGAGTGCAATGGCGCGACCTCGGCTCACCGCAACCTCTGCCTCCCGGGTTCAAGCGATTCTCCTGCCTCAGCCTCCCGAGTAGCTGGGATTACAGGCATGCGCCATCACGCCCGGCTAATTTTGTATTTTTAGTAGAGACGGGGTTTCTCCATGTTGGTCAGGCTGGTCTCGGTGATCCGCCCGCCTTGGCGTGAGCCACCGCGCCCGGCCAAAAAAAAAATTTTTTTTTAAATCGTTTCACATACAAATCTCACGCGCTACACCCTCACCGTCAGTTCATATCCACCTTCTCCTCCGGAGTCACCTTCGGACACGCGCACAACAAAACACCTTTCTCACCACAACTCCACAAAGGGAAGCCGGGTTAGTCCGCGCCCGCCGAAAATTATCTTCAGCCACAGCCCGCGGAGGCCGCCTTGAGGGGTTCGGGGCAGCCACTGTGCCTATTCCGAAATCCGTCCTCAGCGGAACCCGAAGTCCAGAATCCGAAAACGAACATTAACAGGTTGGCGTCACTCCAGCCTCGGGTGAAACTGCGCAAGTGCATCCCGGAGCCCGGCGGAACACACCCGCTCCACCCCAGGCGCTCTCCCCTCGGACTGCATTTCCCAGAGGACACTGCTGTCCACAGCTACTTCCGGTAGGAGCCTCGCAGGAATGGTCTCCGGGTAGAGGCAGGTAAGGATGTCCCGGGCCGGTGGAGAAGGAAGAGCTGGGCGTGTGGCTTCGCTTGGAATCCGAATCAGAGCTTGGACCAGAGCCTTCCCTGAGAATGCTGAAGGTAAGAAATCCTGGCTCACCAGTGCCGCGGAAGGGAATGTCTATAGTTTTAGGCCTCTGAGTGCGGGATCAGCCCTTAGGTGGGTGTGTTTTGAATGCGTGAGGAAGTAGGGTTTCTCTTTGGGCTGTGTGTTACTGTTGGGACAGCGACCTGGTGCGTGGGTGTGCTTTAGTGACAGTGTGATTGTGTGCCTGATCATTTGTGTAAATGGGGTTTGTAGGTGACTGTGACCATGATTGTGAATGGCTATTTGTGTAAATCTCATTTATTTACGTGAAAGAAAAAGCACATTTACAGGCCGGGAGCGGTGGCTCACCCCTGTAATCCCAGCATTTTGGGAGCCCGAAGCGGGTGGATGCCCTGATGTCGGGAGTTCGATACCAGCCTGGCCAACGTGGAGAAACCCCACCTCTACTAAAAATACAAAATTAGCCGGGTATGGTGGTGCATGTCTGTAATTCCAGCTCCTTGGGAGGCTGAGGCAGGAGAATCGCTTGAACCCGGGAGGCGGAGGTTGCTGTGAGCCGAGATCGCGCCATTGCACTCCAACCTGGGCAACAAGAGTGAAACGAAACTGTCTCAAAAAAAAAAAAACAAAAAAACATTCACGTTATCCTCAGGCTCACACGATCAGGCAGAGAGCTTCCACTCCTCTCAGTCAACTCTGGTCTCTCACACACAGACACACGCACATTCACCTCACCCCGCTCCTGTGCACACATCTAAGGCTCAGGACGCCCCACTCCAGAGATCTGTCATTCATCCATCTCTCATCCTTTCCTGACTACTTGAGGAGTTAGCTGTAGATTTACACACACAACACAAGCGAAAATCACATTGCTACCCCGCATTTATCATTACAGCCTCAGAAAAACACCACATATGTAGTATGCTTATGTACCTATGTGTTTGATTTTTTTTTTCTGAGATTTGGCCACAATACACATTGTTCTGCAACTTCCTTTTTTTTTTTTTTTTTTTGAGACGAAGTTTCTCTCTTTCACCGTGGCTGGAGTGCGGTGGCGCGATCTCGGCTCACTGCAACCTCCGCCTTCGGGTTTTAAGCAGTTCTCCTGCCTCAGCCTCACGAGTAGCTGGGATTACAGGCATCCGCCACCACACCCAGCTAATTTTTGTATTTTTAGTAGAGACGGGATTTCACCATGTTGGCCAGGCTGGTCTTGAGCCCCTGACCTCGTGATCCGCCCGCATCTGCCTCCCAAAGTGTTGGGATTACAGGCGTGAGCCACCGCGCCCGGCCTCTGCAACTTCTTACTAAAAGATATTTATGTCCTTTTGTCTGTATTCAAAGACAAACTTAAGAATATTTTTCAGGATGTTTCCAGGTATGATTCTTCTTTAATTCTTACAGCACTGTACTTCAAACTAAAGACTCAAGAATTTATTTTGGTCTGCAAATTTTTGTTCTATTTATTTTTTCTCTTCCATCTGTGTTGTTTCAGCCTCTATTTTTGAAATTTCTGTTACACATACACTGGGTCTTTTGGGTCTGTTTTCTGTTTCCCTAATCTTTTCTCATAATGTTCATTACCTTTTCTTTTTCCTCTTAATTCAGTGAAAATCTACCCAGTGCAGTTCTCAGCACCCTGATCCTGGCTTCGATTTCATCATAGTATTGGGACAATGGGCTGGCCTAACTATCCCTTCTGCTGAAGGGCATGATCCTTGCTTTTCTTGAGTCTATCCTGCTGTAGCTGAGTTTCCTCATGGTTTTGAGTAAAGCTAGGATTTGTCCAAATTCCCACTAATAATTTATGTATGTATGTATCAGGTCTGGGAATAGGAGATATGAAGGGGGAAGAAAAATGTCATTCTGAATTAACATTTTGGGAGCTTAGAGGCAATAATCTCCTGTCTTTTTTTTAACTCCCCTCTCTCCCAGCAACACCTTCTTTGGATTGAGTTTCTTCCAGAGGGAACGAAGAAGAGGATTAAATAATACATTCAATTCTAAAATAAGACATGGCCCATGTAAGTTGGTTTTTTCTTGCTCCTAATTACAATACTTGATTTTTTGTTTGTTTGTTTTTGTTTTTTTTGTATAGGGCATGTGACTATTTGCTTTTTTTTTTTTTGAGACATAGCCTCGCTGTCTCCCAGGTGGGAAGGTTAGAGTGCAGTGGTGCGAACTTGGCTCACTGCAGCCTCCACCTCCCAGGTTCAGGCGATTCTCCCACTTCAGCCTCCCAAGTAGCTGGGACAACAGGCACGTGCCACCACACCCAGCTAATTTTTGTACTCTAAGTAGATACGGGGTTTTGCCAAGTTGGCCAGGCTGGTCTCAAACTCCTGGCCTCAAGTGATCTGCCCATCTGAGCTTCCCGAAGTGCTGGGATTACAGGCATGAGCCCCTGCGCCTGGCCTGCATTATTTATTCTGACATAGTTTCTTACCTGGGAATTATACAATAACTTACTAGTGAGTAAGTGACGGTGCCAGAATTTCAGGGCCTTCATTTTTGCTCCTCTCATCTCCAACTCATGTTCATATACTTGTTGAATAAATGATTCTTCATCTCCCTTACGTGAAATCTTTTAACAGACACAAGGAGAGAACACAAATAATATTGTTTTGAAGAAAATATTAGTGTTTCTCTTGTCAGAACTTTGATTTGATGAGGTGATTAACGAATATTTATTGAGTACCTACTATGTGACAGGCATTCTTCTAGGTAACGGAATAAATCAGTGGGGAAAAAAATATCACATACATACATATCTTCCCTTCTGAAGCTTAACTGGTAGTGAGAGACAGAAAATAACTTATGTATAGTAAGACTTCCCAGATATATGCAGAGAGAGTGAGCAAGACAGAATTAACAAAATAATCACATGATAAAAGCCAGGCACGGTGACTCACGCCAGTAATTCTAGCACTTTGAGAGGCTGAGGTGGGAGAATCGCTGGAGTCTGGGAGTTCCAGACCAGTCTAGGCAACATAATAAAACTCCACCTCTACAAAAAAAATTTGTGTTAATCAGCTGCTTGTGGTTGTGTGCACCTGTAGTCCTAGCTACTCGAGAGGCTGAGGCTGAAGTGGGAGGATCACTTTATCCCAGGAGTTTGCGGCTGCAGTGAGCTATGATCACACCACTGCACTCCAGCCTGGGTGACAAGGCAAGACTCTGTCTAAAAAAAAAAAAAAAAAAAAAATTACATAATAAAGTTAAGACCAGAGAGCAAACATATATACCTTATTAACATATGCAAATGGGGTTTAACTCATCTATTAAAAGACCTTTCAGATTGAATTACAAAGAAAAACCCAGACACCTGAGTGATTCACTGATTTAGAAAGGTTAAGAAAAGGATGGGCGAACAACTATACCAGGCAAATAGAATGAAAAGAAAACAGGACTGGGCATGGCAGCTTATGCCCATAATCCCAGCACTTTGGGAGGCCAAGGCGGGAGAATTGCTTTAGGACAGGAGTTAGACCAGCCTTGCCAACATAGCAAGACCCTGTCTCTACAAAAAAAGACAGAATAAAGAAAACAGACTAAGTAAGATTCAGGCCACATCACAGAATTAAACATGGCAGAAAGACATTATATACTTTTAAAGTATAAATTTCAAAATGAAGATATAACAGTTCTGAATATATATTGAATATCATAGCATTACCTCCTAAAGTAAAATTTAGAGCAGATAGAAGAAATAGACACTTACCAGCAGTAAGAGACATTAATTCACTCTTCTCAGTCCAAACCAGGCCAAGTAGACAAAATTTAATAAGGAAATAGAAGTACTAAATCACATACTGTATCAGATCTATATTATTGATATATATATTAAATTTGGTATCCTGATAATTGTTAATATTCATTCTTTCAAGTGGCTGTGGAACATTCACTAAAAAATGACAAAATCTGAGGCCACAGTAATATCCAGTAATTAGAAATGATAATGTTGCCTGAATATAGTGAAATACAACTAGAATTTAATAATAAAATCAGAGAAATAAAGCTAATTTTATCAAAAGTTTATAAATTATGTCTTAATAAGTATGGGAACAAAGAGGAAATATAATCTAAAAGTAAAGAATTTTTAGTAATCAATGATAGCATTGCATATTGAAACAAGAAACAAATGAGATTTAGTTAAAGCAGGACCCTGGCCAGGCACAGTGGCTCATGCCTGTAATCCCAGCACTTTGGGAGGCTGAGGCGGGCGGATCACGAGGTCAGGAGATGGAGACCATCCTGGTCAACATGGTGAATCCCCATCTCTACTAAAAATACAAAAATTAGCTGGGTGTCGTGGTGCGCATCTGTAATCCCAGCTACTCGGGAGGCTGAGGCAGGAGAATCACTTGAACCCGGCGGGGAGGATATTGCAGTGAGCCGAGATCCTGCCACTGCACTCCAGCCTGGCGACAAAGCAGGACTCCATCTCAAAAAAATTAAATTAAATTAAAAAGCAGGACCCTAAGGAAAAATCATAGCTTTGAATGCTCCTACCAAAAAGAGTTAAAATATATGAATTAGAAATACATGGAAATAGCTAGGCTCGGTGGCTCATGCCTGTAATCCCTGCATTTTGGGAGGCTGAAGCGGGCGGATCACCTGAGGTCGGGAGTTCGATACCAGCCTGACCAACACAGAGAAACCCCGTCTCTACTAAAAATACAAAATTAGCCAGACGTGGTGGCACATGCTTGTAATCCCAACTACTCAGGAGGCTGAAGCAGAAGAATCACTTGAACCCGGGAGGCAGAGGTTGCAGTGAGCCGAGATTGTGCCATTGCACTACAGCCTCAAAAGAGCGAAACTCCGCCTCAAAAAAATAAATAAATAAAAAAGAAATACTTGGAAATGTGGAAAGAATTTACAAAGATAAGAAATTATATGTGTTGGAAAACAGGAAAAAATGTCTAGTTGCTTTTCCTTCCTTCCTGTGATCTGAGTTTCCATCCTGTATCATTTCTCTTTAGCCTGAAGATCTTCCCTTAGTGTTTCCTGTAGTTTGGGTCTTTGGTGACACATTCTCTCAGATTTTATTATGTAAAAGTGACTTTATTTCATCTTAATTTTTAATTAATTTTTAAGTTTTAGTGTCAAGGCAATGCTGGCTCTATAAAATAAATCAGGGAATATACTGTAGTTTGACCACTTAAATTTAATGTAATTAGCAATATAGTTAGGTTTTACTCTACCATCTTGTCATCTGTTCTTTTTAAATTTTTTTTCCTGTTTTCCTACCTCGTCTTGGATTAATCTTATTTTTTTAGTATTTAATTTTATCGTCACTATAGGATTATTTGCTATATCTCTTTGTTTTGCTGTTTTAGGGGTTAAGGTTTGCAATGTGCTTTACACTATTCAAGTCATTTTAGAACACTTCAGGTATAATGTAAACATATTACAATTGGGTACTCTTTTTTTTTTTTAAAGAGACTGGGTCATGCTCTGTTTCCCAGGCTGGATTCCAGTGGTGTCATCATAGCTTATTGCAGCCTCGAACTCCTAGGCTCAAGTGATCCTCCTGCCTCAGCCTTCCAAGTAACTAGGACTACAGTTGTGTGCCACCACCCCTGGCTAATGTTTTAAATTTTTTTGTAGAGATGCGATCTCGCTTTGTTACCCAGGCTGGTCTCAAACTCCTGGCCTTAAGCAATCCTGCCTCCCTGCAGTGGCTTACTGGGGTGAGCCACTGCGCCAGACACAACTGGATACTTCTATTTCCCCTTCCCATCTTTTTTATTGTCATATATTTTATTTCTAAATTTGCTTAAAGCATATATTTCTTTCTTTAGTTGATTATCTTTTAAAGAAAGTATTAAATGAAAAGAGTAGCTTATGTATTTACCCCTATGTTTACTATTTCTAACACTCTTTATTCTTCTATATAGACTGAAGATTTTATCTAGTATCAATTTTTTTCCACCTGAAGAATTTCCTTTTACATTTTTGTAGCATAGGTGTTCTGGTGACAAATTCTTTCAGCTTTTGTTTGTCTTTTTTTTTTTAAAAAAATCAACTATTTCACCTTCATTTTAAAGGATTTTAGCTAGGTATAGAATCATAGGTTTTGAAGATGTTTTGTTTTCAGCATTTGAAATCACTGAAAATAAAGATTAGTAGTATTAGAGTTAGTGATACTGAGCCAGGAGCTAAAATTCCTGAGGGGCAAAAACCTGCATGTGAACACATCACTGCAACAGAGAGGGATAATACATGGTATAGACTGATGAAATGTGACATTAAATTTTAGAGAAGGGGCCCAGGTGCAGTGGCTCATGCCTGTAATCCCAGCACTTTGGGAGGCTGAGGCAGGTGGATCATTTGAGGTCAGGAGTTTGAGACTAGCCGGGACAAGATGGTGAAACCCCATCCCTACAAAAAATACAAAAACTAGCCGGGTGCGGTGGTGTGCACCTGTAATCCCAGCTACTCGGGAGGCTGAGGCATGAGAATCACTTGAACCCAGGAGGCAGAGGTTGCAGTGAGCTGAGATCATGCCACTGCACTCCAGCTTGGGCAACAGTGATATTCTGCTTAAAAAAAAAAAAAAAAAAAAAAGATTTTAGAGAAGGAAAGACAGTTGTCTGACACCAACAATGAGAAACAAGGATGACAGTGGTACGAAGGCTGTGGGAGAAAAAAAAAGCCACCACTTGAGGTGTCCTCAGGGAATGAATGGTTAATTAAATCACACGTGGGAAATCTTTGAAATTCACAATTTGGGATTTTCCAGTGAGATGTGATAGGAATTGGTGTTGGATGATCTCACTGAGCAGAGAGACTTTGCTGTGTGAGGCTTTAGAATTAGATGGAGATAGGATTAGTGCTTGCATGGAAAAATTGGAGATCTTGCCAGAAAATATATGATCACCAATTACAAACTCCGGTTTTAGATTGAACAGCATATGTTAGACTTGGGCCACATCTATGAGAGTCTGGATCATTCTACATTAATATTCTTTGGGAACACAGTAAATATACAGGGAGAGGTGGTGGATGATAACAGTTAAGACCTCTCAGGTGTGATTGCAAAACAATGGAATATGTACCTTAGAAAATACCGTAGAGATTTTGTTCACTCCAGAGATTCAAGTTTAAGAGAATTATTAAATCTCTTGTTGTAAGATTAAATGAGGCTAGGTGCAGTGTCTCATACCTGTAATCCCAGCACTTTGGGAGGCCAAGGTGGGAGGATTGCTTGAGCCCAGGAGCTCAAGACCAGCCAAGGAAATATAGTGAGACCCTGTCTCTTAAAAATGTTATGCTACCAATGTTATGCTACCAATAAAAATCATATTACAGTTACAATAACTATTTCCAGATAATAAACCAACCCAAAATTTAGTAGATTAAAACAACAATCATGGTTGGGCTTGCAAATCCACAATCTGAGCAGAGCTCAGTAGGGATCGCTCAGCTCTGTTCCATGTGGTATCAGCTGAAATGGTCTGATTGGGAACTACATGACCCACTTTCAAGATAGTTCCCTCACATGGTTTGCAAGCTGTTGCTGACTGTTGTTTGGGGAGGCTTGGTTCCTTTCCTCATGAGCTCTCCCATGGAGAGCTTGTTAGGCTTCCTAGGAACATGGTGGCTGGGTTTCCAGAAGGAACATCCCCAGAAAGTAAGGCAGAAGTATGAGACGTTTTTGTGATCTAACCACAGAAGTCACATAATCACTTCTGCCGTATTCTATAGGTTGAATAAGTCACAGATGTCCTTTCAGGTTCAAGAGAAGGGGGCACAGACCTTTACGCCAATTGGAAGGGGGATGTCAAGGTTACACTGAAGAAGAATATTTGGGATGCAAGATACAGCAGTGTCCATCTATGGAAAATATAGTCTGCACCAGATGTGTACTAAAGAATTTGCAGGAAAACTAAAAATGCCTATGGCATGATAGTCATAATCATGAATAAAAATCTTCAAGTTCTTTTTCTCAAGATAGAGATTTTAATAAGACATTTTGGAAAGATTTAAAAGTTTTTGACTATTTAATTTAATTGGGAGCCTCTACTTATTTTCTTAGTTTTGAGATGACTGATTAACAGGAGTTTCCCACCTACACAAGAAGATGTGTCTGCAGAAAATGAATTGTTTAAGAACATATGGGCACTCCGCTTCAGTCACACTAAATTCCTCTTTGACCCATGTCCCAGGCTTAGCCTATATATTCAGTAGACTGTCTCCTTCCTTGCAGTACCTTCTTTTAGCACTTCTCTTTTCTTTTTAAAAACATTTCTTATAATTTCAAAAATAGTACTATTATTTGTCATTTTAGGAGTTGGTGATGTTCAGAGATGTGGCTATAGATGTCTCTCAGGAGGAATGGGAATGCCTGAACCCAGCGCAGAGGAATTTGTACAAGGAGGTGATGTTGGAGAATTATAGCAACTTGGTGTCACTTGGTAAAGTTATCTAAAAATTAAGAACCTGACAATTCAGAATTCCGCTAACAATTCACAATCTACTTCTTGGAATTTCTGCTTTCCCCCCTATTAATTTAGGGCTAGCTTTCAAATAACTGGATGAATTTTCTCTTTATGTATTGTAGAAACCAGCACAGCTAAATGGAGGTACATTTTCATTTTCCCCATCCTTACACGTTCTTTTGGTCCTTTCTTATAATAACTCCTCCTTGATGTTTAAGGGGCAGAATTGGAAATCTGCAATGTTAAAGCATAACACTGTCAAAGAAAGCAGACTCTGTCTTTTGTTTCACTTCCACTGTGCTAAATCTGCTAGTGTACTAGCATAAGATTAAAACTAGACACATGGGTTCCAGGAGTGAAGCTTTTTTCTTTCCTGGGTAATAGAGTGATAGGCTGGAGTAATAAAGGTTCATTTACTATTCTCAAATGAGCACCACTCCATTTCCTATAATAAATGTAATCTTTCACTTTTTATTTTATTTATTTATTTATTTTTGAGACGGAGTTTCGTTCTTATTGCCCAGGCTAGAGTGCAATGGCGTGATCTCGGCTCACCACAACCTCTGCCTCCCAGCTTCAAGCAATTCTCCTGCCTCAGCCTCCCGAGTAGCTGTGATTACAGGCATGTGCCAACACGCCTGGCTAGTTTTGTATTTTTAGTAGAGATGTGTTTTTTCCATGTTGGTCAGGCTGGTCTCAAACTCCCGACCTCAGGTGATCCACCTGCTTCGGCCTCCCAAAGTGCTGGGATTACAGGCATGAGCCACCGCACCTGGCCTTTTTAATTTTTTTTTGAGACAGAGTTTCACTTTTGTTGCCCAGGCTAGAGTGCAATGGCATATCTTGGCTCACTGCAACCTCTGCCTCCCAGGTTCAAGCAATTCTCCTGCCTCAGCCTCCTGAGTAGCTGGGATTACAGGTGCCCGCCACCACGCCCAGCTAATTTTTGTATTTTTAGTAGAGACAGGGTTTCACCATGTTGGCCAGGCTGGTCTCGAATTCCTGATCTCAAGTGATCCACCCGTCTTGGCCTCCCAAAATGCTGGGATTACAGGTGTGAGCCACCGCGCCTGACCTGTACTCTCTTTTAAGTGATTTGCCTTTGGAAGTTATTTTTAAAGAACTTTGTACAGTTAACATTAAAAAAAAAAAGGAGGCTGGGTGCTGTGGCTCATGCCTGTAATCCCAGCACTTTGGGACGCTGAGGCAAGTGGATCACCTGAGGCCAGGAGTTTGAGACCAGCCTGGCCAATATGGGCCAAACCCCGTTTCTACTAAAATACAAAAATTAGCCAGGCAGAGTGGTGTGCGCCTATAATCCCAGCTACTTAGGAGGCTGAGGCAGGAGAGTCACTTGAACCCGTGAAGTGGAGGTTGCAGTCAGCCAAGATTGTGCCATTGCACTCCAGCCTGGACAACAAGAGCAAAACTCCATCTCAAAAAAAAAAAAAAGAATAAATATCTCAAGAAGCTTCTTTTTTTTCCTCACAGCAAAAAAGAGAAACCTTACATAAATTTAAGTACTATTTTATCGCCTGTTTGTTTGCTTTGTTTGTTATGATCCTGTGTTCATCTGAATATGAGTGTTTCATCTCTTCTCCTTTATTTCCTCTGTATCCCTTATCAAGTACCATTTTTATCTGTGATTTATTTTTATTTTAATCAGTTCTAAATCACTGTATTTGGATACATTCATTTCCATCTCATCTCAATTTCTTTTCTTATAACTAGGACTTTCTGTTTCTAAGCCAGCCGTAATCTCCTCATTGGAGCAAGGGAAGGAGCCCTGGATGGTTGTGAGGGAAGAGACAGGAAGATGGTGCCCAGGTGAGTGAGCAAGCACAGGAAGCTCTTGCAGAGAGCAGGCCAGCTGGTCAGAATGTTGGGCTGGCAAGTTTATTTTAAACCAAACTTTGGGAAAACCTGATTTCAAAACATATTACAAAGATATAGTAATCAAACAGTGTGGTACTGGCATAAAGATATTCTAGGCCGGGCGCGGTGGCTCACGCCTGTAATCCCAGCACTTTGGGAGGCCGAGGCGGGCAGATCACGAGGTCAGGAGATCGAGACCACGGTGAAACCCCGTCTCTACTAAAAATACAAAAAATTAGCCGGGCGCAGTGGTGGGCGCCTGTAGTCCCAGCTACTCGGGAGGCTGAGGCAGGAGAATGGTGTGAACCCGGAAGGCGGAGCTTGCAGTGAGCGGAGATCGCGCCACAGCACTCCCGCCTGGGCGACAGAACGAGACTCCGTCTCAAAAAAAAAAAAAAAAAAAGATATTCTAAAGGAATAGAATAGAAAGCCCAGAAATAAACCCTTGCATAAATAGTCAAATTATTTTAGACAAGGGTGCCAACACTTCCATGGAGAAAATTGGATTATCCACAGGCAAAGGAATACAGTTGTACCCTTGTCTTACACCATATAGAAAAATTAACTCAGAATGGATCAAAGACCTAAATGTGAGAGCTAAAGCAATAAAACTCTAAGTAGAAAATATTGGAGAAAAGCTTCATGACATTGGATTTGGCAATGATTTATTGTGTATAATACCAAAAGCACTGGCAACAAAAGCAAAAACAGACAAATGGGACTACATCAAACCTAAAAACTTCTGTACATCAAAGGACACAATCTATAGTGTTTATTAATTTTTGTTTGTTTGTTTTGAGACAGGGTTTCACTCTGTCACTCAGGCTGGATGGAGTACAGTGGTGCAAACTCAGCTCACTGCAACCTCTGCCTCCCTGGCTCAAGCAATCCTCTCACCTAAGTTTCCTGAGTAGCTGGAACTACAGGCCCATGCCACCATGCATGGCTAATTTTTTAATTTTTTGCAGAGATGAGGTCTCACTGTATTGCCCAGGCTGGTCTCGACCTCCTTAAGCAATCCTCCCACCTCAGCCTCTGAAAGTGCTAGGATTACAGGCATACACCACTGTGCCCAGCCTGCTTATTAGTTTTTTAAAAGATTCAGGCTGGGCTCAGTGGCTCACACCTGTAATCTCAGCACTTTGGGAGGCTCAGGTGGGAGGATTACTTGAGCTTAGGAGTTTGTGACCAGTCTGGGCAACATAGCAAAAGCCCTGTCTTTACAAAAAATTAAAAATTAAAATATTCACCAGGCATGGTGGTACATGCCTGTAGTCCCAGATGTTCAGCAGACTGAGGTGGGAGATCACTTGAGCCCAGGAGTTTGAGGCTACAGTGAGCCAAGATTGTACCACTTTACTCCAGTCTAGGTGACACTGCAAGATGCTGTCTCTAAATAAATAGATAAAAGATCCATACAAGTTGCTTTGCTAGGTGATGGGAATACATTTTTAAAGTGTTATAGAGACGTTTTCAATCTAACAGGGGATCAACAATACATGGATGGATGTTCTAATAGAATCACTAGGCAAAAAAATAGTGTTGATCAGAAATTAGGAAAGTTAGAGAAAGTAATATATGACTATATTGAGGAGGTAGAGATGGCAGAGGGATGATTGAGAAGGAAGGAGATCAACCAGGAAAGTTTGGGGTGCTATAGACCAAGGGCAGATCCATTCTACAGGCTAGAGTTCTTTGATGATGTCTGTGATTCATTGAAGTGCTATAGGCTGAACATGGTGGCTCATGCCTGTAATCCCAGCACTTTGGGTGGCCAAGGTGGAAGGATTGCTTGAGCCTAGGAGTTTGAGACCAGTCTGGGCAATATAGTGAGACCCTGTCTGTACCAAAAAGAAAAAAAAAAATTAGCCTAGCATGGTGGCATGCTACCTGTAGTCCCATCTACTCAAGGGGCTGAGTTGGGAGTATTGCTTGAGCCTGGGAGGTCAAGGCTGCAGAGAGCCATGATTCTGCCATTGCACTCTAGTCTGGGTAACAGAGCAAGACCCTGTCTCAATCAATCAATCAATCAAGTGCTACAGAACTGTGAGAGAATACATTTGTGTTGTTTTAAGCCACCCAGTTTGTGGGACTTTGTTAATGGCAGCCCTAGGAAACTAATAGAGAGGAATCATGGAAAAATGGTACATATTCTCATACATATTTTAATGTAAAGATAACATTCCTTTACCAGTTTTTTTATACCTGGGTAGGCCTTTTCCTTGGCATGAATTTTCTTTAAAAAAAGACTTTTTATTTTGAAATAATTATGGATTCACAAGAGGTTGCAAAGAAATGTACAGGGGAGTCCTGTGTACCCCCTTTGCAGCTTCCCCCAGGGTTAATACCTTACCCAACTATAGTACAATACCATACCAAAAAATTGACATTGCTGCAATTCATAGAACTTACTCAGATTTCACCAGTTATACATGCACTCATTTCTGTGTGTATATTTATAGCTCTATGCAGTTTTATCACATGTAGCCTTGTGTCACCACCACAATAGCCAAAATACTCAACAATACCTCACAAGACTCCCTTGTGTTAGCTATACTTATCCCATTTCTCTTTTTCCTAACCCTTGTGATATTGTTTGGCTGTGTCCCTTCCCAAATCTCATCTTGAATTGTAGGCTGCCATAATTCCCACGTGTTGTGGGAGGGACCAGGTGGGAAATAATTGAATCATGGGGGCACTTTCCCCCATACTGTTCTCGTGGTAGTGAATAAGTGTCACAAGATCTGATGGTTTTATAAGGGGTTTCCCCTTTCGCTTGGCTCTCATTCTCTCCTGTCTGCTGTCATGTAAGATGTGCCTTTGCTCTTCCTTTGCCTTCTGCCATGATTGTGAGGCCTCCCCAGCCACATGGAACTGTGAGTCCATTAAACCATTTTCTTTATAAATTACCCAGTCCTGGGTATGTCTTTATCAGCAGCATGAGAGCAGACTAATACACCTTGGCAACCACTGTTCTGTTCTCTGTATAATTATGTAATTTCATAAATGTTACATAAATAGAATCCTGCAATACTTGTCCTTTGGAAAATGGCTTTTTTCCTTTTATTTCATATACACATACACATATATATGGGTTTTTGTTTTTTACATTCATGTACAAACTTGTACATGAAAACAAGTCTTCATTTGTTTATGATAAATGCTCAAGAGTGTAGTTGCTGGGTGGTGTAATAAGTCCATTTTTAGTTTTTCAAGGAGCTGCCAAATTATTGTCAACAATGTTTGTACCGTCTTACATTCTTAACTGGCAATGTATGTGTGATCCAGTTTCTCTAATCATAGTCAGCACTTGGTGTTCTAATTGTTTTTCATTGTAGCCATTCTAATAGGTGGGTAATTATATCTTATTGTGGTTTTAATTTTGAATTTCCTTAATGGCAAGTAATGTTGAACATCTGTGTGTGCCATCTGTCTATCCTATTTAGTGAAATGTCTCTCCATGCCTTTTGCCCATTTTCTAATTTGGTTAGTTTTATATTGTTGAGTTTTCAAAGTTCTTTTTGTATCTTAGACAGAATGCCTTTGTTGGATTTATGACCTGCAAATATTTTCTCCCAGTCTGTAATTTGTCTTTTTTTGAGCGGTAGCAAGGTTTATCGTGAAGAGCGAAAGAACAAAGCTTCCACAGCATGGAAGGGGACCCCAGCGGGTTGCCCTGTAATTTGTCTTTTTATCCTTTTAACAGGGTCTTTGCAGAGCAAAAGTTTTTAATTTTGATGAGGTCTAGTTTATCTTCTTTTCTCTTATGAATTGTGTTTTTGGTGTGTGTATGTGTATTTAGTGTCACGTCTAAGAACTGTTTGCCTACTCAAAGGTCCTTAAGATTTTCTCCAATGTTCTTTTTTAGAAATTTTATAGTTTTTGTTTTTTTTTTTTTTGAGACGGAGTCTTGCTCTGTCACCCAGGCTGGAGTGCAATGGGGCAATCTCAGCTCACTGCAACGTCCACCTCCCAGGTTCAAGTGATTCTCCTGCCTCAGCCTTGCAAGCAGCTAGAATTACAGGCACGTGCCACCACACCCAGCTAATTTTTGTATTTTTTTTTTTTTTAGTAGAGGCGGGGTTTCACCATGTTGGCCAGGCTGGTCTCGAACTCCTGACCTCAGGCGATCTGCCTGCCTCCACCTCCCAAAGTGCTGGGATTACAGGCATGTGCCACCGTGCCTGGCCAGAAATTTTATAGTTTTACATTTTTCATTTAAGTTCGTGGTTCATTTTGTGTTAATTTTTGTAAAGTTGTGAAATTTAGATCAAGGTTCTTTTTTTTCTATGGATGCCCATAGCATTTATTTAAAAGTTATCCCTTCTCAAGTGAATAGCTTTTTCACCTTTGTCAAAACTTAGTTGTGCAAATTTGTGTGGCTCTCTTTCTGCATTCTCTGTTCTGTTGCATTGATCTTTGTGACCATCTCTCTTTTAGTGCCACCTTTCATGATGGCTGCAGTTATACAGTAAACCTTAACATTGGAAGGAGTGATTCTTCCCACTGTGTTGTTTTTCATAATTATTTTGGCTATCCTTAGGACCTTTTTCTTTCCATATAAGTTTTAGAAAAGCTTGTCTGTATCTACAAAAAATTTGCTTAGATTTTCATGGGAATTGTGTTAAGCCTATAGATGAAGTAAGAGAGAACACCTTTATTCTATTCAGTCTTCCAAAGCATGAACACAGCGTGCCTCTCCAAATATTTTTGTTTTCCTTGATTTCTTTTATTAGCATCTTACAATTTTCATCATACAGAATCTGTACAAGTTTTGTTAGTTTTATACCTAAGTATTTCATTTTCTTTGGAGCATTTGTAAATGGCATTGCATTTTTATATTGGAGTGTAGTTAATTTTATATATTAATCCTATATTTTGTGATCTTACTCAACTTGCATATTAGTACTAGTTTTTTTTTCTTAGAGATTCCTACTTATAAACAAATTATCGACAAATAGATAATTTTCTTTTTATTTCATAATCTATGCCTTTTATTTCTTTTTCTTGCCTTATTGGAGTGGCAAGAACTTCTAATACTATGTTGAATAAGGGTGGTAAAAGTGGACATCCTGTGTTTTCCCCATTTTGAAGGGAAAGCATTCAGTCTTTTAACATTATGTATGATGTTAGCTCTAGGAATTTTTTTTTTTTTTTTTTTTTTTTCCTGAGACGGAGTCTCGCTTTGTGCCCCAGGCTGGAGTCCAGTGACGCAATCTCAGCTCACTGCAAGCTCCGCCTCCCAGGCTCACACCATTCTCCTGCCTCAGCCTCCCTAGTAGCTGGCACTACAGGCGTCTGCCACCATGCATGGCTAATTTTTTGTATTTTTAGTTGAGACGGGGTTTCACTGTGTTAGCCAGGATGGTCTTGATCTCCTGACCTCGTGATCCACCCGCCTCAGCCTCCCAAAGTACTGGGATTACAGGCGTGAGACACCACGCCCGGCCAGCTCTAGGAATTTTGTAGATACTTTATATTATAAGGTTGAGGGAGTTCCCCTCTCTAATGCTCTGGGAGGTTTTTTTTTTTTTTAATATGAATGAGTATTGATGTGATCATGTTATTTTTCTTATTTATCATATTTATATAATATATTACATTGAACTGTTTTTAAATATTAAATTAGCTTCTTATACCTAGAATAAATCCCACTTAGTCATGGTATATTATGCTTTTTATTCATTGTTGGGTTGGATTTGATTTGCTAAAATTTAGTTAACAATTTTCTCATTTAAGTTCATGAAAGATAATTGATTTGTATTTTCTTTGTTGTGTCACCCTAGTCTTGTTTTGGTATCAGAGTAATACTGGCCTTATAAAGTGAGTTGAGAAGTGTTGTCTTTTCTTCTGTTTTCTGGAAGACGTTGTGTAAAACATCACATGAATGTTTAGTAAACTTCTCCAGAGCAACTGTCTGAACCTAGAGATTTCTTTTTGGGAGCTTTTTAATTATAAATTCAATTTATTTAATAGTTGTAGGACTATTCAGATTGCCTATTTTATCTTAGTAGAGTATTGGTAGTTTGTGATTTTCAAAGATTTCGTCCATATCTTCTAATTTGTTGAAGTTATAAGTATGAAGTTGTATGTGGTGTTATTATTCTGTATATTCATATATATAAAGGATGTATATATGTACTTATAGTTGTTTTGAAAATTTTTTCCTTTGAGACTCCCTCTTTGACTCATGGATTCTTATTATTATTATTTAATTTTTTTGTTTTAAGACGGAGTCTCACTCTTTCACCCAGGCTGAAGTGCAGTAGCAATCTCAGCTCACTGGACCCTCCGTCTTCTGGGTTCAAGTGATTCTCCTGCCTCAGCCTCCTGAGTAGCTGGGATTACAGGTACCCACCACCATGCCTGGCTAATTTTTGTATTTTTAGTAGGGACGGGGTTTCACCATGTTGGTCAGGCTGGTCTCAAACTCCTGACCTCATGATCCACCCACCTTGGCCTCCCAAAGTGCTGGGATTACAGGTGTGAGCCACCACGCCCAGCCAGATTATTTTTTAAATACTTTTAATTGAAAAATACAAATTGTATGTATTTATGGTCTACAATATGTTTTGATATATGTATATGTTGTGAAACGATTAAATCTAGCTAATTAACATATCTGTTACCTGACATGCTTCTTTTTTTGTTCTTCCACAATAGTTATCTTATAAACTTATTTTTTTGTGTGTGGGAGAACATTTAACATCTACTCTCCTAGAAGTTTTTAAGTTTACAGTACACTGTTTCAGCCAGGCGTGGTGGCTCAGGCCGGGCGCAGTGGCTCACACCTGTAATCCCAGCACTTTGGGAGGCTGAGGAGGGTGGATTACCTGAGGTCAGGATTTCAAGACCAGCCTGGCCAACATGGTGAAACCCCATCTCTACTACAAATACAAAAAATTAGCTGGGCACAATGGCCCAGCCTATAATCCCAGCTACTCAGGAAGCTGAGGCAGGAGAATTGCTTGAACCTGGGAGGCAGAGGTTGCAGTGAGCCAAGATTATGCCATTGCACTCCAGCCTGGGCGCCAAGAGTGAGACTCTGTCTCAAAAAAAAACATAAATAAATAATAAAATATACTGTTTCAAGAGAATTTAAAATTGATTGGCAAAGCCTTTTTGTGAAGCATGTTTTAAAGTCTTTGTCAGATAATTCCAACATGTGCTTCATCCTTGTATTTGCATTAGTTGATTG
This sequence comes from Homo sapiens, assembly GCF_000001405.40. Taxonomy (NCBI): domain Eukaryota; kingdom Metazoa; phylum Chordata; class Mammalia; order Primates; family Hominidae; genus Homo; species Homo sapiens. The sequence goes on along the minus strand of NC_000019.10, from coordinate 36,649,201 downwards.
CCTTTTCTCCTTCAGATTTTGGTTTTCTTGGTTTTTGGTATGAGAAGTGATTTTCAGTTGTACCTTGGATATTTTCGTTATTATGTTTCAGAGAGTCTTGATTCTATTTAATCAATTTGAGCAAGTAGTTATCCTGTTAGATTTAGTAAAGATCTGATCTACTTTTGTAGGCTTTAGTTCCAATGACAGTTTAGTTTTCAGAACCATTACACTGCTATTCTGATCTGCTCCATACTTCTTGTGCTGCTGGGGCCAACAGGCACATGAAGAGATGTTCAAAATCACTAGCCATTAAGGAAATGCTAGTCACAACCACAATGAGGCTGGGCACGGTGGCTCATGACTGTAATCCCAGCACTTTGGGAGGCCGAAGCAGGTGGATCACTTGAGGTTAGGAGTTCGCGATCAGCCTGGCCAACATGGCGAAACCCCGTCTCTACCAAAAAATACAAAAATTAGCCAGGCATGGTGGCATGCACCTGTAGTCCCAGGTACTTGGGAGGCTGAGGCACAAGAATCACTTGAACCTGGGAGGCGAAGGTTGCAGTGAGCTGAGATTGCACCACTGTACTCCAGCCTGAGTGACAACGAGACTCAGTCTGAAAAACAAAACCAAAAACGAAAACAAAAACAAACAAACAAAAAAGCACACAATGAGATATCACCTCACACTCAATAGGATGGTTAATTTAAAAAAAAAACATAACAAGTGTTGCCAGGAATGTGGAGAAATTTGAACCTTTGTGCACTATTGGTGAGAATGTAAAATGGTACAAGGTATTAGATCATTCTTGCATTGCTGTAAATACCTGAGACTGGGTAATTTGAAAAGAGGTTTAATTGGCTCATGGTTCTGCAGGCTTTATAGGAAGCATGGCCCTGCTCAGCTTCCAGGAAGGCCTCAGGGAGCTTTTATTCATGGTGGAAGGCAAAGCAGGAGCAGGCACTTTACATGGTGAAAGCAGGAGCAAGAGAGAGAGTGGGGGGCGTGGGGAGGTGCCACACATTTTCTTTTTTTTTTTGAAACGGAGTTTCATTCTTGTTGTCCAGGCTGGAAAGCAATGGTGCAATCTCAGCTCACTGCAACCTCCACCTCGGTTTCAAGCGATTCTCCTGCCTCAGCCTCCCGAGTAGGTGGGATTACAGGTGCCTGCCACCACACCCAGCTAATTTTGTATTTTTAGTAGAGACACAGTTTCACCATGATGGTCAACCTGGTCTTGAACTCCTGATCTCAGATAATCTGTCCACCTCGGCCTCCCAGAGTGCTGGGATTACAGGCATGAGCCACCACACCCAGCCCACACACTTTCAAGGACCAGATATCATGAGAACTCACTCACCATCATGAGGATAGCACCAAGGGAATGGTGCTAAACCATTTATGAGAAAACCGCTCCCATAATCCAGTTACTTCCCACTAGGCCCCACCTCCAACACTGGGGATTACAATTCCACATGAGATTTAGAGGGGACACATATCCGAGCTATATCATACAGCCACTATGGAAAACAGTATGGTAATTTCTCAAAACATTAAAAATAGAATTGCCATATAATCAAGCAATTCTACTTCTAGGTATATACGCAAAAGAATTGAAAGTAAATTGAAAGTGGAATTTTAAATTAGAATGTTATTTATTTATTTATTTTTTGCTTTTTTGAGACAGAGTCTTGCTCTGTCACCCAGGCTGGAGTGCACTGGCGCATCTCAGCTCACTGCAACCTCCACCTCCTGGGTTCAAGCGATTCTTCTGCCTCAGCCTCCCAAGTAGCTGGGATTACAGGCACCCACCACCACACCCAGCTAATTTTTGTATTTTTAGTAGAGACAGGGTTTAACCATGTTGGCCAGGCAGGTCTCAAACTACTGACCTCAAGTGATATGCCTATCTCAGCCTCCCAAAGTGCTGAGATTACAAGCGTGAACCACCACACCTGGCCTAAATTAGAAAATTGTTGCATAATGTCAACTACAGCTGAAGAAATTTATATCCTATGATGCAGCAATTTCACTCTGATGTGCATACCTAACAGAAAAGAGTAATTATTTCCACCAAAAGAAATGTACAGGAATGTTCATAGCAGCACTAATCATAATAGTCAACTATTGGAAGCAACCAGAATGTCCATCATTAGGTATATGGGAAAATAAATTGTGTTAGAATGCAATGCTATATATAGTTATCAGTCTCAAACTTTTTATTCTCAGGATGCCTTTATATTCTTAAAAACTATTGAGAACCCCAAGAGCTCTTGCATATGTAGATTATATCCTTCAATATTAACTGTCTTAGAAATTAAATCTAGGAAAAATGAAATATTCATTTAATTCATTTAAAAATAATAAACTATATGTTAACATAAATAAGTTATATTTTCCAAAACAAAACGAAAATAGTTATTGTGAAAAGTGGCAATGTTTTTCATTTTTTGCACGTTTCTTTAATGCTTGGATTAAAAGAAGACACGTGGATCTCACATCTGCCTCTGAATTTAATCTATTAAATTAAAACTCACTAGTCTGTCTTGTTTTTTGAATGGATCTCTTATCTGTGGTACCTGTTTTGTAACATGATGCATTAGTTATTTGGAAAATATTGCTCCAATTAGTTATGCAGATCTTCCAGACTTTGACACATTTTCTTATAAAATAGCCAAAAAATCATACTTGTTAATAACACCACGAATCTAATCAGGTAAGTCTTTAAGTATTTGGAAGCTGTCAAGCTCACAGGGGCTGACACAAACTTTCCTAAAGTCTAATTTTGACCAGGTGTGGCAGCTCATACCTCTAATCCTAGCACTTTGGGAGGCAGAGGAGGGTGGATCACCTGAGGTCAGGAGTTCGAGACCTGCCTGGGTAACATGGTGAAACTCCGTTTCTACTAAAAATACAAAAAATTAGCCGGGCGTGGTGGCACACGCCTGTAATCCCAGCTACTGGGGAGGCTGAGGCAGGAGAATAGCTTGAACCTGGGAGTCGGAAGTTGCAGTGAGCTGAGATCACACCATTGCACTCCAGCCTGGGCAACAAGAGTGAAACTCCATCTCAATCAACAACAATAACAACAACAACAATAACAACAACAACAACAACAACAAAATAGTCAAAATCTGGCCAGGCACGGTGGCTCACGCCTGTAATCCCAGCACTTTGGGAGGCTGAGGCGGGTGGATCATGAGGTCAGAAGTTCCAGACCAGCCTGGCCAACATAGTGAAACCCTGCCTCTACTAAAAATACAAAAATTAGCCGGGCATGGTGGCTCACGCCTGTAGTCCCAGCTACTCAAGAGGCTGAGTCAGGAAAATCGCTTGAACCCGGGTGGTGGAGGTTGCAGTTAGCTGAGTTCGCTCCACTGCATTCCAGCTTGGGAAACAGAGCTAGACTCCATCTCAAAAAAATAAATAAAATAAAGCTTCAGTTATGCAAGATGAGTGGATTCTGAATATCCACATTCAGACTCCAGAATATTATGACTCTAGTTTGCAGTACTGTATTGTATATTTGAAACGTGCTGAAGGTACATGTTTTTTTGTTACCACAAAAAAAAGAAAACAGTTAACTATGTAAGGTGATGAATAGGTTAGTTAGCTGACTGTGGTGATTATTTCACAATGTAAATGTATATCAAATCATCAGGTTGTATCCTTTAAATATATAAATTTTAATTGTCAATTTTCCCTCAATAAAGTGGGAAATAAAGTGTTTCTCAAAAAATACTCAGTGTTTCTCAAAAACAAATATTGAGAAATTTAACTGTGGATGCTATAATTAATATTTATTTACATTGGTGCTGTATGCTAAGAAATAGAAAAAAGTATTTATTAAATATGTAAACACTTTAAAAAATTTTCTTGTGTTGTAAATACTTTACATGAGATCTACCCTCTTAATGGAATTTTAGGTGTACAATGCAGTATTGTCCAGTGTGGGCACAGGGTTATACAACAGATCTTTTTTGTTGTTGTTGAGACAGGGTCTCACTCTGTTACCCATGCTGGAGTGCAGTGGAGTGATCACAGCTCACTGCAGCCTGGACCTCTCAGGCTCAAGCAATCTTCCCACCTCAGCCTCCCAAGTAGCTGGGACCACAGGTACACACCACTACACCCAGCTACATTTCTATTTTTATTTTTTTTTAGTAGAGACAAGGTCTCACTATGTTGTCCAGGCTGGTCTCAAACTCCAGGACTCAAGTAATCCTCCCATCTCAGCCTCCCAAAGTGCTGGGATTACAGATGTGAGCCACCACTCCAGGCCAGATTTTTTAATAATAAAAGTAGTCTCAAAAAATAAACCTGGCCAGGCACGGTGGCTCACACCTCTAATCCCAGCACTTTGGGAGGACGAGGTGGGCAAATCACTTGAGGCCAGGAGTTCAAGACCAGCCTGACCAACGTGGTGAAACCCCGTCTCTACTAAAAATACAAAAAAAATTAGCCGATGTGGTGGCATGTGCCTGTAATCCCAGCTACTTGGGAGGCTGAGGCAGAGAATTGCTTGAACCCGGGAGTCAGAGGCCGCAGTGAGCCGAGATTGCGCCACCGTACTCCAGCCTGGGTGACAGAGCAAGACTCCATCTCAAAAAAAACAAAAACAAAACAAAACAAAAAAAAACACAAAAAACTGGCTGGGCGTGGTGGCTTACGCCTGTAATCCCAGCACTTTGGGAGGCCAAGGCGGGAGGATCACCTGAGGTCAGGAGTTCAAGACCAGCCTGGCCAACATGGTGAAACCCCATCTCTACTAAAAATACAAAAATTAGCCAGATGCGGTGGTTCACGCCTGTAATCCCAGCTATTCAGGAGGCTGAGGCAGGAGAATCGCTTGAACCTGGGAAGTGGAGGTTGCAGTGAGCCAAGATCGCACCATTGCACTCCAGCCCGGGGGACAGAGCGAGACTCCATCTCAAAACAAAACAAAAAACCAATATCCATTTTCAAGTATAAGAAATACATATTCTCTGCTGGGTGTGGTGGCTCACACCTGTAATCCCAGCACTTTGGGAGGCCGAGGTGGGCGGATCACCTGAGGTCAGGAGTTCAAGACCAGCCTGGCTAAGTGGTGAAACCCCGTTTCTACTAAAAATACAAAAAATTAACCAGGCATGGTGGCACGTGCCTGTAATCCCAGCTACTTGGGAGGCTGAAGCAGGAGAATCGCTTGAACCCAGTAGGCGGGGGTTGCAGTGAGCTGAGATTGTGTGATTGCACTCCAGCTTGGGCAACAAGAGCGAAACTCTGTCTAAAAAGAAAAAGAAATAGATATTCTCTTTTTATTGTATAATAAAATATTATTCTAAAATGAAGTATTTATTCTTTTGTTTCCATGTAGGTACATGGAAAACTTGGGGATTTCACAATAATTTCTTGGACAATAATGAGGCTACAGACATAAATGCAGGTATAAATAAATACAGTTTTTAAGAGTACAGTAGAAGTACTGGTAACAAAGTCAGCTAATTTCTGAAAGTACATGTTTATTCCCCAAACCTACTACTCTAGAAACTTCTAGAACACACAGAAATACATAATCACGCATTCTGTTAGATTTCAGAATGTGACGTTATCACACTTCTAGTAGTCTCTCAGAATCTCTCCTGTCCAGTGGTAAGAGAATAAGTAAAAAAGGCAAATGTCTCGGAATTAGTATGAAAATAGCTTTGACCTTATAGACTTCCTGATAGGGTCTCAGGTACCCTCTGTGGTCCTTGGACCACCCATTGAGTACTGCTGCTATATAGTAATGAAAATTAAGAAACTACTACTATTTGTAATATTACAAATGAACCTCACATGTGGTACTGGACAGAAGATGCTGGAGAAAAAAGTACCTCCTATATCATTCCATTTATTGGAAATTCAGAAATAGACAAAAACCACTGCATAGTGTAAGAAGGCAGGATATCGCCTACCTTTGGTGGGTAAGGTAAACCTGGGAAGGGCCTTGAAGGCTTGGGGTTTCTGGTAATGTTCTGTTTCTTGGTTAAGTGGTGGTTTCACAGGTATGTTCACTTAGTAAAAACATCGTCTGTAAGGAAGTGATGTAGAAAAGTGTGTGTTTGTGTTTATATCTGTACATAAATAAGTATGTGTATGAGTGTAGTGGTTGTTGTAAACATGTCCGCTGGCCGAGTGCGGTGGCTCACACCTGTAATCCCAGCACTTTGGGAAGCCAAGGCGGGTGGATGGCCTGAGGTCGGGAGTTCGAGACCAGCCTGGCCAGCATGGTGAAACCCCATCTCAACTAAAACTACAAAAATCTCAACTAAAAATACAAAAATTACAGGTGGTGAGCACCTGTAATCCCAACTACTTGGGAAGCCGAGGCAGGAGAATCACTTGAACCCAGGAGGCGGAGGTTGCAGTGAGCCGAGATCGCACCATTGCACTCCAGCCTGGGCTACAGAGCAAGACTCTGTGCCCCACCCCCCCCCACCAAAAACACACACACACACCATGTCTGCCACTTCTGTGCTTCTGTGACAGTCCTCAAACCAAAAAAAAAAAAAAAAGAAGTCTAACTTCCTGCTTTGAAAATGGGACAGCCCTAAGTGAATTGTTTCCAATAAATAGAAATACTTTGTGATTTCTGAGGCTAGGTCATAAAAGTAGACAGCTTGTGCCTGGCATATGCTCATATGCCCGCCCTCCCTGCCTGCACTTCCCCATATGCTTTTGGAGTCTGGAGTTGCCAGGTAAGAGGGCATCTCTTACCTTGAAACAGCTATGCTGGACACACCATGTAGAGAGACCACATAAGGATAGAAAGCCCCAGGCATCACAGCTGTTACAGTCCCAAGCTTTACATATTTCCTCAGGCCTGGTACCCGACATGTGGGTGGAGGAAGCCATTGGAATGATCCAGCCTGACCAGTGTGTGACTGTCACTAGAGAAATGCCAAGTAAGGAATGCCTGGCTGAGCTCAGTTAATCCTCAGGACTGAAAGACAATAATGATAAATGGGTCTGGTGTGGTGGCTCGTGCCTATAATCTCAGCACTTCGAGGGGCTGAGGCAGGAGAATCACTTGAAACCAGGAGTTCAAGACCGGCCTGGGCAACAAAGTGAGAGCCTTTTCTCTACAAAAAATGATTTAAAAATTAGCAGGGCATAGTGGCACACCCCTATAGTCTCAGCTTCTCCAAAAGCTGAGTGAGGTAGGAGGATTTCTTGAGCTCAGGAGGTCGGGCCTGCAGTGAGCTGTGATTGCACCACTGCGCTCACTCTCGCCTGGGTGACAGAGCATGACTTGGTCTTCACTAATAATTACAACAGCAATAGTAATAATAATAATAAATGACTTACTGTTTTAAGCCACTCAGTTGGAGTGGCTTGTTATAGATAAGCAAGTACATGGTTTATTTATGTATGTGTTTATATATAAAATCAGTGCAGTCGATGTAGGAGTGAATAGAAGCATGGAGAGATGTTCAGTAGTTATTACAAATTTAAGGGCATTAAATGATTATGATTGTCAATTGTTATCTTTGTATTGTTTCTCTTCATCTTAATTCCTTTTCCTTAATAATTCATTCATTCAGCAACTGATTATTGAATACTTATTATATTGTAAAGGTTGTTTTTATAGTGATTTCTCTATCCTTGAGTAGCTTTATGGGTAAAAAAACATATATATATATTATATATATATATATTTTGTTGTTTGTTTGTTTGTTTCTGAGACAGTCTTACTCTGTTGCCCAGGTTGGAGTGCAGTGGCATGATCTTGGCTCACTTCAGCCTCCACCTCCCGGTTCAAGCAATTCTCCTGTCTCAGCCTCCCGAGTAGCTGGGATTACAGGCATCCGCCACCACGTCCAGCTAATTTTTGTATTTTTAGTAGAGACAGGTTTCACCATGTTGGCCAGGCTGGTCTCCAATGCCTGACCTCAAGTGATCTACCCGCCTAGGTCTCCCAAAGTTCTGGGATTACAGGTATAAGCCACCATGCCTGGCCAAATATTAAAAAGATTAATAAATGAATATGTAATTCCAGTAGTACTTCAGGAAGGACTTCATTAGATAATATTATCAGGAATACAATTCTGAGGAAGTGACTTTTACTCTGAGACTTAGATGAAATGAAGCCCGCTATACAAAAAATCTAGGCAAAAAGATTCTTAGCACATGGAAGAAGCTATGAAGCTCTAACATAGGAAAAGGCTTTGGCATGTCCTAATTGTTGACAGATTAATTTGGTTATAGCTTAATGAATAAAAAGGAATTGGACTCAAAATGAGATTATATTGGTTAGCAGAAGCCCTATATTCTCATGCCTAGGAGCTGAAGTTTTAAAATTTCTGTGGGAAGCTGTATTTGTAGGTTAAGCTGCTTGTGACAGAGACCCAGAACAATAGCGATTGAAACCATATAGATGTTTAAATTAATTTTCTTTTTTTGATACAATGTCTATAACCCAGGCATATAAATTTAATTTTCTCTCGCATTAAAATCCAAGCTAGAAAGGTATCTACTCTGCAAAACCATTATTTGATAGACATGACAGCAAATCAATATTGCCATCAGCTTTGTTGAGGAAGAGGGAAAACAGGCAATATAGGGCGTGGGCCACCTGGCTCTTAACGAAAGAACTCAGATGGTATTACATAATATTTCTGTATTTCTTTAGGCAGAACCCAGTTGCATGGCATTCTCAGCTGTGAAAGAGCTTGGGAAATGCAGAGTTTATATTGGCAGCTTTATTCTCAAATAAAAAGCCATGGGTTCAATTGATATTTTTTAAAAAGGGAAAAAAATAGATATTTGGCAACAGCTGACAATCTGCTGCATAAACCTTTGGCCTGATAGTGTTAAACATATGAACTCTGACTCAGTTGACCTCATTCTAAGACCAACTCTCTTAGATTCTGATTGAGTTGATTTAGAATGTTTCCTGAACATCCATAATTGCAACAAACTCTCAAGGTAATTCAGAGGTGGATCAAAATTTCAGCACCATTGAATTATTTCCCTAATTAACTACTTCATTTGAGTGCTCTCATTTCCCTGTGCTCCTTTACCCATTTAAGAGTTCTCCAAGCCTTTTATTTCTTATATGAATTATTTGCAGTTATCTCTCATTGCTACCATAGATATTTTATTTCTCTTATAGTACAAAACCAGGAGTTAAAATATATTTCTTATCTTTCAGACTTGGCATCCAGAGATGAGCCCCAGAAGTTATCTCCAAAAAGGGATATTTATGAAACAGAATTATCCCAGTGGGTTAACATGGAAGAATTTAAAAGCCATAGTCCTGAGAGATCAATTTTCAGCGCTATCTGGGAAGGCAACTGTCATTTTGAGCAACATCAGGGACAAGAGGAGGGTTATTTTAGACAACTTATGATTAACCATGAAAACATGCCCATTTTTAGCCAACATACTTTACTCACTCAAGAATTTTATGATAGAGAGAAAATCTCTGAATGTAAAAAGTGTAGAAAAATCTTCAGTTACCATTTATTTTTTAGTCACCACAAAAGAACTCATTCTAAAGAACTTTCTGAATGTAAAGAATGCACAGAAATTGTTAATACACCATGCCTTTTTAAACAACAGACAATTCAAAATGGTGACAAATGCAATGAGTGTAAAGAATGTTGGAAGGCCTTTGTTCATTGCTCACAACTTAAACATCTAAGAATTCATAATGGTGAAAAACGCTATGAATGTAACGAATGTGGGAAGGCCTTTAATTATGGCTCAGAACTTACTCTACATCAAAGAATTCACACTGGTGAGAAACCTTATGAATGTAAAGAATGTGGGAAGGCCTTTAGACAGCGATCACAGCTTACTCAACATCAGAGACTTCATACTGGTGAAAAACCCTATGAATGTAAGCAATGTGGGAAGGCTTTTATTCGTGGCTTTCAACTTACTGAACACCTGCGACTCCATACTGGAGAGAAACCTTATGAATGTAAAGAATGTGGAAAGACTTTTAGGCATCGCTCACATCTTACTATACATCAGAGAATTCATACTGGTGAGAAACCCTATGAATGTCGGGAATGTGGGAAGGCCTTTAGCTATCACTCAAGCTTCTCACACCATCAGAAAATTCATTCTGGCAAGAAACCTTATGAATGTCATGAATGTGGGAAGGCTTTTTGTGATGGCTTACAACTAACCCTACATCAGAGGATTCATACTGGTGAGAAACCCTATGAGTGTAAGGAATGTGGGAAGACTTTTAGACAGTGTTCACACCTCAAAAGACATCAGAGAATTCATACTGGTGAGAAACCTCATGAATGCATGATATGTGGTAAGGCCTTTAGACTTCATTCACACCTTATTCAACATCAAAGAATTCATACTGGTGAGAAACCCTATGAATGTAAGGAATGTGGGAAGGCCTTTAGCTATCATTCAAGCTTCTCACACCATCAGAGAATTCATTCTGGAAAGAAACCTTATCAATGCGGGAAGGCGTTTAATCATAGATTACAACTTAACTTACATCAGACTCTTCATACTGGCGAGAAGCCAGTCAGGTTTCCTCTCCTCCCTCCCCATCCTAGTCTAGCATCATGAAATTTGTTGATGGAAATATACATTGTCTTTGTTTTATTTAAGGAAAAAGTTGGTAAGCCACCAGTTTCATTAGTATTTATTTATTTAAATAATCCTTGAAAATCAAATGTTTTTAAGTGAGAAAGTGGATAACTAAAGTGTAAATTTTGGTCTCATTTTAATGCTGTTTCTGAGTTATTGTATTAACCATTATTGAGAATAAATTTTTTTATTGAGAATAAATTTTCTAAAATTACATGTTTCACTGAAACCAGTGAAATATTTCACTGAAACAGTGAAATAAAATGAAAACAATTTCCTCCCTTCCCTCAAATCTCTGAGATAACCAGTATGTGTATTTCTTCTTCCTTTATGCTCAAACAACCTGTACACAGAAAGCATTTTTTGCATGTGTTTGGAGGAGCTTTTACCCCCATACAGACATTTGACAGCGTCTTGTCCTTTTCATAATAATCATGAATACTTTTCCAGGTCAGTACGTAAAGATGTAACCCATTCTTTGTAAGGTTCAGAATATTTCTAGAATGGAATGTATGTCCGTATTTTGGGCCATTACCTACTACAGACATTGAAGTTGTTTCTAATGTTCACCTAGAACTCTAATTTTACCTTCTTTTGTTTCTATTGTGCAGATTCCCAACAGTGGGATTAAAGAGTATCTGGCGTATATATTTTGACATTACATTTATTTTTTAAAATCTTCTAAATTTTTTGTTTAATAAAAGCACACATTATAAAAATTCAAAAATTACCAAAAATGTGAAAATTAATTCTCCCCTAACATCCAGTTCTGTAGCCACTCACTTTCCACAGATGCAACAACTGCTATCAGTTTCCTTTTATTCTAACGGGAATATTTCATGTAAATTTCATAAATTCTTTGGACAAAAGTAGGTTATTCATAATATGTGATTTATTACACATTCTCATTATTAGTCCACATTTGGCCTACTTCATTTTTTTTTTTTTTGAGACACACCCAGGCTGGAGTCCAGTGGTGCAATCTTGGCTCACTGCAACCTCCGCCACCCAGGTTAAAAATTCTCCTGCCTCAGCCTCCTGAGTAGCTGGGACTACAGGCATGCGCAGCCACTATGCCCGGCCAATAAGCTATATTTATTCTTATTTGATGTGGATGAAAATTATCAAAATTGGCCAGGCTTGGTGGCTCATGCCTGTAATCCCAGCACTTTGGGAGGCCGAGGCGGGCGGATCACGAGGTCAGGAGATCGAGACCATCCTGGCTAACATGGTGAAACCCCGTCTCTACTAAAAAAAAAATACAAAAATTAGCTGGGCGTGGTGGTGGGTGCCTGTAGTCCCAGCTACTCGGGAGGCTGAGGCAGAAGAATGGCGTGAACCTGGGAGATGGATCTTGCAGTAAGCTGAGATCGCGCCACTGCACTCCAGCGTGGGCAACACAGTGAGACTCTGTCTCAAAAAGAAAAAAAAAAAAGAAAATTGTCAAAACACAACCAATAGATAATGTTAACATGCATTCTAACATGCAATTTATTGGATTTAGCGAATAGAATGTGAGTGGAAGTTACTTTTGGTAGAACTGTTGGGAAAAGGGCTTGTGGAGTGCCTGCATAAACTGGCCATAAAAATATGGGACAATAAGTTGTGGAAAGCCACAAGAGGCCTCTGAGGAGGAAAGCCTCCTAATTGCCATCACGTTCCTATGACCAGAGTGTGACCTGCTCTCTTATCTATAAACACTGTGCTCAAGGAGAAAGACACTCCTTTGAAGCATTGGAATGTGGCCAGATATGCTGGCTTCTAGTTAGGCCCACTCCCCACAGCTGCTCTCTGATAAGTAAAAGAATAAATCAGTAGTTAAGTTTATGCTGCTTCAGCACAAAGAAAATGTACCTAAACTGCCATTGCCCCCCTTTCACTGTTTCACCCCTGAACATCTGCTTCTTAGATCTAAGTGATTGTACTCAATAAATAGTGTGGAGACCAGAGCTTGGCGCCTTTGCAGCTTTTGATTTGCTCTGGCCCCTTGGCTCCCACCTTTATGAACTCTTAACCTGTCTCTTCTCATTCCTTTGTCGCCACCGGACTTCAGGTACCCTACAGGTGGTGTTGAGGCTGGTCCCCAACAGAACTTTACATGTGCTTTCATATTATGACTTGGCTTTTGCCACTGGCCATGAGAAGGACATGCCACATGTAGCCATTTGCTCATCCATGAAAACCTTCCAAGAATAGTGGCAGTGCTTCACTTCCACCTTCTAAATCTCATGCAAATTTCACCAACATGGTGAAACTCCGTCTCTACTAAAAATACAAAAATTATCCAGGTGTGGTGGCAGGCCCCTATAATCCCAGCTACTCAGGAGGCTGACGCAGGAAAATCACTTGAACCCAGAGGGCGGAGGTTGCAGTGAGCCGAGATCGCGCCATTTCACTCCAGCCTGGGTGAAAGGGCGAAACTCTGTCTCAAAAAGTAAGGCCGGGTGTGGTGGCCCATGCCTGTAATCCCAGCACTTTGGGAGGCCGGGGCAGGTGGATCACCTGAGGTCAGGAGTTGGAGACCAGCCTGGCCAACATAGTGAAACCCCTCTCTACTAAAAATACAAAAATTGGCCTGGCGTCGTGGCACGCACCTGTAATCCCAGCTACTCAGGAGGCTGAGGCAGGAGAATCGCTTGAACCCAGGAGGCAGAGGTTGCAGTGAGCCGAGATCACGCCATTGCACTCCAGCCTGGGCAACAGAGCGAGACTTTGTCTCAAAAAAATGAATAAAAATAAAAAAATGACCACTATCAAAAAGACAAACAATAAGAGATCTTGGTGAGGGCAGAGAGAGGGGAACACTTTAGTACACTGCTGGTGGGAATGTAAATTAGTATAACCACTATAGAAAAAATTATAGAGTTTCCTCAAGAAACTAAACATAGATCAACCAAATAATCCAGAAATCTCACTACTGGGTACATATCCAAAAGGAAGGAAATCAGTATATCTAAGAGGTATCTGCACACCCAAGTTTACTGCAGCACTATTAACAACAGCCAAAATATGGAATCAACCTAAGTCTCCATCAATGCATAATGGATTTATACACAATGGAATACTATTCAGCCATAAACAGAATGAAATCCTACCATTTGCAGCAACATGGGTGGAAGTGGAGGTTAATTATGTTAAGGGAAATAAGCGAGGAACAGAAAGACAAACTTGGCATGTTCTCATGCATAAGTGGGAGCTAAAAGAGTTGATCTCATGGAGGTCAGAGTAGAATGATGGTTACCAGAGGTTCGGAAGTGAGTGGCTAGTGGTGAAGAGAGGTTGGTTAATGGATATAAAAATATGCTTAGATAGGGCCGAGTGCGGTGGCTTATGCCTGTAATCCCAGCACTTTGGGAGGCCGAGGTGGGTGGATCACGACGAGGTCAAGAGTCGAGACCATCCTGGCCAACATGGTGAAATCCCATCTCTACCAAAAATACAAAAATAAGCTGGGCGTGGTGGCTCACGCCTGTAGTCCCAGCTACTCAGGAGGCTGAAGCAGGAGAATTGCTTAAACCCAGGAAGCAAATGTTGCCGTGAGCCAAGATCGCACCACTGCACTCCAGTCTGACAACAGAGCGAGACTGTCTCAAAAAAATATATATATGGTTAGATAGAAGGAATAAGTTCTAGTGTTTGATAGGATAGTAGGATGACTATAGTTAATAATTTATTGTATATTTCAAAATAGGTAGAATATTTGAAATGTTTCTAACACAAGGAAATGATAAATGTTTGAGGTGGATATCCTAATTACCCTGATTTATTACATATTGTATGCATGTATCAAAATATCACACATATCCCATAAATATGTACAATCATTATGCAGCAATAAAAACATACACTGTAATCCCAGCACTTTGGCAGGCTGAGGCGTGGGATCACTTGAGGTCAGGAGTTCAAGACCAGCCTGGCCAACATGGTGAAACCCCATTTCTACTAAAAATACAAAAATTAGCCGGGTATGGTGGTACATGCCTGTAATCCCAGCTACTTGGGAGGCTGAGGCTGACGAATTGGTTGAACCTGGGAGGCGGAGGCTGCAGTGAGCCGAGATTGTGCCACTGCACATATACAATCAGGGACCTTTAAATGGCACTGTGTTGGAATTAAGAATACCACTGAGAACCAAGGGATAGCAGAATTGGCCCCACTTAGTATTATTCCCAATGATTGCATATGCCCTGATGACTATGTATTGGCTGGTTTGTCAGCCACTGTTAGATGTGATGGAGACGCCCAACAGAGCACACACACTGAGTTCCATCTTCCATAGGTGTGCCACCCCCAGACATGAAGCCTGCCACTCCAATGGGGGGCTGATCATCTGGATGGAGTTTACAAATACGGGCTAACTGTAATGTGTTACTTGTGTTGTGAGTTGACCTGCGGAACAATGATGAGACCATGTGGCAAGGCCTGTGTGTGTGTAGGCTGACTACTACTGGATATGTAATTCAGAAGCCAGTCTAAAGATATCTTTGAAGACACAAATCAGGAGGTACTGCTGCTGATGAAGCAGAGCTAGGGATTTTTATTTATTTAAAAAAATTACAGACAGTACAATTCACTTTTTTGTATGTATACTTCTATTTTTTACACATGCATAGATTTTTTATCTATGACCACAAGCAGGATACAAAACAATTCCAACACCTCAAAGAATTGCCTCGTGCAACCCCTCTGTATTCAGACCCCACCCCACCCCAGACACTCAGCAACATTTGATCTGTTTTCTGTTGTTATATTTTCACCTTTTCCAGCATGTCATATAAATGGAATCATACAGTATGTAACTTTTTGGGACTGGGTTCTTTCCTTTAGCGTAATGCATTTGAGGTTCATCTATGTAGCTGCATGTTTCAGTAGCTCATTATTGTTATCGTTGAGTAGAATTCCATCTTGGGAATGTACCACAGTGTATCCATTTACACACTGAAGAACATTTGCTTGTCTCTAGTTTTTTTTTTAATTATAAATAATACTTACAAACACTCATGTACAGGTTTCTGTGTGCACATAATTTTTCATTTCTCTAGGATAAGTACTTATAAGTGGGATTGCTGGGTCATATTGGATGTGTAACTTTTTGAGACTGGCATATTGTTTTCCAGACCGGCTTTACCATTTTGCCTTTCCTATTAGCAATGTATGAAAGTTCCAGTAACAAATCCACACCTGTACTCCTGAATCTAAAACAAAAGTTAAAAAAGAAAGAGTTCCAGTTGTTCCACATTCTTGTCAGCACTTGGTATTGTCACATATCTAGGGTTTTGAAAAGTCCGATTATAGGCCGGGTGCGGTGGCTCACGCCTGTAATCCCAGCACTTTGGGAGGTCGAGGTGGGCGGATCATGAGGTCAGGAGATCGACACCACCCTGGCTAACACAGTAAAACCCCGTCTCTACTAAAAATACAAAAAATTAGCTGGGCATGGTGGCAGGTGCCTGTAGTCCCAGCTACTCAGGAGGCTGAGGCAGGACAATGGTGTGAACCCAGGAGGCGGAGCTTACAGTGAGCCAAGATCGAGCCACTGCCTCCAGCCTGGGCGACAGAGCGAGACACTGTCTCAAAAAAAAAAAAAAAGCCTGATTATAAACTGATAAATATCTAGAACATCCCAGGTGCATGTTGTAGACTAGTGTTGGAGCCTGTGCTTTTGCTGTTGCACATTACTTGTGAAGCAGGACATGGCAAGCCTGGCTCTATTGCTAGACCAGAAACTGAGTGGAGAAATTCAAGCATTAGCTGACAAGAAATGATCACATTTGAGATGTACTGTGCACTATCTGATACTGGGGACACAGAGGGTGAGGAGATATGCTTGTTCACATACATTATCAGGAAATACACAGCAGTTATAGGAACCATGTTTATAAGATGGAGCTGATTTACAGTCAGACTGCAAAGCTCTAAAATTATCTCCACGATGCCCAGATGTCTGGCTCTGACTCTTGGTTGGGATAAGGCCAGTGAGCTATACAAGGTACTAGTTAAAGTCTGATATTCCCTGGGAGACTCCCAGAGCCAATTTGTTTATGATGGCTTTTTAACTTTTTTAAACTTACATAACCAGTTAGATAGCCTGGCTTGACTATGTAACCAGTGAACAGAGAAGCATAAATACCCATGCAGTGGCTGGGCACGGTGGCTCATGCCTATAATCCCAGCACTTTGGGAAACCGAGGTGGGCGGAGGATTGCCTGAGGTCAGGACTTCGAGACCAGCCTGGCCAACATGGAGAAACCCTGTCTCTACTAAAAACACAAAAACTAGCTGGTTGTGGTGGCACATGCCTGTAATCCCAGATACTTAGGGAGGCTGTGGCAGGAGACTTGCTTGAACCTGGGAGGCGGAGGTTGCAGTGGGCTGAGATTGCACCATTGCACTCCAGCCTGGGTGACAGAGCAAGACTCTGTCTCAAAAAACAAAACAATGACAACAAAAAAACCCATGTAGAGAAGTTCTGCTGTCAGCTCTCCCCAAATCAAGTTTGATACAGGTCTTAGTGCTTCAGTTCAGAGACAGTGTGCGGTCTGTGTGTGAATAAAACCACTGAGGAATGTGCAGCTAGATGATTCTGAGCCCTAATGCTTACCTTCCCTTTCTTTTGCTGAGCCACATCCTTTGCTTCTAAGTAAAAACATTTCCTGGGTATGCTCTGTGGAGTCCTGTTAGTCCTCTGAACTGATGAACTCATTTTGCATATGCCTTATGACCTTGCAGTTAGGTCTACAAAATATGAATTTGTAAAATCACTCCTATTTTGTCGTATATGTTTAGGTCAAGTTGACTTAGATTCTATAAACATGTTTGCTCCTTAGAGTTGCCCAAACTTCATTGAGCAATATATAAGTTAGATGAAAAATACTCATGCACCACATGACATTTTGGTCCATGATGGACTGCATATATAATGGTGGTCTCATAAGATTATAGTACCAGCCAGGCATGGTGGCTCACACCTGTAATCCCAGCACTTTGAGAGGCCGAGGCGGGTGGATCACGAGGTCAGGAGATTGAGACCATCCTGGCCAACATGGTGAAACCCCGTCTCTACTAAAAATACAAAAATTAGCCGGGTTTGGTGGTGTGCACCTGTAGTCCCAGCTACTCATGAGGCTGAGGCAGGAGAATCACTTGAACCCAGGAGGCGGAGGTTGCAATGAGCCGAGATCACACCACTGCACACCAGCCTGGGCGACAGAGTGAGACTCTGTCTCAAAAAAAAAAAAAGATTATAGTACCACATTTTTACTGTACCTTTTCTGTGTTTAGATAGGTTTACATATACAAATAATTACCATTGTGTTACAATTGCCTATAGTATCCAGCACAGTAACATGCAGTACAGATTTGTAGCCTAGGAGCAACAGGCTCTACCATATAGCCTAGGTGTTTAGTAGGCTGTACCATCTCGGTTTGTATCAGCACTCTGTGATGCTTGCACGATCATGACACTGCCTCATGATGCATTTCTCAGAATGTATCCCTATTAAGTGATGCAATGCTGTATTTATCAATTCATAAAGTGAAAATCTCTAAAGTGAGTGAAGTGGCTCACACCTGTAACCCCAGCATTTTAGGAGGCCGAAGAGGGAAGATTGCTTGAGGCCAGGAGTTCAATACCAGCCTGGGCAACACAACGAGACCCCATATGTATAAAAAATAAAAACATTAGCTGAGAGGAATGGCGCCTGCCTGTAGTCCTAGCTACTTGGGAGGCTGAGGCAGGAGAATTGCTTGAGTCCAGGAATTCAAGTCTGCAGTGAGCTATAATGGCACCACTCTACTCCAGCCTAGGTGACAGACTGAGAACCTGTCTCAAAAAAATAAAAAAAATGCAAAGAAAATTTCTGATTTCTTCAAAAGAAATCTTCAAGCAGGATTCTGGAATACAGCCCAATGCTGTTTCATGCCAAAATATAAACCACAGGACCAAATTTTCCTAAGGAGCGGCAGCTTATATGTAAATAGCTTTAGAAAACACAATTTCGGCTGGGTGCGGTGGCTCACACCTGTAATCTCAGCACTTTGGGAGGCTGAGGCGGGTGGATCGCCTGAGGTCAGGCTTTGGAGACCAGCCTGGCCAACATGATGAAACCCCGTCTCTACTAAAAATACAGGTGGGCGCCTGTAATCCCAGCTACTTGGGAGGCTGAGGCAGGAGAATTGCTTGAGGTAGAGGTTGCAATGAGCCGAAATTGCGCCATTGCACTCCAGCCTGGGAAACAAAAGTGAAACTCTGTCTCAAAAAAAAAAAAAAAGAAAAGAAAACGCAACTTTATTTAGACTTTCTTTAAAGCATTCAAAAGTACCTCCTTCACGGACATTCATTAGATTCCATACCTTGATTTCTCTCTGCGCCTTTGTTGAGAAATGACAGCACGGGGTCTTTTGAGGATAGATCGCATTATCCTGCCTTTCTTTTGGGGGCTATTTTCATTTTTTGTGTGTGCAAAATTGGGAAGTATATGATGAATATGATTTACTGCCAGAAAATGAGAAAGAATATATATGGACCCCTCAATTGAGTTGTAATTATTAAGGTATGTAATCGTAAGGCAAAAATGCAGCCAAATCTTCAACTGTATTTTATGGCCAGTTTTTCTTCATGCCAAAATCACCTATTAGTAACAACAATACCTTTGCTCATTGACTCTAGAATCCATATATTTACACCTTTATGTATTTATTTATTTATGAGACAGGGTCTCGCTCTGTTACCCAGGCTGGAGTGCAGTGGTGCTATCCTGGCTCACTGCAACCTCCGCCTCCCGGGCCCAAGTGATCCTCCCACTCAGCCTCCCGAGTAGCTGGGACTACAGGCATGTGCCACCATTCCTGGCTAATTTTTTGTAGAGATGGGGTTTTGGCATGTTTCCCAGGCTGGTCTCGAACTCCTGGGCTCAAGTGATCCTCCCAACACCTCCCAAAGTGCTGGGATTACAGAAATGAGCCACCAAGCCCAGGCTTATACCTTTATTTTTATTATATATTAACAGATACTAAAAAATTACTTTTCCCTTTTAATAAAACAATCAAGTTAAATAAAAACTTTTTTATTAAATAAAAAATAAAACTGTTTGTAGTTAAAAAGCCTGATGATTTTGTTGGCCAGGAATTTGGGAAGGCCTCAGCTGGGCAGTTCTTGCTTGAGGTCTCATTTGTGGTACCAGTTGGGTGTTAGCAGGGTCCACAGTCATCTGAAGGCTTGACTGGATGTCCAAGAGGCCTCACTTACATGGTTGGCAGCTGATGCTAGCTGATGGCTGGGAGCTCAGCTGTAGCTGTTGACCAGGGGGCCTACACATAGACTTCCTAGCATTATGGTCTCGGTATGGCTAGACTTCTTTCATGAAAGAGAGCTTTCCCCAGAGTTAAAAGTCCCTGTAATCCTAGCACTTTGGGAGGCCGAGGCAGGCAGATCACCTGAGGTCAGGAGTTCGAGACCAGCCTGGCCAACATGATGAAACCCTGTCTCTACTAAAAATACGAAAATTAGCTGTGCGTGTGGCGTGTGCCTGTAATCTCAGCTACCCGGGAGGCTGAGGCAGGAGAATCACTGGAACCTGGGAGGCAGAGGCTGCAGTGAGCCAAGATCATGCCACTGCACTCCCGCCTGGGTGACAGAGCAAGATTCTGTCTCAAAAAAAAAAAAAAAAAAGTCCCAAGACCCATTTGTTTCCTTGTAATCTTCCTTTCTTTGGTATTAATTCTTTGATGGTGTAAAAGAAATGAGCAACAGTTAAAGTCATTCTTACAATCATTTCATTTGAAGAGTTCTCATCCTATGTGAATTCCCTGGTGTAGTATAATATATGAATGATGGCTATAAGCTTTTCCATATTCATCATTTGTACCTGACCAGTAGATACAGACCATAGGTAAAGACTATATTCCTCCCCACGCCCTAACTTCAACACAGTCACAGGACTTTTCTCTAGTTGGAATTCTCTGATGTTGAACAAGGGAAATGCTGGATGCCTCTCCTCTAGTAGACTTTTTGAGTTCAAATAAGGCATTTACTGTGGCTAACGGCAATGTCACGTTTATTACATTTGCCTGGAAGATTTGGGCTGTGGCTAAATGTTTTTCTACATATATTACATTCACATTCCCAGTTTTCACAATAACATTGATTGAGTTTCCCTGCAGCATGAATTCTCTGGTTTGAACCAGCACCATATTGATAAAATTTATAGCTGTTTCCCTTCAGTGTCAATTATCTCATGTGGTGAAAGTTCTGAATTGTCTGCCAGTATCTGACTGAATACACACATGCTCTAAGACCCAGCGATTCCACTCCTAAGTATATACACAAGAGAAATACATGTATGTACACCAAGACAAGTATGTTCTCAGAAGCATGATTTATTATGACCCTAAGCTGTAAACAATGTAAAAGTCCATCAACAGCAGAATGGATAAATTGTGATATAATCATATAATTGAATTCTATACTGGATAAAAATAAATAAACTTCTGCCACACGTACTAATGATTAGACTCACGGACATGATGAAGGTAATAAGCTGTATATGAAAGAATACATGATATATAATCCAATTTATAGAAAGGTTTATAATAGTAAAAACTAATTTGTAATGTTAGAAGTCAGAATCATGGTCAACTGTGAGGAGGTAACAACTAATTTTTATTTTGTATTTGCAATGAGAAATACAGTTCATACCTCCTTCTTTTAAAGAACCTCTACTCACTGTGTAGTCCATGGACCACAGTCAGTTGGCCAACTAGTTATTACTGATGAACAAAAAGATATGTATGGAAATGGAAAATGTGATTTTAAATGTTTATAACACCTTGACAGAGGAAGTTTTTGTCTGCTGAAGCTAGTAATAAAAAAAAAGTTTGGACTTCTTAATGATTTTTGTCATCTAATTTGTCTAATAATATTTGTGTGTGTGTGTGTGTGTGTGTGTGTGTTTTACAGGCTGGCAAACAGTAGGTTACCATGTGGTATAGTACCTTAAACTGTTGGATATTACGCTTGCAAGCAACATCATCTACAGGGTTTACTATGACTTAACATTTTTTTACAAAAAAAGCCACATTACTTACTGAATTCCCGTGGTTTCTACCTTGTGAGTTTTCTGATGGACAATGAGGTTTGACTTACAACTGAAGAACTTCCCACACTGTTTACATTCATATGGTTTCTCGCCTGTGTGAGTTTTCTGATGGCGAATGAGGTTTGATTTCCTACTGAAGGCTTTCCCACACTGAGGACACCCATTGGATTTTTCTCCTGTATGTATTCTGTGATGAACAGTGAGGATTGCCTTCTGGCGGAAGGACTTCCCACATTCATTACAAATATAGGGTTTTTCCCCCGTGTGAATTCTCTGGTGGAGAGTGAGGGTTGTCTTTTGGCAGAAGGACTTCCCACATTCATTGCAAATATAGGGTTTCTCTCCTGTGTGAGTTCTCTGATGAACAGTGAGGGTTGTCTTCTGGATAAATGCCTTCCCACACTCATTACACTGATACGGTTTCTCTCCTGTGTGAGTTCTCTGGTGATCAATGAGGTATGACTTCTTCCTAAAGGCACTTCCACACTGAGGACATTCATAGGCTTTCTCCCCCGTATGTGTTTTGTGATGTCTAGTGAGGGTGGCCTTCTGGCGGAAGGACTTCCCACAATCGATACAAATAAAGGGTTTCCCCTCTATATGTGTTTTCTCATGAAGGGTGAGGGCTGTCTTCTGACGGAAGGCCTTTCCACATTGATTGCAAACATAAGGTTTTTCACCTGTGTGAATTCGCTGATGTTCAATGAGGTATGACTTCCTTCTAAAGTTATTCCCACAGTAAGGACAGTGAAAGGGTTTCTCTTCTGTTTGAGGTCTCTGAGGCATAATAAAAACAGGCTTTCTGCAGAGGAATTTCCCATATTTGTTGTAGGCAGAGGGCTTCTTTTCCATAAGATTACTTGGATGGACACTGAGGCTTGACTTTTCTATGAAGGCAATTCCATCTTTATTGTATTCAAAGGTTCTTTCTCCTCTGTGAGCTCTAGTATGTGTAAATAGCATTCCTTTCATCAGGAAGGATTTTTCACATTCATTATGGTCAAATGGTTGCTCTGGAGCTTGAACCTTCTGATGCTGAATAAGCTCCTGTTTACCACTGAGAACTCTTTCTGTTTGTTTATGGAGATTCACTGCAGGATGAATTTTCTCATGCTTGGTATTGAGGAGTGATTTCTCCCATCCAGTACTGTCACCAAACTTCTCTTTTATGGGGCTTATATTTCTAATGACTAGTTCTGAAATATTTTTCAAAACTTTTCCATCAGGTTTATATTCACATAGTATTGTTTTTGAAATACGGTTCTTGCCTAGAGTAAATGTTTTACCATAAATATTACTTCTCTCCTTAATTAGTTTTTTGTGGTTGATGAATATGAGGGGTCTAGAATGCCTGTCTTGGTATTCTTTGAACTTCACTAAGACATCTTCAGTTTTCCCATCTTCTTCTAGAAAAGAATACCATTAACACTGTGAGTCTTCACATAAATGCTATGGATTGGGTATACATACAGACAAACTATGGTGGGACTATCTCACTACCGTGATCTACAAAAAGGCCAGAATAAATTACCTCTTGGTAGGGAAAATGTATAAACATAAATACAAATCTTGCTACTCTGTTAAAATGAAGAAAAACTGGCATAAGCAAAAAACACTCATATCTTTGGCATGTTATAAATATAAGCTGCACTGAGAAGGTATAGGAAACACAAGGATGGCCGGGCGCAGTGGCTCATGGCTGTAATCCCAACACTCTGGGAGGCCAAGGCGGGCGGATCACCTGAGGTCAGGAGTTTGAGACCAGCCTGGCCAACATGGTGAAACCCTGTCTCTACTAAAAATTCAAAA
This sequence comes from Homo sapiens, assembly GCF_000001405.40. NCBI lineage: Eukaryota > Metazoa > Chordata > Mammalia > Primates > Hominidae > Homo > Homo sapiens. The sequence continues at coordinate 36,625,726 of NC_000019.10, read as the reverse complement.
TTAGCTGGGCATGGTGGTACATGCCTGTAATCCCAGCTACTCAGGAGGCTGAGGCAGGAGAATTGCTTGAACCTGGGAGGCAGAGGTTGTAGTGAGCCGAGATTGTGCCATTGCACTCCAGCCTGGGCAACAAGAGCGAAACTCTGTCCCCCCGCCCCACCCAAAAAAAAAAAAAAGATAAGTGAGCAGAAGAGAAAGAATGAAGAAAGAGGGATTCTACTTGGAATGGAAGATTCAAAGCTGCTGAAGTGAGCCTACCAAGGGTGCTGAACAGTAGGCAATGTGACAAAAAATTATTTAGGAAGAGATGAAAAGCTATACATTTATCCCCTCACGACTAAATGTGTTATAAGTGCTTCCAATTCTTTCTTCTTCACTTGCATTTAGCCCATGAATGGTAAATGAACTTTCTCAGCTCATTTCCTAGTGTTTACAGAAACATTAGTCTACAGTCTAGGCCCTAGATGTCCATATAACCGTAATTTATTTTCTCTTGAAAGCAGAGAATCTGGAAAACATATTCCCATGAGGAATTATAAAATACAGCAAAAGACAAAATATATTTCCAACATGAATATAATCACTGTTGTGTATACATTATATATATATATATATATATATATATATATATATATATTTAAATTCATTTTTATTTTTTTGAGAAAGGGTCTCGCTCTGTCCCCCAAGCTGGAATACAGTGGTTTGATCCTGGCTCACTGCAGCCTTGATCTCCTGGATTCAAGCAATCCTCCCACCTCAGCCTCCCAAGTATCTGGGGCTACAGATGTGTGCCACCATATCCAGCTAATTTTTGATTTTTTTTTTTCACAGACGGGATCTTCCTATGTTGCCCAGGCTGGTCGCGAACTCCTGGCCTCAAATGATCTTCCAAAAGTTCTGGGATTATAGGCATGAGCCACAGTGCCCGGAAACTGTAGTATTCTGATTGCTGTTACCATCAATTTATTCAATTTATTCTGCCAGAGATGGTCAATAATGAAATTCTCCTGACCAACAATTCTAACTTCATTCCTTAAATTTGCCAAATTACTTCTTTTCAGCTTTAGGGAAAGATAGGTTTGAGTTTTCCTCCCAATACATCACCTACCTTAACTCTGCTATTCCCTACTGGAGCTGTAAAGGACTGGATTCTTCAATGTATGTGCAGAGCACTGATTAATCTTAACTATTTAAAAAAAATTATTGTATATCTTACTATTGTTGCCTTACTACCATCCATATTTGGGAGGGCAATTTAAAGATGGATTCATCTTACCTATGATTAACATTGTTATTTATAATAGCCCCATACTGGGAACAGCCCAAATATCCATCAAAAGATGAACAGGTAAAACTGTGTCATGTATTACACAATAGAATACTACCTCAGCAACAAGAAGAAACAATGCTGATACACAATGACAACAAGAATGAATCTCAAATATTTTGCAGAGTGTAAGCTTTATGAAAAAGAATACATATTATACAATTCCACTTATGTGCAGTTTGAACACGTAAAACTAATCTGTATTGGTAATTGGAGTTACATTGCCTCCCTAAGAACTTCAAACACCTCCAAGTATATGCTACTATCCGATTTTTCATAAAGTTTTCACATAGTCTTTCCTTTTTTTTTTTGAGACAAAGTCTCACTCTGTCACTCAGGCTGGAGTGCAACAGCGTGGTCTCAGCTCACTGCAACCTCCGCCTCCCAGGTTCAAGTGATTCTCCTGCCTCAGCCTCATGAGAAGCTGGGATTACAGGTGCCCGCCACCACACTTGGCTAATTTTTGTATTTTTAGTAGAGACAGGGTTTCACTATGTTGGCCAGGCTGGTCTCGAACTCCCGACCTTGTAATCCACCCACCTCGGCCTCCCAAAGTGCTGAGATTACAGGTGTGAGCCACTGCGCCCGGCCCCTTTTTTTTTTTTTGAGACAGAGTCTCACTCTGTCACCCAGGCTGGATTGCAGTGGCACAATCCCGGCTCACTGCAACCTTAGTATCCCAGGTTCAAGTGATTCTCATGCCTCGACCTCCTGAGTAGCTGGGACTACAGGTGTGTGCCACCAAATCTGACTGATGTTTTTTGTATTTTTTAGCGGAGATGGGGTTTCACTGTGTTGGCCTGGTGGGTCTTGAACCCCTGGCCTCAAGTGATCCACCTGCCCTGGCCTCCCAAAATGCTGAGATTACAGGAGTGAGCGACTGCTCCCGGCTAAGCTTTCACATAGTTTTTCTACCTTTCAGTATCCCGTCTGTCTGAAATTGTAATATAATTATGGTCTGGAACATTCACTTCCAGATATTTTCCAACGGCCTAAGATTTTAACACGATCATTCTATGTAAAGTCCTCAATTTGATAATACAGTATTGCTTTCCCAACTAAAACTCATGTTTTTGGAGGTCAACATTTTATTGACGATTTTCTCTAAAATCTTCTCAGTATACGTTTACACACTGTTATCTGAAGTTAGGGGATAAAATGCTGGCAGGTACCCCTAAAAAGAACTTAGTAGTAAATGATTTCTAAATGGATGAGAAAGACATTTTCGCTTGCATGGCACGACAATCAATAAGATAACTACTGGATACATGGCCTCTGTTACAAGCTGCAGTAAGGAAAGGCAAATGAGAGGACCTTATTTTGGGGAATGATTATAACCAAATAGAGAAAGAAATGTCATATAAAACAATGTTGAATTAGGTACCAAATTACTAGATCATATCAGAGGACGTGTCTGCTCACATGTTACAGATGTCAAGTACAATGGAATGCATAAAAAACAGAAATAGACATAGTCTATACAGTAGTCAAGGTATTTCATGGAGGAAATGAAACTTGATTTTTTAGCTAAATGATATATTATATAGTATTGTGTGGTAAAGAATTTAACCCTGCCAAATGAGAGGCCGAACCTTTAACTTCAGTTTCAGGGTGGTAATTTTTAAGGCCTTTGAATGTCATGGCTAATAGGAGTTTATTTGTTTGCTGGGGAGTCTTTGGCTGGCCAGACAGTAACAATATGATTTAGGGTAGGGGCTTTGAGTCATGCAGCAAGCATCAGCTCAGCTTCCTAAGGCGCTGGAAACTGAGCTCAGCCACATGGGCAATCAGGCCTATTTGATGGAGCCCCAATAAAAACTTTGGACACTGAGGCTGTGCTGAGCTTCGCTGGTTGGTGGTACTCTGTATGTATCGTCACATAGTGTTGCCAGGATTGATATCCATGACTCCACGGCGATAGGGCGACTAGAAGCTGCATGTTTGGCACTTTCCCAGACTCTGCCCATTTCCTTCTTCCCTTGATTGATTTCAATCTTTTCCTGTAGCAAACTGTAACTGTGAGTATAACAGCTTTCACTGAGTTCCATGGGTCTTTTCAGCAAATTATCAAACCTGGCCGGGTGCCACCGGTGGCTCATGCCTGTAATTCCAGCACTTTGGGAGGCCGAGGTGGGTGGATCACTTGAGGTCAGGAGTTTGAGACCAGCCTGGCCAACATAGTGAAACCCCGTCTCCACTCAAATACAAAAATCAGCAGGGTGTAGTGGCACATGCCTATAATCCCAGCTACTTGGGAGGCTGAGGCATGAGAATCGCTTGAACCTGGGAGGCGGACGTTGCAGTGAGCCAAGATCACGCCACTGCACCCTAGCCTGAGTGACAGAGTGAGACTATCTCTCAAAAAAAAAAAAAAATTATCGAACCTAAGGGCAGTCTTGAGGATCCCTGAATTAACAGCTGCTATCAGAAGTAAAGGCAGTCTTGGATGGATTACTGTACCCTCTAACTTCCTAGTTGGCTAATTTTGCAAGTATATATGGAACATATAGTATCCATCATATAAGGAAAGGTCCAGCTGTGATGAATAAAACCAATTACAGTTTTCCCTCATTATCCAATCTAAGGGGACAGGTTCCGAAATCCCCAAGGATACTAAAATCCAAAGATGCTCAAGTCCCTCATATAAAATAGTGTAGTATTTGCATATGACCTACACATATCCTCCTGTATACTTTGAATCATCTCTACATGACTTATACCTAATACAGTGCAAATGCTATGCCAACAGTTGTTATACTATACTGATTTTTATTTGTATTTTGTGTGTGTGTGTGTGTGTGTGTGTGTATTTTTTTCTATTTACAGTTGGTTGAATCTGCTGATGTGGAAGCCATGAATTCGGGGGGCTGACTGTATATGAAGTATATTTAGTAGTCTTGAACAAATAGAGATTATCGAAAGTTCTGAGTCACAGACAGAAATACATTTGGAATGACCAAATCGGGTATGATCCTGTCACCCTTGAAAACAGAGGGATTTAAAGTTCATATTAAAAAGTGTTATCTTTTTAGCATAATGACAGAAAAAACTGGAAAAAAAAAAAAAAAAAAAAAACTAGGGAAAAATCATGGCAAATCCAAAGATTAATTACAGTAGCCCACACCTGAAATGATATGGCTCTCATTTTGGAAGCTGTCAATGGCAAATCAGAATATAAGAAGATGTAAAGATATTTTACAGAGTGAGATAATATAACACATTGTGGAGAGATCATTAAGAAAGTATAACAGAGATGATGGACTCAATTTTATACTACTTGGGCTGATTATGGGAACAAGAGAATACAGAAACAAACAATAATAAATAAGATTATGGGAACAGGCCGGGCGTGGTGGTTCATGCCTGTAATCCCAGCACTGTCGGAGGCGAAGGTGGGCACATCACTTGAGACCAGGAGTTCGAGACCAACCTGGCCAACATGGTGAAACCCCACCTCTACTGAAAATACAAAAATTAGCCAGGCGTGGTGGCACGTGCCTGTAATCCCAGCTATTCGGAAGGCTGAGGAGAGAGGATCACTTGAACTCGGGAGGTGGAGGTTGCAGTGTGCCCAGATCATGCCATTGCACTCCAGCCTGAGCAATAGAGTGAGACTCCATCTCAATTAAAAAAAAAAAGATTATGGGAACAAAAGAATAAACAAATAAGAGTAAAGATAGCAATTATTATTTCTGATATATTGTAAACCAAAAAGGATAGGACAATTGATAGTCATATTTCTGTTGGCAGATTAAAATATACCACTACAGTTGACAAGGGAGAAATGGGCTGAAATGTCTATTTGAAAGCAATTCACATAAAACAAGGAAATCAATTTGAGAATTCATCAGATGATTGTAGCTTGCAGGACTTTCATAAAGTCAAGAACTGAGAGTGAATAAAATGCTTTAAGGACACATCAGAAAGGACCAATGAGAGGCCTAATGAAACAAGATTCATTTAGTCAACAAATATTTATTGTCCTAGACAAGGTACATAAAGGGGATAAAAGCAAACAAGATGTGAAAAGGTACTCAGGGAAATAGGATGAGAATGAGTTAGTATTTTTCACCCAAATCCCACAACTATCCCTGGCAGATATCAAGAATGATGCTCAGCATTATGATATGAAACATAAAAGTTTACTGGAAAGAAATTGTGATCTTCAAATTACCATTTTGGTCCCAGGCATATGGATTTTGGAACCTGGTGGTAGGTCTCATGGTGAGAATGGGATGTGAGACTCAGGCAGGAAACAAAGAAATAATCTTTCTTTGCCCAGGGAAAGAGAAGAAAGTGAAAACTATGAGGGAGATAGATATTAAACAATGATTTTTATTTTTCTGATAGGTTTAAGAAGGCTCTCTCAGGCCAGGCGCAGTGGCTCACTCCTGTAATCCCAGCACTTTGGGAGGCCGGGGCGGGCAGATCTCGAGGTCAGGAGATAGAGACCATCCTGGCTAACACGGTGAAACCCTGTCTCTACTAAAAATACAAAAAAATTAGCTGGGCATGGTGGTGGGTGCCTGCAGTCCCAGCTACTCAGGAGGCTAAGGCAGGAGAATGGTGTGAACTCGGGAGGCGGAGCTTGCAGTGAGCCGAGATCGTGCCACTGCACTCCAGCCTGGGCAACAGAGCAATACTCCATCTCAAAAAGAAAAAAAAAAAAACTCTTTTAATTTCTGAATAGTGTAACCAAGTAACCCAGCCTCAAACATACTTTAAAACATTTTTTCCTTTCTTGCTTTCAACGTTGAGACACTTTAAAACGCTTTGTCACCTTCTCACCTGGCACTTCCATGTGAACAGTGTTTACTTATCTAATTATGTGCTTGCTTAGGAATTCCAGGGGCCAATTTTGAAACAAACCAGGCAGAGACACCCAGCTGCAGAATCCTCCCCACTTAGTGGGGGTTACAAATAGTTAGCCCACCACTACCAGGCCAAAGTCAGAATGATGCAAACTGGACCTCCGGAAGAGCAATTACTCAAGATAAGCATCGGAACAAGACACACAGGCCTGTGCCCTCCTGCACCACCCTTTCCACATCCTTTCCTTCACAACCCCCTTCACTCAGCCCAAAAGGTAGAGATGGCTTCTTTGAGGCAGAAGCCTTGCCAACTCCCATCTGCTGGCATTTAATCAATCAAGTTGCTTTCCTTTCACCATTCCTCACTTCTCATGTTTTTGGTCTCTAAGCAGTGAGCAGCTGGACTTAGGCCAGTTACAATGCCATACACACAGACATATGCGCACAAAGTTCTTCTAAGTTCTTAATAACTTTAAGATTTTAAATATGTCTAAGACTAGAAAGTTTGAGAACTGCTGGTCTGGACATCTAGATTTATTTATGTATTTATTTATTTATTTTTGGAGACAGAATCTTGCTCTGTTACCTATGCTGGAGTGCAGTGGCGCGATCTACCTCCACCTCCTGGGTCCTAGCAACTTGTGTGCCTCAGCCTCCTGAGTAGCTGGAATTACAGGTGGGCGCCACCATGCCCAGCTAATTTTTGTATTTTTAGTAGAGATGGGGTTTTGCCATGTTGGGCAGGGTGGTCTGGAACTCCTGGCCTCAAGTGATCCTCCCGTCGCAGCCTCCCAAAGTGCTGGGATTACAGACATGAACCACTGTGCCCGGCTGACATCTAGATTTTGGTAAGACAAAGAAGTTTGTATCAAAACAATCCTCCAGCTGATAAAAAAAAAACCCACTTATTTGAAGGCACTAAAGAATGACCAAAAGTAGCCAGAAGCTGAAGTGGATGCAATCTTTGAAAGAAAGAAACCACACTGCATAAGAGCTACATTTAGCCAGGTATATGTTCTCAGTAGTTCAGGCAGCACAGAAGAGATAGATCTCCAGGAGAAAGCACAAGTCATCTGTATAGGGGAATCAGAGGTTAGAGTTCAGAGCTACCCTAACTTGAAGACAAAATCTGGGAATGGAGAAGTCAAAAAAGCAGAGCCCCAAAGTTGGCATAAGCCATCCTCAAAGCCTTGGTTAACTACATTGCTGCAGGGCAAGATTGCAAGGAGCCCAAAGAGGAAAGAAAGCTAGAGCCCTGAAGGAACTGAGCAAAGAGTTCAGTGGCTGTTTAGCTCTGAAAAAGAGTTTGCAATTCTAGCCCTGTGACAACAAGAACCTTGTTAAAACCTTGGTCCCAATATAAGCAAACTGGAAATGTTATAATAAAAGAGAGTAGTTCAGCATGGATTCATGAAGACCAATATGGGGCAGTCCCTTTCTGGTATTTTTAAATGCACTGAAAATTTTAAAGCAGAGTGGAAAAACAGGCAAACAAAACAAAACAAAAGAACAAAAAATCCTGGTCCATTCATTTTTGTCCTGGGCTAGGTGAAAACAAAACAAAGCAACAAAGCACAACAATCTTGGTCTTTCCATCGAGACTCCAGAAGGGCCACGTTTTAGGAGTAAAGACTGCATCCCAGGACTCAGGACAATACCATAAAACTTTAACCAATTAGGCCCAGTCCTTGGGCATGTCCACCGAAGGGCCCAGTTTTAGCGAGAATTCTGTCAAGTCGGTTTAGCTGGAATCCCCCACTCTCAATATCTGATATCTCTCCTCACCAACCCCTCCAGGTGATATCTGATCACCATGACCTGCTTTCAGTAGGAATCCTGGTAGGTCAGCTAAGCAAGATTACCCTATCCACTCAGTAATTTCCCATCACTGCCCCCTCCCACAACTATAAATTTCCTCTCTTCCTTATCGTATTCAGAGTTGGCCCATTCTCTCCCCAGTACTTCAAAACCCCATTGTAGCAGTCCCTGAGATCTGCCTTACAAGTGTCAGGATAATGTTTTTCTTTAGTATTTATAGTAACACAGCTTGGATAGGAACAGATTGATTATTGGACCCCTTGGCATCTCACCCAGGACCCCAAGTGCACACCTTTTGAGCCTTGGTCTTCACTCCTGACTGACTGGGGACCCACTGGTGAGTCAGACTCCTGGTCCACTACTCTGGACAAACTCCCATTGAAGCTGGTACAACATTTTGATTCCTTAGATTCTGAGCATACTCTAGAGGCTGGGTTAGAATCCTAGGCTCCTCTTGTTTATATGAAGTTGGGTTACAGGCACCGGCTTCTTTGTTTAAAAGGTACCTGCTGGGCTAGAAGTCTTTCTTCCTGGGTTTTTCTTTTGGGTGGGAATTTACTTCCTGACTCTCAGGGCTAGAAAATTCCTGACTCTGTGAGGCCTGTTTGATCCTGTTTCTCCCATGGGAACTTCTCAGTTGATTGATGGTGTATGTTCCCCTGTTGGTATATGCTCTGCCAACTCCCTCTACTTCCTTTCTTCTTGGCATTACTTTACTAAGGATTCTCTACACTGGCTCCTGTAAGACCTCTCTTTTCCCACTGCTCCACTCCTCCTTCCTCCTCTCACCACCTCTGATTGTCCCTTCAGTTCCCCTGAATCCTTTGACAGGTGGCCCTTCAGAACTCCTCCATCCCTCTGTCCACCCTGCTGACCTTTCCCTTCCCACTGTAGCCCCTACAGTCACTTGAACTTTAGGTGCCCTGCCCCACATTGGGGGCACTCAAGGGGCCCCCAAAAGAAACTACCTGCAGCTGAGAAGGACAAAAGGGCTAACTGGAAACAAAGTGGATATTTTATTCACTCAGCCAAGCTTTGGAGACATCCAGATAGCTCAGTTGCTCACCTAAAATTTAGTCCACAGCTTCCATAAGATTACATAACAGGGCAAATGAAAATCTGAAAATCTCTACAAATATTGGCTAAAAAGCATTAGCCCACATATTGAACAGCTAACCTTGTTCCATGTGTCAGAAACACTATTCAGATAAAAATATAAAGTGGAGCAAAGATGAGAGTGTAATACTATTTTACTGACTCCTGGCTAACATTTTAGAATGAAAGTTATAAGATCTCTGTTTGGGTCTGTCCGCCTATGTATGTCTATGTATGTATGTTATGTATATGTGATATTTTCTTACCTCTAGATGGTATTAATTAATTATTTAAACATTTTAGTTATTTAGAGACGAGGTCTCACTCTTGCCCAGGCTGGAGTGCAGTAGTGCATAGCTCACTGCAGCCTTGAACTTCTGGGCTTAAGTGATTCTCCTGCTTCAGCCTTCTGAATAGCTGGATCTACAGGTGCACACCACTGCACTGGGATACATTTTTTCAGAGACTGGGTCTTGCTATGTTGCCCAGGCTGGCCTCACACTCCTGGCCTCAAGCGATCCTCCTGCCTCAGCCTCCTGAGTAGCTGGAATTACAGGTGTGAGCCACAACACTTGGCCAAATTAATTTATAAACTCCCTTAAAGAGTTTATTCAAATTGTTTTAAGAGAAAAATGAGTGTTTATATAAGTGAAATGTTCCTAACACCCCCAGAAATGTAGGAACTAACCCAAAGGCCTTTCAAGTTCATGTGACTTGGGGTAAAATTTTGATAACTAAGATGAGTTTAATATTGTTGGTTTAATAAAAAGAGGTGCATCTATGAGCACATATTTTTATTCT